>NC_000012.12:22084650-22709650 GCF_000001405.40 Homo sapiens | reverse complement strand
TACATAAATTAGAAAACAGCAGAAAAATGTAAAAGACAAAATACAGAGAGAGAAAGCCATAAACACGAACAGAAAAAGAGGGCACTATCAGAGTGAAAGCAACACGAATTTAAAGACTCAAAAACAGACGTGAAATTACATTACCACCTTGTGGTCTTTTAGGATATTGCCCCTAAATACTCAAAGGATGATGTTTTTTCACACCTGTAGGCATTTGTGGGGGTATCGTCCCTATGCTTGAGCCAGGTGTAATTTAGTTAAAGGCCATATCTAAGCTTCAGATTGGAGATTTCTCATTTGTGATATAAACTTTTTTGACTCTTCTAATATTTTCAGACTCTATCCCCACTTGTTACAAGGTCTCAATATTTCTATGCTTCATTGTCCCAAATTTCTCCCTTTATATATTCAGGGTTAGCTTCCAATTTGGTATTTCAAGACTTTATTAACAAATTCTTATTCACCTTGTGCCAATACTTAATGATTTCTTCTTCTTTTTTTTTTTTTTTTTTTTTGAGATGGAGTCTTGCTCTGTCAGCAGGCTGGAGTGCAGTGGCGTGATCTCCACTCACTGCAACCTTCGCCTCCCAGGTTCAAGCGATTTTCCTGCCTCAGCCTCCCAAGCAGCTAGGACTACAGGTGCCCACCACCACGCGGTGGCTCACGTCTCTAATCCCAGCACTTTGGGAGGCGGAGGCGGGCGGATCATGAAGTCAAGAGATCAAGACCATCCTGGTCAACATGGTGAAACCCTGTCTCTACTAAAAATTCTTAATAATTTCTTGCCTTTGGTTTTATAGTATTTTTTCTCAAGATGAGGTCTTGCCCTGTCACCCTTTACCATTATATCTCCTGCCTGACTGATCTTATAATAATTTCTGACTCTTATATTTTTGAGCATTCTACTCACCTTTCTTGTACCTTCTCAACTCCATAGCAGTTACTTTTCTTACAGCATGTGACAAAGCAGCATAATATATTCATATAATGTGGCACTGTAAGACAGGAAAGGATTGGACTGTCGAACCAAAAGGAATCTATGGCTGTAACGGCCCCGCTATTCAGCCACATGACCCAAGCCAGGACATTCTATCTCTCTTATACGCAACAGTCCAAGTAGCCCAAATGCTGTTACCATTCTCCCATATTATCTTTTAAATTCACCCTCCTGTCCTCTCCTCCTGTGTGAGCCCCTGCAGTCCTCATCTCTGGCATGGATTGATGCACTAGACTCCTAGCTAGCCCCCCTATTTCCAGTCCAGAGCCCCTCCAACTGACCCTCCACACTGCACCAGTGACTTCTCCAAAATGCACATGGGATCATGTGACTTTCCGCTTAATATCTTCCAGCACTTCTTAACAACCACAAGAATACTAAATGCTAACAGCCAACTTCTTAATAATACAACTCCTGCTGCTTTCTAGGATCATTCACTGCTGTTCCCCCAACTTACACAGGCTGCTGCAGTCAAACCCGGCCTTGCTGTTCCCAACTAGGCCACTGCATACTCCATAATTCCTTGCATTGGTACAAGCTGTATCCCTGTCTGAAAACCCACTTTTATGCCAGGTTAACTCCCAATCTTGATTAGTCTTAATTCAGACTTAACACTCATGACTCGGCTCACTCCCCGACTGAGTATTCCCACAGCATTCCCACACTATTACACTTAACTCCCTGTATTGTAATGATGCATTTACTGGTCTCTCTATAACCCCCTACCCCCAGCTCCCCAAAACTCCAATGCAGGGTAGAGACTGAACTGTGCCGTATTTATTTCAGAAGTCCCAGAACCAAGCACAGTGCCCAGTAAGGCATGGGTATATAAGGAAAATTGGCTGCCTTCTACTCTGCAGCTGTTTGTAGGAATTTGATCTCCACAAGATACAGGTGCCCAGAGCTTTAATGAAGAAAAGGTGATACCTGACCGGGCGCGGTGGCTCACACCTGTAATCCCAACACTTTGAGAGGCCTAGGCAGGCAGATCAACATAAGACCAGGAGTTTGAGACCAGCCTGGCTAACATGGTAAAACCCCATCTCTACTAAAAATACAAAAAATTAGCTGGGTGTGGTGGTGCACACCTATAATCCCAGCTACTAGGTAGGCTGAGGCATGAGAATTGCTTGGGCCTGGAAGGCAGAGGTTACAGTGAGCCGAGATTGTGCCACTGCACTCCAGCCTGGGTGAAAGAGCAAGACTCTGTCTCAAAAAAAAAAAAAAAAAAAAAAAAGGAAAAAAAGAAGGAGATACGGTTTGTGGCTTAGCACACTGGGCAGGTATTTCTTAATGATGATTAGCTACTGTTAGCAAGGGTTCTCAAAGTTCAGGTAAGAGTAAAAATTTAAGTCTTTCAGAAGTAAGTACAACAAAATATATCAGAAACATGCATATCATTTGACCCATAATTACACTTGTAGGAAGTGAAATTGACATTGAGCACAAAGATTTGAATATAATACTGTTTTTCACAGCAGTGTTAATATGACGGGAAAAAAAAGAAAACTAAAAACCTAAAATGTCCAGAATAGTCACTTACCAAAGTTAATCATGGTATAACATATAATAAAACCCAGGCAGCTATTAAAAATGAAATGAACATTTTTCTGAAAAGCAAAACAAATGTTGTTACAAAACAACTGTGGTCAGTTTTTTAGTGTGCATCTGTATGTGCATGTGGGTTCATTTCTGTCATGGCCTAATGCAATAAACTTATGTACGTACATGACATTCACAGACAAACAGATAGCCAGCATAATGAAAGGCTGGAAAATACTTAGACCAAAATGAAAATAGGGTTATAAATAATTTAATTTTTGGTTTCTCTGTAGTTTCTGATTTTTCTCCAGTGAACAAGTATCACTTTTGTGATAATAAGGGGGAGAGGGAGGTAATAAAGGTTACATTTTTAAGAGAAGAAGAAGAAGAAAAGAAAGGAGGCTGCTAAGTTCCTAAGGCCATCAAGCAAGGAGACTATAGGAAGCTCACCTGAATTTAAAAAAGCATCTGAATCTTAATAACAGAAAGACCTATGGAGTTTTACAGAAGGTTAAGCCAATTGGTTACGTGTGCCTTAGTGTCAAGTCCTCAAATCAATATGTACTTGAGGTCAATGTCAGTGAATGGAAATTATTTGGAGAGGAGGGAGGTAGGGGAAAGAGGTGATATCTGTCAATATTATGGGTCAGACTATTCACATAACCCTTCTTCCTTTTGTTGCCCCACCCCACCCCACCCCACCATTAGACCTCCACTCTTACTACAGGGACTTGGAGAATACTAAAGACTTCCCTTCTTCATGGAGAAAAGAAGGATATCTGTGGAAGTAGCACAAGAAGAATACCTATGCCATACGCCCACCCCTCTATCTGGATCTACATCTCCAGCCTTGGACTTCCCTCCCCTAACTAGAGGACAGATTAATTCTTTCCAAGTGCTTAGAAGTTTGCGTTTAGATTTCATCAAAAATTTTCCACTGATTGATTTACAAATCAAATATTTAACACAAAGAACCTCTGGTCTCATTAGAATAAATATAAATAAATATAAAATAGTTGTGTGGAGAATTATTTTGTTCAGACCAAAAAAAATCACTAAAACCTTAATAGATGAAAGCTGAAGATAAACAAATGGAGACACCAAGAGTACACTGAGTTTTCATGAACTTCAGCTATGATGTTGAAAAGGGTGCAGGTAATGGAAAATATTTATTGTTATCACGTTTGTTTTAAGAAGAGACATTTGCATTTCCCGTCTTATGGGGAACATTATTAAGAGGAAAATAATTGAACAAGAGAGGACACAAAGGAAGTCACTAGTATTGAATGGGATAAAGAGCATTTTTACTTCTGAGGCTGAAGAAAAGTAAATGAGGAGGATCCATAATATTTTTAGTTTTGAGGATGGAATGCAGTGGGACATTTTAATTGTTTGTGAAATTAGAGGCAAGATCAAATGCTAGGCAAAGAGGGGTACAAGGGTCAGACAGTGGTTTTAGAAGTATCACATGTTTTTGGGAAAAACGCAGCAGATAATGTCTTCTTGGGAAATATGTGTTGTCCCAGGTGATGTTCTCTGGGAAGCAGAGACTGAAAAGGAGTAGAGAGTACAAAAGTTCATCAGGGAGTAACACCTATGAAGAGGAATTGTGTCTTAGGAGGGGCTCAGTTTGCTTTCTATTGTTAGCTGGTCAGAGCTTCAGAGGCAGCAGATGAGGCTTGGTAGGTAGGAACTCAAATAGAGCCTACAAAGAGCCTCCATCCCTGCTAACGTGACCACTTCATTCATGTGCTCATCATGTTAGCCCTAGGGTGGCCACTGATGAAAGCTGGCTAATATGAAATGGCCAAGCCATTTTGTCTACTTAGTTGTTTAGTGGCTCGTCCATGGTGGATTCCATGTTTGGGGCATGTTAGTGTATGACAGAAAGATCCTTAAACTTCGTGCCTACTCCCATATGTCTAACTCTATGTCTCTCTCCCAGATCTTGTCACTAATCTTCACATCTTCTTTCCTTCCATCTCTGACCAGCTCATCATTGCCCATGAGTCCTTGTATAGCATAACCTCCTTCCACACAAACTGGATAACCTAATAAACCACCCAAAACTCTGTCCACTAGGAATATTTTCCTTCACTACTGTCTTTCAAGACCATCCTGAGTGGAGCAGTAATTCAGCTGCTATCCACATCCAGCTTACACTCGTATGAAGCCACCTGTTTATAAAGCACGCCCAGGCTTTCTCCTTTACCTTCAGCTGGTCACGTAAGACCTCCCATATATAAAATTGGGGAGGGGTGATGGTGCCAATACGATGAACAGCATAGAGGGATGGGTTAACCACCCATTCAACCTGCTTTTATCTTCTATCCTGTTCATGTCTAGTCCCCGGTTTCCTATTTTAAATTTAAAATGAATTGCCACTGGGCCCATCTGAGTTTTTAATCTGGTAGGACCAGCAGAATCCAGATCATGATGGCCAGTTCAAAATGCATAATAACTGGGGGCCCATAATCAAGTGCTCCATCTCTTGATTATTTGGGGTCCAGTAGCATACCAACAGCTATTTTTCAGAAGGCAATTAATTCTATGCTGCAGATGGCAACACTACTCCAAAACCTAAGGGGCCTGATTTGACATTCCTCCACTGGGAGAAATTCCGTATTACATCTTTTTCCACCATTGACATCGCCAACATCATAGGGTCTACCAACCATATCGTTTAAGTGTCCAGGCTACTTTCACCACAGGCTTGACTTGTTGAAAAGTTCTTATCAGCTCTAAGCCCCACTCAAATCTGACAGTCTTCCATATCATCAACAATATGGGGTGAAACAGTATTCCTAGGTGTAGGATATGTTGCCTCTGCAATTCAAAGAGATTTCCTACACACTATGATTTCTTCTTTGTAGGCAAAGATGCACAATAAAACATTTTGTCTTTTACTTTGGAGGGGGGTGTCCCAGCATGATCTTTACCACTGAACCCCTAATTATTTTAAGTCACAGGTCCCTAAATCTGCTTAAGGATTATCACACATGTGTTTTGCCAAGGCCTTTAGCATGTTAGCTACCTCTTGTTCATCCTGCCGGATCAGCAGGATGTCACTGATGTAATGGATTGGCATGATGATTTCTTGGGTATCCAGATGGTTTAGATCTATCTGGACTATATTATGGCACATCATGATGATGTTAACAAAGCCTTGGCATATGGTTGACTCCCCATGCAGTTTAGTGGGTCAAAACGGAGAAATGAGAACCGAAACTCACGAGGGCCTTGGTCTAGTCTTGGGGCATCCCACCTGGATGGCAGTTCCAATCTCAGCTGGTCACAGTACCATAAAGAGACTTTTAAAATTACCTAGATGGTACAGCAAAGCATGGGGACCACTGCGGGGGCTCTATGTGCTCACATCTAATGATGATAATAGTCTCCATAATTCTCAACTGGTCAAACTCCCTAGGCTGTTACTTCAAGCTTGTTGATTGTGTTGATAATCATGACCCCTCATTTCTGGCAGTTAAGCACCACCATCTGGCCTCTATGCTTCAGAGCACTATCATTTCCAATGCTACCCATGAGAAACGTTCTGTGATAGCCTCTCCTACCTACAGCACTGGCTTACAGAGAACTGTCACTGAACCTCTTGGCTGGTGGCTCTTTCATCAGCTTATTCCTGATGGCCATGGTGAATGATGTGTCCTCTGTGCCTCCCTATAAAACATAACCTTCTGATGTGTCTTCTGGCCTTATATATACAATATTATATGTTCAGCCTGTCCACTGTTCTCAATCCTTTACTGTAATATCTTTTACTAATGTATGTCATAGCAATTCGGGAATTTCGGCCTCATTCATGTGGGCCATCATTTTTTGCCCTTGTAGCAAGTTTGCATCATCCCCTGAAGCCCTTATCAGAATGTTACATTGCATATCCCAACAGAGTACCATCAAGTCAATAAATTCATTGTAAGTTACCAAAGAGACCAGCTCTGTTATTTAGTTTTCAATTGTTTGCTAATTGACCTCAGCTTTTCTTTATCTACAGATTATCAATGCAACTTATAACAACAATTCAATTATCTTTATATTTATCATTCCCCTTATTCATTTCAAATTCCTGAATAATCACACTACACCAATGGATTTCAATCCACTAGCACACCATCCTAGTTCATCATTAGTGAAAGTAGGTCACGTGTTGCTTAACCATGAGGATATGTACTGAGAAATGCATTGTTAGGCAATCTCATTGTGTGCACATCATAAAGTGTAACTACAGAAACCTAGATGATACAGCCTACTACATACCTAGGCTGTGTAGTACAGCCTATTGCTCTTAGATTACAAACATGTACAGCTGGTTACTATACTGAATACTGTAGACAATTGGAACACAGTGGTATCTGCGTATATAAATATACCTAAACATTAAAAACCTACAGTAAATATATAGTACAAAAGATACAAAGTAATACACCTGTATAAGGTACTTTCCATGAATGGAGGTTTCAGGACTGGAAGTCGTTCTGGGTGTCAGTGAATGAGTGGTGAGTGAATATGAAGGCCTACGCCATTACTGTATACTGCTGTAGACTTTATAAACACTGTAGAGTTAGGCTACACTAGATGTATTTTAAAATATTTTTCTTTCTTCAATCATAAATTAACTTTAGCCTAGTGTAACTTTTTTACTGAATAAACTTTTTTAACTTTTTGACTCTTTTATAATACTTAAATAAATCGTATTGTGCAACTGTACACAAATATTTTTTCTTTCTATCCTTATTCTATATGCTTTTTACAATTTAAAAATTTTTTTAAAACTTGTTTGTTAAAAACTAAAACACAAACACACACATTAGCCTAGGCCAACACAGGGTCAAGATTATCCAGACTAAGCCATATGAATTTTTCAGCTCCATTATCATCTTATGGGACCACCATTATATACGTTGTCCATCATTAACCAAAACATTGTTATGTGGTACATTCCTTATGAAATAATGATAACAGATATATTTAGTAACATTATACAATGATAATAAAAAATTATATCCCAGTAAAATTATAACTTACGTCCATTAGGAGATATATGATGAGGACATACATTATTGTTTGTGGTGTCGAAAAGTTACAGGCAACCTGAGTGTCCATCACTGGGAGAAAGGATACGTGAAATGTTTTCGATGGAAACTAAATGATTGTGCAGCTATCAGAAACACCTTAGAAATACAGATTCACAGAGCTACAAAAAGTAATCTTGAAAATATAGTGCTTGGTGAAAAAAGTGAGAATAAGAATGCAATAACTAATGTTATGTGAATTTAAATGGCCATAAAACTATACACATATTGTAAAACTATATTCAAATTGCAAAATATATACAATAAGATGGCTGCTTATTAGGAGCAGTGGAACAAGAGTGGAAGGCATGGGTAAAAGGGAAATGAATAAATAAATGAGAGCAAACTGACTAGGAGTGCTTTGCAAGGACAAACAATGTTAACATGGCTTTAACAGAAGAGTATGATTAACTCAGCTCCGTATTAATGAAGTCCATTGCTCTTAAAGGTGCAGTCTACAATGGAGACTCTGGAATTGGGGAGCATTGTAGTGCCCAACCTGGTTTTTACTAACTCTGTTTTTAGACTCCCTTTCCTTTAATCACCTAGCCTTGTTTCCACCTGAATTGACACTCCCTTAGCTAACAGAGCCAGACAGACTCCACTTGGCTCTTTCACTGGCAGCCCCTTCCTCAAGGACGTAACTTGTGCAAGCTGACTCCCAGCACATCCAAGAATGCAATTAACTGATAAGATACTGTGGCAAGCTATATCCGCAGTTCCCAGGAATTCGTCCGATTGATAACGCCCAAAGCCCCGGGTCTATCACCTTGTAATAGTCTTAAAGCCCCTGCACCTGGAACTGTTTACTTTCCTGTAACCATTTATCCTTTTAACTTTTTGACTACTTTACTTCTGTAAAATTGTTTCAACTAGACCCTCCCCACCGCCCAACCCGCCCCCTTCCTAAACCAAGGTATAAAAGTTAATCAAGCCCCTTCCTTCCTCGGGGCCGAGAGAATTTTGAGCGTTAGCCGTCTCTCGGTCGCCGGCTAATAAAGGACTATTAATTCGTCTCAAAGTGTGGCATTTTTCTAACTCGCTCAGGTACAACAGCATCAACTAGCAAAATTGTCACGGGGCAGGGCCAGCCCCAGAGGCAGGAGTGGTTGGATATATCCAAGTCTAAGAATTGGCTGGATATTGGTGAGAGAAAAATGGTAATGGCCAGTAGTTAAAGATGCTGGCAGGAGGACCTGAGGTGACATGCCAGAGTCTAGCCTACATAATAATAGGCCAAAGGGGGGATATTTGGACAGAAATGAATGCGGTCCAAAGTCTGGAGATTTTACGAGGTAAAAGAAAAGGTGAAGTGAAAGGAAAAAAAAAATGAAAAAAGCTGGATGAATAGAAAAGCATAGCCAAAGATTGATATTAGTTTTTACACTTCAGTGGTGATGCATTTTTCAGGTCAGGAGTTAGGCACAGATTATGACTATCCACATGGGATGTTGATATAAAATGGAAATGAATAATACTAAAATTTGAAGAGGCCCAGGCGCTTTCAGCCTGAGTTGCTGGAAGGGTCATTCTCAAGTAAGCTGCCTGTGGTGATAGCAGCAGTAGGAGACTGGGATTCAGAGATACTAAAGCTCTTCATGAGGAAGAAAGAGCAACCAGAATAGGAAATGACCAATAGGAAAGACAAGTTGGGTGTTACATGGCCATGTCTCATGAACTCCGCATAGGGCAAGTGTTTATTGGCAAGAGATAGCAGTGGGAGGCTAAGAAAATATCCACAAGCCTCAGCCCTAGATAAATGATTAATGAAAGAATGAACAGCCTTTGGGGACTGTGACTAAGTGGTATCCTCAGGAGAAACACTGTTCTCAGCTAAAGCAAGAAAGGGAAGTACTTTGTAAAATATTTTTATACTGCATCCCTAAACACCACCCTCAACATACACACATTTCCCTCAGGTACTTACAATAGAGAAGTCCAAAAACTGTCCACATAGCTACCACCTCTGCTCAGGCTGCCATAACGAAATACCATGGGCTGGGTGGCTTCCACAACACAAATTTTCTTACAGTTCCGGAGCCCAGGAGTCCATGATCAAGGCGCCAGCCAATTTGGTTTCTGGTGAGGGCTCTCTTCCTGGCTTGTAAACAACTACCTTCCTGTTGTATAGTCACATGGTCTTCCCTCAGTGGGGAAGCGTGTAGGCGAAGCTCTCAGGTGTCTCTCTTTATACAGACGCTAATCCTAGCAGGGCGAAGCTCTCAGGTGTCTCTCTTTATACAGACGCTAATCCTAGCAGGGCGAAGCTCTCAGGTGTCTCTCTTTATACAGACGCTAATCCTAGCAGGGCGAAGCTCTCAGGTGTCTCTCTTTATACAGACGCTAATCCTAGCAGGGCGAAGCTCTCAGGTGTCTCTTTTTATACAGACGCTAATCCTATCAGGGCCCCACCCTAAGGACCTCATCCAACCTTAATTGCTTCCTAAGAGGCCCCCATCTCCAAGTACAGCCACAAGGAGGGTTTGGCCTTCAACATTTGAACTTGGAAGGGGGACACAAACATTCAGTCCATTATACCATCAAAAAGCTAAGTGAAAATGACCCTTACTCAGGAAAAGCCTATATAAGATTTCAGAGAGAAAAAACTACAGGAAATAAAATTCAAAGCCTGAGACCTCCAAAGTTCTTTCCTTAAGGTAGGCAGTGTTCCGATACAGCACAGCCACAGCGACAGTCAGCTCCTGTATCTTCTGAGTGAGTTGAAATTTTAAGTAGGGTGCACAAAGGGAAAGAAGTGATATACCACAGTAATAGAAAAATATTAGAAGATCTCAATTTGTATATTAAAAATTTTTAGAAGGATTTTTGTCAGAGGTGTTTGAACCAGAGTGACTCCATCTTGAATAGGGGCTGGGTAAAACAAGGCTGAGATCTACTGGGCTACATTCCCAGAAGGTTAGGCATTCTTAGTCACAGGATGAGTTAGGAGGTCAGCACAAGATACAGTTCACAAAAACCTTGCTGATAAAACACCAAGCGAAAAGGCAGCCAGCTAAAACCCACCAAAACCAAGATGGCAACAAAAGTGACCTCTGGTCATCCTCACTGCTCACTATACGCTAATTATAATGTATTAGCACACTAAGAGATACTCCCACCAGTGCCAAGACAGTTTACAAATGCCATGGCAATGTCCAGAAGTTATCGCCTATGGTCTAAAAGTAAGAGGAACCCTCACTTGTGGTAATTACCCACCTCTTTCCCAGAAAACTCATGAATAATCCATCCCTTGTTTAGCATATCTGTATACTCAGTCGAGCAGCCTATACCACTGCTCTGCCTGTGAAATAACCATTCTTTATTCTCTTACTTTCTTAATAAACTTGCTTTCACTTTATAGACTCACCTCAAATTCCTTCTTGTGTGAGGTCCAAGAACCCTCTTGGGCTCTGGATTGGGATCCATTTCTGGCAACATTTTGGATACCATATCTTAGCATTTTAGAAATAGAAAAGACTCTAGGGCTAATCTTATTTAATCTGATCATTTTATAAATGAGAATATGAAGCCCAGAAAACCCATGGTCATTAATGGGACTTCTTGCCACCTGAACAGGGCCTTTCTACTATGTAATACTTTACCTCTACTTTCTGTCTCCAGTGAGATACTCAGGGTTGACAAGGATAAACAAGAGAAAAACTAAATTCCATTCAACCTTTACAAAGACTGGTGCAATTAGCAACCCCCCTCTCATCCTTCATTTGTATTGCAAAGGTAAATGAGCTGATATTGTCAATACAATTGCCAGGTAATTTAAGACAAAGAATTCTCCTCCTCTAACCAAGGAAGGAAATTCACTGGCAAATGTGGTCAAATGGTTACATTTTCTTTCCAGTTAATGAATTTTCTGTTTTAGAATATTTCAAAGCTGTAACTCAGAAATATTTTTTAGCAAGATTGCTTTAGGTTCTTGTTAGGGATGTCACCAAGACAGACTTTTACAAGGCACCTACACAGCCTTCTGTTTCCATGTGGAAAAGAAAAAAGAAAACCTGCAAGAAGCACAATAACATTTTAAGTTCTTTCCAAGTGTTACAAAACTAGAAAAAAAAGAGAACAGTTTTAGTTAGCTTCTTGAAATGTGGTGAGAAGATTAAAATGGCAATCCTTATCAACTAATTACCAAATATATATTTTTATGTCTAAATAATTTTTCAACTATTAAGATTCATAATATAGTCGAGAAAACCAACTAGAGAAATTGCAGTAGAAACCAGAATGTTTGATTCATGATGTTGTGTTGAATTAAAATAACACAGTAAAAATACCTGATATGTCAAAGAAGAGTTTTAGGCTGATTCTTCTTTTGTGATAATCTCATTGACAGAAGGGGTCAGCGGAGATAAAGCAATGCAACTGCCAAATCTTAATGACAGCCATTTTTAAAAATAAAGTTTTGGTATCAAAAGTCAATAATGCTTGGCTTGGGTTTTATTGACTTCCATGCAATAGTCTGAGAAAAACAATTATAGGCTTTGGCTGAAACTCATCTAGAGAGATAAAATCGTTTAATGCTTGTTTCAATGTTATGGACACACATTTTTAAGACTATACACTGGTGGGACTTCAAAAGCTGCTGGGATGCTAGATTCTAAGAAGACTGAATTCTAGTCACCTCTAGGAAATCAATGGCAGTTTACAAAGTATTTAAATACTTCCCCCCTCAATTCAGGCTCAACTAAATAAATTAAAACCAAACCATGTAGAAACATGTGGTTAAAAAAAATGAATTCACAACTTCCAAAGTAATGAAGTATAGGTTCTTCAATGCAGATTTGAGAGCATCATATCAACTCAGAAAAAAATTACTCTGGACAATTATTTCCAGTTTTTATCTCTTTCCAAAATCAAATCCTGCCTTCATGGCTTTGTGGAATGTGTTCCTAGAGCGCTGCACTGAGACAGGGGATGGGGGCAAAAGAGACAGCTGACGAAGCAGAAAGATGGCTTTCTGAAAGTCTTACCTCCAAAACAGTTTTTAAAAGTTTTAACAGAGTAAGAGTTAACCTGGTCAAGAGGATTAGAAGAAAAGTATGAACAACAACAAAAAAAATTGAATTTAATATATATAATTGTAGAGGTAAGAATGAAACAAGGATAGGGACACTGTTTGACTGTATGGAAATGTCATATGTTCTAACATTCAAAGAATGTTAATTAAATAAAATGGGAGAAAAAAAGAGAGAGAGAGAAGCAGAGTAACATCACCGACTGTTCAATAAATAAGTTGGAGTCAGAGGATAGAATTTAAAACTGACAGGCAAGACAGGAAAAGCGAAATAAGAGAAAAGGACCCTATAAAAATTATATAAAGAAAACCACTACAACAAAAATACAAACCTTCCTGAATACAAATAGCAAAATAACAAAAAAGACAAACTAGATACAGAAAAAATAACAAATATCAACAATACATAGTAATTTTAACACAGACTAATATCGCCAGAGTTGAGTCCAAACATATCAGTCATACAAAAAATATGAATGGGTACATTAACATGAAAAGATTTTCAAATTGACTCACAGGGTAAAATTCAATTATATGTTGTATATAAGAGACACATTAAAACAGTAACTCAAAAAAGTTAAAGGGATGAACAAATATAAACCAGGCAATTAGAAATAAGAATGGAGGGTTATGATCCTAATGTCAAAGTAGAATTCAGACCAAAAAGTATTAAATGAGATGAAGAGTGAAACCTTACAATGGTAAAATCCACAATTTACAATGAACATCTAACTATTATGTATATTTATGCACCAAATAACACAGCAACAACCTATATGAAGTAAAAACTACAAGAGATACAAGGTGAAATTGACAGAATCACATAACGATCAGGAACTTCAACATATCAAACTTTAACATATTATAGGGACAAAAAAATGAGAATGACATTTCCCAAATTTCGTAAGACATAAACTTATAGATTCACATGGTTCAAAACCCAAGCAAGATAATAAATATAAAGTAAATTGCACCAAAGCATACCATAATCAAATTGCTGAAAACCAAATGAAAAAAGAAAATCTTGAAAGTAGTCACTAAAAAATAACACACTATATACAGTGACATTCATTTGAATGATCAACTGCTCATCAGAAACAATGGGGGTCAGAATAGTGTTTTTAGAAAATACAAGAATTGAGGAATAAAGGAAATTTATGTGTACAATTTGCTCTCAAATAATTCCCAAAATTATAGATGTAGAGAGAAAATGATAAAACAAAGCAAATACTTATTGGAGGACATGGGAAAAAATAGGAGTTCACTAAATGATTCTTGTGACTTTTCTGTATATTTGAAATGAGTTCAAAATAAAGTTACAAACATGGATGAAAAAGTATAGAGGCATGTGTGTGTATATTAGTCTACACATATTTTCTAAATGTCCACTGATGGAATGTAGAAGTAGCAAGAACTCAGACCGGGCGCAATGGCTCATGCCTGTAATCCCAGCACTTTGGGAAGCTGAGGCAGGTGGATCACAAAGTCAAGAGATCGGGACCATCCCGGCCAACAGGATGAAACCCCATCTCTTCTAAAAATACAAAAATTAGCTGGGCGTGCTGGCGTACGCCTGGACTCCCAGCTACTCAGGAGGCTGAGGCAGGAGAATCGCTTGAACCTGGGAGGTGGGGGATGCAGTGAGCTGAGATCACACCACTGCACTCCAGGCTTGTGACAGAGCAAGACTGCATCTCAAAAAAAAAAAAAAAAAAGGAAGTAGGAAGAACTCAGTAGTAATAAGCACACCTGGCACCCAGTCTTGGTTTCTAAATACCATTCTCTAATAAATAGAAAAAAAAAAAAAGAGAGATCAGAACTCCTTGAAGAAACAGTTGAATTGAGGGTTGGGGCAGGGAAGGTACAAGATGAGCCTGAAACACCTCATGTTGTTAGAAAAAGAAGTGCTCAAAAAATTATGTAGGCTTACACTGCAAGTGCTAGAGGTTAAGAAATAATAAATACATAAAAATAATTATGTAGGTGAAGTGGCTACATTGTCTGGGGTAAATACCTGGGGTTTGTCATCTCCTGCCATGAAAATTTCGGACACAGACACACACAAGGACGTTAGGAGCAGAGGTTTAATAGGCAGAAGAAAGAGAAAGGAAAACAGCTGTCTAGTGAGAGAGAAGGGACTTTGGAGAGGAAAAGGCCAGCCAGCCACCCATGTCCGGATTTTATAGACTGGCTTGAGGAAGCAGTGTCTGATTTATGTAGGGCTAACAGATTGGGCTAATAGATTGGTTCCATCATATTGCCTGGGAATGCTGGACGCCCCACCCTAAGCTTATTACGCAAATGAATTTTCCCCTTGGCCGGCACCATCTTATCTGCTCCTTACTGTACACGTGGCTGGCAAAGAAGGGAAGACCTGCTGCCATTCTGAACATGATTTGAACGTGATTGGCACAACTGCCGGCATCTATGTCCACAGCTCAATTTTACAGGCTGCTCTTTGTTAGAAGGGAAAATGATTTGGGGCTGCTTTCCTCTTCTTTTTTTTTTTTTTTTTTTTTTTTTGGAGATGGAGTCTTGCTCTGTTGCCCAAGCTGGAGAGCAGTGGCCCAATCTCAGCTCACTGCAACTTCCACCTCCTGGATTCAAGCCATTCTCCTGCCTCAGCCTCCCGAATAGCTAGAACTACAAACACACACTGCCACGCGTGGCTAATTTTTTTTGTATTTTAGTAGACACAGGGTTTCACCGTGTTACCCAGGCTGGTCTCGAACTCCTGAGCTCAGGCAATCCACCCACCTTGGCCTCCCAAAGTGCTAGGATTACAGGCGTGAGCCACCTAGTTAAAAGGAAAACCTTACTGAGGACTTCCATACCTTCACTATCTGCATCAGTAATTTCTTCTCAATTCCTGTACCATAGGCATGTTGAAAGGATACACAAGCCAAGTTGAAAAAGTTCCCAATTGCCAAAACGAAAAACTTGAGCAACAAAATTATTTTTTGGTCAACAACTTGGCCAGAAAAATCATTGTAGTGGATTATAGGCCAGTGAATTAAGTATCTGAGTCCTTACTGATATAGTTAAATAAATAAGTGTAAAAAAAAGGTATCACTCCTCATTCCAGCAAAATTCCCATTTCCAAATGTAGAAGAGGGAAATGGAAAATCAATGTTAGACAAACACGTAACTGTTGCAAACAAAACCCACCAATGGATGCTAAAATTAATGGCAAAAGATTTGCATAGTTTCAAAGTATCCCCCCCAACACACACACACACAGGATATTAATTAAAAGGGAAAAACGGGGGAAAAAGAGGGATGGGGGAGAGGCAGAATTGGGAGGAATCCAGCAGTTACCACTTTAATCAAATGATTAAAGTTTACAAAAACTAGTAATTTGTATAGTAACACCTTATACACTCTCATATTGAGAGGTGACAGCATGCTGGCAGCCCTAGCTCGCTCTCGGCACCTCCTTGGCCTCAGTGCCCACTCTGGCCGCGCTTGAGGAGCCCTTCAGGCCGCCGCTGCACTGTGGGAGCCCCTCTCTGGGCTGGCCAGAGCCGGCTCCCTCTGCTTGCCGGGAGGTGTGGAAGCAGAGGCACTGGTGGGAACCCAGGCTGCGTGTGGCCCACGTGGCCCTCACGGGCCAGCGCGAGTTCCAGATGGGCATGGGCTCGGCGGGCCCCGCACTCCGAGCCGCCGGCCAGCGCCGCCAGCCCTGGGCAGTGAGGAGCTTAGCACCCGGGCCAGCAGCTGCAGAGGGTGTGCTGGGTCCCCCAGCACTGCCAGCCTGCCCACGCCACGCTCAAATTCTCGCCGGGCCTCCAGCCACCTCTCCGCAGGGCAGGGCTCGGGACCTCCAGTCCACCACGCCCAAGCCTCCCCCACCCCAAACCCCGTGGGCTCCCGCGCAGACCGAGCCTCCCCGACAGGCACCGCCCCCTGCTCAGCAGTGTCCAGTCCCATCCACCGCCCAAGGGCTGAGGAGTGTGGGTGCGTGCCATAGGACTGGCGGGCAACTCTGCAGGCAGCCCCAGCGCGGCATCCACTAGGCAAAGCCAGCTGGGCTCCTGAGTTGTGTGGGGACTTGGAGAACTTTTATGCCTAGCTCAAGGTTTGTAAATGCACCAATCGGCACTCTGTGTCTAGCTCAAAGTTTGTAAACACACCAATCAGTGCTATGTGTCTAGCCAATCTAGTAGGGACTTGGACAACTTTTGTGTCTAGCTAAAGGATTGTAAATGCATCAATCAGCACTGTGTCTAGCTCAAGGTTTGTAAACACACCAATCAGCACCCTGTCAAAACGGACCAATCACCTCTGTAAAATGGGCCAATCAGCTCTCTGTAAAATGGACCAGTCAGCAGGATGTGGGTGGAGTCAGATAAGGGAATAAAAGCAGGCTGCCTGAGCCAGCAACCACAACCCACTTGGGTCTCCTTCCACACTGTGGAAGGTTTGTTCTTTCACTCTTTGCAATAAATCTTGCTGCTGCTCACTCTTTGGGTATGCACTGCATTTATGAGCTGTGACACTCATCAGGAAGGTCTGCTGCTTCACTCCTGAAGCCGGTGAGACCAGGAACTCACCAGAAGGAAGGAACTCCAAACACGTCTGAACATCAGAAGGAACAAACTCCGGACACACCATCTTTAAGAACTGTAACACTCACTGCAAAGGTGCGTGGCTTCATTCTTGAAGTCAGTGAGACCAAGAACCCACCAATTTCGGACACAATGTGACACATTCTAAACAAGCACATCAATTATGTGGAATTCTTAAAAACACACACAAATGTAATCATAGTGGGTAAAGGGAGAAACAAATATGAATGAGAGAGGCAAGGAAAAATTCTAGTTAGAAGCTGGAGGTATAACTTGGCCTTTTGGCTAAGATCAAGTGTAGAAATTGGAGGTAACAGTATGAACTCACAATCTCCAAAAAAGAGATTTGTATATAAATGTGTGTGTGCGTGCTTTCTTGCTCTGCCAGCCAAAAGAACCTAGGATGGATCAGTAATATCTCAGGAGCCAATAAGCACACCAAGTTCTCAGATCTTAGTTTCTAAACACCATTCCTCCTAAATGGAACCTCTAGGTTCTTTGGAGAAATGGCTGATTCCAGGGCTGAGGCAGAAAAGGTACAAGATGAGTCTAGAATGTCTTCTTTTGCCAGGAAGTAAGCGCTCAAAACATGTTGGGAACATAGCAAAAGGAACCAGATTTGAGGGGCTCCCTCAAGACCAATCTCAGACAATTTTAACAATGACATGAATAAATATAGTATTAATAGCAGATTATAATCCACTGAATAAAACAGAAATCTACGAGTCTATACTTAAAATACAAACAGATGATAGATGATTGATAGGTAGGTAGGTAGGTAGGTAGTTAGATGCCAATAAGAGGACAATTCCTTTCAGTAAAATGCTGAGAAAAGGAGAACATAGCAATATTTTTAAAACACCATTTTACAATCATCGTAATAAAGACTGGATTGGGTAAGAATCATCAAGTATTGCTAAATCAGGGGAGGAAAACAGTGGATGTTTGTAGGGGAACAAAATACTCAATCTAAAGCACCTTCCCACAGACTGCCTATTTGTTGCAAGGGGGAAATATACAGTGAAGACACAGAACAATACTTCAACCAAGTGATCAAAATTAACATCAACAAGTTCCTCATCTCACATGTGATACCTTAACAAGAACACATCACTTGTTAAGGTATCATCTGTGAGATGAGGAACTTGTTGATGTTATCCCCAGTTGGGGATACATAACTGCAAGCTAATCATCAGAAAGTCTCAGACAAACCCAAACTGGAAAACATTCTACCAAAAACCACACACACAAACACAAATTAATGACTATTTTTGTTATGGACAACTGATCTTCATGGCAAATAAACATTTCCTGAAGGCAGAGATCATCTATCACACTATCTGATAATTTTAAGAGTTTGTTGTTTAAATGGATAATCCCTGCCTAGACCATAAGATGCTAAGTCTCAGACAGTGTCTTTATTCCTCTATGTTTCCCAACTCTGGTTCCAAAGAATAGTGAAGACACAAAGCATAATAGTTAGAAGAATAATGAATTTTTAAACTAGGTAAACAGAAATGTTTATAAGTTATGTAATATTCCATAGTCTCATCTCAACCAAATTTTTCCAAAAGTAAACATTTTTTCAAAACTTTTTAATGTATATAAAACTAAAAAAACAGAAAACAAAAAACTAGAATTCAAAGAATCACTCCACATATACATTTATACACTAACTTTGGAAAGTCTTGTGTTTGCAGATATTCACAAGGAAAACCTCAAAAATAAGTTGAAGTAACAATAAAATTTATGAATACACTGTAGTTAGAACTCAACTTTATTGTTACAACGAATTTTTATTTACAGAATATAAATCTCTTCAAAAAGATACATTCCTTCATTTAATCAATGGTAAAAAGCCTTATTAACAGAAATAAAGCCTAAACATCACTTATATTTGAACTGAAAGACAAACAGCTTCATTAAAAGTTTATGAACACATAGTGAAAATGTATTTTTACTTAACCAGTTACATGAATGAGGCTGTTTTTAATTTTCTTCACTGCCAACCTCATTTTATCCACAGAACAAATTTTATTTAAATTAACAGTAGTAAAAATGTAAAACTTAAATTTTGAACATGAAAATATGAAACAAGAAAACAGGAAGTATCTTCATTATCAAACAGATTAACAAATTCTCAGACAGATATTTTCTGAGGCATAGCAAAACACCTACATCAAAAGTTGCATTCATTTAAGAGGTATCAATACATTTTCAGTGCTGAGACTATTTGTAGCACTTACATTATATACAAAGCAGCATTATACTACTATGGTTCACATTTGATAAACACGAATTTAAGCTTTATGCCACAATTTCCCAATTCAACATAAAGCTAACGCAATGACAGTTACCCAATTTCATTCTTTTTCTTCTGAAACTGAATAAGGAAATTATCATTTAAGCACATGGAATAATGGCCATGTCTTTTTCCTTTTAATAACAGTATATTTTAAAACTCAAATACTTCATATCATGGAAATTTGACCAAGCTGTACAAAGGCTCCTAAATACAGTACAGTCAAAAAGTTTCCTCTTTGCAGACTCAATTTATAGTCAATTTAGTACAGATAAATATAGGAAACTACTTCAGATTATTGGACAAATAAGAATTTCAGTGTGTCACTACCTATAATTAAGTAGCAGCACACCACAACCACAGCAAGTAAACACTAATCTCCTCTACTGCCTTTTTGGGGTCTTTTCCAGTCACAGGAGCTAATTTACAGGGATACCACTGGGTTTCAACCAATCTCTGAAAGTTCCTTTATTATGAGTTTTGAAATTTAACTAATGCATCACCTACAATTCTGTTGGCTAGTTTTTTTCTTACTCTTCACTAATTAGTTTTAAATACAATATGTAATGTTTTCAAATTTTTATAAACATAGGTGTTGTACTAAAATGATTAATGGCATTTGAAATACAACAAATGGGTAAGATGTTAACCAAAACAATGGGATTAAGAGTATTTTAGAAAGCGATTTTTTGTTAACTAGAAAAGCTACAGGATTCACAATGAATACAGATACAATATTTTTAACCCTGCTCTTTTATTACATCAGTAGTATAGTAAGTGCATAAAGTATAGAAGAGAAAGAAAATTTCAGGAGAGAAACTTACAAAAAACTTGAAGTTTGATGCGTCAAACACAAAATAGTTTAAAACAGTTTACAGTTCTTATAAGCACTATCATAATTTTTTCTACCCAAATAATTCAGGTCTTCATTCCATTTCAAACTGCAATCCAGAAATGAAGATTTTCAGTGTAAAAACTGTTCAGAGAAATCTAATTCATTATGTAATACATCTTATTAATTTCAGTTTTCAAGTATTCAAGTAATGCATACCCAAGTATTTTCTGTTACAGCAACACATTTACAGACTAAGCCTCAAACATGGGGAAAAATTCATTTAAAATAATTGATACACTTTTCTGTCCAACGACATCAAACCCAAGACATGACACTGGAATCACACAAGTGGTATATAAAAGTTAAAAATTTTAAAATAAGGTGGTTCAATATAAATAATGTCTTCTTTTCAAAAAGAACTGAAAACAGGTTATCTTAATACATAACTAAATTCCCAGTAAAAGGACATTCTGGAATCTAATGGACTAAAGAAAAACCAGAGCAAATCAATTTTGAAAGATGAAGCTGCTTTACCACATACTTAAAATGATTTTTCCTCTGTGCATAATAATTACTAGCATTTGTCTTCTGCATAAAGTCGCACAGGTTACTGTCAACAAGTTTCCTAGCATAAAGCATCGCTAACTTTGTCTATCAACTGAATGACTGATTGATTAAAAGCTTAAGTCTGTATCACTTTGGAATGCTTATTAAAAACAATTTAAAGCAGAAAATTGAAATGACAGTATTTTCACTTATATTATGAAGACAGAAATTCGTAAAATGGTACAGAAGGCTTCTGTGTAATGTAAAAAAGAAATATTTGTATAATTTTAAAAGTGGAGGGTTCTAACTTTTAATTGAGAGTGGGGGAAACTTTTTTTCTTTAAATCTGGAAGCTGTAGTAACATATTTATGAAGTTAAATATTTTTAGTTCAGCAAAAATGGAAATAATTGTCATTACAAGATTACTTAAGTCTTTTCTGTCTTTTATGATCCTATCATGATCAACTTTAAATTTAGAGAAGTCATTTGAGATATGCTTAAGTTGAACTAAAGACTTATTATTTGTCTAATTTCTGTATATATGGAAATTAGATTCACATTGGGATATCTAAAATTTCAAGGTTTTTTTGTAGAAAAAAATTAACAACCCTAAAAATAGGAAATTATTAAATTACATTTTTAATTTCCTTTAGCTTGGAATCATGACTCAAAGAACGGAGCTCTATTAATATAACAGTGTATAAATTCACTGCTTCCAGGAATCTAACCTCACAAAACCTAACGGCTAACTAAAAAATAAAGAAAAGTCTTATTAAGCACTGAGAGGCTAAATAAATGAGTACTGACATTAACCAAAGCCGACAAACCCTATTTCCAGTTCCTGTGATCTCACTGTGTAGCCACAACTGTTGGCTATTTTTACTCTAAAACCAACAAGCTGAATCATTTCCTTACAGAAAAATTTCTACAAAAGGGAAGAGAATGCAAAACAATACACAGTCTCATATGCAAGATACAGTTCACACTAATTTACAAATTTTTATTTACATTTTTTATATACATTCCAGGCAGACCTACTTGATGAGTTTTGTGCTCATATTGATCTCAGATGATCGTGTGTACTGTATGATTTACTACCACATCTCTTTGATTTCCAGAAAATGGTGGTAGCATGGGGTTAGGAGGAAAAGAAATCACTGGTCAGGTGAGATCATACAAGTATGAAGGGGAAAAAAGGAAAAAAAATTGCGGAATTTGGCTTGTTAAAGCATCCAGGCCACTATGGTCTATTGACTAACATTGAATATACATGAATGCCACTTCTTACAGCCATTTTCATATTTACAAAATGAGCTTACTACTAGTTGAGTTATTAGGTAAGGCATTCAAGTTCCTTAGCTTAACATAAAAAGGCAACAGACATCTTAGCACACCACAGGACAGATTTTAGAGGGATGATTTCAGAGCACTTTGAGATTTACCCTCCTTTAGAATCCCTTACATGGTCGATATAAAAGGGAAGCAATTCTGAATCCTATTACTAGCCTGCACCATGATCCCAAAAACCTATACAGGAAGTAGGAGCATCACAACAACCAAAATCTAGCCAGAATGGGGAAAATAGATTAGATATCTTATTTTGTTCCCAAGATCCACTGCATAGTCCCAGAGCTAAAGTGAGAGCCTTTATTCCTGGTTACATTCACTTCCCTATGAATCTCTCCAAAAAACCTACAATAGTGTGACAGCTAGTAGCTATGCACAGTCTATCAGCAATGGCTCAGTGAACCTCTATTCAAAATAGTTTGAAGTAAGAATATGGAGTAAGGTAGAAAAATTATCTTCTCTCCTCCCACAGTTCTACAAGATATATACTGTTGCACTTTAGAAGGCAGAAAGCAAAAAAAAAAAAAAAAAAAAAAAAAAAATTAAGAGTATTACACATTCTTTATCTGTTTTATGAAAATGTTCTAACCACAGACAAAAATTCCACCAAAAACAATTTTTCAAGTTCACACTAACATTATAAAAAGCTACTAGTTGTTTAATTGGTTCCATTCACTTAACTAGGCAAAGTTCTATTGATCTTACAGTAATATGGTTTATAAAAACAAAAGTGAACATTTATAACATTGGGGAGGTAGAAACCAAATCTGGTCTAACACTGTTACAGATACAAACATACTTTAAGATTATATTTATGTAACTAGAATTTACCATTTAAAATGGCCTGTGTTTCTATTTACTTTATTAGCTTCAAAAATCTTGAGATAATCCAAGTATTTTAAAGCATTTGTCTGAGAATATTAAGTCATTTGGAATACATTAGACTCCTCAGAAGATTTCTCAGAGGATAAATTTGTAGTTGCATATTTTGAATATGCAGATCCAGTAAGCCAACTTTGTACATGGGCACTTATGTGACCGAAGTGCAAAGCTTGTCAGACTAATTTTCTAAGTAAAGTTAACCATGACTGCTCAACTACACAGAGCAGACTTCAAAACCTGAAGCCTATTTATCTATCTGAAAGATCTAACTTCTTTCCATACAATAATTACCTCCCTCTTACCACCAGACAAAATTAAAAATACAGTTAAACAAAAACAAGAGAAATAAACAAAAGCCCTCCTGCCATGACTATTTATGCTTAATTCACATTTTGTCATTTGTCAGATTTTAAGTGTACAAGATCAATGCCCTAAGTGTTCCTTATTTAATTATATAACTGCCTCAACATATAACGCTGAACTTACATGTATCAAGTAATCATTTGCTATCAGTCTAAAAACATAGAATCAAACTAAAACATGAAACTAAAATGTGAGGAATGAAACATGAAACTGAAATGTAAGGAATGACTCTGGATAGGTAAAAAATAATTAACCTAAACAATATTTTCTTATTTCTACATATGATAAATTTTGTGTATTTGTTTCAAAAATTAGCAATACTAGTGACTATTTAATAATCAAAAACATAAAGCATCTCTAGAAGTAAAAGGAAATTTTTGGTTAGAAACAATTTGATACTATAAAATTTTTAAAACTGAAAATAGTAACGACCATATTTAGCATTTGAAAACATTATTTAATACAGATTTTGGTAACATTAACTAATACTTATTCCAAGATTATATGGTAAATATTTATATTTATACTGCCAGACTACATAGAGAAACAGGGATTTAATTCTAAGTTATATTACCCCAAAAAGAAATACTTTCTAATATTGAATTCAACAAGATGTACCACCAACAGAGACAGTGAATGTATTTCACCTTCCTAAACAGCTATTTTTATATGAAAATCCTAAATTATCTACATCAGTCAATGACTGGCATTTCAAGAGTAAATGATTCATTTTACTTACAATGCATCAAGATAAAAAGGTTACACTGAACAACTAGAATGTTTACTGAAATTAATCTTATTAAAGTAAAACTTAAAAAACTTATTTGGGACATTTTCATTGCTTACACTCAACGAACGTGAAACAGAGAAAAACAGTCACAGAATCGTGCTAAGTTTATAATAAATAATTCACATACAACATAGGTTAAATTATCAAAGAAATTAAACTGACATCTTTATACCTTTTGCAGATTTAACACATTTCTAATCCACCACATACGGATAGCAGTAGGTATATTTCTTGACATCATTCAGTCTATTTCAAAAATAGATTTGATTGTTTAGAGGCATAATTTATAAAGCAAGATAACCAAATTAAACAACAGAATTTTAACTAATATTGGCTTTTTGGGATTTCTTAAGAAAAGATTCACAAGCATTGCTCAGCTACTGGAGAATAATTAAATCTCTTCTTTACTCAGGCACTTTTAATGCAGTAACCTCAGGCTTCATTTTAAAGTACTGGTTAAAACGAACAATTGCATACCTAGTGAGAAAAGAGAACAACAAAAAAATTAGTCAAAGCTGAAAAACTTGGTCCTTCCCTTATTTTCACTCAGTCCTCTAAGCTGGTTTTCTTAAAGTTTAAGATTTTCAAAGGACATATTTTTAGTTTATTGCACCACCTACTGGACACTTTTCTAATCCTGCGAGCACTTAACAGCTTATAGCAATTTCTTCACAGACCAATTACTAAGTGTATACAACTTTTATAATTGATTGCAAATAACTACAATATTCCCTGTGAATTCTTAATGTTAATCCAAACAAAAGCAGAGACCAATGTAATCATATAATAAAATTTAACTTACCCAAGGAAATCAAACTCAATAGTGGAGTATTTGGCTTGAATCAAAGCCCACAATCCCCAAAAGAAATGAGAAGCCTTAAAAGAAGGAAAGAAAAATCAAAAATTATGATAATGAATTTCTCTGTAAAACACATATGAATTGCTAATTCTATCCTCTAAATCAACTCCATGCACCACACTTTCTTGCTGTTCTTTTTATATAAAGCGTCTAAAACCTAGATCCTACTGACGTCTGCACCCACTAGATGGCTACAGATCACTTTCGTCAACACCAAAGGAGATTATGGTAAATTATAATCACTTGAAAAATAGAGGCCAGTTCCTGTGATGTGCTTTTTTATAAAGCAAAGTTTACCATCAGCACTGATAGATGTTAGTGTTTTTAATGGTTATAATTGCTAACAGGCTTACACATTATTATATCAAAGGCCTTTGTTTCTTGACATACAAATATAAACACAAAAGAAAATCCAAATCTCACAAGCAATAAATATATTTAAATGTGAAAAATGTTCTAGGGGTGACAAACATCTGAAAATGATCTTACTGGCTTAATTCTGCATAACAGACCACAACATAAAGTAACACAACTTATGTCAGGAAAAATATGGGTTTTGGACTTACAGGGAAATTAGCATGTAATTAGTAACTGTAAAATAATTATGTGTGCTTTACAATCTATTTTCAGTTAAACAGGGTAATATTTTAAAATCTGAACAAGATTTCACTTCCCAAGAAATACTATATTCTAACTAGAAATATTCTAAGTAGAAACAGTATTAAAGACAAGGTTTTTGTTTCAGCTAAATTCATTACAGCAACAGTAACAAAGGGGCTCTAACAAAAAAGTATTCAACAGCCATGACCTTGGTATTTAAAAATACCAAGCAGCACAGTATACCAAAAAGAATTCTTAATTTGAATTACAAGATGTAGAGGTTCCAGTCCAGGCTCTATCTCTGAGTACCTTTGCAACCTTTAATAAGTCACAAACTTTAGTGTCAGATCTATCATTTACGAGATGGGAATATTAGCCATTCTGTATTCTACACAGGATTGTTTTAAAGACTAAAGGATATAATACATGTAAAAAAAATTTTTCAACCTAAAGATCTCTATTTAAAAAGCACTCTGCACTTTGTTTTTGGCTTCCTCAAAAAAATACCACTAACTATTCAGCTATTCAGGAGGCTGGTGATCACTAGAGCTCAGGAGTTCAAGGCTGCAGTGAGGAGCATGCCACTGCACTCCAGCTTGGGCAACACAGTGAGACACTGTCTCTTAAAAAAAAAAAAAGAACAGGAATATAATTTCTTTCCTGATATAGAGATAGAAAAGAATAAACAATGTAGCAAAGACTAAACAACTAAAGTCACTTGCACATGAAGCATAAAAGTTAAAAAAACAAGCTGGGCTCTGGCGTGTGGCTTTAAGCACTTCACGTGGTGCGTTTATTTCCTCATCTGTAAAATGTAGGTCATAATAGTACCTATAGCTGGCATATAACAAATATTCAATAGAATGCTAGCTATTCTTACTATATGAAACCAGAATGATTAAAAATGATAAAGATTTTCAAAAATGGTCTTCTATCTAAAAAAGTATATCAGGTATTGAGAAATGAAATTATGAAATTAGAGGACTTCCTTCTTTTCAAAGTCTACATCAGAGGTTCTTAAAGTGGTCGATGAACCCATGGGAGTTTTCGGAGGCCCAAAATTACTTTCATAATTATACTGATATGTTACTTGCCTTTTTGACTATGTTAACATTTGCACCAATGGTTCAAAAGCAGTGAGGGTGAAACTACTGTTACCTTAAGTCAAGGCAGTGGTAGCAAATCACACTAGTGTAATAGTCTTATTCTTCACCATCACACAATAACAGTAAAAAGCCAATGTCACTAAAGAATGTCCTTTGTGAAGCCATTAAAACTATTAATTTTATTAAATCTCTACCCTGGAGTACGTGCTCTAGTATTCTGTGGGAGGAAATAGGCAGTACATATAAAGCACGTCTACTGCATATCCAAAGTACAATGGATGTCTCAGGAAAAACACCTAGGTAACTGACTTTTGAGTTGAATTTGCACATTTTTAATGGGACACAATTTTTACTTGAAAAAAATGACTAATATACAAACTAGAGTTATCAAACTAGAGTTATCAGACTTGAGTATTTGGCAGACATTTTCTCAACTATAAAAAAGATAACTTGCCATTTCAGTGAAAATAACTGACAATATTTGTTGCCAATGATAAAATTCAAGTTTTCACCCTAAAATTAGAACATGAGAAAAGTTTTATGTGATTCTGTGAGCTTAACAGCTTCTCAATATAGTACTATAAGTTTTTCTGATGACACTGGTGGTGATATCAACATATGTGATCTTTAGCTATCTTATAATGAGATGTGTCAACATTTGGAAGATCTATACAACTCAATGAATCAATTATTTTCCAAATAACTAATAAGTTAAAATTACAAAATCACATACAGGTAAAAGAATCATTCAATCTGCAAGATAAACCAGTAGATTTTAATGTAATAGAGTAAAAAATTAATTGATACATTCAGATTATTCATGGCAACTAACCTTTAAGAAACTATCACTTGTTGAGCTTTGGTCTAGTATCAAAAAAGAATATCCACAATTATCTGAAAAGGCAAAATACTCCTCTTTTCCAACATGCATGTGTGAAACTTTTTTTCATATACTTGAAATGAAACAATCCATCACAAAAGATGTAATGCAGAAGCAGATACGGGAATCCTGCTGTATTCCATTAAACCAGACATTAAAGAAATTTGCAGAAGTGTAAAATAATGCCAGTCTTCTCACTAAATTGTTTTTTGTTTTGAAAAATAGTATTCTATTTATGGCATTTGCGTTAATGTAATGAGTTTATTTTAAATATATATATATACTTAAATGTTTGAATTTTGACTTCTAATATGTTAAATACTGTTAATTATTTCACAAAAACAAAAGCTTGTAGAGGTCTTCAAAAACATTTTAAGTATGAAGGGGTCCTAAGATTGAAAAATTTGAGAACCACTAGTCTAAATTGCCTTGCATATTTTACGCTGATATAAAATCACCTATAGATGGTATCCTAATCTCTTCTTCCTACTAAATTTGCTCTGTAGTGGAAAAGACTGAGAAATCAAGAGTCATTCTGCATTTTAAAAACATACCAACTTAGCTCTTCTCACCATTGTCAAGCAGAGATGGTAACTATATTTCTCAATCAGTTTTTATTCATATACTTATATAAATTAACTAAACGATTCTACACTAGAGAAGCATTATCCATAAAACCTCACTGAAATCTCATTTGTGTAGGCAACCATTTTTATAGGGGGAAAAGTGATAAATTAATATATAACAGTAGATTCTAAATGGATGAGAAACAAAGGCAGAAAACAGCCCATTCATCATTTGCATCCCCCCAAAATACAAGTACATCCAAAAAAATAATAAATTCTGTAACTATACTATCTCTTTCACATTTGGAAGTTATGGATATGTAAGTCTCTCTGTTAAAGGGTATTTTAATTTCTAGACTACTTACCCCTGTTGCAAAGAAATATTCAAAGCTTTATATGGTAAATAAATAACTAAAATAAATCCCCAGTGTGCATATAATGGAGGGGGGGGCGGGGGAAGAAAAGCTCCACAAAGCCATTACGTATACTCTGTTTGGTTTTATAACCCATATACCTACTTTTGTTTGCCACCATCTCAACATTAAACAATCAATGACAAGTGAAATGTTATAATCTTTAGAAGTCTGTATCATGGCCTGAGCAATCAACATTTACTAACCATTTATACTATTTCAAAACATGTATACCCTGATCTTATCATTCAGACCTGCTTTTCTTTTTATCAAAGCAGCTTCATAAACTATCTAAGGAGGAAACAGCACTTAAGACACATCCATAAGGAATAAGAGAAATCTGCCAAGAGATGCAGGGTAAAAGGCATTCCAGGTAGAAGGAATAAGCTTCTAAGTACACAGACATGCAACATCATGGAGTATGCCCGCACAAAATGACTCTGCTAGAGCAGAAGTAGGACGTGTGAAGTAGTGGGAAATAAGAGTTTGCAGATGCTGTCATTTGGATTTCATTCTGTAGGTCACAGGGAGCCATAAAATAGAAAAGTGACACAATCTAATTAATTAAATTCTAATTACTAGAAAGGATCACTTTTTTAATATACAGAATAAATGAAAGACAGGAAAAACAAAACAACAACAAAAAAAACTGAAGGCAAAGAGACCAGTAAAGGCTAATGTTGGCAAGAGATTCAGTCCTCAATCAAAGGTAAAAAATAAAAGGAGAAGGTGCTGAAATCAAGAACATTTTAGGAACCAAGAACAGAACTTGGAAGGGGTAGACCCAAATCAGAACACTAGGGAATACTGTTAACATGTAAGAGGGCTGGGAGAAGAGGAGGAAAGAGGAGCCAGATTAAGAGACTGAGCAAGACAGTACAAAAAGAGAATTTGTCACACAGCTTTAAAATGATGTATGTATTCCTCCACCCTTCAAGAATATGGCCAGGTGAGGTGGCTCACACCTGTAATCCCAACACTCGGGGAGGCCGAGGTGGGTGGATCATTTGAGGTCAGGAGTTCGAAACCAGCCTAGCCGATATGGTGAAACCCCGTCTTTACCAAAAATACAAAAATTAGCTGGGTGTGGCGGCAAACGCCTGTACTCCTAGCTACTGAGGCCAGAGAACTGCTTGAATCCAGGAGGCAGAGGTTGCAGTGAGCCAAGATTGTGCCACTGCACTCAAGGCTGGGCGATAGAGTGAGACTCCATATCAAAAAAAAAAAAAAAACAAAAAACCAAGAACAAAAAACACGAATATGAGAACTATCAGATCGCATATGTAAAATGCAACTACTCCCACTCCCTAGGAGAATGCGAAGTCTTATCGGACCCTATGATGGTTAATGTTAGGTGTCAACTTGATTGGATCGAGGGTTGCCTAGTTGGCTAGGAAAGTATTGTTTCTGGGTGTGTCTGTGAGGGTGTTGCCAGAGGAGACTGACATTTGAGTCTGTGGACTGGGAGAGGAAGACCCACCCTCAATGTCGGCTGGTATCATCCAATTGGCTGCCAGCACGGCAAAAACAAAGCAGGCAGAAGAAGGTAGGATAACTTTGCTTGCTGGGTTTTCTGGCTTCCTTCTTTTTCCCCATGTTGGATGCTTCCTCCTGCCCTTGGACTTCAGAATCCAAGTTCTTCAGCATTTGGACACTTGGACTTAAACGCCAGTGGTTTGCCAGGGGGCTCTTGGGCCTTTGGCCACAGACTGAAGGCAGCACTGTCGGCTCTTCTGGTTTTGAGACTTTCAAACTTGTACTGCGCCACTACTGGCTTCTTTCTTCCTCAGCGTGCAGACGGCCTACTGTGAGACTTCAACTTGTGATCAGGTGAGCCAATTCTCCCTAATAAACTTCCTTCCACTTATACATATATCCCATTAGTTCTGTCCCTCTGGAGAATGCCAATACAAACTCCATATGTGAGTACTTGGGGTGAACTCCTTCCCCTCTTGGGAATGTTACATTACACTTTCTCAGACCCCATGTGAGTAACTGACCTTAACTAGTGGACTTCAAAATACATATAAACATAACAGTTTGACATTCTGAACACTTAGTCTGTGACAGGCTACACTCTGTCAGTTACTTCTCCAAAAGCAGAGTTCAGGCCTCTACAGGCCTTGGAGCTTTGAAGTCTTGTCATGACAACATTAACGTCCAACTTCTTGTGTCCAGGAACTTCAAGTGTCTTCATGGATCTCTCCTATGTTGGTCAAGCCCAAGAAACTAATCGTAAAAAGCTCAATCCTCTCCTGCTTTCATCCGAATTGGACTAGACTTTTAACAATTTGGAACTCACTCATTATATAGTTAATGTACCTCATCTATTGAGTATATTCCCTGTGAGATTTGTTCAGGTTGTTCTTCCTCTCTTTAAGCATTGTGAACCTAAGGGGAAAAAACTATCTTTGTATGGCAATAAAGTGTGTAATTCATGAAACCAGACTTTGATCATTTCCTTATTTTCACCATACATAAAACTATCACAAAAGTCAACAAGAGAACATTTTTTAAATCAATGGTAAATACTGTCAAATGCTACTGACAGATCAAGTAAGATAAGGACTGAAAAATTTACATTGGACTTGGCAATTATGTCATGATTGGTAAGCCTTACCTGATTTTCTTTTTACAGCAGTGAGGGAAAAGGCAGATTGCAGTGTCTGAGAAACGCATGAAGGATAAAGGAGTAAGATTCAGGGTTTCCTTTTATTTCACATTGCAATCACAATTATTGATTCATTCAAATGCTTGAGATGCGAGAGGCACATACTTAATAAACAGTCGGAGGAAATTAAGAGTTGGTAAGAGAGGAAGGTAAACGGCTAGCTAAAAAGAAGATATAGAAAGTCTTGGAAAAGAAAAGAAGATATGTCAAAAGAAGATAGCAACAGAGGCCCTGATGCAAGAAAGTTGTGACATCCCAGAAGGGCAGGAAAAGCACACAACAGACGATCAGCAAATTCTGATAAAATAAGAACAGGAATCGAAACAAAAACTGACTTGATAAATAAAGGGCTTTTCAAAATCTCCTTAAGCTGAAAAGCAACTTCAGCAAAGTCTCAGGAAAAAAAAATCAATTTACAAAAATCACAAGCATTCCCATACACCAATAACAGACAAACAGAGAGCCAAATCATGAGTGAACTCCCATTCACAATTGCTGCGAAGAGAATTAAATGCCCAGGAATACAACGTACAAGGGATGTGAAAGACCTCTTCAAGGAGAACTACAAAACCACTGATCAAGGAAATAAGAGGACATGCACAAATGGAAAAACATTCCATGCTCATAGATACGAAGAATAAATATTGTGAAAATGGCAATACTGCCCAAAGTAACTTACAGATTCAATGCTATTCCCATCAAGCTTCCATTGACTTTCTTCACAGAATTACAGAAAACTACTTTAAATTTCATATGGAACCAAAAAAGACCCTGCATAGCCAAGACAATCCTAAGCAAAAAGAACAAAGCTGGAGGCATCATGCTACCTGACTTCAAACTATACTACAAGGCTACAGTAATCAAAACAGCATGGTACTGGTACCAAAACAGATATATAGATCAATGGAACAGAACAGAGGTCTCAGAAATAACACCACACATCTACAACCATCTGATCTTTGACAAATCTGAGAAAAACAAGCAATGGGGAAAAAATTCCCTCTTTAATAAATGGTGTTGGGAAAACTGGCTAGCCATATGCAGAAAACTGAAACTGGACCCCTTCCTTACACCTCATACAAAAATTAACTCAAGATGGATTAAAGACTTAAACATAAGACCTAAAACCATAAAAACCCTAGAAGAAAACCTAGGCAATACCATTCAGGACACAGGCATGGGCAAAGACTTCATGACTACAAACACCAAAAGCAATGGCAACCAAAGCCAAAGTATACAAATGGGATCTAATTAAACTAAAGAGCTTCTGCACAGCAAAAGAAACTATCGTCAGAGTGAACAGGCAACCCACAGAATGGGAGAAAATTTTTGCAATCCATCCATGTGACAAAGGGCTAATATCCAGAATCTACAAAAAACTTAAACAAATTTACAAGAAAAAAAAAACCCATCAAAACGTAGGCAAAGGATATGAACAGACACTTCTCAAAAGAAGACATTTATACGGTCAACAAACATATGAAAAAAAGCTCATCATCACTAGTCATTAGAGAAATGCAAATCAAAACCACAATGAGATAGATACCATTTCACGCCAGTTAGAATGGTGATCATTAAAAAGTCAGGAAACAATAGATGCCGGAGAGGATGTGGAGAAACAGAAACGCTTTTATACTCTTGGTGGGAGTGTAAATTAGTTCAACCATTGTGGAAGACAGTGTGGCAATTCCTCAAGAATCCACAACCAGAAATACCATTTGACCCAGGAATCCCATTACTGGGTATATACCCAAAGGATTATAAATCATTCTACTATAAAGACACATGCACACGTATGTTTACTGAGGCACTATTCACAATAGCAAAGACCTGGAACCAACCCAAATGCCCATCAATGATAGATTGGATAAAGAAAATGTGGCACATATACACCATGGAATACTAAACAGCCATCAAAAACGATGAGTTCATGTCCTTTGCAGGAACATGGATGAAGCTGGAAACCATCATTCTCAGCAAACTAACACAGGACAGAAAACCAAACACCACATTTTCTCACTCATAAGTGGGAGTTGAATAATGAGAGCACATGGACACAGGGAGGGGAACATCACACACCGGGGCCTGTCAGTGGGTAGGGGGCTAGGGAAGGGACAGCATTAGAAGAAATACCTAATGTGCATGACAGGTTGATGGGTGCAGCAAACCACCATGGCACATGTATACCTATGTAACAAACCTGCAGGTTCTGCACATGTACCCCAGAACTTAAAGTATAATAATAAAAAATTTTTTTAATTGAAATAAATAACGGGCTTTTAATGTTTCTTAATGAGGAAGAACTAGAAATTGGTATCAGAATCTCAGAGTATAACACTTACTATATGCCCTATGGAAAAACTTAGTATATGTAAGTTCAGAGGACATATTAAATTATTCAGAAATGTTATTAAAAAGGTACTGAAGTTTTATGTCTATCAATTGTCCTTTATCTTTTTTTAATCAGACCTTCTACTGAATGTATGACATTTATTAATATATCTGTTGTTCATTTCATGAAGATATTCTTTTTCATTTTGAATCAGAGTAAGTAAGTTTCCTTCTAATTCCAATTTACCAATAATTTTACAGCAAAACGGGTGTTATGGCTGGGTATAGGGCTTATGCCTGTAGTCCCAATACCCTGGGAGGCTGAGGCTGGAGAACTGCTTGAGGCCAGGAGTCCAAGACCAGCCTGAGCAACATAGCAAGACCTTGTCTCTCCAAAAAGTTTTAAAAAATCAGCCAGGCATGGTGGCATGCGCCTGTAGTCCTAGCTACTTGGGAGGCTGAGTTGGGAGAACCCCTTGTGCTCAGGAGTTTGAGGCTGCAGTGAGCTATGATCGTACCACTGCATTCCAGCCTGCGTGACAGAGCAAGACCTTGTATCTAATAAAAAAATAGGTCTGGCATGATGGCTCATACCTATAAATTCCCAGCACTTTGGGAGGCTGAGCCGGGAAGAATCACTTAGGCCCAGGAGTTCAAGACCAGCCTGGGCAATATAGAGAGACCTCATCTCCACAGAAAAATTAAAAAAATTAGCCAGGCATGGTGGCGCTTGCTACTCAGAAGGCTCAAGTGGGAGGACTGCTTAAGCCCGGGAGGTTGAGGCTGCAATGAGCTGTGATCACATCACTATACTCCAGGCCTGGATGACAAAGCAAAGACTGTCTCAAAATAAAAATAAAAGTAAATATTAAAATAAAATCAATTTCAAAAGAAATGAGTGTTAACTTTTACCACCAAAAGAGTTATTCTGTACATCTTATTTGGCCTTCTAAATTATAAGCATTTTGAAAGAGTGCATTTTTTTTATTCTTCCAATCTACTGACCTAGAATAACAGTAAGTACTTAGTATCTGATTGATGAATATTTATAAACAATTGATCAAATCAGAAGCAAAGGTATTTTTCAATGCCATGTACAGATACAGTCACAGTATCCCCCAAAAATCTTAAATGTCATCAAAAGTTTGCAAGGAAATCCAAATCAGCTTTCTAATAGCAAACAGTGGGATTGATGGTTAAGAATTGATGAGCTATGTGTACTTTACCTGGAAATTAACTAATTCAATGCATAAATGGAATATTAGGCTGAATCTGAAATTCATTAAATCACCTAATGAGAAAGAAAACCCTACATTCTCTAAGATCATGCTTAAATACAATAAATAGAAAAGCAGGCATCCTAGGACCAGCTGTAGAGCATGTCATTAATTGAACCAGTAACTGTACTGAAAATAGATAGAAGAACAGCAGGTAAAGGAACATTTCAGGACACCTTCTTACTTGGGATGTATTCTGAGTAACTCTGGGCATATGGTACTTTTAAGACTATAAAAATGGCATACCCATATACCACTAGGGTCTATCTGTAGAGACAACACAACAAATATTTCCCATGTCAACTATACAAAATTATATTAAAACCAAAAAGCAGCAGCTAAAATAGCTTTGGCTTATTATTCCATTTAATTATCTAACACCTTAGTTGAAAGATCATTCTAATGTATCATATTATTCTCAAAAGATAATGAGCTCATTTTTAAAATATAAATGCATGTAAAGAGAAGTAGGTCTTAATAATAAAGCTTTAAGACACCAATAAAGCTGGAAATAACTGCTTATCAAATGAAGGTCAAGAAGACAAAACACTGGATAAGTCATAAAAAACATAATCCTACAGGTTCTTCCAACCTACTTTTATCACATAAGATCTAACCATAAAATGTGTTGTGGAAAAGCTCCTCTCCTGTAAAATTTGACTTTGATGTAAAGAAAGGAATAGACTAAGAAATTGTTTTATGCATCAATCTTAACCCTGATAAGAATCTACTCATTAAACAAATAATTACTGAGTACCTATCATATGGCCAGGCATTGTTCTAGGGGATGGGGATATAGCAGGAAATGAAACAAAATTTTTGTCCTTAAAACTAATGCAATGGGGTAATGCATACTGTAAATGGTCATGTATTTACATTATTTTGAACAAAAATTCACAAAACTTAAAATAGGAAATTGTCTAAGATGACGAAAATTTAGAAGCATTTTCAATTACAGTAAGAACCTTTCATTAATTGTGTACATTTAAACTTACCAATGCAAACTGATTGACTTGAATGAAGAGTATTTCTACCTCCTTTTCAGTAACTTCAGTCCCAAAGCCCTTAAATTCTTTGTAGGCTTCAAGGTAAGCACGCAGCCACTGACTCTGTAGTTCTCTATCTGGATACAGACTATAGTCTACATCACTCACACCTTTAGAAGAAAAAAAACTACACTCAAAAATTTTAAAACATAAACTCTTCTGCATACCTTAATAATCCCTAAAACCACCATTTTTTCATAAAAAATGAAAAGTTCCATTTTGGCTGGAATACTGCATGTTAAGTAAAAAGCATTTATTAAAATAATAAACCAATCATTCTGTATTTCAGCTTAAACACTAAGGCACATTACTGTTGATCACCAAATCAATTCTCATAGCTTCAATTTTTCCTCAAAGTTTATAGCTTGAACCAGCTGCATCACAAACCCAAACTATGCATTTTAGGAAGCAACCCAGGAAATTCTTAAGCATGCTGACATTTGGAGCACTACCTCAAAGTGTGGCTATAAAACTTTTCAAACCATGACTCATGGTAAGAATACTTTTTTTTTTGGAGACGGAATCTCGTTCAGTCACCCAGGCTGGAGTGCAGTGGCATGATTTCGGCTCACTGCAACCAAGAATACATTTTTTTTGAGACCTTATACATAGAACCAGCTGATACTACATTTCACAAAACAGTATTTATCCCAACAACATTTTCCAACTCTGAGATTTTGTTTCTCTTTTCCATTCCTTGCAAACAAAAAAGTCATTACCCCACAAATTTAACTTCATGATCTATAGTTTGGAAAATACTAACCTAGAAGACAAAGTTCATACTATCTTGCCATCCAAGGTTCTTTAGAAGTTGGTCTAAATCTACCTCACTAGTCCTATAACTCTGTAGTCTCCTTCATGAATTCTATATCCTATAAAAGTAAGTAGTTCATCTTAAAGTTTTTTCCCCTTTCCTTCTCTTTAGTTTGCACATCCAAATTCTACCTAACTCACAAGGTTTAGCTCACTTTTTTTGTCCACAAAATCATTAGAAGATCACTGGAGTTTTCTATTTCATATCCACGGCAGTGGCCGTCTATATTACTAACATGTTAATATTTTATTATATGCACAGCTAGTTCCCCTTCCATAGATGAGATACGTAAAAATATGTACAGCTTATATGTATATGATAAGCTTGGTAGTCCAAAATAACTGGAAACATCAAATTAAAATTTTTTCCCAGAGTATTTCCCAGTCTGGTAATCTGAAGTATATAAAAATATATAAATATATAAACTTACACAAATATAAATTCAACAATAAAAAATTCCTACTAGGTATAAACCATTCTGGGGTATGTTCTAATCTTTAGTTTTTAGAGCATTTCGTGTTTCTAAATAAAGAGTGATAAAATGGATTTTAAATTCTTCCCACTTACATTTAAAAAACTAGTAATTTTAACTTAAGTAATTATAAATTAATAGGGGTAAAAATGACCAACTTTTCAATATTCATAGACAAAGTCAAAAAAGGTTATTGAACTTTTTAGTGAACTAATATTCCAAAAGCCCCAGTTTACAATGGAAACAGCAAAGGCTTTTTAAATGCTTAAAAATTAGCTTCAAATCTTAGTTCTCTGTATTTTACTGTGACCTTGGTGAGTTTCTTTCTTGATATGTAAACTGCGAGTATTACCTTGTAGGGCTGCTGTGGAGAAAAAAATGAGGTAAGATTTATGAAGCACCTTATGCTATGTCTGATCTCAACAGAAGCCACAATCATTATTTTTCTCCTATCTATTACTTTTTTTTTTTTTTTTTTTTTTAATGAGATGGAGTCTTGCTCTATCGCCCAGGCTGGAGTGCAGTAGCGCGATCTCGGCTCACTGCAAACTCTGCCTCCCGGGTTCACGCCATTCTCCTGCCTCAGCCTCCCAAGTAGCTGGGACTACAGGCGCCCACCACCACGCCCGGCTAAATTTTTTGTATTTTTAGTAGAAACGGGGTTTCACCGTGTTAGCCAGGATGGTCTCAATCTCCTGACCTCGTGATCCGCCCACCTCGGCCTCCCAAAGTGCTGGGATTACAGGCGTGAGCCACCGCGCCCGGCCACCTATTACTTTCTGATAGCAATTAAGGAAGAAATTTTGGTCATCTCTGCTTTCTTCCAGTGATAAACAAAAGCAAAGAAAAACGGTCAACAACACGTGGGAAAATGTTCCCCCTGCTCACGGTTTATCTACTTTAAAAAAAGAATGAAATATTCTGAAAATATCGTTTCAAAGCTAAATAAGTTACTCCATTAGTTATACCTGCAAATTCATTGAAATGATTTCCAATATCATATGCCAGGTAGTTGTATCCAGAATATTCATAATCAATGAACTGTACATCACCTATGTGAGACACAAAAACAAAGACATTAAGAAATCACATATAAGATCAGAAAATCCCTATGCTATTTGTAATTAAATAGCTTCCAATATTTTGTCTCATTGTACGTGCTTGATTACATGCACTTGTGAGACAATACAGGGTAAGGGGCTGTGAATTTTATGGCAATGAGCTTTACAAAATTCAAATTATGTCTCTTGGTCAACAGCTTCTTTATAAACACTAATGTCCACTTTTTTAAAGAAAAATGAAAAGACAGTCATTCTCCAAGTTTAAGCAAAAGCAAAATAAATCCTTTGCCACATGGGGGCATCAGTTACTTAAAAATTCAAGTTTAATTAGAAACATAATTTTTATCTTTGGAAATTACTAATAATCTGTGTAATTTTAACAAAAACTTTATGATACTCCAACAGTAAACTGACAAGCTTATCTACATATGGAAATAAAATATAAACTTTTAAAGACCTGAATTCTGTAAATCTTGCAATAATGCTATACTTGCTGAGCAATGTAAGATCACTAACAAGAAGTTAGTTGCTATCATATGCTTACATTTTCCTGTAATACTACCTAACCAAGGTTTCCATATCTGAGCAGCATTACGGTGCAATAAGGTGGTGGTTTTATCTTACAAAAAGCAAAAGTATGGTTTCTTTTAACGTTTATAAACGTGAGAAATTTTCACATAAGCTAAATAGATGCCTATTCTAAATTACTGCTACATATATAGGCATGTCATTATAACTCTCCAAAGATAATCTAGTTCTTTCATACTACTACTCAGGAACTTTTAACTTTTGAGTAATGAATATTATAAAGGATTTGCCTTAACAAAGATATAGGTCCTATATTCGAGAGAAAAAGCAAAAAAGAGAGAGAGAAACCTTAAAAAAAAAAAAAATCAATGTGGGTCACTGTCTTCACCAGGGATCACAAACTCAAAGGCTTACAGGGGCGTGGAGTTAAAAATGGATATATGAACAGAGATGGCTGTAAGAATATAGAAAATGTTTAACACCTGCATAGTTACACTGTCTTTTAATCATCAGGCTTAGGTAGGAGAACAAATTCCCGGTCTTTACACATTGTTATTTATTTCCCAAATAAAAACAGCTTTTGAATTATAATATGTTGATATACATTTGTAAGTTTAATTTTGGGAAGTATTTGATCATATTCAAACACAAAGAAAAACAAAATTACGTGACAAAAAATGTCATGGCAAATAGTGTTTTACATAAAAGCAAAAATGTTTTTAATATAATTGTATTTAATATATAATTCTAAACTTATTTAAATAAGTCACATCTAGAATAAGTGAGAATAATCAATGTTATAACCCAGTTATAAAAATGTAATGTGTATTATTATAATAAATATAAGATTTAAAAATATTGGTGACAATAAATCACGGCAATTCAACTACCTCAAGTATTATATATTTTTTTTCTCTTTTTGTTTTTTGTAGAGACGGGGTCTTGCTATGTTGCCCAAGCTGGTATGGAACTCCTGGCCTGAAGTGATCCTCCTGCCTTGTATACTTGAATTCACAGAACATTATTCCACAAAAAGTTTTAAGAGTTAACCAAATCATTTTACTAAACTGCAGAATGGGAAGTAGAAACATGTTTTAAAGTTTCTTTTCTAGGAATCATTGGGAGTAGGAGAGTGAAGACAACCATCATGATAAAATACTCACAGGCATGAAAATAAAATGAAATAAAACCATGAAGAAATCTCATTTTCAAAAATAATGACCAGGGAAATTACAAATGTCATGAAAAGGAGATACTAAGTAGTAAACTGTGATCCAAATTAAAATATGCCTACAGAGAAAAAAAAATATGTAAATAATGCATGGGGGGGAAGGATGAATGGAAATAAACCAAAATGTTTAAACTATTAACAGGTGATAGACAAGTGACTTTTTTCTTTTATTTTTTTATTTTAAAATTTATGTACAATAAGTAATAGAAATAAATTAAAGGAAAAAAGTTATTTTAAAAGAGAAGATGAATTCCCTATACAAAACTATCAGTAAAAAGACTAAAACACAATGATTTCAGAGATACCTATCCACCAGCCTTCAGAAACTCAGGATACAAGATTCACTAAGTTGTACAACTGAGCTAACCTAACAGTTTTAATATATAATTTTTTAAATCTGCAGCTGTTGATAGCTTTAGCTCCTTAAAAACAAATTCTTGTAGAGCTCATATTAACTGTTACATGCCAATAAAAATACACAGCCCAGTCCTGAAGCTTACTTTTGCCACATAAACATAAGCTTCAATTTCAATTTTCAAAATTATATTTAGAATTTGGCAAATACAGTTAAAATGGCAGGTAAAACATCCCTGCTTGTAGAGTAAATACAATTTAATTAAAGCATAGCACATTTTAACAAAAGTTAAAATCTGTTTCACTATGAAAATTTTAGCAATGACTTTTTGTAGTAACATTAATTAATTAAAACTAGCCTTTATTTTTAAATGCTATGTTGAGTTTATAAATAATGAAATTTTAAAAATAAGAAAATGAAGCTAACAAGATACAGATGAGGCTGTTACCAGGCTCCGTGCATGTGAACAAGTGATGCGATAAACCTCCAGTCAGTGCGTTTAAGAAGCACGGGGTGCGCCGCCACATGGCAGCAACAATGGCATACCTAATCTGTAGCAGATGAAGAAAATTTGGCAAACTCACATTGTACAAGACACAAAGCTTAAAAGGAAAAAAATTTAAAAAAAAAATCTGCATTAACTATTCTTTTTCAAACTATTGCAAACAAAGTGGAACTCAACCTTAAATTTAATCTTCTGCAACAAAGTAAAATTTAAAAAGCCAACTTCCCTTAGTTAGGGTGCCAGAAAAATCAAATTACTGGAAAATGCTTTCCTAACAACAGAAAATATACTTTTTCCTTCTATAAATTTAACTTCTGATTTCTAAAATTTCGCTTTATTTAAACGAATATCCACATCAGCATTAATAATTAACTAGCTCATATAGCATGATCATCATCTCAGTTCTTTAAGACATGAATTTTTAATTGGGGTTTCAAGGATGAAAAGACAACTAGAATATTCCCTAAAATTTTATGTGTATGTGCACTTTCTTAGGAAGAGATTCTCAATTTTTCAGATTCTCAAGGGACCCCTGACCTTTAAAAAGTAAAGAACTACTACTTTAAGGGCTAGGTGTGTTATTTTATTTATCTTTATGTAATTATCACAATGACAAGCACAAAGTAAAGTATATGATTAATGGATAAAACTACAATTTGAATTTTCCAAACCTACATTTTGTCTTTTATTACTTTATTTCTTGCATATCTTTATCAGCGTAATCAAATCCCGACACTACTGGTTAAACTGTTCAAATCTTAGTATACTAAAAATACTCTGCCAATTTTTAAAGTACTTTAAAACTAAAAAATAATAATGTATTACCCAAGGCTATATAATTATCACATGACATGTTTGTCTGAATTCCTTTATTTTGTTGTTAGGAGAAAGGAATAAAAATGAAAAGCAAAATAGTCAATATGAGAACCTGAAAAATCTTTCCAACTCACCCTACTTGCTCTGCAATGTTAGGCAGGTTCGAAGAGAACGATACGAAAAGTAACTATAATCCTACTAATGTTAGCAAAATGTTTTCTATTTTATACAGAAAAAGACAGGGAGTATTCTAGTCTGAAACACTTTCCCTTTAATCTTCACGCTGGTGTCCTGTAGTACTCTGTACCCCTTCACCAGAGCACTCATCATTCTAAATGTAAGTATCTGTTCAGTGATTGGACTCCTCCACTACAAGATACACAGCCTCCTGGAGGGGCACTAGGGTCCCTTCCCTCTTTTATCCTGCAATCCACAGAGCAATCCCTAGGACACAGGAAATATTTAAATGCTAGTAGAAAAAATGAAGTTTGCAGAAAATGCTGACACACAATAACACGTTTGCTGGGGGAGGGGAAAAGACAAAAAAGCATGAAAAACTAAAGAAAAAAGTGTGGTGTTTCTGACATTTTTATTCAAGTACAAGACTGAACACAGTGGGCCAGAATGAATGAATGAAAAAACAAACAAACTAGTACCTATATTAGGTCACTCTTTCTTCATAACTTCAGGTTTTTACAGTTCATTTAAGTTTTTTATTATCTGACTTACAGATATTTTATTTTCTGCTAACTAGTGGTTGAGAATACAAATTAAAACAGAGTTAAAAATTAAACTACATTTAAAAACACCACCCTAGAAAACATAGTTTACCAAACACAAAAATCAATTTGTATTTATTTAAATTTTTTAAAAGTACCAATGAAAAAACTCTTCTCAGTCATTAAAACATGAGTAACATGACAACTACAAAGCTTTCTCAGGAGTAATAATAGAATGGATAAGATTTAGAGCCAAACAAGTGACTATGGGGACTCACCCATTTTCTATTTATATTGTATAGAACTCTTAAAACAAAGCAAAATAAAACAAAACCTGATTTACTCTTTAATTCCCAGAAAAAGCTTTCCTTTTCTTCCACTCATTTGTATTTCCTTAAACAGCTGTAAATCAGCTTCTTGTATTGTGCTGACAGAGAAAATAAACAGTGATTGCCATTACTGAAATTTAAAGTTAAATATTAGGTATTTACATGAGCTTTTATGAAGAAATGGGGACAGCAGGAGAAATGAAAGTCACCAAAAGTCATGAGACCAATAAACATTCTGAGAGAACATCAAGACATGAGATAGAAATCTCAACAGCTTTAGTAATTTCTTGATGTCAGTAGTTAAATGATTAGTTGAAATTAAAATATTAGATTTGAAGTTAGTCATAGGCAATATTACAATTTATTCTGCTTAATATAAAGTCTATTAAATTAATGATTGATTTAAAAGATGACTGATAATTCCTATAGTTCTGGAGCAAGAACTGCTGCTTTTGGTTTCCTTATTATATATCAAATTCTATCACCATATCATTAAGTATTCTTTTCTTACCTTTTCAGGATGTCATTTCACTGAAGGCAAGGAATGGGCCGCTGCTTACCAATCACCTAATTCCTGGCACTAACTTTTCAAAAATCTTGACAGCTACCATCAACTTCAGAAAGGAAGCTCACTCTTCTCCCATGTCCTGAGTCCTGTCAACTGACATGGTGAGAGCAGGTAGAGGCAAAATTTCTTCCCGTGATGCCTATCTGTTCCAATAACATTCGCATGTAAAAATGCCTACAAACTGCAGGGTGCTCATAGTATGTGTGCCTTGTGTGTAAATATGTTATGTATACATATGCTCATATATATATATACACACATTTGTAATTCTAAATTAATCTCTCAAGTTATAGTTAAGATAGAAACTGAAAGTTGCACTTAAACTGAATTGTCACATCATATCTATCTGTTAATTAAGTCCTATAACTACCTACTAGTAGTTATAGGACTTAACTACCTACTATCTAGCCTATAGTAACCATTTTTCATTTTTTCAGAATCAGGTATATTTTGTAAAACAAATGCTATAAACATAATACAGGGTTGGCAAACCATGTACCTTCAGCTCAAATCCAATCCACCACCTATTTTTGGAAATAAAGTTTTATTTGAACACAGCTCACTCATGTATTGTCTATGGCTGTGTTCATGCCTCAACACACAGCTGAAATGTTGCAATGGAGACTATCCAGCCCACAATGCCTAAAAGTTGTACTACATAGCCCCTTACAGAAAATGTTTGCCAACCCCTATGTTAGTATAATAGCTACAACTAAGAGCTGCTAAGTCCTTGGTCCAGTGCTATATATTTTATATGCATGATCTAAAATCTTGTCAGCATCCATCTGAAGTAGATATTGTCTCTAAGTTACAAATAAAGCAAACTAAAGTTCTAGACTATCAATAGTACAAAAACTGCCTCAGAATCTGTTAAACATAAAATTTCTAAGCCTATCTATAAAAATTATTTTGTAATTGGTCATGGGTGGGGCCAAGAAATCCAAATTTTTTCCCAAGTACCATAGGTGATTCTGATGTAAACTGTCAAGAACAGTCTGTGTTTACATAAAGACATAAAGAGATAAAACGATATGTCTAATACTACTTATTTCTGTAAGTAACTGGGTAGGGATCTAAACTCGAATGTGTTTAGTTCCAAAATCTATACTCTTTCTGACTTCTCTTGATAGTAACTAAGCTATAAATATATCTGCTTTTAAGAGTTAGAGATTTTCTAGTACAAAATCTAAGTTACTATGGTTTAAACATATATGTAGAGACATCAAGATAATCCAGTATAAATTTAAGAAGTTTGCCTAAAATTTGTACTTCTGAGAAATTAAGGGTCTGAAACATACTGCAGACAAATACTGAGCTTGATGATTCCAAGGCCAGTCCCCTGGCTTTCATCTTATTACGTTTTATCTATTGGTATCTCAAAGTTGGGTACACAATAATGAAACCTGGAGCTCAAGTCATATGAATGACTTAAGAAGTAATAAAAAATCAAACATGTTTGTGAATATGCAGCTTAATCATTTATTCTATATGGAAATTATCTTAATCTCAAAAGACTCAACATGGCATTTATATGCTATAATAAGGCAACTAAAGAAGGTAAATAACTGCAGTCTGTATCTTTAATTAACCTTTTCAAAATTGCTGCCATAAGTGTTAATGCTATGCTACAATCTCAAATATATAAAATTTCTTCCTGTGATGTCTACCAGTTCCAATAACATTCACATGTAAAAATGCCTACAAATTGCAGGGTGCTCATAGTATGTGTGCCTTGTGTATAAATATGTTACTTATACATATACCCATATACATACACATTTTAATTCTAAATTAATCTAAATTAATCTCTCAAGTTATAGTTAAGATAGAAACTAAAAGTTCCACTTTTAGTGAACTGAATCGTCATGTCATATCTGTTAATTAAGTCCTATATCTACTAGTTAGATGCTTGCATTTAATATGCAAACATACCTACTAGTTATATTATATGCATATTATATTATTTGCATATTAAATGCAAACATATAACTAGTTTGCATATTACATTTACTCAATATTGACTATTTTTGACTATTAAATTTATTAAATAATATAATTCATACTTTTTAAGTATAAGGCATGGCATCTTCTACTTATAGTAAACACTCAAACATGTCATATAGTTAAATTACCTTAAAACCATTAGCTCCCAATTTGAAACGTAACACTAAAGACTAGGTTAAGTAAGCTTCTTGTCATACTTTAGTTTTAGATTTTTATTTGAACATTCTAACCATATTTCTTAATGCTTATGTTTGAAGTAATCACATAGAAATTACTCTTTTAAACGGATACTATGGGATCAAAACCAGCCTTCCTAATGAACATTATAAAACCACGTAAGGAGAGAGAAAAAAAAAACAGAACATTTCTGTAACTAAGACACATACATAACCACAAAGACAAAGAAAAAACAAATGATACAAACTAGACTTCAATAAAAAAGGCAAATTCTAAAAAATGTATCAAAATAGTTCATCTGTACAGCTGTAAAATTTTTCTGTGAAAGGAAAATTAGACACAAAAGTATAATTCAAGTAACTTGGCACAAAAACAAATGACAACCTTGCATTCTTAAAGCCAAACTGAATAAAGATTTTATGTGAAAACATGGGAACTTTTCACATAACTGATCAATAGTTTAGAGATAAGTGACCACTTAAATAAAAAAGTGAAAATGTATTTTTTAACACCCAAGACAAAGTAATCTGATTTTTTTGGTCCCTTATTTTTTGGTTTTATAAACAAGTTTTGTTCTGTGAAATGAATATGCAAAAGAAACTTACAAAAATAAAAATATGAAAGTTTAAAATTATATTCTAAAGGAAATAACAGATTCTCTTTGATCAACTTGCAGTTAAAAATAAAGCTGAGTGTCCACTTCAAATGTAAGATGAAGTCCCTCACTTGAAATTCCATTATATAAAATGTGTTATTAGGTCCTGCACTGAATTTACAAGCTCATACACTGCTTTAATGCGTAACTAATGCTCTAGTCTCACAAATGGCATTGAGATTTGGTTACCAGTATATAATGTAGTGCATACGTACTATGATAATTATATATAACAGACAATAAGACATTAAAGGACACTGTCAAGTACTTAATGTTTTAGGGTATGCTCGAAATTTTAAAAATGATTCCACACAAGCATTTCAAGATGATTCAAAACAAAAATGTTAGCTCAGTATGTTTTTGAAAAATAGAATCTCTAATCAACATTGAAATATCAAACAAAAAATTCTCAAATATATTTTTGGCAATATGTGCTTAAGCCTACCACTCTTGACAGTGTACCTTTGGTTTTCTTAAAGTGAAAGTCAGCTATATCTATCAACCTTTGTATTTGAATAGTCCCGCTTTACACTCTAAGAAGGGTCATAAACAGTAATTTAATATAATTATGACCATGCTAATGTGAATTCTTAGGCTTTACTATATTTACAACAGCACAATTTTGATTCAAAATCAGCTCTTCCAACTGTAATAACTATCTTCAAAAACTGGTTTCCAGGCCAGGCACAGTGGCTCACGCCAGTAATCCCAGCACTTTAGGAGGCCAAGGCAGGAGGATCACTTGAGGCCACAAATTCAAAACCAGCCTGGGCAACAGAGCAAGATTCCATCTCCACAAAAACAAATTTTGAAATTAGTCAGGTATGATGGCATGTACCTGTAGTCCCAGCTACTCAGGGGACTGGGGCAGGAGGACTGCTTGAGCCCAAGAGTTGAAGGCTGCAGTGAGCCATGATTACACCACTGCATTCCAGGCCTGGGTGACATACTGAGATCCAGTCACTTAAAAAAAAAAAAAAAAAGGAAAGGCCAGGCTCAGTGGCTCACACCTGTAATCCCAGCGCTTTGGGAGGCCGAGGTGGGCGGATCACCTGGGGTCAGGAGTTCGAGACCAGCCTGGCCAACATGGTGAAACTCTATCTCTTCTAAAAAAAAAAAAAAAAAAAAAAAAATACAAAAATTAGCCGGGCATGGTGATGTGCACCTGTAATCCCAACTATTCAGGAGGCTGAGGCAGGAGAATCACTTGAACTTGGGAGGCGGAAGTTACAGTGAGCTGAGATTATGCCATTGCACTCCAGCCTGGGTGACAAGAGTGAAACTCCATCTCAAAAAAGGAAAAAAAAAGGGGGGGGGGGTGCGGGGAACTAGTTTCCTATAAAATGAAAACAGTTTCAAAAACATTTTTTAAGTTAGTAAGACTCCTTCAACCAAAATTTTATTTTTAAATTTCAATTTAGCATTGAAGGGCATCTATCATTTAGCAACCAAACCTCAAACCACTTCACCCAGTAATATAATACAACCGAGTGGTTCTTAAATATGAAAACAGAAATTGAATACAGTGTACAAATATAAACACAAAAACATTTCACCAAAAAGTATCAGTCTACCTCAAAAAATGTTGAAATTATCTACCAAGGTTTCTTGATTACTTTAGTAGATATAAATTTGAGCAACTACAAATAATATCTCCTCCATCTGTAGCTCTCTCCTTAGTATCAAAATATCTAACAAATCAACAATAACTAGATAATGAGAAACCTGGAGACACATTTGTTTTTAATACTGTTGTCCTTCCCAACACTGTGAGAAAATTTTTCTATTTATAAAGCAGTTTAATGTCAATATGTTGATTTTCCACATCCCCCATTACAAGCAGGTACATGTTCAACTCATGAATAACCAAATAAGTTTTGCAATTAAATTTATAAACAAATCATTTCATCATTTTATACCTAAAAATCCCATGGAAATCACAAACTGTTTCTAACCAATTCTAAAAAACATATTTTATACAAATATAAAAAGAATATATATCCTAAATTTCACAGTTACCATAACTTGATAAACTAAAAGAAAATCTTTAAAGGTTTCATGCACGCTCTTACTCCTTGCATTTGAATTTATTTTGTTGATATAGAGATAAAATGACCATTAAGAACATAAAAGAAATCAATTTTACTTACTGCTAAGGTCAAATACCTACCTTGTTTCTCATTGTAGATTATATTCTTACACAATAGGTCATTATGGCAAAGCACAACAGGTGAGCCCAGGTTGGAAAGAATCTCCTTCATCCAAGTCATCTCTTCCTGGAGAATCTGAGAGCTTGGGATATCACTTAGGAACCTTTTAGTTTTAAAAGAAGAGTTATATCTTGTGTGACATTTTTTTCAAGTTTGATTAAGGATTAAAATCTATTTTGAATAAATCCCTTCAATTTAATCGCACATACTGCTGAATTCAAACAACAGACCAATTATTCTATTTCAAAAGTTAGAATAAAGAAAACCTATATAGTAAGTTTAGACATGAATAGAAGAAACTGAGCAGCAATTAAAATGTAGGACAAAAGTTAAAAAACTCACTAAAAACTTGGGTTTCTAAGTAATATATATAGGTAATAGTTAACAATTACTAAGTACTATTCTAAGTAATTTACATTTATGTCAATTTTATAGATGACAAAACTAAGACACAAAGCATTTAATAAATAGAGGTTTAAGTATATTATTTAAAGTTACAAAAATTATTTTAAAAATTAAAAATACATATTTCAAGGTTGAAAGGGTGAATGCAATATAAATCTAAATTCTCAGAAAAGTCAAAAGATTACTGTCTACAGTTGATAAAAAATAAAGTTATCCTTATATAATCCAGTTATGTTAAAAACAGAACTATTATAGAAATTGCCACAGAGTAGTGAGACTGTGAAGGGTGGGAGGCAACATGGTAAGCTGGACTAGAAATCGCGACTTTTTGTCCTATCCTCATCTATACTGATTATTATCTATACTTGTATTAATTTGATTAAAAAATCAAGGAAACAAAATTGGGCTACTACCACTAATTCCTCAATAGCACCAATCAGGCTTACAAAACGGCTATACTCCTTCACTCCTTCCCTTAATACTTTAAGTCATGACCTCTTGATTCTTTCTCCAAAGTCTCTCAAATTACTCCCTGCTTCTCCATTAACAGTATAATACAGATTCTTTTTACATTACTTAATTTGCCTGTTCAGGTGGTTTCTACCTATATTTTCTCCACTACTGTATTCTTCTCTACATACAACTTCCACAAGTAATCCTCATAATGCTCTTTTCAAAATGGTATGACTGGTCAAAACTGCGGTGTTTTTTTTTTTTTTTTTTTTTAAAGGTAGTGTCGAATGAAAATTGTGGGATTCGAAGGATTATAAAACTTAAATCATGAACAAACAAAATGGAATAAAAGAAATACAAAATGTATTTAATATTTTAATTGTGTTTTATGTTCTAGTTGTATTATTTTCTATTGGGGCAAGGGTTTTCTTCCTATTATTTACCACAGCACACCTCCAGCTTTTCCAAAGAATCATTAACCTCAAGGATTTAAAGTATACCTTGGAGAGCCTAGGGAAAAAATATAACTCAAATAACCTTCTTTGAATAACAATAGTAATTTTTAAAACAGCAGCTACCTCAACACTTAAGTGATGACCAGGCACTGTTTTAAAGAACTTTACATATACTATCTCAATCCTCACAAAAACTCTATATGGTTAATATACTACTACTGTAATTTCCATTTTATAGATAAGGAAACAGTTAGGTTAAGTTCCCTAGTTGAATGAGTTACACAACAGAAATGTTAACTAGCAGGACTAAGATTTAATCTCAGTTTGGCTCCAGGCTCTTGTGCTCTTATTCTATATAATACTAGACTTGCCTCTCAACCCTGCAGTATCTTAAAAAGTCAAGAAAAATCTTGCTTCACCATTACCACCTAACTCTTTATTTTTAAGTGGTGTTCCCCTACTTCCACCTCTGCCCCTTGCTGTTGTAGGGCATATTTTTTGGGAGGGGACACTGAGGGGGATGGAGAGGCAGTTATTTCTGTAGTGCTATCTGACAGCCAAAGAATCAATGCTTACTTTACTTCAATGCAAAGAAAGAAAACCAGATTTTATACAATGAAACTTTACAATTACCTTTGAAACCCTATCATAGAGCAAAGCAATGTAAAACATAATTTCAAATGTAAAAATAATTTTACCTTTTATTAATGTCTTCATCTGCAAATCCTGTGGGAATGAGAGAGAAATACTTTCCCATCTTTAGCCAAAGATTAGATTTGGGGATCCAGCCATTGTGTGCATGAATAGCATGGATTTTAGCAAGCTGACGAGCTATTAGCCTGTTTAAAACAAAACCGCATAAAAAGAAAAACTTAAGTATCATAAAGGTCATGTCTCCTGACAAAGATTCTTGATGAAACTTTAGTCAGTCTCCCGAATCTTCTTGTAGACCTACCTGTGCTCTCTCTTGTAAAAACCAGTTTTAGCAAGAACCCTACTGAGTCAGTTTAGCAAGAGTATCCCCACCCTTGATATCTGATCAGGTTCCTTATCCTTCACCATTCCCCAAATTAATTACTCTGATTACTCTGGCCATCTTCAGCAAGAATCATTAGGTTGTTTTACCCAGAAACCCCTTACTTTGATGTTACTCTTAATTTTCCATCCGCCAACCCCGACCCTGCTCCTTGGGTATACATTCCCACTTGCCCATGCTGTATTTGGAGTTGGGCCCAGTCTCTCTTCTCCAATTCCAAAATCCCACAGCTGTGGCCCCTATACCTATATCTCAATGATTCTGAAGAAAGTCAGCCTTATCATGCTTTAACAAGTATCACTGAGTAATTTTTTCTTTAACAGTTATGGTGCTGTGACTCAGAATCAGATTCATCACTGGACCCAGGACCCTATGTTTGCACCTTTGAATTCACGTCTGACTGATTAATGGGGATCCACTGGTGAGTCAGATTCCTGAACCACTGAACATACACTGAAGCTGGCAAGAATTCTGATACTTAAGATTTTGAGTGTACTCTCTGAAACTAGATTGGAGTCCCACGCTTCTTTTGATAGGTACCTCCTAGGCTGGAGGTCCTTCTTTCTCTCTCTCTTTGAGGCCCCTCTGTTCTCTCCATTGGATCCTGCTTCTCCCATGTGAACTTCTCTGTCCCCTGAAATCCCTCTTTTTGAACCTTGACTCTACCAGATCTGTCTACCTAGTTCTTGTTAGCATGATTTTCCTAAGGAACTTCAAAACAAATTACACAGGCTTAGGTACTAACGAAATTCTGATTTAACTGGCCTGGTGTGCAGCCAGGACACTGAGATATTTAAAACCTTCCCAAGTGATTTTAATATGCAAAAACATTTGAAAGCCACTTAAGTAAGGCCCACAGAGAATCTAGTATTGTATCAATCATTAAATAACACATTTTTATTATTATGTTTCTATACTATTGTGAATATTCTTGTTTTTATCTCATTCCTAGTAACTAAAGAGTCCTTATTTTCTTTTGGAGAAACTTCTATCACTCTTACTTTTAGTTCATGTCATTACTACAGAGCTGATCTCAATCCTAACTGCATCACTCACTTCAGTAGTAAGTGAACATATGACCCTGACTTGCTCAGAGCATTCTATCATTCAGGCCACAGTGACTGGTTCAGCACATATTACCCAAGCTAAGCCAGAGACTTAATCCTAATTTTATTGAAGCTATCAACTTTGTTTGAAGCTATTAGAAAATTAGGAAAATTTTCCCCCTGGGGTGGTTAAACCGGTTAGAGAAACCTACTGATTATCATTATGGATAGTCCTAAGGAAAGTTTGTGAGAAAAAAAAAAAGGTAAAAGAATAAACAGAATAAAGTGATATTCCTAATGACATTGTTACAGTCCCTGGATTTACCCCATGTTTGAACTCAGTATTCTCAATTACAAGTACCAATAAATTCTTTCTCCTTTATGCCACTGTAAATTGTCAAATTATCATCCTCAAGCAACAGTATTAGCCTCATCTTTAATCTAATACATTAAAATATTAAAATCCATAACCTTTTTATATATGTGTACTTTGGTTCATACCTCTCAAACAAATGAGTAAATAAACATTTATTTTTATAAACTAAATCATTTTGAATGACCTTCCCTAAGACCATACACTCATGTCCACAAGAATACAGAAAACAAATCTATTTTTATGTTAGTCTCATATATAGGCAGAAAGCTAAGCCCAAATGAACTGTGGTACTTAAGCACCAGGCAACTTGATGGAAAGGCCAGGTGGTGATAAAATCAAAACAAAGGAAAGTGCAAATGCATGCATGTACACGCATGCACACACAGACACACACACACTGTAAGCCAGTTAAAACTGGTTTTAAAACTTCAGAGAAGAGGAGGAAACAAAAAGCTTGAAGAAAGATACAATCTGTGTTACATGAAACACAAGGGGCAATCTATGTCAACAGAATATTATATCTTAGAAATATTTACTGAAATGAAACAGATGATTTAGGAGGGCGTCACAGATATTTAACTCTAACAGATTTTATTTGCTGTGGTTTTTTTAAATAAATGAAAAATAATATCATTTCTAATAGTTTTACCCCAGGGTTTATAAGAGACCCTGATTTGGGGTCTCTTACAAAACGTAATTTTCCCCTTTGCAAAGGGGACACACGTGCTGGAACTGTCAGAACTCCATGACTTCTCGTCTGCTCCATGCTGGATTCAGAACAGGTGTGAAGAGAGGCAAATGTCTGGGAGAGCAGAAGGCCCATGTCACTGGAGGGCTCGGCACAGTAGTTCTGCTTTCAGTGAATAAGCAAAACTCAGGGAAGTAGTCATCCAAGTGCTGCAGTTATTTGGAAATGTTTTCCAAACAGTCTCTTTAGAACTAAGCCGTTTCTGCTCTTCTGATCTGAAACAATCAGTGTAAGTTTACTGAGATCAGAAGACAAGGAGGCCCTGCACATCACACGGATAAAGTCAGACAACTATAATACTTTTGCTGCCTCAAGTTGTTTTTTAAATAAAGTATTTTGAAGTTCATGAGAATCATGCTGCAATATGGTCATTCCAGAGCAAATATATATTTCAAGATGAATCTAAAGCAGTTTTTAAATTACCTGAATTTTCTGTGTATTAAAAAAATGTAATCTTAGAAGCTGTCCAGTTACTCAGCTTATAGTAACTGAAATGACAATTCTACTGTAAATACTTAAAAAATGAATAAAACAGTATGGCCACAACTCCAAGGGGCATTTACAGGTTAATGAAATTTGTTGAACATCAATAGCTGCTAGAAGAGAAAGTATTAACTAATTTTGAAAGTCTTGCCTTTTCTAGCAAGAAGGTAGCTAACGAGCTAAGCTAGGATTTGAACTGATAATGTGATGCAAAGGCCAAGTTGTATCACTATAGAACACCCCTATAACGCTGCACAAAATTAGTTGGGTTTTCATTGTGACTTTGCCACTGTATTTGCATTATGAACTTAAACAAATAATTCATCTGGTTTTTGGGTTCCTTACAAGGAATCAAAATATTTGGCCTGTTATATAGTTTTGAAGTTATCTTTCAGATCTAATGTCATATGTCCCCAAACACCAGGAAAAAAAATTAACATCTACAAAAAATTTGATCTATTTAAACTTTAAAATTCAATAATGACAATATGAACTTCACATACAGATTCATATACAAATATCCTATAGGCTGGGCATGGTGGCTCATGCCTGTAATCCCAGCACTTTGGAAGGCCGAGGCAGGTAGATCACCTGAGGTCAGGAGTTCAAGACCAGCCTGGCCAACATGGCAAAACCCTGTCTCTACTAAAAGTACAAAAAGTAGCCTGGTGTGGTGATACGTGCCTGTAATCCCAGCTGCTCAGGAGGCTGAGGCAGAAGAATTGCTTGAACCCAGGCGGCGGAGGTTGCAGTGAGCTGATATCATGCCACTGCACTCCAGCCTGGGCAACAAGAGCGAGACTCCGTCTCGAAAAAAAAAAAAAAAAAAAAAAAACAAACAAACCCCAAATATCCTATAGACTAACTTGCCATTTCACACTAACTTCCTACAAGTTGGCCGGGCGCAGTGGCTCACGCCTGTAATCCCAACACTTTGGGAGGCCAAGGTGGATGAATCACCTGAGGTAAGGAGTTCGAGACCAACCTGGCCAACATGGTGAAACCCCGTCTCTACTAAAAATAGAAAAAATTAGCCGGATGTGGTGGCAGGCACCTGTAATCCCAGCTACTAGAGAGGCTGAGGCAGGAGAATCGCTTGAACCCAAGGGGGAGGTTCAGTGAGCTGAGATCTCACCAATTGTACTCCAACGTGGGTAACAAGAGTGAAACTACGTTTCAAAAACAAAAACTTCCTACAAGTTACAATAGAAAGATTGAATGCACACAAGTCATGGAGTGACAGAGGTAAAATTTTTCCAAGTATAGTGATTTTTATTAAAAATGTATCAAATACAATTATTCCTTTGAACAAATTTCTAAAATTACAGCTAAAATGAGAATTACTTTTATATAATTTTAAAACATCTGCCACATAAGATGATATATTGTTAATTAAAATGTTAGCATCTTCCTATACAATTCAAAATAGAATAGCAATAATAATAATAAAGATTGCTTTATTAATACAATTGATAAATACAACCACTAAGATATCCTTCAAGGGACAAAGACTGTCTTATTCTTTGATCTGTTCTTGTGGTCAGAACTTAGAGGAGGTACTTAACAGGTATATTCTAAATTAGAGTCAGTTATCTTAGCAACAGACCTGGAATACATTTAGAAATTCACCATAAGACCAGAGAAGTCTTCCACTATTAGGTTTATTGTCAGGTGGATTAAAATCTATTTTGGATTTTTAATAATCTCATGTACTAATAATTGTAACAAAAGTAATGTTTTCTTATACAAAAACCAAATGAGCATCCATTTAAAATACTGCCTATTCTTTGATAATAAAGCCACATCATCTTCTTCTCACACTCCAGAATTCAAGCCAGTATCTACAGGTCTCAGAATTACTGGTCTTTTTTATCTTTTATATAACAAAATTAACATGTAAAGTGTCTTAGTCCTTTCAGGCTGCTTTAACAAAAATGCCATAAACAAGGTAGCTTATAAATGACATAAATTTCTTTCTCATAGTTATGTTCCTTACAGATGGCACCTTCTTGCTGCATTTTCACATGGTAGAAGGGGCAAGTAAATTTCTTTGGGCCTCTTTTATAAGGGCATTAATGCCATTCATGAGAGCTCTACCCCATGACTAATATTGCCAAAGGGACACACCTCTTAATACTATTTCATTGGAATCAGGTCTCAACAAAAGGTTTTTGAGGGAACACAAATATTCAGATCATAGCAGAAAGGAAGGAAGTTGATTTACAACACAAATCTTCTCATGGAAATAAGTACACTTCAATTGTAACCATGGCAGCCACCTATATACTTAAAAACTAGGCTCTGTGAAGAGATTTAAAAAATTAACTATGGCCTAATCACAAGTTCCATACTCATCTAAAATTTTTTATAAATAAGGACTGAACAAAGCATGAAATTTGTAAAGAATGATTTTAAGAAAATTTACAGTTTTTACTAAAAATCAAATTCAGCAGTTGCAGAACAGAAAATCAATACGCAAAAATCAGTTGCACTTTTACACTAACAATGAACAATCTAGAAAGGAAATTAAGAAAACAATTCCATTTACGATAGCATCGAAAAGAAATAAATACTCAGGAATAACCGTAATTGAGGAGGTGAAAGACTTGTAAACTGAAAATAATAAAACACTGCTGAAAAAAATTAAATACACAAATAAACAGAAAGACACCCCATGTTCATGGATTGGAAAACAATATTGTTAATATGTCAATACCACCAAAAGTGATCCACAGATTCAGTGCAATCCCTACCAAAATCCCAAAGGCAATTTTTGCAGAAAAAGAAAAAGCTATCCTAAAATTCATGGACTCTCAAGGGACCCGAGTAGCTAAAATAACATTGAAAAAGAAGAGTAAAGTTGGAAGTCTTTCACTTCCTGATTTCAAAACTTATTACACAAAGCCACTGTAATCAAAACATTATGGTGCTGTCACAAAGAAAAACATACAGATAAATGGAATAGAGCAGAGAACCCAAAAACAAACCCACAATTATACAAACAGTATTCAACAAGGGTGCCAAGAACCTTAAATGAGGAAAGGACAACAACGGGAAAAGAAGAACAATGAGGAAAGGACAACAAAATGTACTGGGAAAACTAGATATCCACATCCAAAAGAATGAAGCTGGACCCTTTCCTTACACCATATATGAAAACTAACTCAAGATGGACCAAAGATCTAAATGTAAGAACTAAAACTATTAAAACTCTCATGAGAAAACATAGGGGGAAACCTTCATCACACTGGATACTTGGCAATGATTTCTTGGATATGACACCAAAAGCACAGGCAACAAAAGTAAAAATAAACTCTACCGCATCAAAATTAAAAACTACGCACCAAAGGACACAATCAACAGACTGAAAAAGAAACCTGCAGAATGAGATAAAATATTTGGAAATCATATATTTAACAAGGAGTTAATATTCAGAACATATAACAAACTCCCACAACTCAACAACAAAAATTACAACCCCATGAGAAAATAGGCAAAGGACTTGAATAGGTGTTTCTCTAGAAAAAGTAAACAAATGGTCAATAAGCATATGTTCAACATTACTACTCATTAGGCAAACGCAAATCAAAAGCACAATGTGATACCACCTCATATCCATTAGAATGGTTACTACAAAAATAAAATAACTATTGGTAAGAATGTAAAGAAACTGGTGCCCTTGTGCACTGTTGATGGGAATATAAAATGGTGCAGCTATTACAGAAAACAGTATGGTGGTTCCTCAAATAATTAAAACCAGAATTACCATTATGATCTAGCAATTCCACTTCTGGGCATTCACCCGAAAGAACTGAAAGCAGGGTATCAAAAACATATTTACATATCCATGTTCACAGCAACATTATTCACAATAGCCAAAAGTGACTATTGCCCAAGTATACATCCATGGATGAATAAACAAAACGTAGTATATAAATACAAAGGAATATTATTAAGCCTTGAAAGAAAATGAAAATTCTGACACATGCTATACAACATAAATGAACCTTGAAGTGTTCATGCTAAGTGAAATAAGCCAGTCACAAAAAGACAAACATTACATGATTCCACTAACATGATGTACCTAAGTAGTCAAATTCCTAGGGATAGAAAGTAGATGACGGTTGCCAGGGGCTGGAGGAAGGAAAGAAGATTTGTTGTTTAAAAAGCATAGAATTGGCCAGGCGTGGTGGCTCACGCCTGTAATCCCAGCATTTTGGGAGGCCGAGGTGGGCAGATCACCTGAGGTCTGGAGTTCGAGACCAGCCTGGCCAACATGGTGAAACCCGTCTCTACTAAAAAATACAAAACTCGGCAGGGCGAGGTGGTGGGCACCTATAGTCCCAGCTACTCGAGAGGCTGATGCAGGAGAATCACTTGAACCTGGGAGGCAGAGATTGCACTTGAACCTGGGAGGCACCACTGCACACCAGGCTGGGCGACATGGCGAGACTCTGTCTCAAAAAAAAAAAAAAAAAAAAGGGATAGAATTGTAGTTTTACATTATAAAAAAAAAATATGTTAGGAAATTAGTTGCACAACCATGTGAATGCAATAACACTATTGAGCTGTATTTTTTAAAAAATGGTTAAGATGGTGACAACTGGAGCCAGAAAGAAATGATTTAGGCAGATAGTGAGGGTAAAGGAGTTCTCGGTAAGGACTCCCTTTTAATAGAAAGCAGCCCCCAAATCACTTCTAACAAAGAGCAGCCTGAAAATTCAAGCTGCAGACATAGATAAGCAAGCTAGAAGCTTGCATGAGTGAATGCCAGCAGCTGTGCCAGTAGAAAAGGGCTACCTGGAAGTCAGGTATGTTCACAACGGAGCCTTCATCTTCCCTTTTCTTTGTCACCATGTGTCTAGTAAAAGAGGCAGGCAACATGGCACTGGCCAAGTAGAGAACCATCTGCATAATAAAAGATTAAAGTGGGGCCACCAGCTTCTACATGCTTTATGCAAAAGGCACGCCTGGTCCGACCAATCTTCCGTGCCCTCTGCAAATCAAACACTGCCTCCTCAAGTTAATCTATAAAACCCTGTACATTACACCACAGAACTGGCAACCCATTTTCTCTGGGACCCCTCTCTGCACAGAGAGCTCTTCTCTTTCTTTTGCCTATTAAACTTCCACTCTTAACCTCACTCTGGTTGTCTGTATCCTAGTTTTCTGTAGTTGTGGAACAACCAACCTCAGGTATTACCCCAGATAAAAATGCTGCTTCAATGGTAAATTTTATGTAGCATTTACCATAATCAAATTTTTTCAGAACAACTATAAACAAATCAAATTTTTATTAACTAAATAAAATGCTCATTGAAAAAGAATTCTTAAAAACACTTTAATCAAGTATACCTCAATTGTTTTCTGCTAGCAAATATTATATACAACAGAAAATGCTACATTTTTATATTTCCTATTTATTTAAAAGATTATTTTTAAATGTTTATTTTTTATATAATATATTTGCTGACACAAAACACAAGCAAATCAAATCCAACAATATATAAAAAGAAATTATACACTGTGACCAAGTGGGATTATCTCAGGTATACAAGGCTGGTTCAATATTTGAAAATTCATTAATGTAATCCAATACATTAACAGACTAAAAAAGAAAAATCACATGAACCTATCGACATGTGCAGAAAAAGCATTTTGCAAAATCTAGCACTCATTATCATAAAAACTCAGCAAACTAGGAATAAAGAGAGAGTATCTTCAATCTGATAAAGAATATCTACAAAAAAAACTACAGCTAACATCCTACTTAATGACACGTAATTTGAAGATTTCCCACTAAGATCAGGAATAAAGAAAGAACATCACTTTTCACCAATCCTTTTTAACACTGTACTGAAAGTCCTAGCTAACACATTAAGACAAGAAAAAAAATAAGAGGTAAGAAAAAAAAAAAACTGTCTTTGTTCATAGATAACATGATTTTCTATGGAGAAAATCCAAAAGAATGGACCAAAAAAACCTCGCGGAATGAGCAATTATAGCAAGCTTGCAGGATTAAAAAAATATGAAAGTCAATTGCTTTCCTACATACCAGTAATGAATATGTGAAAATTGAAAATAAAATGCACTCCTTTTACAGTAACACCCCCAAAAATACAATACTTAGGTATAAATCTAACAAACTATGTACAAGATTTATATGAGGAAGACTATAAAACTCTGATAAAAGAAACCAAATAACTAAATAAGAGATATTCCATGTTCACGGATAAAAAGACTCAATACTGCCAAGATGTCAGTTCTTCCCAATTTGATATACAGATTCAGTGCAATTCCTATCAAAATCCCAGCAAGTTATTTTGTGATATTGAAAAACTGATTCTAAAGTTTACATGTATACTGTATCCCAAATATACACAATTATTATTTGTCAATTAAAAATAAATTCTTAAAAAGTCCATTTTAAAATGTAAAAACTAAAGTTTATAAGGAGAAGCAAAAGGCCCAGAATAGCCAACACAATATTGAAAGACAAGAACAAGTTGGAGGACTAACACTACCTGATTTCAAGACTTACCATAAAGCTATAGCAATTAAGGTAGTGTGATATCTGCAAAAGATTAGACAAACAGATGAAGAAACAGAATAGAGAACCCAGAAACAGACCCATATAAATACAGTCAACTGATTTTTGAAAAGGAGCATAGGAAATATAATGGAGAAAAGATAGACTTTTCAATAAATTGTGCTGAACAACTGGACCTTCACGTGCAAAAACATGAATCTAGACATAGACCTTACACTCTTCATTAAAATTCTGTCAAAATGGATTACAGACCTAAATGTAAAATCCAAAACTAAAATTCCATGAGAAGATAACATAGGAGAAAATGTAGATGACCCTGGATTTGGCAATGACTTTTTAAAAATGACACCAAAGGCATGATCCATGAAAGGAAGAACAGATAAGCTGGACTTCATTAAAATTAAAACTTTCTACTCTGCAAAAGACACTGTCAAGAGAATAAAAAGATAAAGCACAGATTGGAAGAAAATATTTGCAAAACCCATATCCAATAATGGATTATTATCCAAAATACACAAATAGCTCTTAAAATTCAGCAATAAGAACACAAACAACCCAATTTAAAAATGGACCAAATACCTTATCAGACATTTCATCAAAGATACACAGATGAGTAAATAAGCATATGAAAAGATATTCCATATCACATATCAGGGAAATGCAAACAAAAACAGTAAGATACCACTATATATCTATTAGAATGGCCAAAATCCAAAACACTTATAACACCCAATGCTGGTGAGGATGTGGAGCAACAGCAACTCTCATTCATTGCTAGTGGAAATGTAAAATAGCACAGCCATTCTGGGAAACAGTTCGGCGGTTTATTACAAAACTAAATATACTCTTACCATACAATCCAGCAATCATGCTCGTCAGCATTTACCCAAAGGAGTTAAAAATTTGTATGTCTACATTAAAATTTGCACAGGGATTCTTATAGCAGCTTAATTCATAATTGCTAAAACTTGGAAGCAACCAAAATGTCCTTCAGTAGTTGAATGAACAAAATAGATTTGGTGCATATCCAATGAAACATTATTCAGAACCCTAAAAAGAAATCTGCCAATAAGCCATAAAAAGACATGGAAGAAACAAATGCATATTACTAAGTCAAAGAAGCCAATCTAATGAGGCTACTTAATTAAATGACTCCAAATATATGACATTCTGAAAAAGGCAAAACTGTGGAAGCAGTAAAAAGATCAGTGGTTGCCACTGGTTAAGGGGAAAAGAGGGATGAATAGGCAGAGCACAGAGGATTTTTTTAGAGCAGTGAAACTCCTCTGTATGATACTACTAACAGTGGATACATGCATTATATATTTGCCCAAACCCACAGAATGTACATCACCAAGAGTGTACGCTAATGTAAACTGTGGACTTTGGGTGATAATGGTGCATCAATATAGGTTTATGTATTATAACAAAAGTACCACTCTGATATTGATAATGGGGGAGGTTGTCTGTGGAGGAAGGAGGGGATCTGGGAAATCTCTGTACCTTCCCCTCAGTTTTGCTGTGAATCAAAAATGCACTAAAAAACTAAAATCTTTAAAAGGAAAATCTCTTCATTCAGATAACTTAGCATTATTTAATAATCATTAATTTATGTTTTGTATATATAAGAAGGTAATTAAAAATCATTTAAAAGATATCTGATTTTCACTATCATATATTGGTCCTTCTCCTACCTTGTCTCAGTAAGCGAGGTTTTACTACAGTAACATCAAGTCAAACGCTGCTTTAAAATTCCATACTCGTTAAAGCCAAATGTTTCAAACCCTCAAGGCTTCAGAGAATTCCTCAAATATTCACTAACACTAATTGTTACTTCTCTTGAAAGCTTTTAAAAAATTAAATGTATTCTAACAATAACAAAAATATTTTGAAACGAAAAATAATCTTTAATCTTACCATCCCATAGTATTTCATTTTTATATATCCCCTTTGAGTTTTTGCATGAGCAAATTACTGCCTAATTGTAGCCACAGTTAAGCTATTTTTTAAGCTGATTTTTTCCTGTTGCCCTGCATCAGCCATTTTGCATGTATTAGACAATAGTCAAAAAGTTACATTTCAACAGTAGCATAATTCTCCTTTGTGTTGAGGTACCTTAGTTATATCTGAATATAAGAGACTTTTAATTGTTGCTGCCAGAAATACAGCATATAACTTTCTTTTGAGTTATTATATATTGTCCTTTTGATTTCCAAAAGAAAACACTACCAACTGTACATGCACACAACCCACAAGGTGCCAGTTCCACTACGGTACCCTCAGTATGCTCTTTGATAAACTTGCAACAATTGATTTGAAACTGCATTTCTTCCATTATGTCTGTTACTGGATGGTTTGTCATTAAACTTCAGCCAGGTTCTTGACAAGAGGCAAATTTCTAAGAAATATCTGATAAGAAATTTGAAAAAATTTCTAAACACTTTTGAATTTTAAAAAATTTTCTGAAGGTGTCCGTAATAACTGATTGCTACAAAAAAGCTCAAATAAAACAGAGAATGATAAATTTCCATAAGTGGAATTACCCGTCAGGCACTATAGCTCATTGTCTTTACCTATACCATTCCTCACCTCCTACAGGCTACCTTGTCCTTCAAAGTTCAGTTCAAATGTGATCACAGTGAAACATACTAATTTCCTATGTATGCCCAAAATCAACTACCTGTACTTTCTCTGAAAGCCTTTTCTGTTCTTCTTTGTACAATATTTAGGTTATTTTTCCCTCAAGGTTACTGTGTCACAAACTGTAAATTACTAAGACAGCAAGGACAGTTTAGATTCTTCTTCCTCCCCCAGACTAGTCCAAACATAAACATAAGCCTTTTACATTCAAATGAGATACCTTCGTCATAATCATAATATAAGCATACAGCTATGGTTGAATGAGCCAATTCAAGAAAGTACTGTGGACTTTGATCTAAAGCGCTCATCAACATTTACTGATCAATCAGTCCAGATCACTGCATGCATATTATTAGGCTGACCTAACAATCAATAGTGTCTTAAAAGTTTATTATTATATTCAAACATTAAAGCTCATAAGGATTAATCAAAATGTGACAACTAACCCCAAATTGTCAGTAAGTCCCTATTAAATTAACAAATCAAAGATTCTTTTTAACCACAGAATATAAAATTCATTTAAAAGGGGCTAAATAAGCACATCATCCCAAATTTACATCTTTAACCTCTTCTTGGGGCTCCAGACCATGGTCTACTGATCTGCTTACTTGGTATTTTAGAAGTATTTCACCGTACATATTTGAAAAAAATAAAACCACACTCCTATTTAAAATCATGTGTAACTCAGACGTTTTGTTAATCAAAACTTGCCTTTCCCTCCCTTAGCTTTTCTTTTCATATTTTCTGTTTTATAGTGACTAAGACCTGCTTAACAATAAGAAATGCCATAGGAATTAGAATACAGTCTGAAATAAATTTAACAGCGAAACAAATTAAATAGCAAATGTTACTATTCATAATGCCAACTAACAATATCCTATCATACAGGGTTCTTCAGTGTCATCTTCTTTTGCTTACTTTCTCGGCCTCCACTCTGCTTCTCCTCTGCAAAACTGTGGGGCAATTCAATGTATCACTTATTACAAGCCAGCTGTCAAAGAATTCAGAGTATTGATGTTTGGTTTCTAACACAGTATATTCTTTTTATGAAATGTGTATATGCCTACATTAGTATCACTTATACATATTCTGAGTAAATCTAGGAAGGGGGGTGATGAAAAGAAGTTGGTTAATGGGTATGAACGTACAGTTAAATCAGAGGAATAAGTTCTAGCATTCAATAATACAGCAAGGAAATTATAGTTAACAATAATTTATTGTATATTTCAAAATAGCTAGAAAAGAAGAACTGTAATGTCCCAACCCAAAAAAAAATGTCTGAGATGATAGATACACCAATTACTCTAACTTGATCATTATACAGTGTATACATGTATCAAAATATCACATGTACCACAAAAATATGTACAACTATGATATATCAATAAAAAATATATTTTTAAAAAGATCTAAGTAGAGAAAAAATAAACAAAGGCTTTGGCATTTGGGAAAGAAATAATAAGTAAGTAGATCTAACCAAAAAGTATAGAAAAGGATATTTTTACTGAAAACATGTTTATAACATTGTATCAAATACCAAAGTCAGCCTTGACAAACCTTCACTGTTCTTGATCAAAAACTATAATTATTTTACTGTTTCTATTTGAGGTTACTGAAATAGATCAATCATGTTTTACTCTCTGCTTTAGTTACAAGGAAACTCATGTGGCCCTTCTCTAGGAACTTCATGAAATATGTTTTTGTATATATACAAAACCAGCTTTGGGGGGATCCAATCTATGCATCTATTAATTTTTAATGCTGTTATATAGGTATTTGTCAACCATTGTGAACAAGATTGAGGATTTATAAATACATGCAAGCCTAAAGACCACAAAACAATTGACACACAGTAAACACAAATGTATTAATCAGAATCTTTTAATACATCTAAAGACTAGACTCATGTAAAAGAAGAAAATATATGTGATGGCTAAAAACTAGGGTTTGAACAGATTTCTATGACAAAATATTTTAATATATTATTTGATACAGGTTTACAATAGATAAGTGTTACTGGTACATTCCATTTTTGTCAGTGTATTAACTTAGCAATTCTTAACCTATGATCCAGGGAGCCCCGGGCCATCCGAAATCCTTTCAGGAGCTTTGTAAAGTTGAAACTATTTTCACAAGACGTTATTTACCTTTCTCATTCTCACTCTTTCACAAGTGTACAGTGTACCTTTCAAGAGGTTATATGATATGTGATAATTTCATCACAATGATAGCTAACAGGACATGTACTTGATATTCTTGTATTCTAAAAAATTTGTTTTAATATCTAATATGGTAAATATTGATAAACATTAATCAAATATTAAAACAAAGAGCCCAAAGAGCTATAAAGAGGTCTTGAGACCAAAATGGTTGCAAACTGCTGGTCTAACCTATGAATGCTGTTTTCAAATCCAGACCATTTTCTAGAGTTTTCAAGAGCAGAAAGAGAATTTTTAAAGCTGGCAATTTTGGAAAAATGATCAAGCATATATGACATTATTCTTTATAGAAAACATAATATATTAAATTAAATAATGAACAACGTAAAGAACAAAGAATTGTTAACCAAATTAATAAAATTTTAATAGGCAAGAACTCTGAAAACATGAACAATTAAGTAATAAGCAATCGGCAGTAAGAAATGTATAACACTTCAACTCAAACACTAACTAGAAAAAACTAAGCAGAAGCCTTGACCCTCTGCAGCCGGTTAATCCAAAACATCTTGTAGTTTTTCCTTTGCAAAGAGTCAACGATGATAAACTGCAAATATAAAGAAATTTACTTCTATCTTTTTAGGGAAAACAAGAACAAAAACAAAAACCCTAGCTAAAGAAAGTTTCTAAGTTAACCAAATAGTTGCTCAAACAAAGACAATTTTAAAAAATATTTCCTTAATGCACTTAAATGCCCTATTTTTCAAAAGGAAAAATTCAGAAAAGAAAATGTACCTGAAAATGGCTGGGTTGCAGACATGCTTTGGATCCAGTGCTTCTCCTTGTATAAATTCATAGCATAGTCCATTATTGAAGGTACAGTAGAGTTGTGGTGCACACCCATGAGCCTGCAACACTCGAAAACTCTTTACTTCCTCATCTCGATCGACTAATAACTCAGTCTTATTGCCATAAATTCTCACCAGGACTACATCCTCCATGGTGTTTCCCACGTAACAGCCAATAAGTTTATTTGTGATTCCATCTGTGAAGAGCTGCCAAAAATTTTTTTTAAAAATGGGAAAAAAAGCAATTATCTATCTTTAGAGAACAGGAGATAAATTGAAAATCATGAGTTAAATACTAATTAAAGAAAACACCAACTTCTTCACATAAAAGAACCATCTTTGAATACAATTTTATCTAACATCTATAATTTTAATTCTATATTTAAACAAAGAGAACCACTAATGTTAACATGTTGCCCTTAATTCATATAACATGCCTTCCTTGATCCAAAGTGTTAATTATACATTCTGTCTTCAATATTTCTATATAACTTTCTTGATACCTGCCATTTCTCACAGTCTGCCTTGTATCACAATCTTTGCACATTTGTGTGTATGTGTGTGTGTACACATACAGGGAATGTACACATACAGGGAATCTCTCCTATGTCCAACAGATTGGAAAGTCTCTGAGAATGGGAACACTGCCCTATTCCTAGTATGGTTCATTACTTATAGAAGTCCTTAACAACATTCATAGATTTGTTAATAAATATACAAATATAATCTACCATAATTTACATTATGGCAAATCTCCAACTTACTAAAAACTCAATTTTATATATTAATTTTAAAGATTATCTAACAAAACATGCATTAAACATTGTGTTATACACTCAGAGTATAACAGTTTTGACTATTATAATTTAACCACTATGGCTACAAACAAAAACGCAACCTTACAGGAAGAAAAAAGAGGTAAGTAGAGATTTCTATGGTATTTTTTAAATAAGACTTTTGGGGCTTGTCAAGACCTTTAAGTCAAGTACTTCAAATCCTTTTTTAGATTTGAGCACAGACGGTGTATTTCAAAAGGAAACAGGTAATTAGCAATACTAGTTATAAAAGTCTATTAAAAATTGTAATTTTCATTTTCCTCTGTATTAATCTGACACTAGAACTAACACTTCACTTCTATTATAATTCAGAACTTTTGAAGGCTCCCAAGTGGAACAAAGGAAGAAAAGAGAAAAGCGAAAGCAAGAATTCAGAACATTTTTTTCATGTCAATGGGGCAAGAATAGAAAAAAAGAACAGAAGTTTTAAAAGTATGTATATACATTTAACTAATGCTTAAGAAAGAGGGTAAATATTTCTATCTCAATTAGATTGATATGATATTAAATGACATATGAAAAAAGATGTGAAAGTATTTACTAAAACTATTAATAATATACAACTAACCAGTGTTTATATAATGGTTTTTATTATATATAGGGCTTAGCTGTTACCTTTATTCACATAATGCAGTAAAACTTCATGAACTAGTATAAAGGGACTTATTTTGAATATCCCCATTTTTTAAAAATGTGCATACTAGTGTTGCCTTCCACCTAGATTTCAAAAAGACTGTATGAAAGACACTGTCAGGAAGAATATATACTTAAAATGACTATTTTTTATCATAATCATAATTTTATTAAAATCTGCATTGAAAAACATGTTATTTCTTATCACAATGCCACTATCAATTCACACATGCTGTTCTGTAACTTCTTCATATGTCATAGATAAAATATTTCAAATACGGTAATAAAGATTGAGAAACCTTTTAACATTCTGAAATGCTTATAATGAAAGAAACTCTAGGCTCCTCAAACTCCAGAAATCATCATCTCCATTTTCTGAATCTTCACAGCAAACAGTAGGTACTTAATACTTAAACACTAGAACTCGTATAGCTACCAACATTAATGTCTTCATCTAGCTTATAAAAATTGCATTCTCTTATTATCCCTAAATTGACCATGCTATATTATACATTTATTTGTACAAACATAAAAAGATGTGTGCATTTAAGGGCTAGAGACAGATATGATTACTCAATACAAATTACTGAACACTAATTAAACATTTATGAAGAAGACACAGTGTCACAACTCCAATGACACTAGCCCTAACTTTCTGTATTGCACAACAGCTACATAACTGGAAAGAAACCGCTAGAATAAAAAGATATGTGAATAATATAATCTCGCATTTATCAAAATATTTTATGTATAAATATTTATTTGTCTACAAAGATACTAGGTAGTTTAAATCTTGTTTCTTTATTTTCTTGTTTCTCCATAAGTAATTTAACCTTTTTTCTTTTGACTTAGGTATGTTTACTAACTTGTAGTTTTACAGCAATGAACCTGGTTTACTAGTGGAAAAATTAGTAGCAAAACAACGGCCTGGCACTCACTAGGCCTTGAAGTCATGCTGAACATAAACTGTTTTACAGAACATCAACATTCAACATTAGATAGGGTTACTCTGTGATCATAATGGGTCAAGAAAACAACAAAACCACTCTGTAATCATGTCTGAAGGTAGAAAAAAATAGGAACTTTGTCCAAATGACAAAAATTACCAAATACCTCCTTATCCTGGCTAATATGAGTGACTGCTGCTCTTTTCCAGTCAAACTTTGGGCCTGCTTCATTTCTTCAGCGTTCTAGGTACGATTAAGATGCCCATAAGTCATAGATTTGTCCCACCTCCTTCCTGACACCATCCAATCCAGAGAATACCGTTACCTCGAACCCTCCCCCAAATCACCAGACAAATCCCCACCATTCTCAATGTAGTTCTCCCTTACTGCAGTGAGTAATAAACCCAACTTCTTCAGCTACAGGTGAGTTTCTACTGGTCTCTGGCTGGAGAACAATGACTTCAGTTTAAAGATGTACAGGTAATACTTCTTACCTTTGCATTGTTCCCACCTCATACATAAACCACAAGTAACTCAATGTGCTGAATCATCTAAAATATACTATTAAAATACACTATACACACTCTAGCTATATATACTATATTAAATATATACTAGAAATATAAAATTCCACCTCAGTAGAGTTGAGACAAAATATAAATCTTAGTGAGCTCCTTTTAATGGGGTTTATCCTGCACTATTTGTCAAGTATTTCAGATAGTAGTAGCTGACAGGATGAGCTACAGAGCCAGAGTTTGAGTTTGAATCCCAGCTCTGCTACATACAAACCGAGTAACCTTAGGCAAGTCACCAACCCTCTGTGTCTCTCTATCTCATATATAAAATCAGTACATTAGAACCTACTTCTTGCATTGTTCTGAAGATTAGTAAGTTGATACACATAAAAGTACTTAGAACAGTGCTTGGCACACCGTAAGCTCGTAAATGTAGCCAATGATACATTTAAATTTCAATAAAAAACAGCAAAGTAATGATGAAATTATAAAATAATAATTAAGACTAAAATATATGTTAAAACAATATTTAAAAACAACAATTTCAATATGTCTCTAAAAGTAGCTTAAATCCAAATAGCTAAATGTTAAATATCATTTCTGGGCAAATTCTCTTTCACATCTTAAAAAAAAAAAAAAAAAGGCTTTCAATTTAGTTAGAAATGCCATTCAACGTTACTCTCTCAAGTTAGTACTACCCTATATGCGTTTGGTTTTGCATGACGAATTATATCCTGTTAAACTTTAATCCCTAAAATGTATACTACTAAGCTAGTAAATTTAGCTACTAATCACTTCTAATCTTTAGTTTAAATATTAACAGCTTTTAAATACTAGGGAAATTAATAATGGATTCTCAATTTGTTCTCTGCCTTACCTCATCACATAATTTTTAAAAACAACATCTATATTGGTTAAAAATACAATTTAAACTTACCCTTTAACAAATTCCAACAACCCAAGGGTCTACTTTTTAATTGCTTAATATTGATGAAGTTATCACTGTTACTCTGAAAATTGGCAATTAAAATAGAATTAAGCATTTATCCTACATTTTCTACAAACTGTATTTCATAATATCCAAACCGATCTAATTAATGAGAGAAAGTTATCTACCAAAGAATTCCCGTTGACAAATGTGGAGGATACAACAGAAAAAGTATTCAGGAAACAATCTTCAATGAATAAAACCATTAGATGAAAGATTGATAGGTAATTTTATAATGGTAGGAGTCATCTGTCACCTCCTGATTTCACGAAACAACCTGACATGTTATACCTTCTGATGTGATGCAATATGAAATACACTGCACTACCTATGATTTGAAATCTAATCAAGGTTCTAGATCTTCCTCTTTTTTTTTTTGAGAGTCTCAGTCTTTTGCCCAGGTTGGAGTGAAGTGGCACGATCTCGGCTCACTGCAACCTCCGCCCCCCAGGTTCAAGTGACTCTCCTGCCTCAGCCTCCCAAGTAGCTGGGATTACAGGTGCCTGCCACTATGTCTGGCTAATTTTTGTATTTTTAGTAGAGATGGGGTTTCGCCATGTTGGCCAGGCTGGTCTAGAGCTCCTGATCTCAGGTGATCCACCCGCCTCGGCCTCCCAAAGTGCTAGGATTACATGTGTGAGCCACAGCGCCCGGCCAGATCTTCCTATTCTTAAGAAAATATAGGGGTTAAAGAAACACCACATGGCTGGCCATGGTGGCTCATGCCTATAATCCCAACCCTTTGGGAGCCAGGAGGATCACTTGGGGTCAGGAGTTCAAGACAACCCTGGCCAACGTGGTAAAACCCCACTTCTCTAAAAAAATAAATTAATTAATTAAAAATTAAAAAACACCACAAAGAAGAACAACAAAAAATATACAAATCCAGAATGTAGGTCTTTCTACACAAACGCCCCACCAATAAATAGTCAATAGCATACAGTCTAGTTTAAAGAGGCTTATGAAACATACAAACGCATGGATCTAGTTTGTTTCCTAACTCAAACAAATACGTATAAAAATACTTTTTGAGGTAAAATTTTATTATGAACTGACTATTAAACAGTACTTAGACATTACTGCTAATTTTGCTCAGTGTTCTAATGGTGCTGTGATCACGCAAAAAAAATAACTTTTTATGTTTACAAATTTATACTGAAATACACAAAGACAAAGACAAGGTCTGACTGAGATTTGCTTTAAAATACTTTAAAGGGGTTAAAAAATGAAGCAAATACGGATTCTGGATAATATATGAATATTTTATTCTCTCAATTTGGGTATGTTACAAAATTATAATTTTTAACTTGCATGATACAACTAATCAAAGCATAAGTGAGGAACTCTAGAGCTTCTATTAGAGAATTACAAAACATAAAAGCATCAATGAGAAATCCTAGAGCCTCTATTAGAGAATTATATAATATAATATAGCACAAGTATGTAAGATTCACTTGCTAGCAGATTCCAAAACAAATAAATGATAAAACTTAAAGACAGGCCAAGCGTGATGGCTCATGCCTGTGATCCCAGCACTTTGGGAGGCCGAAGCAGGTGGATCACTTGAGGTCAGGAGTTCGAGACCAGCCTGGTCAATATGGTGAAACACTGTCTCTACTAAAAATACAAAAATTAGCTGGGTGTGGTGTTTCATGCCTGTAATTCCAGCTACTAGGGAGGCTGAGGCAGGAGAATCATTTAAACCCTGGAGGCAAAGGTTGCGGTGAGCCAAGATCGCTCCACTGCACTCCAGCCTGGGAGACAAAGTGAGACTCCGTCTCAAAAAAAAAAAAAACCCCACCTTAAAGACAGGTTAAAAAGGGGGAAAAAAGTTAAAAGGTCCAAGTGTTTTGAGATGGAAAAACAGATTATGTGGCCATGTATCCCACCCACTTCTAGAGGCCAACTTCTTTCTCCTTCCCTTCTCTGCCAAATTTCTTGCAAGAGAATTTTGTATTCAATTATTTCCACTTCCAAACCTACCATATGCTTTTTTTTTGTAATTTTTATTTTTATCAATCAACAATAGACCTCCCCCTAAACTACCTTTCAACTCTCATGTTATTTAATTCCTTATTTTTAAATACCATTCTTAAACTGCTTTTCTGTAAAGTCTACACATTATCTGAGACTTCTTATAAGACTGAGCTTTCTTATTTCCTTCACACATAAACACTCTCTCTCTCTCGCTCTGTCACTTCTCCTATCTTCCTTTACCCAATATAAGTATATAAGATTTTTTATTTTATCAATTTTCAATTACACTATTTTGTACACATCCTTCCAAACCCCAAAATGAGATATACTGTAAATTTCCTTTCCTGGATAGTTTGTTTCCTCTGTAACTAATAACTGGCTTATTTTCTCATTTGCTTACTTTTTTATATACCTATTTGTACTCTCTATATTAGTGACTTTCAAATTGGGCTATAAAGCCCTCAAGGAATGGGAATAGGAATCCAAGTCAGCAAAAAAGCTCTGCTATATCCCCAACACATACAAAGGCACATGTGCACATATACTACACTACCACCATCTTGCCCTCATTTATTTCACATACACATGACACTTGGGGATAAGATTTTACTTGAACAAAGAATTCTAACCCTGTAGAAAAGGTTGAAAATCACTGATAAAAATCATCTAATGGGCCACTTTCACTCTTGGCCAAGGCAAAGTAATGGGGACAGGATTTTACCCTTTTACTTGAAACAACCCCTCTCCCACAAATAAAAACCAGACAAAACATATGAAATGACAATTTTTAAGACAATGGACTTTAGAGAGAACAGTGATCCCTGAGAGATGGGAAACAAACAACGTGAACTCTATGACTGCCCCGGCTTAATGTCTTGAGAGAATTCTCAGGTCCCAGCAAAGGGAAAGAGAATCCAGATGGAGCTTGTGTGGACTTCATTAATTGAGATAAACTGAGCATCGGAGGATATCAAAACAGCTAGAGTATGCAGGACAGAGTATTAAAGCGGAAAGACAGGGAGACAGACAGGAGAGAGCACTCTAGAGGATCTGCAAATGGTCCCACTGTATCCCCTTGGTATCCGAGGGGGATTCGGTGCAGGATCCCACCCCCGCAACAATGCCAAAATCTACAAATGCTCAAGCCTGTTATATTTTGATTTAAATTTTTTTGTTCATATTATTTTACACGTTCTGAAAGCCTGTTGTATAGAATGATGTAGTATTTGCACATAACCTATTTATATTCTGCCATATACTTTAAATCATCACTAGATTACTTCTAATACCTAATACAATGTAGATGTTATGTAAATAGTTGTTATACTGTATTAAGGAATAATGACAAGAAAAAATATCTGCACATGTTCAGTACAGAAACAACCATCTTTTTTTTCTCTTAATATTTTCAATCTGCAGTTGCTTGAATCCATGGATGCAGAAGTCATGGATATGAAAGGACAACTCTATATGCTGCTTACAAAAGACATAGAGAAGGAAGCTGAGGTAGCTATCTCATATCAAATAAAATAGACCTTAATGAAATATTACTAAAGATAAGGAGGGACATTTTATAATGACTAAGGGATTGATCCACCAAGAAGATATAAAAATTCTAAATGTGCATGTATCCAACAATACAGCTTCAAAAGATATAGAGCAAAAACTTACAGAATTAAACAAATCCCATAATAAATGTTGGAAATTTGAGCACACCATTCAGGACCTCATTTTTAATTTTTTTAATGCTTATAGATGACACTATTTTTTTCCAAGACCTCATTTTTTTTTAGCAGAGAAAAATCATTATGTAGTAAGAGCTCTAAACAACAAAATTAAAAATTCAACTTAACTGACATACACAGAACACTACACTCAACAACAGAATATTCTTTTTCTTACCTTTTTTTGAGAGAGGGTCCCACTCTGTTCACCCAGGCTGCAGTGCAGTGACACAATCACAGCTCACTGCAGCCTCAACCTCCCAGGCTGAAGCAATCCTCCCACCTCAGCCACCCGAGTAGCTGGGACTAAGGCATGCATCACCACTAACTTTTTGCATTTTTTTTGTAGAGACAGGGTTGGCCAGACTAATCTTGAATTCCTGGAATCAAACAGTCTGCCCACCTCAGGCTCCCAAAGTGCTGGGCTGTGCCTGGCCAAGAACATACATTCTTTTCAAGACTACACAAAACATTACCAAAATTGACTATGGGCTTCATTATAAAGCAAGCCTCAACAAATATCAAAGGATGAAAATCACTTAGAGTATCATCTCAAACTACAGTGGATATGAGCTAGATAGCAATAACACACACACCAAATAAAACCGGTTAAGATAATAAATTTTTATGTTTTTATAACAATTTTTTTAAAAAATTAAATATGCATCAACTCATTGGAAATGAATCAAATACATATGTAAAATGAGTGAGATAAAGAAAAAACCACCACAATGGCAATTAGAAAACATTTTGAACTGAATGATAATAAACACATATTGTCAAGCAAGTGGTATCTGTCACCTAATATCAGGAGTAGAAGTCTTAGAACTTCTGTTCATTGTATCTTGGTATCATAGTCACCAAAGAAAACACGATGCACAGTCAAGCACTGCATGGAACAACGCTTTACTTACACAGAGAGGAGACAAAGCAAGATCAGCTTCAGTAATAGGTGTTGGTATCCCATGGTGAGCAAGTTCCTCCCAGCAGCTGATGCCAACAACTGGTCTACACACACCCTTCTTGGGCTACAGCAGACCAACCCTGTCCCTCCATCCCCTTCCCAATGGGGAGATACTGAAGGTGAGCCAGGTGACATATGACACACATACTGAAGCAGAGCAAAGGAGGACACACTGAGTGTAAAACAGGGAAAAATATTTCACACAGAGTGACAGGTCCAGCACAGGCTGTGAGGACTCTATCGCTTGGTAAGAAAGTGTTTCAGGCCCAAGGCCCATTTTTATTTGGTGAGAAGGGGTGGAAAGGCTGTGTGCATGAGACCGCCTTTTCCAACACATGTCAAGACTTGTGGGTACTTACAAAGACATGTAATGAATAATAGAAATTTAAAAGGCAAAAAATTAGTGCTTCCAGCTCAAGAAGCTAGAAAAATAACAGCCAATCAACCTTCAAAAAACGATTAGGAAGGAAATAATGAAGGACAAAACTATCAATAAAATAGAAAAACTCAACAGTCAAAAATTATTATTTGGGCCAGATGTGATGGCTTATGCCTGTAATCCCAACACTTTGGGAGGCCAAGGTGAGCAGATTACTTGAACTCAGGAGTTCAAGACCAGCCTGGGCAACATGATGAAATCCCATCTGTACAAATAAATAAATAAATAAATACAAAAATTAGCCGGGCATGGGGCGAGCACATGGTCGAGGCTGTAGTGGGCCATGATCGCACCACTGCACTCAATCCTGGGCAACAGAGTGAGACCCAGCCTCAAAACAAACAAAAATTGTTCTTTGAAAAGATTAATACAGTTGATAACTTCTTAGCAAAATGTATGAAGACAATAAAGCAACACAAATGATAAAGAAATGAACTTCACTACAGACCTTAAACATGTATTATTAAAAGCAACTCTTCCAAAAATAGAAAAAGAAGAAACACCTCTGAACTTGGTACCAAAACTTGTCAAGGACACTATAAGAAAGGAAAATTACAAACCAATCTCTTTCATAAGCAGAGCTGCAAAAATCCTAATCAAAATATTAGCAATTGATACAGTAATAAAAAAGAGACTATATACAACCAAATAGGGTTTTCTCCAGGAATGCAAAGGTTACTTAGCATTCAAATTTTTTTTCAATCAAAGTAATTCACCTCAATAAGAGAAAAATTAAGAAAAATCTTATAATCATCATGAAATGCAGAAAAAACATTTGGCCAAATTCATCATTCATGATGAAAATACTTAACAAACTAAGAATAAAAAGAAACTTGCTTAATCTGGTAGAGTCATTAAAGAAAATCTATAGCATATATCATACCTAACAATAAATTATTGAAAATGTTCTCCTTAAGACTGGGAAATAAAAATGACCACTATCACCTTTTATCTTCTTTTTCAAGTGTGTTAGAGAGGTCCTTACTAGTGCAGTAAGACAAAAAGACAGAAGGGGAGACAGCAATATGTATTATTTTCAGATTATACATAGAGAAAATACAAAATAATCTACATAAAAACCTTTAGAGTGTGTGAAAAAAATTCAGTATAAAGCAATTAATTATAATCCTATATACCAACAATAAAGTAATTTTTTAAATGATACCCTTTACAATAATATCAAAAAGCGTCAACACCTAGGGATAAATCAAATAAAACACGTGAGATCTCCACAGTGAAAACTTCAAAAGTTTGAGAGAAATTAAAAATTTATTTTAAGATTCAATATTGTTAAAAGAATTCACTTCTCCCCAAATTTATCTACTGATTCCACAAAATATAATCAAAATCCTATCCAGTTTCTTTTGTGGGAATCCCAAAATTGAGTCTACAACTTATATGGCAACTTAAAAAGTCAAGAATAGTCACGGCAATCTTAAAAACGAACAAAGCTGGAGTCCTACACCAAAGCCTATAATAACTACATCAAATACCAAGTCCTGTAGCAATGATTGAGAGTAATCCACACAGAGTGGTACTGCTACAGTAACGGACAAAACAGACCAAAAGAAAAGAACAGGCCGGGTGCGGTGGCTTGCGCCTGTAATCCCAGCACTTTGGGAGGCCAAGGCAGGTGGATTGCTTGAGGCCAGGAGTTCAAGACCAGCCTGGCCAACGTGGTGAAAGAAAAAAATAAAGACAGACAATAGCAATTATTGGTAAAGATATACCATAAGTGAAACTCTCACATAATGCTGTTAGGAATATAAACCGGGACAATCACTTCAGAAAACTGAAAGTGTCTAACAAAGCTGAAAATACACAACTAGATGACTCAGAAATTCTACTTCTAGGTATCCACTTAACAGAAATGGATATTCGTGTTCAAAAAAAGTATAATTGTAAGAAGCATAATTTGTGATAGCCAAAACATGAAAACAACCTAGGTGTCCATTAACAGTAGGAGACATATAAATTGAGGTATATTCTTAAAATGGAATGCTAGTCGGTCATGGAAAAGAACTACAACTATATACACATGAATAAATCTCTCAAAATCTGGGCATACGCCAAACCAAAATTTTAAAAAAACACATATTTCATATGATGCCATTAAATAAAATTCAAAAAGAGGCAAAACACTGATACAAGGCACAGTGGCTCACACCTGTAATCCCAGCACTTTGGGAGGCTGAGGCAAGAGGATCACTTGAAGCCAGGAGTTTAAGACCAGCCTGGTAACACAGCAAGACCACATCACTACAAAAAATTTAAAAATTAGGCAGGCATGCACCTTTAGTCTCAGGTACTCTGGACGCTGATGTAGAAGGGATCGCGTGAGCTCAGGAGTACAAGGCTGCAGTGAGCTATGATAGCATCACTGCACTCTAGCCTGGATAACAGTATGAGACCCCATCTCTTAAAAAAAAAAGTAAAAATTTAAAAAATAATAAATAATAACTAAGTCACATTATGTTTAACATGATCATCAAATATTAGGTTTGTGACTATCAAAAATTATAGTCAATACCATTCAAACATGGGAAAATGTTTATAAAGGGCTAGTGAAAAAAAGAATATAAAATTATACGTATGATTGCAACTATGTAAAATATGTTTAGGAGAAGTAGAAGGTAATAAAAATAAAACGGTTGTGAATAGAATATTGATGATAGGAAATTGATTTTTTTCTCCTATTCAGTTTTAATATAATATTGTGGTACAACCTTTTAGTAAAACTAAATTATTTCATGTTCATACGGTTTCCTGTACAAAGACCTTCATGCACTTATTATTTTCTCAGAGTACTTATTTTCAAAACAGAATTAATTCAAAACATTCTATTTTGTTAATTAGAAAAAAAAAAAATCTGCTATTAAGATTACCACTAGAGGGAGGGAGAGATCAAGACTATGAAGGAAAATGAAGACACTTGGTTGCTGGAAATTAATTTTCTTTTCCTGGGTTGGGGTGGGTATATGTTTTACAACAATTTATGATTCATCCATTTTTCTATATGTTTGCTGTTTTTCACAATTTTTAAAAGAATGTTAAAAATGTATTTATAGCCAATCTGGTATATCAAAGAGTAAAATAACTCCTTAGAAAACAAAATAAAGAGAAATAGAACCTCTGATTTCTTAAAGGTCTTCTACTACTTCCCTATCTTTGTCATCCACTCCTTCCCCTACAAAAAACACCTTAATCTTCTTTCTTCCCTAACCTGTAATCAATTGACAAGTCCTGCACATTTATTTTCTGAAATGTGAAATCTGTACCTTATTTCCATCTCATCTGTCCTAATCTGGGCCCCAGCACCTCTTGTCTGGACTAACACAACAGTCTCTCTCAAATTATTTTCTCAAACTTTTTAAATGCAATACACAGGAAGAAATATATTTATCATTTGATATAATATGTACATAGACACTTTTACATAAAACTAAAGCACACTTCACAAAAGAATACTTACCACCGGGCGCAGTGGCTCACACCTGTAATCCCAGCACTTTGGGAGGTTGAGGAAGGTGGATCACCTGAGGTCGGGAGTTTGAGACCAGCCTGACCAACATGAAGAAACCCCGTCTCTACTAAAAACACAAAAATTAGCCAGGCGTGGTGGCAGGCGCCTGTAATCCCAGCTACTCTGGAGGCTGAGGCAGGAGAATCGCTTGAACCTGGGAGGCAGAGGTTGCGGTGAGCCGAGATCACGCCATTGCACTCCAGCCTGGGCAACAAGAGCGAAACTCCATCTCAAAAAAAAAAAAAAGAGTACTTACCTTACTACTTGCAAGGCTCTGTCTGATGTAACCTCTACCATAACTTATTCTAACTCATCTTTTTAAACTGTAATGGTCTCAAGACACTATATTGATTTGGCATCCTATTAATGTATGGTAACCACTAGTTTCAAAACCAATGTCCTGAGTGATCATTATTTCCCAATTTAAAACATTTCCCTCAAACAACCCTTCTCTACATTGTTGCCTGTCACTTCTCTAATACATGATATAATTTACCTGCTTAAAAATATCCAGGCCAGGTGCGGTGGCTCATGCCTGTAATCCCAGTATTTTGGGAGGCCGAGGTGGGTGGATCACTTGAGGTCAGGCATTCGAGACCAGCCTGGCCAACATGGTGAAACCCCGACTCTACTAAAAATACAAAAATTAGCTGAGCATGGTGGCGCACATCTGTAATCCAAGCTACTTGGGTGGCTGAGGCACGAGAATCACTTGAACCTGGGAAACGGAGGTTGCAGTGAGCTGAGATCACACCACTGCACTCCAGCCTGGGCTACAGCGAGACTCTGTCTCAAAAAAAATAAAATAAAATAAAATAAAATACAAAAAGAAAAATATCCAGTGGCTTCCCATGATGTCCTAAATGATGAGTAAGCTACTCAAAGTCTAGCTTCATTGCCTTTGTGAGATAGTTTTCCTTGCTCAGAAATGTTTCCCTTTTCAATCTGATCTCATCTACCCTTCAAAGCTTAGCTCAGGTACCCCCACCTCTATGAAGCCTTCTGTCCTACGTTCTTCTATGCCTACCTTGTGCTACAGTTAGTTGTACAAGGACTCTTACTGAAAACTAGCATTACAGCTAGTACAAAAAACACATGTCAGAATTACTGAATTTTAGGAGCTCACAATTCTCTCAGTTGGGATGGGAGAATTGGAAATGAGAGGTGGAAGAACGTAGTACCAAAACATGCGATGCGTAATTGTAGGTATTTCATTGAATTCTCATGACTACTTTCCAAGGTAATACCATTTTATAGAGACTTTAAAACTTGCCAAAGGTTATAAATGGCTGGAAATAATATTCAAAAACCATCCTCTTTCCACATTATGCTCAGTCCCCAAAAAGATGTGACGCAGTTTGTGTAGTCCAAGTTACATGGCTATTATACAGGAAAACAAACTAGCACTTTAGGCTCCTGTCTTCATAGTCACATCTTAATAAAATACATGGGAGCCTAACAAATATTTCATGTTTTTGATGGGCGTCTATTAAACATTATATACTTTATTATTCTAAAATGCTGAAGACAGGGAGGGAATAGGAAACAGAAAACTGGATGTAATCACTAACATTAAAAGTTACACTGAATATAAACCATGACTCCTTATTTGTATCTACAGGACTCAAGATTTCCTATAATCTTAGGGAAAGTAAACTAATATATTGTTTACTTTTTTAATATATTAAAAAATTAGCCGTAACTTACTACATTAGCTTACCTAAGACTTTTCAGAAGCTACTGCTTAAAGGAACAAACTCATCTTTTTAAAAACAGAAAAGAAAATCAATTATTATATCAGAACACTAGTGGAGACATAACTTAACACAGCAATTGTATAGATCTGGCTTTTTCTTCTTCCTTTAAGGCAAAGACCAATATAAAATATCAACTATCAATATTAAGAGGAGTTACAGGTTTTTAATAGATTATTTAGGTAACTACCTCCAACACTGTTAGAAAGAGGAAGGATATGAAAACTGCTGTGTAGCTACACAACCTAACACAAAGATTAATTTCCATGATAGAATACATATGCTTAAAAAAATGATGAAAAGATTTTTTAAAATATGCATTCAATAACAGGCAAAAACCTGTAGTAAAGCAGAAAGAACAGTACATTTTTTAAACTTCTTGGGTAATCTTTGCATGTGAACTAAATTTGAATGTTCATTCCATAAACATTACGTTGTTATAATTTTCTTATTTGTCTTCCCCATCGGACTAGGAATTTCAAAGAGCAAATATTTGTTTTTTGATTCAAGTATCCAATATATAGTAGGTGCTCAGCAGCAATAATAATTATCATGAAAGACAGCATTTATTTTACCCTCACAATAACCCATTGAGGTAGGGACAACTACTGGATCAATTTTACAGCTCAGGATACTGAGACAGGAAGTTTAATGATTTGACCAGAGTAACAAAGCTAGTAAAGTATAGAATCTGGACTCAAAACTAGCACTGTGTTCAAACCCCATGCTCTTGAGCACTGTAACACACTGTTATTGAAAAGCTAAGTTGCTATAAGGTACCATATAGCAAGCAATCTCATTTAGACCCAACAAAGGAATAAATATATTAGTTTTGTAATGTTAAATAATAATTACGGTATTAATTCCTACCTATGAAGCCTTTGCCATTATCTACTATAAGTCCCAAGTAATGGAAAAATTCATAGTGACAAGTTAGTGAGAAAAACAACGTTGCTTAATACTGCAAACAGAAAGACCCTGAGACAACATAACTGGAATATTCCAAACACTAATTCATCAGCTCTTCAGAAAATGAAAAACAATTTTAAGAGTCCGTTGAGAATTATTATGGACCTGAGATCTGACTTGATTCTTTATTCCTTTATACGATGACTCTCCAAAGAAAAGTATAAAAATTAAAAATCAAAATCTTCAAATAAGTTAAACAGTTGTTACACAACAAAAGTAACTCGTGAAGGAAAGCTTAAGTAATCCCTTTTTCCTAAAATGGTGTCACATATGAAAAAAGTAATGCAAATTTATGTTCAAGGGAACTTTAAAGCAGAATCTTTTTATGAGCCAAAGCTTTTAAGAAATTAATTTTATACAGAAGCACCTTCCCTGCCTAAATCATAATATACAAACAAAACTCTTGGTCATAGAACAATAATTCATAAGATGGTTTATCATCTCAGATCTGCCATTTGTAAACGGCAAATTCAGTTTCATTAACTATATGATACATATTAACAGTACCGTCTACATCTACCTCACAGGATAGTTGGGAGAATGCATGTGAAAGTGCTTTATAAACAGTAAAGGATTATTAAATACAAAGCACTGTGGCTGTATTGTTGTTTTAGATTTACTCTGCCTATTCTGCTACTATACTCCGAAAACCTCACCATCTCCTTTATAATTTATTCTTTTAATCTAGTAAGAACAGGAATTCTGTCTAAAATGAGATATATTTACTCCATGTACCCACAAATTCTGAGCAAAGACTGGGCCTTCTATCATTTTGACTCTAGTAAGTCTTTTTTAGCTTGTTTTTTTCTTTTTATTTTCTGATATGCTCTGGATAGTTCAGCTTGCAGGAATAATCAATCACCAGATAAGTATTACTACAGTAAGTTTCTAAAGTACATTTAAAGTATATCTTAAACATACAAAAATGTTAGAAAAAAACTGAGAAAAAAACAGGCTACATTACTGATACTCGACTGCTCTAAAATTACATTATACTCTGTCGACTATATAATACATACTTCCTCTGAAATGTGAGGTATGATTCTTATCTATTTCAAGGGAAATACAGTAAAATCTCAAAAGAAAATATTTCCTTTGAGATTTACTAAAGAAATTCTGAACCATTATGAAAGTAGTGTTTGCAATGACCTAGAATGCAAGGAGCCAGATCTACTGAGTTGAAAGGTGAATAATCATCAATTCAGCTTAGCAGATGCTTTTAGGACAGCTTCTAGACCAAAGCTTTGCTTGCACATGGAGGGAATGTATTTCTAACTAATAATCATCTTAGGGAAAAATAAATGGTAGTATTTACCTGCACTTACAAATATTAAAAATTCGGATTATAAACCCAAAGGTCTTTAGGTTAAAAGTTGCTACAAGAAACCAAGATTTAAACACACGTAGTTACTTTCCAACAAGCAAAAACAGTTTAATGTCACTACATTTTGCCCTTTTTTACCTACATCCTGGCTTACTTCACTGAGTTTCACCTAAAATGATAGTGCCTACCTAATATGGTTGTTCGGGCGACTAAGATAAAAAAAAAATAATTTAACTAACCCCACAGTAGCTATTATTACTATTCTACAGACAAATACATCAAAGGAAATTCCAGTCTTCAAAGCTTTAAACTTTAAAGTCACTGCTTAAAAGTAACTGATCTGCCAACACTAGAGTTTACCAGGAAGTAGCACTTTTTAATTAATAATGTTTTATGTATAAGTGACTGCCAGAAAACAAATCATCTTAATAAATTTTAGAGTCTTATATAATAAAATACAAACAAATTGATAAACTAAACAAGTACTGAATTTCAATTTGGAAGACACATTTCCTTTAAAGGAAATATATTTTTTAAATGACATAAAAATCACTTTGGATTCACTATTTCCTATATTCTCGGCTAACAAATACTCCCTTAAATTTCAAAATTTGTTGTCTAACAAGTTTCTTCTCCAAAACATACGGGTCCTTTAAAATAATCTGCTTAAAAACTCTTCTAGGTAATAAGAACTGAAACTAACACATGAAAACCCAAGTGTCAGGAACTGTTCTGGGCCCTAGGCACTGCTCATGTTTTATTCATCTTTGTGTGGGTGGCTGGCTAGTTTAGCGAAGAATTTAGCAAATAAATCAACAAATATTGGTGAATAAATTAGTCATCAAAACGAGGCAGATGATTTGGCTAATTCAAATGAATGTTCTTACATTATTGCTCAGATTTAGAACAAATCCCAAATATCCCAATCTTGAAAATTACTGTTTTTTTTTGTTTGCAAGGGAAAAGGAGAAAAAGAGATCTATTTTTGTATCTAGTTCCTGAAACTAAAGCTAAAAACAGATTAGTATTCAAAAAAAATCACGTAGTGGAAATCATAACTTCCAACTTATTAGAAAACTCCTAGAGTCTCAGGGATTTTTTTCCTCCCAATTTTTTCTCTATCAACACGGTGTCTCATGAAAAGGAAACAGTCACAAGCCACTGCTCCTTCTAGTATCAGGTATTAATTTCAGTAAGACGACTTTAATAATTCAGAAATATCGACTCAAACAAAACAATGTGTGTGGTGCTGCCTAAGAACCGACCTAGCGATGCATGGTCGTGGTCATTACTTTGGGAATTGAGTACGCTAGGGTTTGGGAAGACAAAACGCAGTGTGAGGCATCAATGAAAGCACATCGCAGGGGGAGGGGAGAGGAAGGAAAGATCAGAGAGGATTAATGACTGCATTACTGGTGGGAGGGGAGGAGGTAGACGAGGACCCCGTGCAAGGGGAGTGGAAAGGTTCATTTTGCAGTGACCGTGGACTGGGGAGTGGGAGGAGGGGCAACTATCAGCAGGAATCTCCCCCCGTGGATGGGTCCGTCACTTACGCAGCGGCTTCTAGAAAGAGAAAATGTGCCTCAGGTCAATCTCAAAGAGCAACTGCGACGGGAAGGGGGAGTGACCCTCCTAGGTGTGAGGGGAAATACAGGGTCACTTCCCAATAGACTTAAGGAGATGTTGCCCTAGGTCCTCCTCGGTCATCGTGGGACAGAGGCGATTGTGGTGAGGACCCCCAGAGCCGCGTGAGGGGCATAAGAGACCCAGAGCTGAGGTGTGGGCGTTACCTGCAGGGTCACCTCCTGGGGGTCCCAGTGAGGCCGCAGGTGTTGCAGGAGGCTCAGGGCCCCCTCCCGGCAGCGATGCTCCTCCTGATCCTGAACGGTGACGTTCAGCTTGGGCACCTCCGGGGAGCCGGGAGGGACGTGGATGTAATTGGCCATGGCCCAGGCGACGGCGGAGACTACCACCACGACGACGGCGACGGCGACCACGAGAACGGCGGGCGCCGACAGACTGGTGGATCCTTCCGTCCCGGGGCGCCCTCGCGGGAGGGCTGGGGGCGCTGGGACGGGCGGGCGAGCGGCAGGAGAACGTCTGGAGGCGGCACTGTTGCCGATCCGGGTCTGGACAGCAGCTGAACTGAGCCCGGCCCGCTCTCGGAGAAAATTCCTGTTGTCGGAGCTGGACCGCGGGCGGCCGCAGAGCATGCCGGGGCTGGCCTGACGCTGGCGTCACGCGCGGGGCGGGTCCTGCGCTGCGTCAGGGTGCCGAGGCGGGGTTTCTCGCCTCCGGTCACAATGGGACCTCTGTACCGCGCTGGGCTTGTTGGCCTGCGATTAGCACACACCCATCCCTGGGAACTGCTAGTCTGGAAAGCGGGGCTGCTTCTCCGGGATGAGCCCGAGCCCTGCCAAGCCCCTCAAGGCATTGAAGCTTTAGCTCACCTTATCCGAATGGTCATTGGGCATCTGGACTTGAGTTAACGACTGAATTTTTCTGGGAAGCAAGGGACACGTTCTAAAATAACCCCAGGATCACTCTCCGAACTTGGCCTGAGTCTAGGCAAGCAGTGTTACTCGGTCGCCTTGATCTTGGAGCTGCTGTGTACTGGGGACCTCATACTAGTTGGGTTAACTATATTCCCATTAGCAGTACGCGGGATCGCAGTACTCGGGACAAGCTGAGTTCAGGTATTTGGGTAAGACAACTGCAACACTTCAGAGGTTATTTGTGGAGTAAGATGTTCGACCATACAGTGAATAATTCGAAGCTAGGGAGAACAGATTAGAGTCTGGTATGAAGAAGAAAGGGAAGGAAAGGAATAGTTTTGAAGCTCAGCGCTAGAACGACTCGATGTCCATGCCAGGGTACCCCGAGTGGGCCTTGAAATCTTGCGTCTCAGTGCCTTACAGGGAATGGTAGAAACTGGAAAATCTACAAGTAAAGTATTGGGACCTCCTAATTTTCCTTTTAGATGGAGGAAAACGGGCTGGGATTCCCTGCAGCACTTAGCACACGGTGAATACGTTTGTTAGTAGTAAATAAAACCCTTAACTGGACTGAGTTTAATTAACATTCAAAATGTTTAATTACTTCACTAGCATTAAGTTTACATCCTGATTGTTCAGAAAGAACCTACTTACCTTTGTAATTAACAAAATAATTACTTCACCGATAACGGTAAACTTCCTAAACTAAAAAGAGGGGTGGAAATGGAGCTTTATAATACAGCAAAGAAGTTGATTTAACATTTTTCAAATTTAGTGGTTTTTTTGTTTGTTTTTTGTTTCTGTTTTTTTTTGTTTTGTTTTTGAGACGGAGCCTCACTCTGTCGCCCAGGCTGGAGTGCAATGGCGCGATCTTGGCCCACTGCAACCTCCGCCTCCCGGGTTTAAGGGATTCTCCTGCTTCAGCCTCTCGAGTAGCTGGGATTACCGGCGCGTGCCACCACGCCCAGCAAATTTTTGTATCTTTAGTAGAGATGGGTTTCACCATGTTGGCCAGGCTGGTCTCGAACTCCTGACCTCAGGTGATCCACCCACCTCGGCCTCGCAAAGTGCTGGGATTACAGGCGTGAGCCACCGCGCCCTGCCAGATTTAGGCATAATTTTCTACAAGAAACATTAGAGTGTGTGTTCCTTCCACTTTGGGGAGAAATCATAAATATACTACTACTTTCACATTTCAGATAGTATCTCTTGTATTTTTGTATAAATTGTATTTTTTATTAAGCAGTTGACATTTTAAGAATTTTAAAACTATGTAACTGTAAAACAATTTAATTGAAAATTATGTTGCAAACTGCACTAGTTTGTAATGGTAAATAAGAGTCCATTAACAAGTAGAAGAAAAGAAAAAAAAACTATTAGGTACCTGAGAACAAAAGTAACCGAAAATGTACAGGATCCATGGATAAAATTAATGGAGAAATGAACCATATTCATAAATGAGAAAAGATTAATGTAAAGGCCTCAATTTTCCCTGAACTAATCAGTACATATAATGCAATTCCAGTTAAAATCTCAAAAGGGTTTTTTTACTGAACTTGTTAAAATGACATTGAAATTCATATCAAAACTTAAGGTCCAAGAAAAGCGCTGTAATTGGGGAGAGGAGGATAGGGACAGGTAAGATCAGGGAATATATTGGGAGGACCAACCCTACCAGGATGTATTATATATTGGTTTAGGTATGGGCAAATAAACTACTAGAACATAATAAAGTCCCAGAACAAAACCTACACACATATGAGAACTTTGTATATAACAAAAGTAGCATTAAAAATTAGTGAGAAAGTCCAGACTGATCAATGAACCGTAGTGATACAATTGCTTTTTGTATGAGAAAAAAATTTTGATCCCTCCCTCTTATTATGCATAAAAATTAATTTGGGGAAGATTAGAAACCTAAATGTTAAAAGCAAAACTTTAAAAATGTGCAAGAAATATCAGTTCTTATCAACCTGATCTACTGATTCAATTCTAATCACCTCAAGTTATGTTGTGGATATCAGCAAACCAGTTCTAATGTTTACATGCAAAGCCACAAGAGCCAGAATAGCCAATACAATATTAAAGAAAAACAAAGTGAGAAAACAGACAGACTTGAAGACAGTATAGCTGGGTGCAGTGGCTCATGCCTGTAATCCCAGCACTTTGGGAAGCTGAGGCAGGAGGTTCGCTTGAGCCCAGGAGTTTAAGGCCAGCCTGGGCAACACAGTGAGACCTCATCTCTCCAAAAAAAAAATTAGCCAGGTGTGGTGGTGCACACCTGTAGTCACAGCTACTCCGAGGCTGAGACAGGAGGATTGCCTGAGCCCAAGAGATTGAGGCTGCAGTGAGCCATGATCAAGTTACTGCACTCAAGCTTGGGCAACAGAATTAGACCTTGCCTAAAAAAAGAAAAAAAAATAGTATATGTTCCAATAATCAAGACAGTGTAGTATTGAAGCCAAGGCGAGTGAATCACTTGGGGTCAGTAGTTTGAGACCAGCCTGGCCAACATGGTGAAACCCTGTTTCTACTAAAAATATAAAAATCAGCTGGGCGTGGTGGCAGGCACCTGTAATCCCAGCTACTCGGGAGGCTGAGGCCGGAGAATCACTTGAACCTGGGAGGCGGAGGTTGCAATGAACCAAGATCACACTACTGCACTTCAGCCTGGGTAATAGAGTGAGACTCTGTCTCAAAACCAAAAAAAAAAGACAGTGTAGTACAGTGTAGTATTCTCAAAAGAATAGAGAAATAGATCTATGGAACAAAATAGAGTCCAGAAATAGATCCACACAAATATAGTCAACTAATATTTAATATTTAACAAAGGAAAAAGGCAATTCAAATTTTCAATAAATGGTGCTGGAACAACTGGAGATACACTTGCAAAAAAAAAAAAAAAAAAGAAGAAGAAGAATCCAGACACAGATCTTACACCTTTCACAAAAAGTAATTTAAAATGGATCATAGACATAAATATAAAACACAAAACTATACAATTCTTAGAAAGCAACATAACAGAACATCTAGGTGACTCTGGGTTTGGCAGATACTTTTCAGATGCAGCACCAAAAGCACAACCCATGAAAGAAAACTGTTAAGTTGTACTTCATTAAAATTAAAAACTTTTGCTCTGCAAAAGATAGTTAAGATAATGTAAAGACAAGCCACAGACTGGAAAAAATGTTTGCAAAACATATTCAATAGAAGACTTCTATTCAAACTATACAGAGAACTCCTTAAACTTAACAATAGAAAAACCCAATTTTAAAATGGGCAAATGATCGGAACAGATATCTCATCAAGAAGATATACAGATGGCACAAAAGCATGTGAAAACATATTCAACATCTAAACAATGAGATACCATCACATATCTATTGGAACAGCTGAAATCCAAAACACAACCAGCCAAATGCTATGAAGATGTGAGGAGGAACTATCATCACTGGTAGGATGCAAAATGGTACAGCCACTTTGGAAGACAGTCTGGCAGATTCTTACAGAGTTAAACATAGCCTTACCATACAATCTAGCAATCATGTTCCTTGGTATCTACCCAGATGACTTGAAAACTTACATCCACACAGAAACTTGCACACTAATGTTTCTAGCACCTTTATTCATAACTGTCAAAAATTGGAAGCAACCAAGAAAATAGGTGAATGTACAATAAAAACTGCTACATCCATAAAATGGAACATTATTGAATGATGAAAAGAAATGAAGGACCAAGTCACAAGAAGGGAAGAATGGAGCATAGGAGATTTTTAGGGCAATGAAACTATTCTGTATGATATTATAATGGTGGATACATGACATTATAAATTGGTCAAAACTCACGGAACTATGCAATACAAAGAGTGAACCTTAATATAAACTATGGACTTTAGTTCATATTTGTATTTTTGTCAATCCACATACTGCCTTGCAGTAGTAGCTAATAAATGTAAATTAATAAAAAAGTCAGAAAATATAGGATCAGATCTCTATGATTGCAAGTTAAAGAAGGATTCCTAAACAGACTCATAAAGCACACACTATGAGGGAAAAGGACTGATAAATTTGAAAACATTAAAATTTGAAACCTCATGACCAAAAATACCATGAAGATAAATGACAAGCCATAAAAAGATCAGATATTTGCAATGTGTATGATCAAAAAGTATTTATACTCAGGATACTACTAATAAATAAGAAAGTTAAACCACCCAGTAGAATAACTGGCAAACAAATAGCAGTTTGAAGAAAAGGAAACCCAAATAGCCAATAAACTTTTGAAACTATACCTCCCTAATTGTAATGTCTAATAATTAAGATAATATAAATTAAAATAATGAGATACCATTTCACACCATTAGATTGGAAAAAATTTTGAAGTCTGATAATGCCAAGTGTACATTTCTTGTGGAGAAGTAAATTTATTTGTAAAAACTTTGGAAAACAATTTTGCAGGTTTTTATCAAGTTAAAGGTAGACATCCTTTACCACCCAGCAGTTTCAATTCCAGGTACATGCAAAAATCCCATACCATGTACTTGATAAAGTGTGTACAAGAATGTTCACTGCTGTCTTGCTCCTTGTGTTGCTAAAAACTGGCAGCAACCTAACTGTCCCACAATATGAAAATGATTGGATGGATGGACAGTTAGATCAATAGATCATTAGATGTTAGATAGATAGGAATATATTATAACAGAATAAAGATGGAAAATGGAGCATATGCATCTACTTATGCATCTATTCAGGAGCCAACAGGGACCCTAGAAGTCAAAATTCAAGCAATAGTTCTGGAAACCCAACAGCCCTTCTGGTTAGTTGAGTTCTCTGTGTCTTCTCTCCACCTGTTTTTACCTCTCTTCTGTTTCTGATTGCCTAGTTTTGCTTCCTCATGATTTCTGCCTACTGGCTTCTTTTCACGTGTCTTCCTATTATTTAGATCTTACTAAAAAGTTGTTCCCTGGAGGGGCATTTCCATCCATCACTTCCCTTATCACAACAACCTGTTTTTATTTTTTATATATCATGAAACAACGTGAGTTACCTTGAAATCAATGTATTCACTTTTTTTTTTCAGCAAAGCAGCAAAAGTTTATTAAGCATAGTAACACTCTCAGAGAGGGGAGAGTGCGCTGACCTCTGTGAAATGAGATCAGCTAAAATCAGTGTATTTTTTATTTACCTTTTTAGTGTCCCTCTTATGTATTGGAATGTTACCGCCAGGAAAGCAGAGCCACAGCTTGTCTATTGCCACATTTCCACTGCCTACAATAGTGCCTAGAACATAAAAGATAATAAATAAATGCTTAAGCCCACCTAAGTAGTTCTGAAACTCTGCCAGTGTCACATAAGAATAGCCCTCAGCCAGGGGCTGTATCCACTTAACTCATTATGCTGAAATCACCTGCCTGATTATTTCCTAGACCACTGGCCAGCCCACTAGTTATCTTTGAGTCTGGAAAAAAATCTTAGCTACAGGGTGTCAGTAAAATATTCCAGCAACTTGCAACACACGTCAAGAGAATATAACATAGCTATGAAGATGTAACATTATTTTGAAGTATCCAACACATTTAATAGTCCCTTTCCCATACTTCACATGGCATTGGGACCCTCCAATACCTGGAATGTCCTGTCTCCTATGTCTGCTTCTTACACCCTCACTCATCCTTCAAAGCTTAACTCTCCAGCAGTCTTCTTCATGGAGCTTATCTGGATTTTCCTAGTCCAAATTTACTTCTCCCTTTTATGTATCTGTTAAAACACCTACAAAATTCTGCCTTATGACACCCACATTGTGTATTTAAGTCATAATGATTATACCACATATAAAAGACTAGAAAAGCTGTTTCTGACTTGTTACATAATGAGCATTTGTATGAGGGAATGAAAGGATCACTAAATATAAACCCGGGGGTGCTCTGGTTGTTACATGACAAGGGTCTGAATTCAGACCCCAAGAGAGGGTTCTTGGATCTCATGCAAGAAAGAATTCAGGGCGAGTCTGCAGTGCAAAGTGAAAGGAAGTTTATTAAGAAAGTAAAAGAAAAAAAGAACAGCTACTCCATAGACAGAGCAGCCTGGGGGCTGCAGATTGCCTATTTTTATGGTTATTTCTTGATGATATGCTAAACAAGGGGTGGATTATTCATGCCTCCTCTTTTTAGACCACATAGGGTAACTTCCTGACATTGTCATAGAATTTGTAAACTGTCGTGGTGCTGGTGGGAGTGTAGCAGTGAGGACGACCAGATGTCACTCTCGTCACCATTTTGGTTTTGGTGGGTTTGGGCTGGCTCCTTTACTTCAACCTGTTTAATTAGCCATCCCTCTTGTTTCTTCTAAGCAGCAGCCAGAGATCACTGGTTGGTTTACAGGAATAAGCAGGGTTGGCCTAAATTGCAGAAGCAAAAACAACTGATGAGACTAGAATTTAATAGCAAGTATACCATAGTTATTGAAACATAATCTCTGTCTCCAGTTTCCCATTTTTACTAAAGACAAATTATGGTAAGACCAATTTGCTTTATTAAACTTGGCCTGATTATTTGTATAAACTGCAGCAAGAATCATTATTTACCATATAGGCTTTTTAACTGGCTTTGATAGAACTTTGTTCCATAAGGAATCTCAGATAAGACTTTTTTAGAGCCAAGTCCTGCCATGGGTTTGTACCCTCAATATGTGATTTAAGTAAATTTCTTTCCTCTTGGGGTCCCAAGAAAACTTGGGCCTTCTGGGCCTAAGAGAAAGTGACATTCTTTACTTACCACAGGTCAGAAACCCTGTACAAGGGACTGTGTAGGCAAGGTATGAGGCCAGTTCCCCAAAGGGCTTTTATTGGCTTTAAAAGTCAAGTTTGACTCCTTAAAGGAAAGCACACCATTCCAGTTAAAGCCTTGGTAAAATAACCAATTTCTCCAATTGTGTCCTGTTGCAAAAGAAAACTGATTCTTATTGCACTTATGCAAATAACCACATTGCTGTAAGTTCAGAAAGCTCACAAATAGTCTCCAAATTCTAGAGAAATCAGGTAGAGAAACAAATATGCTCCAAATGTTATTCACAGCAGTATAGGTTACTCGATTGCTACAAGCTGTAAATAGCTCAAAAGAAAAGTTTTCTTGACCCTGAAAAACAAAACAAAGGATCAGCAATGTTTTAAGCAAAAAGTCACAAAGATTACTTCTGTTTTTTATTGATTCTGGTTATTTAGTTAACTCCTGTTTTGCTTGATATTCACGAACACTTTAGCTCTCTGACAGTTCTGAAAGGTGTTTCCTCTATTCTAATGTCACAATTTTCAAAGTTATCAGAAACCTGCATTTAAGAATACCTGTTAGAGTTCTATAGCTGATTATAAACCACCATCTAAAGAGGGTTAAAACAAGACAAAAATTGTCTGTGGATGACAAAAACATCTTAGGACAGCTACAGTCAAAACCACGATTGACAAAGAAATTTTGGTTACCTCTGTGGCACACAATGATTTTATGTAACAATATAACTACTCATAACATACACTAAGCCATATTAGAATTATAGAAGTTTCCCATAATTTTGGAACATATGCTAATAACACATTTACAGCCCAAAGGAAACCAAACACCATTTCATATTTGATAATGCTTCCTATATAACTTTTATACCAAATAAGCCAAATGTCACTGTTTCATTAGTGCATTATTGACTTCAAACCAAATTCTTAATGAAACCTTATCAATAAATGTATTTAATTTTAATCAGTTTGACCATAGGTAAAATTTTCATAAACCTTTTACAACCCTTTACAATTTTTGTTAAAGAGCAGATCATAAGGAGGTTCTTGCTTTAAGAAAAACCTGTTGGGCCAGGCAAAGTGACTCACGCCTGTAATCCCAGCACTTTGGGAGGCTGAGGTGAGTGGATCGCCTGAGGTCAGGAGTTTGAGACCAGCCCGACTTACATGATGAAACCCCATCTCTATTAAAAATACAAAAATTAGCTGGACATGGTGGTATGCACCTGTAAACCCAGCTACTTGGGAGGCTGACACAGGAGAATCACTTGAACCCGGGAAGCTGAGGTTGCAGTGAGCCTACATTACACCACTGCACTCCAGCCTGGGCAACAGATCGAGACTCTGCCTCAAAAAAAAAAAAAAAAAAAAGGAAACTCTGTTGTGCTTTTATTCCAATGGTTAATTTGCAGAAAAACTGAATAATACCCCTTTTACTTTAGCCAGTGTCCACACAGAATCTTTTTTGCAGGTTAAGTTTTCATAAACCATCAGAATTTTTTTTCTTTCTTAAACAATCCTTTAACACTTTAATGTAGGCAGAAAAAAATCCACCTTCCCATGACTTCTTATACTCTTTCACCAAAAACACATTTTACTTTCTTTACACACCTTCCATGTAAAATTGTTTCTTTGTAGTTTTAATTACATGTTATAATGTTAACGTTCTGCAATTTCTATTTTTGGTGAAAACTTTGGTAAATCTGAGATTTTAATTATGTATTAAGTGTGGATCCTAGCCTAAGAGACACCAGGCAGAAGTGCATGTAAGAGCTGACTCTCCAGCATAGCTAGGGGGTGTGGCTGATTCTACATGTCTCCAGGCCTTGCCTTACTTAAGCAGGCAAGTTTTACAGTAAGAGTCATGGTGGCATTGTATGAAGCATTTAGAATGCCTAACAACCTTTGAATTGTACATTTCTTGCATAAATTCCTTTCACAAATCCTTTCATGACTTCCACAGACCATCTGAGACATTCTTGGGCTTTCTGACTTGCCCTAAACATCAATAGTCATTTTACTTTAAGACAAGAATTTACCATACAAGATCCTTTCTCATATAAAATCTCTTTTTTTAATAATCTTCTTTGTATAGCTAGGGGGTATGGCGAATTCCACATGTCCCCAGGCCTTATCTAGAATCTAATGGCTTTAAGATAGATAAATTGAACAATTTTCAAGCAGTTTATGACCTTAAAGCATTTACTAAATTTAATATCTGACCTGCATAACTTAGACCAAATGTCTTTATTTACCAATAATTTTTTAAACTATCTTGGCCAGGCACAGTGGCTCACGCCTGTAATCCCAGCACTTTGGGAGGCCAAGGCGGGTGGATCACAAGGTCTGGAGTTCGAGACCATCCTGGCCAACATGGTGAAACTCCATCTCTACTAAAAATACAAAAAATGAGCTGGGCGTGGTGGCACGCACCTGTAGTCCCAGCTACTTGGGAGGCTGAGGCAGGAGAATCACTTGAACCCAGGAGGCGGAGGTTGCAGTGAGCCCAGATTGCACCACTGCACTCCAGCCTGGTGACAGAGCGAGACTCCATCTTAAAAAAAAACAAAAACAAAAAACGATCTTTAGTTCCCAAAGATTACTTAAGTCACATGACTAAAACTCATTATACTTTTTTACTTTTCTAATAAAATATTAAGCTCTTATTATTTTTAAACTAATTAAAGCTGTTTCATATGTAAATATCAAACACATAACACATATAAACACATAGACAGACAGAAGATAAAGGATCATCCCCTAGGCCAGGAATTGAACCCTAAACCCAGGCCACCATTGTGAAAAGAGAAAGCATGGCCACATGGTTACAAGGTCAAGTTCCCAAGGGCATAACTGACCAGAGAGAAACTTTATCCAGTTTACACACACACACACACACACACACACACACACACACACAGAGGGAGAAGCTAGAAATCTGATTGGTAAGAAATTCTTATCCTTTTGCTGGCCTGCCAGGCTTCTGGATTCCCTTTCCCTGAGCAGCCCTAGTGACCCAGCTGGCTGTACACAGCCCTAGGGGCCAAGCCACAACACAAAGGAAAATTATCTTTTTCTGTTCTGGCCAGAGCAAAATACATGTGACAAAACGTAGACATTAGCCACTCTGCTTAACACCCACTATTAAATTCAAAAGGCTTAAACTTGCCCCTGGTTGGGCCCCGTCATGAGGTTAATCCAACCTCTGACCAGGAGTTTCAACATGTGGTCTCTGGGCAAGATGGTCACCCTGAATAATAGAGAAGATAAGAAAGAGAAAGGAGAGAAAGAAAAGCATTGCCTGTGGCAGGGTGGGGAAGGCAAAATTATCAAGGAGGCCAGAGAAAGACTCACCCATTGCATCGACACTGAAAAGTTCTAGTGGCTGCTGCCGGTCAAGCAGGGATCTTTTCCAGCAATCCTATCAGTTTTCAAGTTTCGCCTTTTAGGGACGAAAATGCTCCACATGTCACACAATCCTCTACATGCCTAATCCCATCACCCACAGGCCTCAAAGAAGAGTGCAAGGCAGATTAATCCAAAGAGAACAGCAGTTAACAACCCGTAGTGCCAAACCTGTTCTTAGCCAAGAGGGATTTTATCAAGAGGGGCTTCTAATCCCCTAAATCTTAGAAGGCCTCTAATCCCCTTCTAAGTTGGGCCTCTAACCCAATGCCAGTCAAGGATCCTTGCCTTTTATGAAGAGGGGCCTCTAACCTACTCTGCCTTAGGAGAGACTCTAACTCCCCCAAGTTGGGCCTTGAACAAGCCCATTCTTTATCTGGGTACCCCACCACTTACCCAAAATCATCCAATCAGTGCTGCAGTCTATTTCCTTTGGGTTGGGGGGGTGTTTAGTAATGTCCCTTCAAGATTCACCAGAAATATTCTACAGGACCCCAACACTTACCCAAAGGTAGCTGTTGGGTCAGGGATTCTGTACTATAGTCCCTCCTGTGGTCACTAGAAATATGTTACAGGACAGGAGTCTGGATTCAGGCCCCAAAAGAGGGTTCTTGGATCTTATGCAAGAAAGAATTCAGAGTGAGTCTGCAGTGTAAAGTGAAAGCAAGTTTATTAAGAAAGTAAAGGAATTAAAGAACAGCTACTCCATAGACAGAGCAGCGGGGCTGCTGGTTGCCCATTTTTATGGTTATTTCTTGATGATATGCTAAACAAAGGGTGGATTATTCATGCCTCCCTTTTTTAGACCATATAGGGTAACATCCTGATGTTGCCATGGCATTTGTAAACCGCTATGGTGCTGATGGGAGGGTGGCAGTGAGGAAGACCAGAGGTCACTCTCGTCACCATTTTGGTTTTGGTGGGTTTAGGCTGGCTCCTTTACTGCAACCTGTTTGTCAGCAAGGTCTTTATGATCTGTATTTTGTGCCGACCTCCTATTTCATCCTGTGACTTAGAATGCCTTAACCATCTGGGAATGCAGCCTAGCAGGTTTCAGCCTCATTTTACCTAGCTCCTATTCAAGATGGAGTTACTCTGGTTCACATGCCTCTCACATGGTCATAAATGTTTTAATTATAATGGGATTAGATTTAGTTACCAGAGTGTTGCGGGAAGTCAGGGACCCCAAATGGAGGGACCAGCTGGAGCTGCAGCAGAGGAACATAAATTGTGAAGATTTCATTTTAATATGGACATTTATCAGTTCCCAAATAATACTTTTATAATTTCTTATGCCTGTCTTTAATCTCTTAATCCTGTTATCTTCATAAGCCGAGGATGTATGTTACCTCAGGACCACTGTGATAATTGTATTAACTGTACAAATTGATTGTACAACATGTGTGTTTGAATAATATGAAATCAGTGCACCTTGAAAAAGAACAGAATAACAGCAATTTTTAGGGAACAAGGGAAGACAACCATAAGGTCTGACTGCCTGCGGGGTTGGGCAAAAAGAGCCATATTTTTCTTCTTGCAGAGAGCCTATAAACAGACGTGCAAGTAAGAGAGATATCGCTAAATTATTTTCCTAGCAAGGAATATTAATACCCTGGGAAAGGAATGCCTTCCTTGGGGGAGGTCTATAAATGGCTGCTCTGGGAATGTCTGTCTTGTGTAGTTGAGATAAGGACTGAGATATGCCCTGGTCTCCTGCAGAACCCTCAGGCTTACTAGGGTGGGGAAAAACGTGGCCCTGGTAAATTTGTGGTCAGGCTGGTTCTCTGCTCTCGAACCCTGTTTTCTGTTGTTTAAGATGTTTATCAAGACAATATATGCACCGCTGAACATAGACCCTTATCAGTAGTTCTGCTTTTGCCCTTTGCCTTGAGATCTTTGTTGGACCCTTATCAGTAGTTCTGCTTATGCCTTTTGTCCTGTTCCCTCAAAAGCATGTGATCTTTGTTAGACCCTTATTAGTAGTTCTGCTTTTTGTCCTTTGAAGCATGTGACCTTTGTACCTACTCCCTGTTCTTACACCCCCTCCCCTTTTGAAACCCTTAATAAAAATGTGCTGGTTTGAGGCTCAGGTGGGCATCACGGTCCTACCGATATGTGATGTCACTCCTGGTGGCCCAGCTGCAAAATTCCTCTCTTTATACTGTCTCTATTTCTCAGCCGGCCGACACTTATGGAAAATAGAAAGAACATACATTGAAATATTGGGGGCGGCTTCCCCCAATACAGAGTAACAACATAAAGAATTTGCAGAAGAAAATATTCTGTGAAACAAGATCATGTAGGCAAGTCTAACAGCTAGATCATCCACCAAATTGCAGACGTGTTTAAAATGAAATCACTCTCGCACACCTCATGGAAAATCAGTTAATTCATGTCATTGTAGAGTGAACTGAATATTAAGGAATTCAAAACATCTGTGATACCAGACTTCAAGGACATGCAAGCTCTGCCCTACCCCCCCATGAAAACAAGGGAAAAAGAAGGCTGCTAAGGGCTAAGATTTTTAGAGATGCTACGTCGAAATGAGGCTGCCACTATTCTGCACTTTTCAAATTTAAGATAGACTAAGGGATCTGGTCATCTATAAAACTGCTGCAGCAACCACATTAATCATCTAAGAAAGGCTTACTACTTATATGTGTGCTCAGTTGTAGCACCTAATATTTAACTCTGTACAACCTGCCTCTTGGTTCTTGTTCTATCTTGTCTCTTTTTGTATTTCTAGAATCAGAAATTATAAATTATAGAGTTATAAACTATAACTCTATTTCATACATAAGATTATCTCAAGAGCTGGAATTCTATCATTTTCCCCTTTATATCCTTAGCAGTCTTAAGACTGTGTTTACATATTGTAAATTACAACTGTGGGTTTAATTGAACAAAGAAACATACCAAACTGTCCCTAATTTTCATCATCTAAAATATATAAGAAGAAAAATTGTAAACATCATTATATGAGTAATGAAAGAGGATGTACCTTACAAATGTTAGATCACATCTTTAAGCTATAAATTGTGAGGTCAGCACAGGAATAAAGAGCTCAATACAAAAAGAAAGATTCAAGGATATAGGGGTATGTAGTATGCAAAAAAGGCAATATTTTAACTCAGTAGGGGAAAGTTATTAAAAAATAATATTGAGGCTGGGCACAGTGGCTCACATCTGTAATCCAAACACTTTGAAAGGCTGAGCAAGGGAGGATCACTTGAGCCCAGGAGTTTGAGACCAGCCTGGGCAACAGAGTAAGACCCCGTCTCTACAAAAAATAAATAAATAAATTAGCTGAATGTGGCCATGGTGCAAACCTAGAGTCCCAGCTACACAGGAGGCTGAGCTGGGAGGATTGCTTGAACCCAGGAGGTTGAAGCTGCAGTGAGCCAGCACCATGCCAGCCTGGGTGAGAGAGCAAGACCCTTTTTTAAAATAATAATGATAATGATAGATTACTTTTCACAGATTTTGGTAAAGTTGGTTTAGTAATCAATGTTATTTAAGTTGTAGTAATAAAAAATTCACAAGTGCTGATAAATACTTCATCATAATTATATAAATATCAAATATATGCATATATATTTGCATATACAAATGCAAACATATATAATATTCTAAATATATATTTATACATATTTACATATTATACATACATAATATATAAATATGTGCATATATATTTTATATTATGTATGTATATAATATATAAATATGTGCATATATAAATGTAGGCATTTATATTATAAATATATATTTATGTATATAACAAATATACATGTATCTCAGTAACAAATACATCACTCTAAAGATGAAAAAATAGATACTTAGCTTGCTTAAATCCTGGAGGTTTCTTAATCCATTTTTCCCCAGGGCTTAGGTGATGATTGGCATTTAGTAGCCACTTAATAATTAATTGTTGAATGATAAAACAGGTGACAGACTAAATATGTTCTGCATTATGGTTTAAAATTTTTTTTTCAGACTCTACACTGAATTGAATAATCAGCCTTTATTGTTTTACTGCCATTCCAACTTTCCCCCAAATGAATGTAATTACCAATTCCTAAGTTAAACTTTTAATATCGTTATACCTATTTGGTTCTTCATAAGGAATATTTAAACAAATATTTTGATATTTTGAAGAAAGGATTTCAGAACAGTTATGTGTACCCACAAACTACAAAAGGCTAATGCTTACTACTTGTGTGACTGCAGTATATGAAAGACACACAAGAATCATTTTCTCCCCCTTCAGATTCTACTTGGCTTTGCTCCAAAGGATGCAATGGTTTTAAGACTTTCTTCCTCTTTAGAGATGTGGTGAAGGGGATTAAAAGGATGAGCTTTGTAGTTAGACAGTCCTGCTGTCGAATTTGAGCAACTTATTTCATCTCTTTTAACCTCAGTTTCCTCATCTCTGTTGTTATCACTGCAAAACCGTTGCAAAATAGTGATAACAACAGCGATGCAGAGAAGATTTAAATAAATGATTGTCAAGTCTTTGAAATAATGCCTGGTGCTAGTAAGGGCTCAGATATGTTTTGGCCAATATTATTAAATATTTATCTGGATTAAATAAAATGGTACGTAATAGCTATTATTGCATGAGTTATGTTATTATTAATAAATAGTAGAAGGAGGTAAAAGACATTCTTAACTTAATCCAGGGAAATTGTTCCAATGTTTAAACCTTAGTTAGTTCAGAACCCAGAACTTCAAAATCTAGAACTGAGTTAAAACTTTGGGGTCTGCCTAATCCAATGATGTTTTTCTTTTCTTTCCTTGGGGTAAGTTTATCAGAGGCTAGAGGGGAATATGCTGGGGAAAAAGTAAAGAGAATATCAAGGACCTACTTTCTCTGGTCCTTTGTTATCTACTAAGTCTGCTCATGTTACTCTCCTTTTTTTCCCATTGTATATTTTAAAGCTGCTATGAGTAACACGATCTGGAAAGACAGCGCTAGCAAGGAATGAGGAGTGATACAGTGACTGGAGGCTAAGAGATAATGTCTGCAAGTCACCTAAAACCATTGCAGACACAGGGAGATTGATGGATTTGGAGGACTTCTGGTTGTGAAGACTCTGACGATTGCTAAAGAGTTAAGTGAAATACTAGCGTGGTTTTTTTGTGTGTGTTTTTTGTTTGTTTGTTTGTTTGTTTGTTTATAAAAACAGGCAGAATGTAGCCCTATTAATTGTAAACTGGCAAGATAAACCAGGATGCCAGTAACCACTAGACGACAGATTGTCAAGAAATCCAGTAATAACCATCCACAAGAGTTTAAAGTACAGTGAGGCAAAATCCTGATGGCTTTAAAAGAATAAAGCCTACTGTACCAATTAGTAAACTTTTATGATAGTGTTAGACCATTAGTGATAATGAGGAAACATTGGATTTAATATATTTGAACTGTGGTAAGATGTGATTCTTTCTTTTTGTCAACACATTAAAACCATATGGTTTAGAATCCAGTATTATAAATTAGAAAATTGACTGGAAATCTATCCAACTGGTTCACAGTGCTATTGCTGCTGAAATTTACTAAATGGGTCTATTTAAGGATCAGTCCAAGGGATTTTTAATATACTTATAGGAGACAAGGATGAGACATTTTACAAAAAAAACAGTAGGAGTTTCTACCCACTCATACACCTCTGAGTCAGTGTTTAGAAACAGTTAATTGCCAAACTGAGGTACACCTTCTTGACCCAAAACCGTATGTCTGAAACAAATATGTAAGAGGTGTCCAAACACAGACCTTCAGATGGAAAAAATAAAAAGGAAGGTGGGGAAGGGGAAGAGGCAGAGTGGTAGAAAAACCTAAATAATATAAGATGTCCTAATTAACTATAAAAGGAATACAAAACTTATGTATTTAGATAGATACAAATTGCCTCCTTTAATGTTAGTTATCTCATGAGTTTATCACAAAATAATAAATGATAAAAGCAGTACACATGACAAATCATAAAAAACCAAAATTATCAACCTGAGGGTGAAAAGAAGGACCAAATATTATGAAGCAAATGAATTCTTCTAAGTAAAAACTGAGTCAAAAGGAAATTTAAAATATATTGTATTAGGCCATTCTTGCATTACTATAAAGAAATACTTGAGCTTGGGTAATTTATAAATAAATGAGATTTCATTGGCTCACAGTTATGTAGGCTTTACAGGAAGCATGGTGCTGGCATCTGCTCAGCTTCTAGGGAGGCCTCACCAAGCTTACAATCATGGTGGAAGGTGGAGGGGGACCAGGCACATCACATGGTGAAAGCAGGTGAAAGTGAGAAAGAGAGTAGAGTGAGGAGGTGCCACACACTTTTAAATGACCAGATCTCGAGTGAATTTAAAGCAAGAACTGACCTATCACCAATGGGATGGCCTAAGCTTTTCATGAGGGATCCATTCCCATGGTCCAAACACCTGCCACCAGGCCTCACCTCCAGCACTGGAGATTATATTTCAACATGAGATTTAGCTGGGGACAAATATCCAAACTATGCATATATTAATACTATTTTCAAATTTATTGATAAGAAAAGTATATACAAAAACGGGCTACTGCTAAATCAGAAATTTTTTTATTATCAGAATAGGGCAAGAGAAAATAAGCACTGTGTTTAACATTTAAAAAAATATCAGGGCTGGGTGCAGTGGCTCATGCCTATGATCGTAGCATTTTGGGAGGCCGAGGAGGTGAGCGGATGACCTGAGCTCAGGAGTTCGAGACCAGCCTGGGCAATGTGGCAAAACCCCGTCTCCACAAAAAATACAAAAATTAGCCAGATATGGTGGCTTGCACCTGTAGTCCCAGCTACTTGGGAGACTGAGGTGGGAGGATTGTTTGAGCCTGGGAGGTAGAGGTTGCAGTTTGCTGGGATAGCACCACTGCACTGTGTCTCAAAAACAAAAACAAAAACCTGCAGGGAGGGGAAATGGGAAGAGCAGTCTCCAGAAAATCAATCTCTCAGCTTAGCCAAGGCTACCTCAGCTATAATAGAATATGCAAATATAAATGGGATTCTGTTGTGCCACCAATAACCAGTTTGGGGGAAAATATTTTTTCAAAAAAAAAAAAAAGATTGCATAGGCATATGCAGCATAAAGAGTAAGTTACTCAGGAATAAAGATGTGCAAGAACTTTTTCTTCTTTGGTATATGCTCATTTTTTAAATTATAAAATATTAAAATGTAAAAAGAAACAAATAGTGTCTTTTTTCTACTCAGCAATAATTACAAATAACATTAGCTCCACATGGTTTCGTTAAAAATAATTTAATCCAAATGGTGATTAGTCTAAATGACAAAGTGGTCAAAACCCATTCTCAGTAATTAACTTTTACACATGATGCTCCATTTACCAATTTCTCAATCATTATGCATCTTTAATAATTTTTGTCTGTTTTGGAATTTTTCAGATGGTTTTCCTGTTTTTCTTAAGTATTTTCAGCTAATTCTATAGGTCTGAGCTACATGAACACTGAAATTTTAAAAATAACCTAAATACTAAGTGGGAAACAAGAAATTTGTGTTACCCAGGCCCCATAAACTTAGGCAGTCAATAAATTAAAATGTAGTCACAAAAAGTATCCATTGAAATGAAAAACAAAATAAGGTGATCAAACCGTACATATGTGTTTTCAAGTTAAAAAACTAAAATTAAAAAATACATATGTATGCACATATATATCTATATTTATGCCCAGAAAGGGATTTGGGAAGGTAGAAGTCATTGTTAGACATAAACAACATAAATCAGTATTTTTATTGTAAATTGGCAAATTATCATTGTATATATTTATGAGGTACAAAGTGATATTATGTCATATATATATACAATGTGGAATGATTAAATCAAGCTAATTAACACATCCATCACCTCAAATACATATCATTTTTTGTGATGAGAACATTCACAATTTACTCTCTTAGCAACTTTTAAAATCTTTTTTATTTATATTTATTTACTTATTTATTTATTTATTATACTTTAAGTTCTGGGATACATGTGGACAACATGCAGGTTTGTTACATAGGTATAAACGTGCCATGGTGGTTTGCTGCACCCATCAACCCATCATCTACATTAGGTATTTCTCCTAATGCTATCCCTCCCCTAGCCCCCCACCCCGACAGGCCCTGGTGTGTGATGTTCCCCTCCCTGTGTCCATATGTTCTCATTGTTCGACTCCCACTTATTATTAACTATGGTCATCATGCTGTGCAATAATCTCAAAAAACATATTTCTCCTAACAGAAACTTATTACCTTTTAACCAACATCCCCCCTATCCCCAGCCTTTGATAGCCACCATTCTACTCTCTACTTTTATAAGGGTTCAATTGTTTTTTTGTTTATTTGGTTGGTTTTCTTTTTCTTCTTTTTTTTTTTTTTTGAGAAAAGGAAGGAAGGAAGGAAGGAGAGAAGGAAGGAGGAAGGAAGGAAGGGAGGGAGGGAGGGAGGGAGGAAGTCTTACTCTGTCACCCAGGCTGGAGTGCAGTGGCACGATCTCAGCTCACTGCAGCCTCTACCTCTTGGGTTCATGCAATTCTCCTGCCTCAGCCTCCTGAGTAGCTGCGACAACAGATTCATGCCACCACGCCTGGCTATATAAGTATTTGATTGTTTTACATTCCACATTAGGTGAGTTCATGTGTTTTTCTGTGCCTGGCTTAGTACACGTAGCATAATGTCCTCCAGGTTTATCCATGTTGTCTCAAATGACAGAATTTCCTCTTTTTTAATGCTGAATATTATTTTACTGTGAATATATACCACGTTTTCTTTATCCATTTATCCATTGATGTACACTTAGGTTGATCCCATAACTTGGCTATTGCAAATAATGCTCTAATGAACATGGTAGCACAGACATCTCTTCAACATACTGATTTCATCTCCTTTGCTTATATACCAAAAGTGGCATTGCTAGATTATATGGTAATTGTATTTTTAGTTTTTTGCAGAATCTCCATACAGTTTTCCATAATGGCTATATTAAGTTACATCCCCATCAACAGTGTAAAAGGGTTTACTTTTCTTCAAATCCTCACCAAAATTTATCTTTTATCTTTTTTGATAATAGCCATTCTGACAAGTATGAGGTGATAGTTGTTTGTGGTATTAAACTGCATTTCCCTAATGAGTAGTGATGTTGAGCATTTTTTCATATATCTGTTGGTCATTTGTATGTCTTCTTTTGAGAAATGTTTATTCAAGTTTTTTGCCCATTTTCTTTTCTTTTCTTTTTCTCTCTCTTATTTTTTTTTTTTTAGACAGAGTCTCAGTCTGTTGCCCAGGCTGGAGTGCAGTGGCACAATCTTGGCTCACTGCAACCTCCACCTCCCAGGTTCAAGCAATTCTCCTATCTCAGCCTCCTGAGTAGCTGGGATTACAGGCATGCGCCACCATGCCTGGCTAATTTTTGTATTTTTAGTAGAGATGGGGTTTTGCCATGTTAGCCAGGCTGGTCTTGAACTCCTGACCTCAGGTGATCTGCCTGCCTTGGCCTCCCAGAGTGCTGGGATTAAAGGCATAAGCCACCACGCTTGGCCCACCCATTTTTCAATCAGGTTATTTGTTTTATTCTTAATGAATTTTCTGAGTTCCTTATACATTTTGGGTGTTAATCTCTTATCAGACGTATGTCTTGTTTTTGGCCACTTGTACATCTTCTTTGAGAAGTATTTGTTCATGTCTTTTGCCCATTTTTTGGTGAGGTCATTTGTTTTTTGCTTGTTGAATTGTTTAAGTTCCTTATAGATTCTGAATATTAGACCTACGTGGATGCATAGTTTGTGAATATTTTCTCCCATTCTGTAGGTTGCCTGTTTACTCTCTTGTTAGTTTCTTTAGCTATGCAGAAGCTGTTTAATTTAACTAGGTCCCACTTATCAATTTTTGTTTTTGTTGCAAGTGCTTTTGAGGTCCTAGTCATAAATTCTTTCCAAAGACCAATGTCTAGAATGGTGTTTCCTAGGTTTTCTTCTAGAATTCTTATAGTTTGAGGTATTATATTTAAATTTTTAATACAAGCCTGGTGCAGTGGCTCATGCTTGTAATCCCAGCATTTTGGGAGGCTGAAGTAGGTGGATCACTTGAGCCCAGCAGTTCAAGACCAGTGTGGGCACTATGGTGAAACTCTGTCTCTACAAAAAATTAAAATATTAGCCGGGCCTGGTGGCATGTGCCTGTAATCCCAGCTACATGGGAGGCTGAGGCAGGAGGATCACCTGAGCCCAGGGAGGTCAAGGCTGCAGTGACCTATAAACCTGGCACTGCACCCCAGCCTGGATGACAGAGTGACTCTCTGTCTCAAAAAACAAACAAAACAAAACAAAACAGAAGTCTTTAATCCATCTTGAGTTAATTTATACATCTGTTGAAAGATAGGGGTCTAGTTTCATTCTGCATGTGGCTAGCCAGCTATGCCAGCACCATTTATTGAATAGGGTGTCATTTCCCCAGTGCTTATTTTTGTCAACTTTGTCAAAGATTAGATGGCTGTAGTGTGCAGCTTTATTTCTGGGTTCTCTATGCTGTTTCATTGGTCTATGTGTCTGGTTTGGTACCATGCTGTTTTGGTGACTGTGGCCTTATCATATAGTTTGCAGTCAGGTAACATGATGCCTCCACTTGTGTTCTTTTTACTTAAGATTGCTTTGGGTATTGGGCTTTTTTTGGATCCATTTACATTTCAGAATAGTTTTTATATGTCTGTGAAAAATGATATTGCTAGTTTGATAGCAATGGCATTAAATCTGTAGATTGCTTTGAGCAGTATGGCCACTTGAACAATATTGATTCTTTCAATCCATGAGCATGGAATGTTTTTCCATTAGTGTCATCTGTGATATTGTTTAGCAGTGTTTCATAGTTCTCCTTGTAGAGATCTTCCACTTATTTGGTTAGATTTATTCCTAGGTATTGTTTTGTGTAGCTATTGTAAATGGGAATGCATTCCTGATTTGGCTGTCAGTTTTAACATTAATGGTATGCAGAAATGCTACTGATTTTTGTACATTGATTTTGTATCCTGAAACTTTATTGTAGCGCTGGGCTTTTCTTTGATGGGAGACTTTTTATTACTGATTCAATCTCTTTCCTCATTATTGTTCGATGCAGATTTTCTATTTCTTCAAGATTCACTCTTGGTAAGTTGTATATGTCGAGGAATCTATCCATTTCTTCTAGGTTATCCAGTTTGTTAGCATATAGTTGTTCAAAGTAATCTCTTATGATTATTTTTATTTCTGTGGTATCAGTTGTCATGTCTCTCATTTCTGATTTTATTTGAGTTTTCTTCTCTTTTTTTCTTAGTATAACTACACTTTTATCAATTTTATGTTTTTAATAAGCCAACTCTTAGTATTGTTTATATTTTTCAATTTTTTTCTAGTCTCTATTTTATTTATTTACCCTCTAATCATTGTTATTTCTTTCCTTCTGCTCACCTTGGACTCAGTTTTTTCTTCTTTTTCCTAATTCCTTGTAGCATAACATTAGATTATTTATTTGAGAACTTCCTCTTTTTTGAAATAGGCATTTATTGCTATAAATTTCCCTCTTAGAATTGCTTTTGCTACATCCTGTAAGTTTTGGTATATTATGTTTCCATTTTCATTTAACTCAAGATAATTTTTAATTTCCCATTTGATTTCTTCTTTGACCCATTTGTTGTTCAGGAGCATGTTATTTAATTTCCACATATTTCTGAATTTTCAAAACTTCTGTTATTTAATTTTTAGTTTCATACCATCGTGGTCAGAGAAGTTACTTGATATGTTTCAATCCTCTTAAATTTGTTCAGACTTGTTTTGTGGTCTAACATATAATTTATCCTAGAGAATGTTACGTGTGTTCTTGAGAAGACTGTGTATTCTGTTGTTGTTGGATGAAATGCTCTGTATATGTCTCTTAGGTCTACTTGATCTAAAGTGTAGTGCAAGTCCAGTGTTTCCTTATTAATTTTTTATGTGGATGATCTGTTCATTATTGATAGTAGGACTTGAAGGCCCCTATTATTATTATATTGCAATCTATCTATTCCTTCAGATTTTTAAATGTTTGCTTTATATATTTAGGGACTCCAATGTTGGGTGAATATAGATTTACAATTGTTATATTCTCTTGATGAATTGGCCCCTTTATAATTATATAATGACCTTCTTTGTCTCTTTTTACAGTTTTTTAAATTTAAAGTCTGTTTTATCTGATATAAATATAGCTACCCCTGTTGTCTTTTGGTTTCCATTTGCATGGAATATCTTTTTCCATCTCTTTACTGTCAGTCTATTTGTGTCCTGAAAAGTGAAGTGAGTCTCTTCTAGGCAGTATATAGTTGGGTCCTGTTTTTTTTTAATCCATTCAACTACTCTGTCTTTTATTGGAGAATGTAATCCACTTACATTTGTCTTAGTTTATTTTGCACTGCTATAACAGAATACCACAGACTATGTAATTTATAATGAACAGAAATGTATTGGCTCATGGTTCTGGAGGCTGGGAAGTCCAAGATCAAGGGATCGGCATCTGATAAAGGCCTACTTGCATCCTAACACAGTAGAAGGCATCACATGGATGATAGAAAGAACAAGAGGATGCCAAACTCATCCTTTTATAAGGAACTCACTCCTGTGACAATGGCATTAACTCATTCATTAGGACAGAGCCCTATGACCCAAATACCTCCCTATAGGCCTGCACCTCCCAACACCTCCACGTTGGAGGTCAAGTTTCCAACATATGAACTTCAGGTGGCACAGTCAAACCGTGGCAACATTCAAAGTAATTATTGATAGATAACAGCTTACTAATGCCATTTTTTAATTTATTTTCTGGTTGTTTGTAGAGACTGTATTTCTTTCTTCCTCTCTTGCTGTCTTACTTTGTGGTTTCATGATTTTCTGTAGTAGTATGCTTTGAATCCTTTCTATTTACATTCAGGGATCCCCATGAGGTGAGACTGAAATGGGCTTCCTGGACAGCTTCTTGGAATGCTAAGGAAACTGGATATTCACTTCTTAACTCCTTTCAAGACCACAAAAATCAGCATAAGGCTAACATCATTGTTTAAAACGTATTTAGATATAAAGAATTTGAGAGAAAAAAGTCAGATAATCAATATGTGAAAACTAATAACCAGGAATATTAAGGTTTGAACAATTTTTTTCAAAATATTTATTTACTTGGCCGTGGTGGCACATACCTGTAATCCCAGATACTCAGGAGGCTGAGGCAGGAGAATCACTTGAACACAGGAGGTGGAAGTTGCAGTGTGCTGAGATTGTGCCACTGCACTCCAGACTGGGCAACAGAGCAAGTCTCCTTCTCAAAAAAGAAAAATATATCTATATATGTATATATACATTTACACATATTTATTTGCTATATGTAACATACAAACATAAAATACATATGAATTTATGGATTTACTTATATATAATTTTACACACATGTATATCTTACATCATTTTTATCATATTGTATATCAGGTTTTGTATAATGCTTTCTTCATTCACATTATATGCATTTTTTCATGTCACTAAAATTCACAGAAAGCATAATTTTGTTGGCTACATATTATTGTCATACAACATTTATTTATTTATTTATTTATTTATTTATTTATTTATTTATTATATAGACTGTGGTTAAAAAGCACAGAACATGAAATTTACCCTTTTAACCAATTTTTAAGTGTATTGTTATCTATACAAACACCATGGATCCAGTCAGCCAATTGGGCTTGCTTAGCTGGCTTTTGAATGGGAGTTTAAGGCTGGCTTAGCAGGTAGGTAAAGTTAAGCTGGTGTAATGATCACTCACACTCAGTTTTCACATTGTAAAATATGAATAATATTACTAACTAGCTCATCAGATTATTAACTAGATTAAATACAATGTATAAATCACTTAACACAAAAGCACAGAGTACCTACTCAGTACACGTTTCCTTTTATTAATAGTATTGGTCAGTTTATGTCAATCTGAACTATTAATACCAGTGGGGACCTTCAGATATTTAGAGAGTTAGATCACTTAAATTAATTTTGCATCAATAAAAATAAAATATTTTGTTTTCACTAACTAGCACCATGTTTTCACCTTTTTAAAATGTGATACATCCAAATGAAATCTATTTGTGTGTGTGTGTGTGTGTGCTATCATTTGACTTACATCACACAGTGTCTGACACAAAGTAATAAATCTTTCTTGAATGAACAGTATTGTATGGTTATAAAGCGGCTACCACATCCTACGAATTGTGAAATGTTATATTCTGAGTTCGCACAAGACATACATCACTGAAAGCCTTGGTTGATAATGGTAGATAAAAGTCTTAATGGCTTCATTGACTTCCCATAAACAAATAATGAAGTTCATAGTCTATAGTTCATTATACCTGTGCTGAAGGAGACTCCACCATATTTATCTGTGAAGAGCTCTAACTAGGAGTGAAGGAAGGAGTTTCCCTTCCCATTTCAAGTTCCTCGGACCACAAGCTGGCTAACATTGATGGGGAAGGGACACTCGTGCACAGAAGTAGGTAAAACTAGGCACTGGGCACAGTGGCTCACGCCCCTGTAATCCCAGCACTTTCAGAGGCCGAGATGGGTGGATCACCTGAGGTCAGGAGTTCAAGACCAGCCTGGTCAACATAGTGAAACCTCGTCTCTACTAAAAATACAAAAAATTAGCTGGCATGGTGGTGGGCATCTGTAATCCCAGCTACCCAGGAGGCTGAGGCAGGAGAATCACTTGAACCTGGGAGGTGGAGGTTACAGTGAGCCGAGATCGCGCCACTGCACTCCAGCCTGGGCAATAAGAGCAAAACTCTGTCTCAGAAAATTAAAAAAAAAATAAAAAAATAAAAAGTACATCAAACTAGGCTGAATTTTAAATAACTGAATGTGACTGAAAATCTATGGGATTTTCCTGAGGTATCATTAAGAGATGAGTCAGGGGGATTTGATAAAACAGAGTTGAAGTCACTTAGAAAAAAGTTTTACCTTTATACCCTAAGGTAGAAAAGTTGCTTATTAAGCTCATTATGCATATTTTGCATAAAAGTTTTGAAGACTTTTAAAAACTTTTAGAGTCCATGGCCATACCACCTGAGTGTACTCGATCACATCTGGAAAAATTTAGAGCCATTAAAGAGTTTAAGAACCTTAAAACCAAGAAAGAATTAATGTTACTTATGACATACGATACTTAAGAAGAAAATAATTTACAATACATGTAAATCACCTGATATTAACATTAAAAACAATGTAATGAATACGTAGTGTAATAAAATTTTTATATTTTCATTAAATTTTATCATGCTAGAAATATCACTTGTGAATTGTGCTTAATAATTTATAACAAAGACAGCAGGATATCTGAAGGATGTCCCTCCTTCAGTTTGCTGCTTGACAAAAACTTATACTTTTATTTCCAGATCAGTACAAATGCCACCTCTAGGAATGTTATAAATAATGTACTTCTATATCACATTGTATTATAATTATCTGTTTATTTTTTTCCCATTACTAGATACGTGTTCTTCAAAAATAAGAAGATATCTTATTTGTTTTTGTATTCCCTACCTGGTATAATGCCTGACGTGTAGTAGTCAGTTAATAAGTGACTGAGTTATTTAATGAATAAGTCATATATAGAGTCATGCGTTGCTTAACAATCGGATATATTCTGAGAAATTCACTGGTAGGTGATTTCACAACTGTGCAAACATCATAGACACAAACCTCCATGGTCTATCCTACCATACACCTAGGCTGTATGGTATAGCTTAATGCTCCTAGGCTACAAACCTGAACAGCATGTTTTTGTACTGGATATGTAGGCAGTTGTAACACAATGGCAGGTATTTGTGCATCTAAATATGAAAAAGGTACAATTTTTAAAAGGAATAATAATCTTATGGGACCACTATCATATATGCAATCTGTCATTGACCAAACATTGTTATGTGGGGCATGGCTGTATTTCTTATCATTAGAGTTGAAATTAAGTTTTGAATAACTAGAATATTTTGGGAAAGTCATTGATGTTCATGAGCATGAGGTGCTCAATGTACTAGGTTAGTATGACCTTTTCTCATAAGGTTACAGGAGATTTACTGGCAGAGCTGATAATTGACTTTATTGCTCACCAAATTGCTGACTCTAACATAGGTATTAAAAATTATGAAAAACATCTAAATTGTTGGCTTTTTAAAGATCACTCTGTTTACTTCAGGCTGTGATGCATTTATTACTATGAAGTCAAAGAACAGTTCTAAGAGATCTTAATTTCCCAGTAACATGATAGTGAGCTGGCTGGTGGAATACGACCTAAGGCTTGCAATTCTACACGAGTGTTTAGCTTCCTCAAGTAACTCATTAACTGTTTGTCTTACTAAGCAAAGTGCAGGATGATTCTGAAATAACTAAATAGACTAATAAATGTTTTTGCAACAGGGAAATCTTTCACACTTTTATGCTGTTATTAAAATAGATACTCTACTGTGTGTGAGCTGTCTTAATTCACTGAGACACTGCCTCAAATTTTTTGCTTGGTGTGTTTCTTTTTTAACTTCAAATATGGTGCAGACACAGTTGTAAAGTCCTCATTTCAACTTTGCAAGTCTTTGTGCATTATTTCTCAAAACAATGGAATTTTCTACTTAGCACATACTCAAATGCATGCAAGGAAATATTCTTCTAAGAGGTAAATATAGTAATACAGTGATTAATTTTTTTAAAAGATTCTATTTAAAAAGCAAACTTAATATTGTTTGGTTTATATTCTTATATGGAATGATATACCTTTTAAATTCTAAACTAGAGTGACATCGGTATTAATTTGGCTATTATCCTAGTTTTACAAGCCTCGCTACAGGTATTTTCATATCTGTAGACTTGAGTAAAGGGTCTGATATAAGGCCGGGTGCAGTGACTCATGCCTGTAATCCCAGCACTTTGGGAGACTAAGGGGGGCTGATCGCCTGAGGTCAGGAGTTCGAGACCAGTCTGGCCAACATGGTGAAACCCTGTCTCTACTAAAAATACAAAAAAATTAGCCGGGTGTAGTGGCATGTGCCTGTAATCCCAGGCACATGCTTGGGAGGCTGAGGCAGGAGAATTGGTTGAACCAAGGAGGTGGAAGTTGCAGTGAGCTGAGATCTCGCCACTGCACTCCAGCCTAGGCAACAGAGCAAGACTCCATCTCAAAAAAAAAAAAAAAGTGTCTGATATAAAGATACAATTTCTTCAAATGAAGATGAAATATTTTCAGAAGTAGTTCTAAGTGAAAACTCAGTTTAGCAACAATCTAGACATTTATGTTTGTCTTGTTCATCTTTTGTTTCCTAGCACGTAAATTAATCTACCAAAAAAGAGCCTGAACTAATTGTCTTACAATTAAAGAGTACTTAAACTAAACGGTAATTAAAGGATTTTATTTTTTTAACATAATGGGTTTATATTTAATATACTACTTCTCATCAGGAGGATGTTACTCAGTTAATATAAAGTTTTTTTTAAACATTAACTCTCTTTTCCATGTCAATGTCTTTAAATCTTTTCTGCATTTCAGTATTAGATACACTGAACACATTTTTCTAATTTTTTTTCCCCCAGAGATAAAAAGTTCCCCTTTTTGGCTGACTATTTGATATCTAAATACAATATCAACTTGGGAGATAACAAAACAAAAATTTAATAAAAATATGGAGAAAAGACTCTGAAATGATTCAGGACGCAGTGATTACAAGTGAACAGTGGTGATTTCCTAGAATTTTGGGCAAGAACTTCCTTCTTTCTATTTTATGTGCTTTGAAATTCTAAAAGTATGAACTATTATGAAAATTTCAGCCATCTTACTTCTTTGACCTCCTTTTTGACCAGCAAATACAAATCATAGGCTGCATTTTTCAGTGCATTATTTGTTGTAAAGAACTCTTCTTTTTCCATATATATACATATATCTGTTTGTTCTCATTTCATGGAAACAATGAAGAATGTAAAACTCCCCTATTTACTGATTCTTGAAAACTTTCAGACACCAAAGCTCAGGTTTAGCCTCAATAGCACAAAGGTTTTCAGGCTGAGGTTTGATTCAGTAGGCCCTTCAAAGTCACATGTGTCCATATCTTTCTAGTGCAAATACCTGCAAGTAAGCACAAATGCCTGTAATGCTGAGAACCACACCTGACAAGAGATCGATTACATCACTGGCTTCTTCTGCTTCAACAACAGGCAGCATCAAAACTGTGACATGAGAACTAAGGATAACTATGTTGAAACTGAGGCCATGCTGTTGAAATCTTGAGGGCTGAAGGTTCCAAAGAAATGATATACATAGAATTCTATCAGACTTGAAATTTTCCTTTTCTAGAGCTCCGGATGCTGAGACTAAGAGGTTCCACATGAGGCTGCTTTCCAGGAAGCAGTCATTACAGGAATCAAAGCATTTTCTTTCTTTTTGATACATTACTATCTTTTCTATACACAGATGATAAGAGTACAGAAAAATGTTATTTCTGTTATTTAGTAATGATTGTAATTTAAAACAAATCCTTAGTTTGCACTAAAACAAACATCTCGATCAAGAAAAGTAATGGTTTCACTGAATTCAGTTCAAATCAAATATTTATAGAATTGTTATTAACTTTTTTTTTAATTTTTTTTGAGACAGGGTCTCACTCTGTCACCCAGGCTAGAGGGCGGTGGTGTGATCTTGGCTCACTGCAACCTCTGCCTCCTGGGTTAAAGTTATTCTCTTGCCTCAAGCTTCCTGAGTAGCTGGGACCACAGCCATGCACCATCACGCCTGGCTAATTTTTGTGTTTTTAGAAGAGACAAGGTTTCACCATGTTGGTCAAGCTGGTCTCAAACTCCTGCCCTCAAGTGATTCACCCACCTCAGCCTCCCAAAGTGCTGGGATTACAGGCGTGAGCCACTGTGCCCGGCCTGTTATTAATTTATAATGTCACTAAAATAAATACAACAGAATAAGACTTTTAATGAGGGTGTGGAGGAATATAACCAGAAAATCTAACCTGTATCTGTGCCTCCTGGCCAGTAACCCTTTGGGAATTCTGTATGGAGAACAGGTCAGGTGGGAAAGATGTCTGGGGCTGGCCCTTGGTAAGAGGCTGCGGCTAGGAGGAAAGGCTCAGGTTTGGGAGCCCAGAGCCTTCCCTGGCTCTGATCTCTGACTTCCAGAGCCCCAGCTGCTGGCCGATTCTAGAATATCCTACTTGATATGATTAAAAGGCCTAGGAGAGCTCGGGGCCCTCAGTGGCAAAACAACAATGTCCAACCCTTGGTCTCCTCTCTTTCCACCTTCGGTTAAACAGCATCCCAGTTAGTTTTTCCCACCAGTGGTGCTATTGAGGTTTTTAAAATATTGCCTCCATTTAGCAAGGAGAGAAATAATAACTAAGAAATATACCCTTAAAAAATATTTATTTCTTTTTCTAAAAATACGGGAGTCAAGATTCCATTCACGGAAGAAAGACAAGGCCAACCCCACACCCTCAGAAAGGTCCACCTGGTTTGTCATTGCAATATTTTTCATTTTTTTGGTTATTATTTCATTTCAATTCCATCCTTCTATTCTTCTTAATCTATATCCATAGACCAAGGGGTAAACAGATACTCGGATAACTGCCAAAAAAAATTAATTACTAATATATAATTAACATTTATTGAACATTATACCAGCCAGTGTTTTACTTTATAAATATCATTAATTGTGCAGCGCACCAGCATGGCACATGTATACATATGTAACTAACCTGCACAATGTGCACATGTACCCTAAAACTTAAAGTATAATAATAAAAAAATATATATATCATTAATTTTCTTTCTTTATTTTTTATTATTTTTTATTTTATCAAAGTGGGGTTTCACCCTTGTTACCCACGCTGGAGTGCAGTGGCACAGTCTCAGCTCACTGCAACCTCTGCCTCCTAGGTTCAAGTGATTCTCCTGCCTCAGCCTCCCAAGTAGCTGGAATTACAGGAATGCACCACCGTGCCTAGCTAATTTTTTTTTTTTTTTTGTATTTTTAGTAGAGACGGGGTTTCACCATGTTGGCCAGGCTGGTCTCAAACTCTTGGCCTTAGGTGATCCGCCCGCCTGAGCCTCCCGAAGTGTTGGAATTACAGGCATGAGCCACCGCGCCTGGCCCAAATATCATTAATTTTCACAAGCACTATATGAAAGAAAACCATGATTCAGTACGTAGTTCTCTTCAAGGAAAGAAGAACTGCTTACTAAAACTGAGCAATATTAGGTAATTGTGTGAATCCATTCCTAAAGGGCATTTCCTCTACAATGGACAATTATTTTCAGTTGTAGTTGTACGAATGATATATAATGCCACAGCTGAGATCCTGCTGTTCCGAGAAAGTTAAGAGTGTGTCCAGAGAAACTTGAGCAGGTTAGTGAAGCATTCAAAAATGCTGTTGCTTGTGGAAAGGTTAAAATCACTATGACACTTTAGCATAGAGAAGAGACTACTTAGGCAGCTATCTTCAGATATTTGAAGGGCATTTTGTACAGAACAGATTGGATCTTATTTTTGTATTGCTGCCAGGCACAAATAAGATACATGAAATGGGGCAGGGAGACTTTGTGAGTCAATGAGTTCTCTTTGCATTGCTAAAAGTGCTCAAGATTATCATTATCAGGGTAGAGCTTGTTTTTATTCTTTTTAAGTTTATTCCAAAACAAATACAAAACAACTTTACCAAAAAATGAGAGGAAAGAAATAAAGCAGGAAGGTAAAGCAGGAAGATAGGCAGAAAGGAAAGAAGATAGAAAAGAGAGAGAGCTTGGTAAAAACATAAGGGATGATCTGTTAAAGATTTTTTTCAAGAAGTAAGTGGAAAGTAAATTTAAGATGAGTCACTGGTTTCCTAAGAGAATAGGAAGGTTTATCCAATGTATGCTCTGGTAAATATATCAAACATGAAAAAAAATTACATAAAAAAGACCCTAAGATACAAAATAGTCAATGTTGATGGTACATATGATGGATATTGTCATATCTTTTTGATAGGATTATGTACGTTGATACATTTCAACAAACAATAATTTGACAAAATAAAACATTTATAACTTCCGCATCATAATTCTACTTCTGTGAATCTATCCTAGTGAAAAAAAACTTAAGAAGCTGTGAGCATAAGTATATTCATCACAGTGTTTTTTAAATAGTAGAAAATTTGAAATAATATAAATCCAATTATAGAGGAATAGTACATTAACTGCAGTACGTTCAATGAATAGAATGTTATGTTGCCATCAAAAAGATGTTGTCAGCTGGGTGCGCTGGCTCACACCTGTAATCCTAGCACTTTGGGAGGCCGAGGCGGGCAGATTGCCTGAGCTCAGGAGTTCGAGACCATCCTGGGCAACACGGTGAAACCCCGTCTCTACTAAAATACAAAAAATTAGCTGGGCGTGGTGATGTGCGCCTGTAGTCACAGCTGCTCAGGACGCTGAGGCAGGAGAATCACTTGACCCTGGGAGGTGAAGGTTACAGTGGGCCAAGATCGCCCCCACTGCACTCCGGCCTGGGCGACAGAGCAAGACCGAGACTCCGTCTCCAAAAAAAAAGGATGTTGTCAAAGAATGTGTGTCAGCAGGGGGCTAAGGCAGAAAGATTGCTTGAACCCAGGAGTTGGAAGCTGCAGTGAGCTATGATCACATCACTGAACTCCAGCCTGAGTATACATAGGCAAAACATTTTTAAAAGGACTTGTAATAATTTACTTGGCTCTCTTCTAAAATTGTGAATAAATTCCATTCATATACCTCAGTAACATTTCCCACATTTTCCTCTTCTTTTCAATTCTCTGCAACCCCACATTATTCTGGAGCCTCTTACTTATAAACCACAATCCAATATTCCCCTTTCCCCTTTTCTCAGCTGCTTTCTTTCTCTCTATCCCCCTCTATCAGTTATTTTTTTTAAGTTATCCCAGATCAATTTAGCTTTTCTCTCCCCACCTTCACCCCTTCCCAATTTTGAATTCTGCATCTCAAAAGTCCATCACTACAGCCTGGCAGAAGATGAGCCTTCTCTGGGGGAAAGGAGGCAGAGGCTGGAATGAAACACACAAAGTCAGCATTCTGTCTGGTAGAGGGAAGGTCATCTCCGCATTAATAATTTTTTATCCTGTTTAGTTATAAACAAGTTAACAAAATTTAAGATACCAAATATTGAAACTTGGTACTCAAGTATTATTGTCAAACTGGTTTTGATTCAAATATATATACTCCCACCAGAAATACATTAAAATATCCACAATATATACCTTCATCAGCATTGGGCATTTTATTTCTTAGTCTCCTTTTTCAGGTAAAACTAAGAAAAATTATGTTAAAATACTGATAAATACACAATTATAATATTAGCATAAGTGGTAGTGCTGACATGTAAAGGACTAGAAAGGTCTCCCAGACAGAAGGGCCAGGATTTTACTATAAAAATAAAATTTACTTGGAACTATGTCTTAGGACCCTGCCAATTTCTTGCTGAGTTAAGACGTATGATTTACATAAATCCTGGTTACACTGAGGGGCAAAAGAGATAAGAAGTAGCCAGTTGTTAATGGGGAATATGTCAAGAGGAAGGAAAACAGAAGTAAAGGCTGTAAGAATACTTAAAATGCTTCCTTGTTTTTGAATTTTTAAAAATTTCCATTTCTAAACATAATTGATTTTACTAGAGCCCTGCTGCTGTCTTTGATTAAATGAGAAAAGATTAATTGCTAGACTCTGCACCCCACTAGATGCTTCCTGTAATATCCTGTTTTCTGTTAACTACTTAATCAATAATTTAATTAAAAATCAGTAGAATTACAAGTATGTAGGATAAAGTCACATGAGGTCCTGGAGGGGCTTTAAAATACTTTAGCAACAAAAAGAAAGAAAATAAGGGTAGCTAAAGCCCATATGACAAAATTCCAATAATTTTCAAATCTGGGTGGTACATGTATGAGGTTTCATTATGCTAGTCTTTCTGTAATACTTTTGTAAATGTTTAATATTTTTTGTAATATTTAAATCAGTAATATGATGAAGGCAATTTTGAGCTGTTTTTAAAAATAAAGTTTCTAAAACTAAAGTTTTCTATCAACAACATTATTTTTATATTACATCTTGATTTATCGATTTATGTAGAATAAATATAGATGAAAAAATATAGATGAGTTCTTGACATATAAAAAAAGTCTAACTATCCAAGGATGAAAAAATATGCATACGATAAAGATCAGATTCAAGAAATTTTAACATTAGATCTTAAGAAGTAACACCAACTTGCACTTCTTATTACAAGCAAAGAATCCAACGTGCCTTTGAATTGTTTCCAAGATTCTTCACTTGTTCTTTTCCATCTTCTGCCCCACTTTTCTTGGTCTTGTACCTCAGTCTTGGATTTAGGCTTAAACATCCTTTTTCTTCACTCTATTGTTCTCTTGTTGTTTTATTTGAATGGAAAAATGGAAAATAAGCTATGTAGGATTCAAGATAAAACAGCTCTTGCATCAAAAATATTCTTAGAAGAACTGGGACCAATACCAGGAATGGTGGTAACTAAAGAGAGAAGGGAAAAGAACTAACATGTTTTGATTGCCAAGGCAGTATCATGGACATATATGAATAGCAGGGTAAGACATTTTAAAATATTGATTAAAAGAAGCTTATTATTATTTTTCCTTTTTTTTTTTTTTTTTTTTTTGGCAGTGTCTCAATCTATCGCCCAAGCTGGACTGCAGTGGTGCAATCATGGCCCACTGCAGCCACAACTTCCTGGGTTCAAGTGATCATCCCACCTCAGCCTCCTGAGTAGCTGAGACCACAGGTTCGCACCACCACGCCGACTAATTTTTTAATTTTTTTGTAGAGACAGGGTCTCATTATGTTGCCCAGGATGGTCTCAAACTCCCAAGCTCCAGCAATCCTCCCACCTTGGCCTTCCAAAGTGTTGGGATTACAGGCATGAGCCACTGCGCCCGGCCTATTATTTATTTCTTGAAGAGTCACTAGAGTGGCCCAATTCTTTATGCAAATGTAAGACAAGCAGGGTTCTTTGCCCTGTAATGAGGGTATAGCAAATATCTTCTATGACTCCATTGAGTCAGTCACTCACTGTGATTCTGGGAATGTGAGGCTGACTACTGGCACAAAGGTAGATCAATTTGCATGAGGAACCCAGGGCCTTCTGGGAAGGGAAAAAAATCCTAAATATTTTCTCTGGGATACACTACTCCCTCTTTCTCTGAGATGTGAAATTAGAGAATACTACTGAGCTAGAGAATGTAGGCTTTATTCATCCAAGAGCCAGTGGTAGGGACAGGCAGCATGTCTCCTGAGATTAATATAGAGAAAGGTGTTATCTGAACAGGTAACCCCAACCCTTGGCACTCAAATAATAAAATAATATAGAAGCAAGTAGAATAATAAATATACTTTTTTCCACGTAAAGAGTTAAATAATAAATATATTTGTACTTTTTTCCACATAAAGAGTTAGTTGAGGCCGAGCATGGGGGTTCATGCCTGTAATCCTAGCACTTCAGGAGGCTGAGGAGGGTAGATTGCTTGAGCCCAGGAGTTCAAGACCAGCCTGTACAACATAGGAGACCTTGTCTCTACAAAAGAAAAAAAATTTTATCCTTCCCAAGAACAAAACACAATTGTCACCTCACATTGGATTTTCCCCTCCCTAACCTTCCATTTCATGGAAATTTAGCTCTAAATTATTCTCTGTATGCCATACTTCTACTTCTTAGGAAAATTACCTATGTGTAAAATAGTGTTGTTTGCACTTAAAAAAATAATAATTTGGAGTTAGTAGAAGTGAATAAAGCAACAGGCATTCAAATCCCATACTGTCATACTGTCAGCTCCATGGCCAGACTTCCTCATCCTAAATCCTGACTTTGTTTACCCTTACCTTTTTTTTTTTTTTTTTTGAGACGGAGTCTCACTCTGTCACCAGGCTGGAGTGCAGTGAGGCGATCTTGGCTCACTGCAACCTCTGCCTCCCAGGTTCAAAGGATTCTCCTGTTTCAGCCACTCGAGTAGCTGGGACTACAGGTGCGCACCACCACTCCCAACTAACTTTTGTATTTTTAGTACAGGCGGGGTTTCACCACGTTGATCTCTTGACCTGGTGATCTGCCCGCCTTGGCCTCCCAAAGTGCTGGGATAATAGGCATGAGCCACCGTGCCTGGCCACCTTCTTATCTGAATGGTTCTCACCCTTGATTTCCCACCTCAAGTTCTATTTTCCTCTTGAAATCTCACCAGCCATCTCACTCCACAGAGATGTTTTTCTGCTTCTGAATTCTTGTTATATTTACCACTCATTTTCATATACTCCCCTATGGCTATATTTTAAGTATATAAACTAAAATTTGAGTTGGAATTTATTTGAAAGCAGTGACAACATTCTGGATCTTTCTGAACTCTTCCAAGGGGTTAATGTGGTGTTCCACATGTAAGCTGAACATTAGACTGAAATGCTAATAATTTTCTGAGAACATATGAGTTCTTCTCCTACCTCTTTTGGCTCTGTTTAGCTTAGTAACAGTCATGGACAACAGCATGCGAATCTTAGAGCTGTTATTGGTCGACCTAGCAACCATGCGGTTCCCAAGGATACAAACTCTGAAGACACACCCTTTTGGTATGGTAATGAATGAAGCTAAAGAGGTAACTGAAAACAAATGTCAATATTAGAACTAGTGTATAATTAACTGTGGCTTTATGGTCTCTGTAGGAGCCACTATTACCCTCTCTAAATCAAACATTTTGCTTTAGTCACATGAGACAAACGTCTTAAACTTTTAAAAAATGAAATAATGAGAACATGTAGAGGAGTATCAAGAATAATATAAAAACTAACCATGTACACATAAGTCAGTTTTAACCAATATTATCATTCAGCCATTTTTCCTAAGAAATGAAACATTATGGAACTTGAGCCTTCCGGCGGGCATGGTGGCTTATGCTTGTAATCCCAACATTCTGGGAGGCTGAGACAGGCAGATCACTGGAAGTCAGGAGTTCGAGACCAGCCTGGCCAACATGGTGAAACCCCATCTCTACTGAAAATATAAAAATTAGTCAGGCATGGTGGTGCACACATGTAGTCCCAGCTACTCAGGAGGCTGAGGAACAAGAATGGCTTGAACCCAGGAGGAAGAGGCTGCAGGGAAATGAGATATTGCCACTGCACTCCAGTCTGGGTGACAGAGTGAGACCCCTTCTCTGAAAAAAAAAAAAAAAAAAAAAAAAAAAGAATTTGAGCCTTCCCAAATCGTTTTCCTTCCTCTTTCTCCAGCCTAAAGCTGATATGTTTAATTTCCCATTCATGTTTGTTTTTTTAACCATATATGTATATACTAACACTATGTAGTACTATTTTGCATATTTACAAATGTTACACAATTGTTATTTTAAAAATAGTAATCTACAAACTGCTTTTTTATTAACGATTAAAATTTCATTAAAAATTAAATCAGTTTCTTAATTTTTTATTGTCTCCTTTGATGATCTTTCATTATTTTCTATCCTTATTATTTTTCTTCCTATTTTCTTTGGCTTTGCTCTCTTATTTTTTTTTTTTTTGTAAATGTTCTATTAATATGTGTGATTGAAAAAAATATACATCTTTTCTACATTAGTTTACCTTAAGAAATATATGGAAAGCCTGGTCAACATAGTGAGATCCTATCTCTACAACAAATTTCAAAATTAGCTGTGTGTGATGGTGTGTGCCTGCAGGCTTAGCCACTCAGGAGGCTAAGGCAGGAGGATTGCTTGAGCCCAGAAACAAGAGGCTGCAGTGAACCATGATCACACCACTGCACTCCAGCCTGGGTGACAGAGACTGTCTTCCTGCGCCCCCACAACCCCGGCAAAAAAAAAAAGAAGAAATACACAGGACATAGGTTTACTATTAAATCTAAAATGAGGCCAGGCATTGAGGCTCACACCTATAGTCCCAACACGTTGGGTGACCGAGGCAGAAGAATTGCTTGAGGCCAGGGGTTTGAGGCCAGCCTGGGAACCCTATCTCTATAGTTAAAAACACGCACGCACTCGGGCGAGAGAGAGAGAGCGAGAGAGAAATGATACATTTGCAATTTTGATATCTATGTGATTAAATGGCAGGAGAAATAAACAATTGTAGAAGTTTAAGGAAAAGATTATCTTACAGATTATTCTATATCAATATTTACAGAAAATTTTTTCAGCTACATTGAATACCTTTTTTACTTTTTTTTTTTTTTTTTTTTTTTTTTTGAGTTAGAGTTTCGCTCTTGTTGCCCAGGCTGGAGTGAAATGGCGCAACCTCGACTCACGCAAACTTCCGCCTCCCAGGATCAAGGGATTTTCCTGCCTCAGCCTCCTCCCAAGTAGCTGGGATTACAGGCACCCGCCACCATGCCCAGCTAATTTTTTGTATTTTCAGTAGAGACAGGGTTTCACTATTTTGGTCAGGCTGGTCTCGAACTCCCGACCTCAGGTGATCCACCCACCTTGGCCTCCCAAAGTGCTGAGATTACAGGTGTAAGCCACTTGGCCTGGCCTTTTTACTTTTAAGATAATCTATTTTTCCTTTCACTATGACGGGTCTAAGTGTAGATTACTTTATTTTAAACTTCAGTGTACACTATGATTTTCAAGATTTATGACATTTTTTAATTCTAGAATATCCTATTTATTATCTGTTCAAATAGTAGATCTCATCATACAATTTCTTCTCTTTTTTTCCTTTGTTTTAAAGGGTACAAATGAACATCCAGATAAAGAGGTCCTGAACTTCTGCCAATACTGTAGGTATCTTTAGGTATGTGGATGCTTAATAAGCACACTGAGATGATCTAAGAATGGAGAGCAAACTTCTTTTTTTCTTTTAATTAAAGAACTTTTCTTACGCCAGGTACAGTGGCTCATGCCTGTAATCCCAGCACTTTGGGAGGCTGAGGTGGGTGAATCACTTGAGGCCAGGAGTTCGAGACCAGCCTGGGCAACATGGTGAAACCCTGCCTCTATGAAAAAAATAAAAATCAGCCAGGTGTGGTGGTTCACACCTGTAGTCCCAGCTACTCATGAGACTAAGGTGGGTAGATCAGTTGAGCCCAGGAGGCTTTTTTAGAGACAGGATCTCCCTCTGTCACCCAGGCTGGAGTGCAGTGGTGGGATCATAGCTCACTGCAGCCTCAAACCTCTGGGCTCAAGCAATCCTCCTGCCTCAGCCTCCTGATTACCTAGGACTACAGGTGCATGCTACCACGCCCAGCTAATTTTCAAATTTTTGGTAGAGACAGGGTATTGCTATGTTTACAAGGCTTCCTGTATATTTCTTAAGGTAAACTGTTGTAGAAAAGATACTCCACCAAATAATGACTTAAAATGTAAGTATTTAGTTTTCTCATATGTAATCCTGAGGTTATTGGACCAAGTTTTCTGGCTGGTTCTGCTCTACATGGTCATTAATTGGCCCTGATTTTTTCCATCCTGTCTCTTCATCATTGCCTAGGTCAAGAATTCTTAGTCATTTTTGGCCGGGCACAGTGGCTCACGCCTGTAATCCCAGCACTTTGGGAGGCCAAAGCAGGCGGATCACCTGAGGTCAGGAGTTCGTGACCAGCCTCAACATGGTCTCTACTAAAAATACAAAATTAGCCAGGCGTGGTGGTGCATGCCTGTAATCCCAGCTACTCGGGAGGCTGAGGCAGGAGAATTGCTTGAACCTGGGAGGCGGAGGTTGCAGTGAGCCGAGATCGCGCCATTGCACTCCAGCCTGGGCAACAAGAACGAAACTCCGTCTCAAAAAAAAAATAATAATCCTTAGTCATTTTTGTGCTGTGGACTCCGTTGGCCCTCTAGTTAAGTGTACGGACTCCCAGAATAACTTTTAATGCATAAAATGAAATACATTGGAATCAAAAGAACGATGAATAATAGCCATTGTGTGATTTGATTACCTTCTATGATTCGCCATCTTTAGTTGTTGTTTAATCTCTACTTTTTGGGAGAGTTTGATCTTCTGCAACAGAAAACAGACAGAAATTGCTACTGGGTGTGGAGTTCAGTCATAACAAAAACTTAAAAATACACAGCAATGGCTTTTGGACTAGCTGGTGGACAGAGAATGGAAGGATGCAAGGAGACTGTTGGAGGAGGCTGGAAAAGCTGTGAGGATTGTGTAAATAAAGACTGGAGAAATAGCAAAAACAGCATTAGAGGAGGCTGGAGAGGCAATGAGGCAATTATTGGAAACTAGAAAAGGGGAACCCAGAGTATGCAGTAGCAGAAAAATTATCAAGCTTGTAATCTGTAGAAACTGATTTAAGCATGATTTATCCAACAGCTATTTATTGAAAATCTATGATGTGCCAGACACTGTGATAGGAGCTAAGAGACGTTAGCGTTGCAAGAAAACTTAATTTTACCAGTTAACAATTTTCATAATATTTTTGTAAATATTGGTAGCTTCTAGTAATTAAATGTAGTTGGGGTCCACCTCCCTCCCCAAATTTCCAAAAGCCTTGATATCAGTGTATTGTTAAGTGGTATCTTATAATAAACGTAAGTCATAGACCAAATTCTAACAAATATATTCACTAGAATATCATTTTAATATACACAGAAATTATAGTCCTTCCATGACAAAATATAGCATAATTCTATTAAGAATTACATAGTAAAGGTCGAGGGCAGTGGCTCAAGCCTGTAATCCCAGCACTTTGGGAGGCCAAGGTGAGCGGATCATGAGGTCAAGAGATCTAGACCATCCTGGCCAACATGATGAAAACTCGTCTCTACTAAAAATACAAAAATTAGCTTCGCGTGGTGGTGCTCGCCTATAGTCCCAGCCACTTGGGAGCCTTAGGCAGGAGAATTGTTTGAACCTGGGAGGCAGAGGTTGCAGTGAGCTGAGATCGTGCCACTGCACTCCAGCCTGGCGACAGAGTGAGACTCCATCTCAAAAAAAAAAAAAAAGAAATAGTAAGATGATGAAGCAGACAAAAATCATAGTATTAATATTTTTGCAGTAGGTTTGAGAATAAGTTGTTTGTTGTTGATATATTTTACCATTTTATGTTTTAAGAAGTTTGGTATATTTAATATCTTACAGATTACTTTTATGATTCCAATATAAAATGTCTCATTTATTCAGACTTGCAATTTCAAGTTGAAAGGTATAAGGCAATGTTATTAATTTTATAAACGGTATTTTAACCCCTAAAATAAGTTGAGATTCAATATTAATATGTATACATATTTAATTTGCCAGATTTATAAGTCATATACATTCTTGGGAAATTTTGTCAAATGGACAATTTAAACATTTAACTAAAATTGTAAATGAAACCAAATGTAAATCAAAGTCCTCATAAAAGTAACTGTTAAAATTTGTCAGATTTATAAATTAATAATTTGATTCATAACTTAAAAGCTTAAGAAGGAATAGGTTTTTGAATTTGTAACATTAATAAATCAAATATGAATTTAATAACCTCAAGTAATATTTCCCTAAGTCATTCTCAAGAACATCAAAATATTGTCCTTGACAAAAACGAATCAAGCTCATCAGTGTTAAGTAACAGTGCAGTGTTACCGAAAAGGGATCTCGATCCAGACCCTAAGAGAGTGTTCTTGGATCTCACACAAGAGAGAATTCAGGGCGAGTCCAGAGTAAAGTGAAAGTGAGTTTATTAAGAAGTAAAGGAATAGTAAGAATGGTTACTACATAGACAGAGCAGGGCATTCAAGAGCAGACAAAGCAAGAGGAGGAACACATCCACCTTAGGTAGAGGCTTGTTTATATATAATATAAAAAGAAAAAAATGGGGAACACACCAATGGGGAGATGTGCTGTCCTACAAGGGCGTGTAACAACGGATTGTTAATCTTTGTGTAACTACTGTCTTCTGCAGTAATATATTAAACTAAGAATGCTTTTGTTCTTAAGATATGGGACTCAGGACATTTCCCAAGTTTGTTATTTTCTGTGTCTGTTAAGTCCTGAGTCTGTTCGGTAAACATTATTAACTTGTTTCCTTAACTGTACATATCCTATTGACTAAGAATGCCTAACCTGGGAATGCTGCCCAGTAGGTCTCAGCCTCATGTTACCCAGCCCTTATTCAAGATGGAGTCACTCTGGTTCAAATGCCTTTGACAACAGCTTTCATTGAAAAGGAATACAATACTATCGTGTGTGTGTGTGTGTGTGTGTGTGTGTGTGTGTGTGTATGTGTGTGTGTGTGTTCTTTGGCCTTGTTTTTCTATTTAATTTAATAGCTAAAATTTACAATTCTAAAATTTAATTTGAGTGTTTAAGCATTTTAAGTAATACACTGCTAAAGAGAGAGGGTTTGTTTTTTTTTTTCATTTTTCAGTATTGCACTTCAAGAATTGTCCAAAAGTGACCCAGAGAACTCACTGTAGGCTTCTCAGACAATTAACAGCTCCCTCTCCCAGTGGATAGGGATGCAATGAACTTAGCTATCCACAAGCTGGTGGTTTCTTATTCCCTAGCAGGAAGGTTACAATTTCCCATGGGCCCCAAGATCTTCAGGAAGGAGTGGATCTAGGATTTTCTGGGGCCTAAAGTTTATATATGTCTCTTTTTGCTGATCCTTCTTTTTTTTTTGACAGTCTTGATCTGTTGTCCAGCCTGGGGTACAGTGGTGTGATCTTGGCTCACTGCAACCTCTGCCTCCTAGGCTCAAGTCATTCTCCTGCCTCAGCCTCCCAAGTAACTGGCACTACAGGTGTGCACCACCACGCCCGGCTAATTTTTTTGTATTTTTAGTAGAGATGCGGTTTCACCATGTTGGCCAGGCTGGTCTCGAACTCCTGACCTCAAGTGATCTGGCTGCCTTGGCCTCCCAAAATGCTGGGATTACAGGCATGAGCCACCATGCCCAGCCTGACCCTTCATTTTTTATTTCTCAGATAAATCTTATTCCTTAATCCATACCAGGTGACACAGTAGAATTTATCTTTGCCTCCTTCATCTTAAGTGCTACTATTTGTGTGTTGATTCAGTGCTATTAATTTACCTCCGTTTCACATGTAGCTATGGGGGAAATTAATTTGAAATTTTATTCTGGACAAATGCAATGGAACAGTAAGATATAACTCTGTAGTCACAATTATGTGGAAGTGGAATGTAAGAAAGATTAGAAAAATATTTAAAATTAGAAAATTTCATTCCTATCAGCAAATTATGACAGATCTAAAAAATCTTAGGAATGAAAGTGTCTATTGCTACAAATTATGTGTTTTTACATTATACGATTGAGCAACATAGGCTTAAACTTCCCAGGTCCAATTATATATGGATTTTCTTCCACTTCTGCCACCTCTAAGACAGCAAGACCAACCCCTCCTCTTCCACCTACTCCTTACTCAATGTGAACACAACCAAGTTGAAGACTTTAATGATGATCAACTTCTACTTAATATTATACATAGTAAACATATTTTCTCTTTCTTATGATTTTCTTCATTTTTTTCTCTATCTTACTTTATTGTAAGAATACATTGTATAATACATATAACATGCAAAAAATGTGTTAATTAACTGTTTATGTTATCAATAAGGCTTCTGGCCAACAGTAGGCTACTAGTAGTTCAGTTTCAGGGGAGTTATACATGGATTTTCAACTGCAAGTGGGGTCAATGCACCAACTCACACTTTTCAAGAGTCAACGGTATAGCCTCCCCCTTTTTTTTGATGGAGTCTTGCTCAGTCACCCTGGCTGGAGTGCAGTGGCATGTACTCGGTTCATTGCAACCTTTGCCTCCCGGGTTCAAGCAACTCTCTAGCCTCACAGCCGCGGCCTCCTGAGTAGCTGGGATTATAGGCACCTGCCACCACGCCTGGCTAATTTTTGTGTTTTTTAGTAGAGATGGGGTTTTGCCTTGTTGGTTAGGCTGGTCTCGAACTCCTGACCTCAGGTTATCCTCTCGCCTCGGCCTCCCAAGTCTGAGATTACAGGTGTGAGCCATTGTGCCCGGCCTGGTATAGCCCTTTTGCACTTATGCAATTAACTTGCCTTTATTATTGAATACAAGATCGTAGCTGAGACTACAGGCATGTGCCACCATATTCAGCTAATTTTTATATTTTTAGTAGAGATGGAGTTTCACTATGTTGGCCAGGCTGGTCGGGAACTCCTGACCTCAAGTGATTACCTACCTCGGTCTCCCAAAGTGCTGAGATTACAGGCATGAGCCACTGTGCTCAGCCCTCTGTCTCTTATATAGTGTGACTGGTGCTTTTGTGAAGAATATGTTTTTTACTAACATGGTGTTTTAACATATTTTTCATAACATTTCTCTTTTTGAGGGCTGCATTTAATTATTTAATTTAGAGTTGTTGACTTCATCAACTGCACCTTTTCTAGACAATGTATAATCATATAATATGTACTCTTTTGTGTCTGGTCTTTTGTTCAGCAAAATTTTTTTGTGATTCATCCATATTGAGACGTGCATCCATAATTCCCTTTTATTTCTGAATAGTGTTACTTTGAAAGACTATGTCACACTACAGTTTGTTTATCCATTTACCTACTAATGGACATGTGGGTTGGATCCAGTTTCTAGCTATTATGAATAAAATAGCTACACATATTCTGATTCAAGTACTTTAGCAGTGGTGAAAATATTCCAAATCTTCAAAGTGATGGGCATTACATAACTACATACATTTATAATATCTCATATAACTGTGTACCTAAAAGGGATGATTTTTACTGGGTGTAAATTTTACATTAATAAACTTGACTTTAATAATATATGCATATGTATGTGTGTGTGTCTATCTAAAAGAAGCATACCACTAAGGAAAAAACGGTGGCTACCAAATTAAGAAACTTATGAGGCATAAACGCACTTGGAATTGGTTGCAATACATACATAATTGATAATTGTGTACAAACAAGTTGCTATATTCTGCCAATAGAAATATGTAGTTATCAAAAAATTGTGGTTATGTCTGGGTGTGGTGGCTCATGCCTGTAATCCTAGCACTTTGGGAGGCCAAGGCAGGAGGATCACTTCAGCTTAGAAGTTTGAAACCAATGTGAGCAACATAGTGAGACACTGTCTCTATTTCTATTTTTTTATTGTAGTTATAAAAGATAAATATCTGTATTTATCTGTCCACCTATCTATCTATCCATCTCTCTCTCTATCTATCCATTCAGAAAAACTGACTACACAACTTTTGTTATCGGGAGGCAGAGGCAGGAGAATCACTTGAACCAGGGAGGTGGAGGTTGCAGTGCATCGAGATCGCGCCATTGCACTCCAGCCTGGGCGATAGAGTCAGACTTAATCTCAAAAAAAAAAAAAACTATTGTTATAAAGTTGATATTGGGCCAGGTGCAGTGAGTCATGCCTATAATCCCAGCCGAGGCTGGAGGATCACCTGAGGCCAGGAGTTCGAGACCAGACTAGGCAACACGGTGAAATCCCATCTCTACTAAAAATACAAAAATTAGCCAGGCATGGTGACACATGCCTGTAGTCCTAGCTACTTGGGAGGCTGAGGCACGAGAATTGCTTGAACCTGGGAGGCAGAGGTTACAGTGAGCTGAGATCGCACCAGTGCACTACAGCCTGGGTGACGGAGCAAGATCAAAAAAAATAAAGCTGATATTGAATACAGCAACCAAAAACTTTAGCATTACAGTATGTACTTTCTCTTTGTTCTCAAATATCAATAAGATTTTTAAAATGAGCCTTTTAATAATTATTTTGTGAACCAATCTAAGTGTTTTACAATGGTATTGAAATTTTGCAAACTAGTACTCTCTATTTGGGTTTAATTTTGTTCAAAATCAGTTGCAAAATTTAATTAAAACATTGGAGCATCAAAAGACTTCAGCTTTTTAAGTTTTAGCAAATTCTGATTATTAAAACTAAGCTTTCAAACAGGAAGACATTAAAATTACCTCTATGAAAGCAAAGAAAAAATAGAACATTTAACGAGAATGTAAAATTAACAAAAATTGAATTCCATCATAATAGATTCATTCTTTGAATATATTTTATAACGGAAAGAGTGAAATTGATAAATCCAATAATTTTGCTGCAGCTACATTTGATAAATATTCTTACAAACCCTAGAGACAACTTAAGATGGTTTATCTTGAAAAAAAATCTTTTTTAAAAAAAGATACTATGGACCAGGCACGGTGGCTCACGCCTGTAATCCCCAGCACTTTGGAAGGCCAAGGCAAGAGGATTGCTTGAGGCCAGAAATCTGACACCAGCCTGGGCAACATAGTGAGACCCCATCTCTACACACACATACACACACACACAAAAGATAATATGAATGGAGGTTAAAAATCTTTACTTCTGAAAATATTTGAGCCCAAAGTATTTTACATATCAATAAAAAATAAAATTTATAATATCTTCCATTTAGCAGAATTTTCTCTGAATTTCCCAAGTACCTCAGAATCTGTAGAAAGAATATTTTCTGTATTAAAAATATTATGGTCTAGAAGAACAAATTTGTAGGACTTACTGATTTCAAGACTTACTATAAAGATACAAAAATTAAGAAAGTATGTATTGGCATGCACACTTTCTTAATTTTTGTAGCTTTATAGTAAATCTTGGCATTCATTATATGAATATATGGAATATGCATAGAATAAATATGTATGTATATGGAGTATATATAGAATATATATGATATATGACATGTGCATATATACACATATATATAGAATATACACATATATATTCTATATATACTCCATATATGGTATGCATATATATACATATATTCTATATATATTCCATATATTTATATAACTTATATATTTTTATATATGGAATATAGATGTAAGCAGAATAAAAGGCAGAAATAGAACTATACACATACATGGCCAATTGATTTTCGACAAAGATACCAAGGTATTTCAATGTGAAAGGAATAATCTTTTTCAACAAATGATACTGGAAGAACTGGTTATTCAGAAGTTCTATAGTTTGGATATGGGTTGTTTGTCCCCAGCAAATCTCATGTTGAAATTTGATCCCCAAGGTTGGAGGTGGCCTAATGGGAAGTACTTGAGTCATGGGGCAGATCCCTCATGAATAGATTAGTGCTCTTCCTTGGGGGTAAGTGAGTTCTCACTCTATTAATTCCTAAGAAAGCTGGTTCTTAAAGAGAGCCTGGTACCTTATCCCTCTCTCTCTTTCCTCCTCTCTTTCTATGTGATCTCCGCAACACCAGCTCCCTTTCACCTTCCGCCATGAATGGAAGTAGCCTGAGGTCCACACCAGATGCAGATGTTGGTGCCATGTTTCTTGTACAGCCTGTAGAACCATAAGCAAAATAAACCTCTTTTCTTTATAAATTTCCCAGTCTCAGGTATTTCTTCACAGGAACACAAAACAGATTAAGACAAGAGGGAAAAAAAATGAAGCTTAATCCTTAATCTTCATTTCACAAAACTTAACTTGAAATGGGTCACAGAACTAAATGTAAATGTTAAAAGTTATAAAAATTTGTGACCTTGACATAGGTAAAGATTTCTTAGATAGAACATAAAAAGCATGTGCTATAAAAGAAATAAATGAATACATAGGACTTTATCAAAATGAGAACTCTTGCTCTGAAAAATACAACCATGAAAATGAAAGGTGAGTCACAGAGAAAATATTTGTCGTACATGTATATACTGATAAAGAGCTTATATACAAAACTCTTACAATTCACAAAGACAAAGAAACCAGTTCTTAAAACTGAGCAAAAAGCCAGGCATGGCAGCACATGCCTGTAGTCCCAGCTGCTCAGCAGGCTGAGGTTGGGGGATTGCTTAAGGCTAGGAGTCTGAGGCTGTAGTGCACTATCCTCACACCTGTGAATAACTACTGCACTCCAGCCTGGGCAATATAGTAAGACTCCAGCTTTAAGAAAAAAAAAAACCTGAGCAAAAGATCTGAAAGGACACTTTACAAAAGAAAATATATGAATAGCAAAAAAAGAAAACAAAAAAAGTCCATTATCTTAAGTCATCATGGAAATGCAAATTTAAATCACAATAAGATACCACTGCCCATCCATTAGAGTGGCTAATATTAAAAAGACTGATAACATCAAATGTTGGGGAGAACGTGAATCTACTAGGACTCATGGATTGCTGATGAGAATGCAAATGGTATGGGAATTTTGGAAAATAGTTTAACAATTTCTTATAAAGTTAAACATATAGTTCAACCCAGCAATTCCACTCCTAGGTTTATCCAAAGGAAATGGAAACACATATCCACGTAAGAATTTAAATCTGAGTATTTATAGCAACTTTATTTATAATAGCCCCAAACTGAATCCAACCCAAATGTCTATCAATAGGTGAATGGACAAACAAATTTGTTTCTTTTTATTAAGCAGTATGCCATTGTGTGGATGTAGCATATATATATATATATATATTTTTTTTTTTTTTCATTCACAAGCCAAAGAACATTTTGGTTATTTCCAATTTGGGCCTACTATAAATAAAGGTGCTATAAATATTCATGCAGAAATCTTTGTATGAATATAAGTTTTCATTTATTTTGGGTAATCACATAGGACTGGGATTGCTGGGTTAATGGTATATTTAGCTTTATAAGAAACTGCCAAACTGTTTTCCAAAATGGTTGTATTATTTGGATCTCCATTAGCAATGTATGGGAGTTCTAGTTGCTCTGTATTTTAGCCAGCATTTTATATTTTCATTTTTTTGTTTTGTTTTTTTTAATTTTAGGTGTTGTTATGAACTCAATTGTGTCCTCCTCAAAATACATATGCTGAAATCTTAACCCTCAATGTGACTGTATTTAGAGATAGGGCCTTTCAGGAGGTAATTTAGGTTAAATGACATCACATGGGTGGGGCTGTAATCCAACAGAACTGGCATCTTTATAAGAGGAAGAAACACCAGGAATTCACGTGCACAGAGGAAAGGCCACGTGAGGCCACAGCAAGAAGGCACCACCTGTAAGCCAGGAAAAGAGGCCTCCCTAGAAACCAACATACTGGTTCTTAATTTTGGACTTCCAGCCTCCAGAAATGTGAGAAAATAAATTCCTGTTGCAGTCCATTCTGTGATATTCTGTTGTGATAGCCAAGCAGACTAGTACAGATTGTATAGTGTTATCTCACTGTGGTTTTCATTTGTACTTCTCTAGTGATTAATGATATTGAATATCTTTTCATGTGCTTATTTGCATCTTTAGCTCTTTTTATGAAGTATGTGTCTGCACAAAATTCATAACTCTGTGCACCAAAACCAATTCTAAGTACACTTTGCTCCACAGATTTCTTAATTCATTAGGATCATTGTCTTTACCATGATTCTGTGACTCACCAGCGTCTGTGTTTGGATGAATAATTTTTGCAAAAATTATGTTTCAGTGCTGAAAGCTTTCTTTTTCCCACAATGGACAGTTATACAAACTTTAATATAGTGATTACCTTTTATACATTTGATAAAAGTAACTTGTTTTAATTTATGAAAGAAAAATTTAATAAGCTATAAAAATCTCTGTGAAAGCAATAAGACAAATGTATAAAAATGATTTTATTTAGCTGAGTGTGGTGGCACGTGCCTGTAATCCCAGCTACTCAAGAGACCAAGGGAGGAGAATCGCTTGAACCCTGGAGGCAGAGGTTTCAGTGAGTCAAGATTGTGCCACTGTACTCCAGCCTGGGCAACAGAGCGAGACTCCATCTCAAAAAAAAAAAAATGATTTTATATCTTCTTTTTCCTAGGTGTTGACTTACTGGAACAGGAGCAAAATCTGCATTAGATGAGAGACTCTAAACTTCTCCATAAGTTGGAGTTCAATAATAATGTTTTTTAAGGTCATTGGAGACTTCTGTGAGCATCCATCCACCACAAATAACTCCACATCTGGGTTATCTGCTTTTGTTTATTTATTTATTTATTTGTGAGACAGAGTCTCACTCTGTCGCCCAGGTGGAGTATAGTGGTGTGATCTCAGCTCACTTCAACCTCCGCCTCCTGGGTTCAAGCAATTCTTGTGCCTCAGCCTCCCGAGTAGGTGGGACTACAGGTGTGTGCCACCATGACCAGCTAATTTTTGTATTTTCAGTAGAGACAGAGTTTCCCCATATTGGCCAGGCTGGTCTCGAACTCCTGGCCTCAAGTGATCTGCCTGTCTCGGCCTCCCAAAGTGCTGGGATTACAGGCATGAACCAGTTCACCTGGCCTATTGTCTGTTTTTAGATGGCCTATTTGAATTATGTCTGAACATGATACACCTGTAGCCTCATCAAATTTGTTTTTGTTTTGTTTTGTTTTTGAGACAGGGTCTCACGTTGCTCAGTCTGGAGTGCAGTGGCACCATCGCAGCTCACTTCCAGCCTTGACCTCCCTGGGCTCAGGTGATCCTACCACCTCAGCCACCCAAGTAGGACTACAGGCACACACTACCATGGCCAGCTAATTTTTGCAATCTTTTTGTAGAGATGGGGTCTTGCTATGTTGCCCAGGCTAAATTTGTTTCTCCAAATGTAGATATTAGAAAATGTGGGATTCGTTTTCATTGATTGTGAAAGTGCAAGTCCTTCTCTATGTTGTTGCTGACTACTGACAATGCTTTAAAATGCCCATTGTGTAAAGTAAGAATTTCTTGGAGATACTTAGCTCCTGCATTTTCTATTCTGTTAAAAGAAAAATCTACTGCTTCTAGGGTAATATTGCTTTTACATGAGCTAGATACATAATTCCATCCTGAGATATTTGATTGCAGCTGACATCAAGGTAGCATAGGCTACTGTTAAGATACATTGAATAACATATAATTGTTGTATACTACAGTTTTTTATATTATGCTTACACATGTGTAGTTGAACAAGGCAGTTATTTTCTTTCAACATATGGCCTACGTGGGCTGTGGACTCTTTCTGTTTGCCATACTGCATAGGTCAGTTTAGGTTTATTCCCTTAATTGCTTTGTTTTGAGTTAGTATCGTAGCAAATGCTATCACACTTTGCATTCCCAGATCACAGTAACCCAGACCTACTTTCTCTAAGGATGAATTAATTTGCAGCATTGCAGCAAAAAATATTCCACTCTTATTTTTAATCTTGTTTCCAGTCATTCTTAGGTATTTCAGAGTTGTGTTCTCATTTAGTGCTTTGCCAATCAATTCTCCACCTTGGCTGGGAGCAGTGGCTCATGCCTGTAATGCCAGCACTTTGTGAGGCCGAGGCAGGTGGATCACCTAAGGTCAGGAGTTCAATACCAGCCTGGCCAGCATGGTGAAACCCTGTCTCTACTGAAAATACAAAAATTAGCCAGGGATGGTGGTGCATGCCTGTAATCCCAGCTACTCGAGAGGCTAAGGAAGGAGAATTGCTTGAACCCGGGAGGTGGAGGTTGCAGTGATCCAAGATTATACCGCTACAGTCCAGCCTGGGCAACAGAGCAAATCTCTGTTAAAAAAAAAAAAGAGAAAGAAAAATTCTCCTCCTTCAGGCCCAGTATCATCAAACATAAGGTTTAAGTAAATGAGATTAAGTTATTTCTGAAGTAGTTTTACACTATAATATGTGCCAACATCACTTATGAGGTTATATCTAACATCCAAACTCAATATATAACTGATTATTTAAAAAAAAAAAAAAAAAAGAACTGAGATTGTGCAGTAGCACTATCATAGTTCATTGAAGCCTTGAACCCCTGGGCTCAAGTGATCCTCCTGCCTTGGCCTCCCAAATTTCTGAGATTACGGGCATGAGCCACTGCACCCAGGCTAGTTAACTATTTAAAATTCTAGAAAGAGGCCAGGTGCGGTGGCTCAAGCCTGTAATCCCAGCACTTTGGGAGGCTGAGGCAGGCAGAACATGAGGTCAGGGGATCGAGACCATCCTGGTGAACATGGTGAAACCCCTTCTCTACTGAAAATACAAAAAATTAGCCGGTTGTGGTGGCAGGTGCCTGTAGTCCCAGCTACTTGGGAGGCTGAAGCAGGAGAATGGTGTGAACCTGGGAGGCAGAGCTTGCAGTGAGCCGAGATCACGCCACTGCACTCTAGCCTGGGTGACAAAGTGAGACTCTGTCTCAAAAAAAAAAAAAATTTTAGAATGAATCCAAAAATCTTCACCTGTTACTCTTTTTACTGTCAATAAGTAATTATTAACAGCAATGTTTAATGTGTTTCCTTCTTCTAGTTACGCCCACTGGGGCCAATGCCAGAGCTGTGGCCAGAATGGGGGCCAGAGGGGATGAACCAGCCAGGGCAGAGGCAGCATCCTACCAGCTGCTCCACGTACTCCTCTCACCCCACAGGCTGCAGCAGCTGTGCCACCATTCAATGCTAAAAGTTTTGTTGTTGTTGTTGTTGTTTTATTTTTGTTTGTTTGTTTGAGACAGGGTCTTGCTCTGCAGCCCAGGCTGGAGTGCAGTAGCATGACCACGGCTCACTGTAGCCTCAACCTCCCCAGTTCAAGTGATCCTCCCAGCTCAGCCTCCCAAGTAGCTGGGACTATAAGTGCACACCACCATTCCTAATTTTTTAATTTTTTGTAGAGATGAGGTCTCACTGTGTTGTCTAGGTTGGTCTTGAATTTCTGGGCTCAAGTGATCCTCCCACCTTGGCCTCCCAAAGTACTGGGATTATAGGCGTGAGCCACCACACCCAGCCCTGAAAGATTTTTAAACGGAATTTACAAAAGCCTTTACAATAATGTTAGATATTTCACTTTAGGCAGAATAATGGCCTTCCAAAAGATTTGTTTTGATTCTAAAAATTGGATGAAGAAACTCTATTACTGAAATTAACTGATATTCTATTTTAAGTATCTGATAACACTGGAAAAAAAAACAGCCACCATTTAACTGTTTGCAAAGCCTTTCCTTCTGCTAATGGAGCCAACACCTTAATGCTTCACTTTTCATAAGTGCACAAAAGAAGTTTCAATAAAAATGGGCAAAATTAATTGAAACATTGATCTAATCCAAAGGTGTGCTTCACAAAGTGATATGTAAATAGGCTTTATACATCTTCATATTTTAAATTTTTGTCTCTGGGTACAGTCTTTTAAAATTAAGTATTCACTTTTAAAGTAGAAGCCAATGTTTCTTTAACTGATTTGTTTATTTTGGATTTTCAGTAGTCAGTGATATTACTATGGTCCCTATGGTGGATGTAAATAGTGGCAAACATGCTGTTCAAATAACACGTCCATCATTAATGTTCTTAAGAAATGGAAACGCAGTAATTTTTTCATTAAACACATATGTTATGGGTCAAATTGTGCCCCACCCCACCCCAACAAATTTGTATATTAAAGTCCTAGCACCAGTATTGCAGAATATGATCTTATTTGGGAATAGGGTCATTTTAGGCTTAATTAGTTAAGATGAGGTAATACTGGAGTAGAGTGCCCCTCTAATCCAATGTGACCGTGTCCTTACAAAAAGTAATTATGTGACGGTGTCCTTACAAAAAGGGAGAAATTTGGACACAGACATGAACACAAGGGAAATGCCATGTTAAAATAATGGCAGAGAATTGGGATGATAGTTTTGCAAGCCATGGAATGCCAAAGTTTGCCAGCAATTCACCAGAAGCTAGGGTAGAGGCATGGAACAGATTCTCTTTCATAGCCCTCAGAAGGAACCAATCCCACTGACACCTTGATTTTGGACTTCCAGCCTTCAGAACTGTGAGACAATGAATTTATGTTCTTTAAGCCACCCACATTGTGGGTACTTTGTTACAGCAACCTTAACAGACTAATACAATTGCTTACATTATTTTTAAGCTCATTATTGCTAAAAAGGCTTATTATAAAATAAAAATGCATTACCACTCAATAGTATAACTAAGCCATTTTATATGTGAATTGTGCAATGAATGACAAAACATAGTACTAAAAATTCCTGGCCAGGTGTGGTGGCTCACGCCTGTGATACCAGCACTTTGGGAGGCTGAGGTGGGCAGATCACCTCAGGTCAGGAGTTCAAGACCAGCCTGACCAAGATGGAGAAATCCCATCTCTACTAAAAATACAAAATTAGCTGGGTGTGGTCATGCATGCCTGTAGTCCCAGCTACTCTGGAGGCTGAGGCAGGAGAATCACTTGACCCCGGGAGGCGGAGGTTGCAATGAGCCCAGATCGCAGCATTGCACTTCAGCCTGGGCAACAAGAGTGAAACTTCGTTTCAAAAAAAAAAAAAAGTTCCCAGACTTCTCAATATACTTTTATAGTAGGACTGTGCCACCTTTATTCCCTGCATGTATCTCATGTACTTCTAACCAATGTACTTCCAACCAACAATTTATTATATTTCTCACTCATCTCCAGGGACTGGCAGACTGGTGGATATGTGCATCTTGCAAGCTAAAACACATGCCAGGCACAGGTCATGGCACAACTGGCTGATAAACTAAGTGGCTGGAAGGAACAGCTGTGTTAATTAATTACTTCACTCACTGCCACCTGAGACCAACTTCAGCTGATCCTTGCTGCTCATGTCCAAGTGAACTTTTCTATATTCACAGATTCCCTGAATGGGTATCTTCAAAATGGAGCATAAGTTATTTTATGTCTGGAAAGGGCTGGGGAAAGACTGATAACCTGATCACATTTAAGATTTAACATGCGCGTAGCTGAAGTCTCTGTTTGGTGCACTTACATCTCTCATACTACTAGAAGACACCGTGACAGAAGCTGGAAGTATAAAGTGAAGGCTTACCAAAATCATCTCAGATTATTAAAATGCATCTATTGCATTATTATATTTTATTTAAAATGATAATCATATTTTATTTAAAATGAAAAATCCAGGAAGATGCTAAAGTGAGCGGGCAGTAGGATATGTGGTCATTTTTTTTTTTTTAGACACAGTCTCACTCTGTCACCCAGGCTGGAGTGCAGTGGTGCAATCATGGCTCACTGCAGTCTTGATCTCCCAGGCTCAGGTGATCCTCCCACCTCAGCCTCCCAAGTAGCTGGGACTACAAGTGCGTGTCACCACAGCCAGCTAATTTTTGTATTTTTTGTAGATACAGTGTTTTGTCATGTTGCTCAGGCTGGTCTTGAACTCCTGGGCTCAAGCCATTTGCCCACCTCAGCCTCCCAAAGTGCTGGGATAACAGATGTGAGCCACTGCGTCCCACCTGTGGTCACCTATTTCATAAGGCTTTATGGTAGATTGTTTCCATAATCGTTCCAAGTGAAGTATGCTACCTTGTATACATACCAGTGGTATACCTAGTACATTTGACCCACAGTACAATTTTTTTAACCAAAATTTATTGGTAATGCAAAATAAACCATCATTCTCTTTAGGCTCTATAAAGATATGAGTCCCCTGTTACTGACTTTGCCTAAAATACAGCAAGCTTTTCTAATTTATAGGCTCAAATTGGTTGTTTTCTTTTTTTTTCTCTCAGCCACATTTTCCTCAGTTACATCTTTCATTTTCGTTTCTGTTCCCATTGTTCTCATTTGCTCCTCAGGCAATCCTATACTTATTAAATTTGATTTTTTTTTACTCTTCTCCATCTTTATCATCTCCTTTCTCATTATTTTAAGCTGTTTTTGTGGCTTTTTCTTTTTTTAGAAAATTTTCAGATCTGCCCTCTCCATCACAAATCCCATTTTCTTAGTACTTATTCTGTTCTTTACTACTTTCAAAGTAAACTTACAAATCACAAATATAAAAGATACTTAGGTCCCACCCCCAGATATTCCAATTTAATACTCTGGAGTGTGGCCCAAGCAGGTTTTTTTTAAATTGTGGTAAAATATACATGGCATACAATTTGTCATTTTAGCCTCTTTTAAGTGTGCAATTCAGTGTCATTAAATACATTTACATTGTTGGCAACCATCACCAGCATCTATTTCCAGAAATTTTTTCATCTTCCAAGCAGATAATTTTTAACAACTCCCTCTTTGACATGAAAAAATTATTCTCAGAAATAATCATAAAATAAAATGAATCATAATAATGATCAGAAAAGAAATATAGTAAAAATGTTCTTCTATTCAACTTTTATACAATACTGCCAGTAAAAAATAAAGAGCAAATATACACTAAAAAGCACATTGACTTATTTAATGGCTTTTCTGTCTGCCTAACCATTTGAACTTTGACTCTTTGGCTCAAGCAATCCTCCTACCTCAGCCTCCCAAAGTGCTGGGATTACAGGCATGAGTCACTGTGCCCAGCCTGATTTCTAATTTAGAATCTACTGTATAAATTCAGGAATAGGTAGTGCTATGGGGATTGGAGACAGGATCCAAGGGAGCTCAAATTATTCATAAATGTTGAAAATGTAATTTTGCAACCAACACAGGTAGCTGAGTCTATGTGTGTTGGAGGCAACTATATAATTGGAAATTCTCTGAATTAGCTACCATGTAGAATAAAACGTTTATTTAAAAAGTAATAAAAATGTGGCTAGGTGAGTGATGAAAACAACTCTCAGTGGAGAGGGGAGCTGGAAAGGGGATGGGAAGGGCAGGTCGCTCTCCCCTGAGGTTAAGTTACCTCTTAACCTCACGCCTGGTGGCTCACACCTGTAATCCTAGCACTTTGGGAGGCTGAGGCAGGCAGATCACTTGAGGTCAGGAGTTCAAAACCAGCCTGTCCAACGTGGTAAAACCCCATCTCTACTAAAAATACAAAACATTAGTGGGGCATGCTGGTGAGTGCCTGTAATCCCAGCTACTTGGGAGGCTGAGGCTGGAGAATCCCTTGAAACCAGGAGGCAGAGATTGCAGTGAGCCAAGATCAAACCACTGCAATCCAGCCTGGGCAACAGAGCGAGACTCCATCTCATAAAAAATAATAATCATAAAATAAAATAAAATGTAATAGTATCTGTAACAATTACTAAAACTAAACCAACAAAATAATTTTTCAGGAAGGAGTATGCTATCATTGCCATTATCTAGAATTAATGGCTCACTGTGCTAATAAAAATCAAAGTAATTTTTAGTAGGTTTTAGTACTGTTTCAAGATTCTCAATGGACAATACATCTGCTTAGTGCCTGCTCTTAAGATAGGCTGCTCTCATGGTCCCACCTTTGGCACATCACTGGTCCATACTTTGTTAGACCCCTCCCACTGATCCAATGATAGAGGCTGGAGGAAGAGAAATTCTAGGCAGACAGGGGCGGGTCTCTGGCAAAACCTCACCTTCCAGGTGAAAAGCCTGAAACCCAGCACCCAAAGTGAGAACTTGCATCCCTGTGTGCCTGCTCTTTCCCTCCCTATTGGTTCTTTCTGAATAATGTCTTTCTACCAATCAAATATTGCCTGTTCCAAAGCTATCTACGGCCTTCCCCACCGCATCCTGTGTCTGTAAAGACTCCAGACTCAGCTGGCAGAGGAGAGAAGTGGCTGGATGTTGGGAAGAAGCAAGTTGACCTCAGAGAAAGCAGCTGGATGTCAGAAAGAGGCAATTTGACTTCCGAAGAGAGAGACAGAGAGGTGACTTAACCTCAGGGGAGAGCAACCTGCCCTTGAGACAGAGAGGTGACTTAACCTCAGGGGAGAGCAACCTGCCCTTCCCATCCCCTTTCCAGCTCCCCTCTCCGCTGAGAGTTGCTTTCATCACTGAATAAAATTCTCCACATTCACCATGCTTCAGTTCGTCTGTATGACCTCATTCCTTTTGAGCACCAGAAAAGAATTCGGGATGCACTAAGCACAGGTACCCAAAAAAAGCTGTCATACTGGCCCTTTGCCCTCACTGGTGGAGGGAAGCTGCCCCATGTGACACTGCTGTTTGCAGACAGCAGAGCTAAGGGAGCATTGTAACACACCCTCTGGGGCCTTGGAGTCATAGGCACCCCAACCTGGATGCTGCCGTGGGGCCTGCATGGAGTTTGCTCCTGCTGGTTCCCACACTTGCTCACTTGAGCACTCCCTCCCCTGAGGAGTGGAGCACAGTAGACCCGAGAGAGTGGAGTTTGCTCCTTACGGCACCTAAGTTCTCCCACCTGTGAGGGGTTGAGCAGGGTGGGCTGAGTTAAAGGGGCACTTCTGTCGCAAGTCCTACAAAGGGGTCAAGAAAATATCCTGCAGCACCACAGTGACTCCAGGCTTGGCACTGTGATTTGCTTTGCCCTCTCTTACACCCTTGAGGTTGCCATATAAAAAAGCCTGAGCTAGTAGGCTTCATGCTGGAGTCATTTGGCCCAACCAACAGCAGCACTAACCGCCAGGCACGTAACTGCATTTTTCAGAAAATCTAGCCCCAGTCAAGCTACCTCACGATTTCAGTCACATGAGTAATTCCCAGCAATACCAATAGAAGAATATCTCATCTGAGTCCAGCTCGAGTTGCGTTGGCCCATAAAATTATTAGCAAATAAAATGGATGATGTTTCAAGGCACTATGTTTTGGGGTTGATTTTTGTGCAGCAATAGGTAATTAATATACCATTGTAAGAAGTTTGGTTTTTATTTTGAGTGAGATGGGAAGACATTCGAATATTTCGAGCCAGAGTGACATGATCTGACCTTTCAAGAAGATTACTCTGGTTGCTATGTTGGAAAAAAAACCACAACAACATAGGTAGCCAAAGAAAGAAGGAGGGAGACAATTTAGCAAGGTGATACAGTAAGCTAGTTGAGACATGATGGTGGCAGTCGGGTAGTAGCAGTGCAGATGATGAGAAATGGTCAGAATCTGGGTTCTAAATTATGAGAAAGTTTGTTGATAGATTTAATGTGAGGTGAAAGAAAGAGAATCAAGAAGTCTCAAGGATTTTTTGGCCAGATGATGACATGAGAAAAAGGGCAAAACTAGTAAGCTGGGGGAGGACAATAACATCAGGGATTCTGTTCAGGAATGTTAAGTTAGAAATACCTATAGACATCCAGTCTGCAGGACAATGATTCTTGATTTATATATGAGATATAAACTTCAGAGTTGTGAGCATAGAAATAAGATTGAAAGCCATGAGTCTAGATGGAATTTTCTAGGGATTTAGAGCAAATTGAGAAGATCCAATAACTAAATTCTGAGACAGACACTTCAATGTTTAGAGCAGCTGTTCTCAAAGTATGATCTGTGGTCCCATGGGGTTCCCTAAGACTCTTATATGGAAACCTGGAGGTCAAAACTACATTTTCATAATCATACAAAGATATTATCTGCCTTTTTTTTTTCTTTTTTTACTGTGTTGACAATCGCACTGAAATACAAAAACAATGGTGGGTAAATTGCTGTCACTTCAGCATAAATCAAAGACAGTGGTACTAAACTCAATTAGAAGTTATTATATGCTTCACCACTGTTGCTCTTGTAGTTAAAATGAAATGCCAACTATTGTTCTCGTAGTTTAAAATGAAAATGTAAGAATGCCTCTGAGGAGAGAGTAACCATTCCTGATGATCCTTTATTACACATCTATTTATTAACAATGTTCAGTGTAAAAACATGGAAACTTCTCATAAAGTACTTCTGGTCCAAAGTAAAATACTTTGATTGGCTCAAGGAAAGACACTTGTGCCATTGTTTGAATTGAAGGCTGGATGACTTTCTTTATGAAACACATTTTTTTATCTGAAAATCAACTAACAGAAAAATTAGGTTTATTCAAACTTGGGTTTTTGGCAGACATTTTCTTGAAAATAAACCAAGTAGGCCGGGTGCGGTGGCTCACGCCTGTAATCCCAGCACTTTGGGAGGCCGAGGTGGGTGGATCACGAGGTCAGGAGATTGAGACCATCCTGGCTAACATAGTGAAACCCTGTCTCTACTAAAAATACAAAAAAATTAGCCGGGCGCGGTGGCGGGTGCCTGTAGTCCCAGCTACTCGGGAGGCTGAGGCAGGAGAATGGCGGGAACCCAGGAGGCGGAGCTTGCCGTGAGCCGAGATCGCGCCACTGCGCTCCAGGCTGGGTGACAGAGAGAGATTCCGTCTCAAAAAAAAAAAAAAAAAAAAAAAAAAAAGAAAGAAAATAACCAAGTGACCTTGTCACTTTAAGGAAAACAACTGACTGTATTTGTTGCCAGTGATAACATTTAAACTTTCAAGCAAAAATTTTGGAAGATTTGCCTCTGTAAGCTTGACAGCTTCCCAATATTGTCAGGTGAGATCAGTAGTGATATTAGGAAATGTGATTTTTTGATATTATATAATGAGATGTGTCAACATTTGAAAAATCTGCATAATTCAGGGAACTAATATTTTCTAATTGACCAATGCATAATGTTACAAAATCATGAATGGGTAAAAAAGCCATTTAAAGTGCAGGATAGACAATAGATTTTCACATAACTGAGTACAAAAAGTTTACTGATACAGCTTTAGATTGCACTTTACAAGTGACCTTCAAGAAACTACCACTTGGAGTTCAAGTACAAAATCAAAGGGGGACATCCAAAATTATTTCAAAAGACTATTAAAATACTCTTCCTTTTTCCAAATATATTACCTAAGTTAGGTCAGATTTTCTTCATATCCTTCAACCCAAACAATGCATTAGAATAGATTGAATTAGAAGGAGAAATGACACTCCAGCTGTCTTCTTTTAAACTAGAATAGGAGTGGGCAAACCTTTTCCATGAAAGTCCAAATAGTTGATATTTTAGGATTTGCCTGCCATATAGTCTCTCTTTGTCACAAATATGCAACTCTTTCATTGTAGTGAGAAAGCTGCCACAAATACTGTGTAAGTTAATGAACATGGTTGTATTCCAATAAATATTTATAAAAACAAGCAGTGGTCTGAATTTGTCCAATAGGCTGTAGTTTGCAGAACCTAGCCCCACACTAGACAGTAAATACATTTTCAAAACTATAAAACAATACCAGTTTTCTCACTAATTTGTTTTGAAAAACAGTTTTTTTCATAAAAATTGTACATAGGTTTTGAAAATGTAGCTATTTTTTCATAAAAATTGTATTTCTGTTAACATGTAGTGGGTTTCTAATTATCATACTTAAACAAATTAATCAATAATTCTTTTCAAGTCTCAACTTTAATTTCTGATACAATCATAACTGATAGATAAAAGCCACATAACCAAAAGCTCTTTGAGAGCTTTAATAATTTTTAAGAATGTAAATGGGGCCTTGATACCAAAAAGTTTGAAAACTACTGGTTTATAGGCAGGAGACATGAGAAGAAATGAGTAAATGAGACAATGGAGGAGTGGCCCATTGAGGAAGGCAGACAACTGGAAATGGGATATCCTGGAAACCAAGTGAACAAATTGTTTCAAGGAGGAGAGTGTGAGACTAACTGTGTCAACTGATAATAGCATCATCAAAATGCTAATGGTAAGGAGGACCAGGTCCAGTGGCTCACACCTGTAATTCCAGCACTTTGGGAGGCCGAGGAGGGAGGATCGCTTGAGCCCGGGAGTTCGAGACCAGCCTGAGAAACATAGCAAGACCTTATCTCTGTAAAAAATAAAAAAACTAGCTTGGTGCTGTGGCACACCCCTGTGGACCCAGCTACTTGGGAGGCTGAGATGGGAGGATCACTTGAGCCCAGAAGGTCAAAGCTGCAGTGAGCCATAATTGTACCACTTCACTCCAGATACTGGTCTCAAAAAAATGCTAATGATAAGGAACCAATAGACAGGGAAATGTTAAGCTTCAAGAGACAGAAGGGCTAATCACTCACTGTAGGACACTGGAGAAGAGGAAGGCATCCAGGGCACTTGTCTTTGTCCATTTGGGTTGGGGAGGCCTTTGCTGAGGGTGAGAAGACCTCATCTACTGGCAAAGAGGACTAATCAGAATTTAGGGACTCAAGGTCCCCAGGTTCATCAGGGTCTACCCACATGTCCCCATTCCAACTTATAGGATTTCATTCTTTCCCAGTTGGTGCCTATACTTTGACAGTAGATACCCTACACTATAGGAAATAAGGCTGTCCTTTATGGCACACCTAGAAGCTCTTAGGTTATTTATGCTGTGCTTGACCTGGGAATTTAAATTCCTGAGCTCATCATTTTCTTTCATTACTTTATCCAGTGGCATTAGTAGCAACCAATCAACATCATTATATTTTTCAGTTTTACAAAAATATTTGAAACTATCATATACAGAGTTACTCACCTCCTTGCCTCTTATAAGGGGTTGATTAGGAATATCCAATGCAGATATTTTGCATATTTCTATAAACAATTCACAGCATGGACTATTAGTGCTTTCTTTACTACGGGAAATGAGATCCTGAGCATTTTTAGATCTAATCAGATTAAAGAGCCAGTTCCAGAACCCCAAAACCAATTCAGAAAACTCATTTAAAAAATTCTGTTCCTCTAGAATCACTCTTGTTACCAAAATCTGTATTAGTTAAGGTTCTCTAGAGAATTACAACTAATAAGATACATAGAAAGATAGATATATGAGAGGATTTATTACGGGAATTGGCTCATGTGATTATGGAGGACAAGAATTAGAATGATACGCTGTTTTGCAAGCTGGAGAACCAAGAAAGCTAATAGTGTAATTCAGTCTGAATCTCAAAGCCTGAGAATCAGGGGAGCCAATGCTGTAACTCTCAGTTCAAAAGCCTGAAAGCCAGGGACAAGTAGTGTATGTGTATAGGCGTTGCTGGTGTGAGTCCTGAGAGCCTGGAACTCTGGTATTCCAAGGCAGGGGATGATGGTTGTTTTGGCTACACAAGAAAGTGAGAATTTGCCTTTTCTTTGCCTTTTTGTTCCATCTGGGCACTCAAGGGATTGGATGGTGCCTGCCTACATTGGCAAGGGTGGATTATCTTTACTGAGTCTACTGAGCCGAATGCTAATCTCTTCTGGAAACACCTTCAGAGACACACCCAGAAATGTTTTATCAGCTATTTGTGTTATCACTTAACCCAGTCAACTTGACACATACAATGAACTGTCAAGGCACTGGTTGAAGAAATTGCTTTAAATGAGTGAAAAGTTCCCACTTCTGAAACAAGAGGTAGTAAATAAAGGATGAAGGCAGCTGTGGGCAAATTTATAGGTGCAGGAGCAGGAAACTAAGAGTGTTAATCTGATGGTTTCTATTTTCACTTTGAAGTAGGACTGAAGCATCTTTTGAAATGAGGGGGTGAAGTGTTTCGGAGGCTTAGAAGAGTAGGAAAAGTGAAAGGCTGAAGAAATGAGGAGAGAGAGCTGATGAGGAAAATTAGAGGGTTTCCAGGTAATGTTGACTTTTCAGGAGGGGTTAGAAATTGTGACTGTATTGTGGCACCAATCTATATGATTGATGGATTTTCTCTAGCAAATATTTAACAGCCCAGGTATTAGTACAGAGAAAGTAGACAATAAACCTGCTAGACCAGGAGTAGGCAAACTTTTCCTATAAAGAGCCAGATAGTACATATTTTAGGATTTGCAGGCTGTACAGTTTCAATCACAGCTATTCAACTCTGCCTTTGTAGTATAAAATCAGCCACAGATAATATATAAACAAATGAGCATGGCTGTGTTCCAGTAACACTTATGTTCACTGAAATCTGAATTTAACACGTTTCATGTCACAAAACATTACTCGTCCTTTGATTTTTTTTCAACTGTTTAAAAACAAAAAATTCTTAGCTTGTGGGCCATACAAAAATTGGCAGCAGGTTGATTTGGTCTGTGGGGTCCGTAGTTTGTAAACCTCTGCCCTAAACTATGTGGCAAATTAGAGAAAGGTACATGCTCAGGACAGATCTACCCCAGGACTCTGAGCAAAGCTTTAGTTTTTTCCCATTTGTCCCCTTTGCTGGGTGCTTTTGTGCAGTGCACAGACTGCTCTTATGCTTTCAGATTTGGGGGACTATCAGACCCCCAAATGATGGTTGTTTCGGATACAGCATGGAAAGTGAGGATATCGGCACAAAAATGGCTGAAAAGACGGGTCACTTTAGTGTTATCTGAATAGGGGTGGGAGGTAAGGTGGAAAGGTGCTGATAGACATCCAGTCAAGGGGATCAAGGGCCATTAAGTATTTTTTTTTCTTTTTTGAGACAGAGTCTTGCTGTTGGCTCTTGTCGCCCAGGCTGGAGTGCAATGGTGAGATCTCGGCTCACTGCAACCTCTGCCTACTGGGTTCAAGCAATTCTCCTGCCTCAGCCTCCAGAGTAGCTGGGATTACAGGTGCCTGCCGCCATGCCCGGCAAATTTTTGTATTTTTAGTAGAAACAGGGTTTCACCATGTTGGCCAGGCTGGCCTCAAGCTCCTGACCTCGGGTGATCCGCCCACCTCAGCCTCCCAAAGTGCTGGGATTACAGGCCACTGCGCCCAGCCCTATTAAGTATTTATGAGCTCAAGGAACCAATATAATAGGAATGATTGAGGGAAGAGTTGGAACATTAAAGTTCTAGAGAGGTATGTTGGAATGTATGAACTAAGAGTGAAAGAGTTTAGGTAATTTTACGATGTAGTGTGTGGCACATCCAAGGGGACAAAGTCTTTGATGAGAAAGAGAAAATGGCCACGTTGTCAGTAAGTGACAGCACCAACAGAGATTAGAGGTTGACACAGCTGATGTCGTGAACATAAAGAAACAATGAGAGTAAAAATGTAATGATCTGGAAATGGTTCAGGGACAAAGGGAAGATCAGTCACTCTAACTCATGCCTGACATTCTCTTGTCCTCTCCCTTCCAAAAATTAGCTCCCAATTTGCTTCTATACCCCAAGAATTTAGGTCCTTTAAGATCCTTTTCTTTCCTCCCAAAGAACTGGTCAGGAACTGGGAAGAAAACATTAGTGAAGAAATTTAGAGGTTAACATATAAGAAATAGAAAAGCTGGGGATGTGTATAAGTAGCAGGTTTTGCTTCATTGTAGTTACATATTTCAACTTCTGACTAGAATCTCCACTTGAATGAATCAGAGGCTTCTTAAGCTCAATATGTGCAAAATAGAACTGAATTTCCTCCTTGACATATTCTGCCTATGCTGCCAGGTAAACTCCTGCCTGCTTTTGTGTAACTCTCTCAGTAAAAGATATTACCAGACCCTCCCCTCACCCGATTCCTTCCATAGGTTTCCTTAGTCTGTCCAACTATCTTCATACCCAGGGCTACCCCTCTGCTTTAGGCTCTCATCATCTCTGACTTGGATTATTAGAACATCCTTTCAGTGAACTCCCTAATAACCCTGCTTTATTTAAATTTTCATAAGTTGTTCATCATGGTTTTTTTGCATTAATTTGATTTTGTAAAATATTGCATTAAAATTTCATTTATCTTGATTCCCAAATATTTTGGTGCCTCCTTAAGGTGTGCACAAAAAGCAAGTGCTGTCCTCATTTCACTCTTGTCCTCGCCCTTCTCCTACCTCCAGTCTTGTCTCCCTCAATCTGTTTTCCATTTAGCCAGGCAGCCAGTCAACTAAAATACGTAAGTAATCATGCCACATTCCTGCTTAAAATTCATCAAAGTATTCCCCTCAGGTTAATTCCACAAGACCTCACCAGATCAATCTTGTTCTGGTCCCTGCTTTCTATTTCAACCTCTATTCTGGATTTCCTCTTTTTCCTCTATTTGTCATTGCCATGGCTAACATCATGTACTGACACAGAATGAACACATAATGTTCTTAGAGCTTTACATGTATTACTTTATTCTATATGATGAGGTGATACAGATACTATTATATTATTTCTGTATTATTTTATAGCCAAAGATACTGCTATAAAGAGTTACCTGAGGTTGGGAATTTATTTTAGAAAGAAGTTTATTTGGCCTACGATTCTGCAGGCTGTACAAGCATGGCGTCAACATCTGCACAGCTTCTAGTGAGGCCTCAGGAAGCTCACAATCATGGTGGAAGGCAGAGCGGGAGCTGGCATACCACATGGCAAGAGAGGGAGCAAGAGAGAGAGAGAGATGCGTGTCGTGCCATGTTCTTTTAAACAATCAGCTCTCGTGTGAACTCATAGAGAACTCAGTCATTACCATGAGGACAGCACCAAGACATTCATGAGGGATCTGCTCCCATAACCCAAATTCCTCCCCCTAGGTCCACCTCCAACATTAGGGATCACACTTCAGCATGAGATTTGGAGTGGACACACATCCAAACCACGTCAGTCACTAAGCTATAAAGTTTCATAGTTCCCTTCCCCTAGGTCTTTATATGCTTTTCTACATTTCCCCTCCTTGGAAAACTCTCCAATATCCTGCTGTGGTTACTTCCTGCAGTAGGTTGATTAGTGGCTCTCCTAAGGCATTCACATCCCAATCCCTGGAACCTGTTACCTAACGTGGTAAAATGATTTTGCAGTTGTGATCAGGTTCAGAATTTGAGATAGGAAATTATCCTTGTATTATCTGAATGGGCCCAATGTAATTACAAAGGCCCTTCCAAGAGTGAGGCAGGGAGATCAGAGTGAGAGAGAAGATATGATGATGGAAGCAGAGAGGTTAGAGTGATGCCATTGCTGGTAGGGGGCCATGAGGAATGTAGGCAGCCTCTGAAAGTCAGAAAAGGCAAAGAACAGACTATTGCTTACAGCCTCCAGAGAGAATGCAGCCCTGCTAACACCTTGATCTTGGACTTTCAATGTCCAGTACTGCAAGCTAATACATTTGTGTTATTGTAAGCCATTAAATTTCTGGTAATTTGTTACAGTAGCAATGGGAAACTAATACACTTCCTCTGGAATGCCTTTCCTGGTCCCCTCAAATTATGTTAGATGCTCTTCCCAAATGTTCCCACAACTTCCTGTCCTTGCCTCTCACCCAGCACTTGCCGTATTGCATTGCATTTCCTGGTTGTGAGCCCATCTCTACCTCTAGATGGTAAGTTCCTTTGACTGGGATCTTGTTCTTTTGTATCCTGAGAACTTTACTTAAAAGATACACAACTGGAGCTCAACAGACATTTGTTGAGTGAATAAATGAATGTGATTCCTCAGTCAAAGAGGGTTCGGATTATGTGTTTATACTACAATTATGTTTAAAATGACGATTATTAAGTTTAAAATGCAACCAAATTTGCCTTCCTGTTAAGAAAAAATAAAAATATAGAGGACACAGAGTGGGCTTTTTTCTAAGTATCCCATGAACACTGCAGGGGGAAGCAGTTACCTTGACGATAATGAGAAACCTGCTTTCTTCAGAGAAGCAAATGAAGCAATAAAACAAGAGAGGGTAAAGTAATTAAGAAATGCTGGGCCGGGCACGGTGGCTCACGCCCGTAATCCCAGCACTTTAGGAGGCCGAGGAGGATTACCTGCGGTCAGGAGTTCAAGAGCAGCCTGGCCAACGTGGTGACACCCTGTCTCTACTAAAAATACAAAAATTAGCTGGGTGTGGTAGTGCACACCTGTAATCCCAGCTATTCGGGGGGGGGGGGGGGGCGCTGAGGTAGAATAAAAATATAAAGGACAGAGAGTGGGCTTTTTTCTAAGTATCCCATGAACACTGCAGGGGGAAGCAGTTTCCTTGACGATAATGAGAAACCTGCTTTCTTCAGAGAAGCAAATGAAGCAATAAAACAAGAGAGGGTAAAATAATTAAGAAATGCTGGGCCAGACACGGTGGCTCACGCCTGTAATCCCAGCACTTTCGGAGGCCAAGGCAGATTACCTGTGGTCAGGAGTTCAAGACCAGCCTGGCCAACGTGGTGACACCCTGTCTCTACTAAAAATGCAAAAATTAGCTGGGTGTGGTGGTGCCCGCCTGTAATCCCAGCTATTCGGGGAGGCGCTGAGGTAGAATAAAAATATAAAGGAAAGAGAGTGGGCTTTTTTCTAAGTATCCCATAAACACTGCAGGGGGAAGCAGTTACCTTGACGATAATGAGAAACCTGCTTTCTTCAGAGAAGCAAATGAAGCAATAAAACAAGAGAGGGTAAAGTAATTAAGAAATGCTGGGCCGGGCACGGTGACTCAGGCCTGTAATCCCAGCACTTTAGGAGGCCGAGGTGGATTACCTGTGGTCAGGAGTTCAAGACCAGCCTGGCCAACGTGGTGACACCCTGTCTCTACTAAAAATACAAAAATTAGCTGGGTGTGGTGGTGCACGCCTGTAATCCCAGCTATTCGGTGGGGGGCTGAGGTAGGAGAATTGCTTGAACCTGGGAGGCGGAGGTTGCAGTGAGCTGAGATCACACCACTGCACTCCAGCCTGGGCAACAGAGTGAGACTCTGTTTCAAAAAAAAGAAAAAGAAGAAAAGAAAATCTGAAGTTTAACATAGGCTTATACATTTTTTACATAGTAAGACACATACTTAGAAATGACATATGTGCCAGCTACAAGAAGTTTTTATTCACGACAGTGGTGAATTGAGTGGGACTGTGCTTGGCTTGCTACTGTTGAATATGACTCAAACACAAGTCAGGAACACATGACATTTTATTCCTATTTTCCTTTTGTTGTGAGTCTTTGTAATGCTCTATGTCTTAGTCCATTCAGCTGATATAACAAAATATCATAAACTGGGTAACTTATAAATGATAAATATTTATTTCTCATGGTTCTGGAGGCTGGGAAGTATAAGCTGAAGGCACTGGCAGATTTGATGTCTGGTGAGGGCCTGCTTCCTGGTTCACAGAATGACACCTTCTCACTGTGCGCATGAGGTGGAAGGGCAAGACAGCTGTTGGGGGCCTCTTTTATAGGGGTACTAATCCCATTCATGAGGGTTCCATCCTCACAACACCACAATGGCCCCATCTCTTAATATTATCACATCAGAGATTAGGTTTCAACATATGATTTTTGGGGGGACACGTTCAGACCACAGCACCTAATTTAACAGTGTAATTTCAGTATGTTGATTCTCAAAGGGAGAAGTCATTACAGAATCACCTGTTTCTCTCCCATCCTATACCTCACCAACTGTTTTAATAGTCTGGCATGGTGTTACTGGGTCATCTGCTCAGGGTATTACAAGGCTTAGACCAGGTGTTAGTCAGACTGAGTTTTTATCTGGTGGTTCTGGAGAAAAAAATCTGCTTCCAAGTTCAGTGGTACAGTTAGCACAATTCAGTCCCTTGTGGTTGTGGAACTGAGGTCCCATTTCCTTCCTGGCTATCAGCTAGGAATTTCTCTCAGCAACTAGAGGCTGCTTTTAGGTACTCTTCCTGGGGCCACAATTGTCACTTTACAACACAGATGCTATGCCTAAAAACTTAACAATAAATATTATCAAATATCCAGGTAAGATTAAAATTTCCCTGATTGTCTCAGAAATGGTCTTGCAGTTTGTTAACAGAAGGATCCAATCAGGATTCAAACATTGCCTTTGGTTGAATTATGTCTTAAATCTTTTAAAATATAAAACATTTCTCCAGTTCTTTATTTTTCTTGCAATGTATTTGTTGAAGAAACACGAATTTGTTTACAGAATTGTCTTTATTTTAGATCTTCCTGATTGCATCCCAATGCTGTTATTTAACATGCTCCTCTGTCTACTGTATTTTTTATAAAATTGGCAAATAGGTATGAGGTTTGATTCAACTCAGTTTCAATTTTATTTAAAGCAGGAATATGTCATGGGAAGTATTGTTTGCACTATTGCATCAAATCAGGAGACACATAAGGTTGGTTCTCTTTCTGTGATGTCAGCAAGAATTAATCACCATTGCCTGGACCCAAGATTTCATTATGAGTTGCAGACAGGTGATATTTTAATTTTACCAATTCTTCTTCATTTATTAACTACAATATTTCTTATAGACAAACTTTCTCGCATCAACTATTCCCTTAGGTTACCCTGAGGTGCAGTTCTTCCAGGAAGGGCAAGATAAACACTTGATTCATTCTTTTTGTTGTTTCTGTTTTTAGAATAACATATTGGTTTCCCAGCATTCTCCAAAAGAATCAATAAGTTTGTTGGTCATTTCTTTTTTTTTGAGATGGAGTCTCGCTCTGTCGCCCAGGCTAGAGTGCAGTGGCGTGATCTCAGCTCACTGCAAGCTCTGCCTCCTGGGTTCACGCCATTCTCCTGCCTCAGCCTCCAGAGTAGCTGGGACTACAGGCGCCTGCCACCATGCTTGGCTAATTTTTTTGTATTTTTAGTAGAGATGGGGTTTCACCGTGTTAGTCAGGATTGTCTCAATCTCCTGACCTCGTGATCCACCTGCCTCGGCCTCCCAAAGTGCTGGGATTATAGGTGTGACCCACTGTACCTGGCCTGTTGGTCATTTCTTGTTGCAGGAAGTCAGGGACCCTGAATGGAGGGACCTGCTGGAGCTGGTCTCTTAATCCTGTTATCTTTGTAAGCTGAGGATATATGTCACCTCAGGACCACTGTGATAATTGTGTTAACTGTACAAATTGATTGTAAAACATGTGTGTTTGAACAATAAGAAATCAGTGCACCTTGAAAAAGAACAGAATAACAGCAATTTTTAAGGAACAAGGGAATGTCTTCATAAGTCACCCCACCATAAGGTCTGACTGCCTGTGGGGTCGGGCAAAAAGAGCCATATTTTTCTTCTTGCAGAGAGCCTACAAGTGGACGTGCAAGTAGGGAAGATATCACTAAATTATTTCCCTAGCAAGGAATATTAATATTAATACCCTGGGAAAGGAATGCATTCCTGGGGGGAGGTCTATAAATGGCCGCTATGGGAATGTCTGTCTTGTGCAGTTGAGATAAGGACTGAGATATGCCCTGGTCTCCTGCAGTACCCTCAGGCTTACTAGGGTGGAGAAAAACTCCGCCGTGGTAAATTTGTGGTCAGACCTGTTCTCTGCTCTTGAACCCTGTTTTCTGTTGTTTAAGATGTTTATCAAGACAATACATGCACCGCTGAACATAGATACTTATCAGTAGTTCTGCTTTTGCCCTTTGCCTTGAGATGTTTGTTGGACCCTTATCAGTAGTTCTGCTTTTGCCCTTTGCCTTGAGATCTTTGTTGGACCCTTATCAGTAGTTCTGCTTTTGCCCTTTGTCCTGTTCCCTCAGAAGCATGTGATCTTTGTTAGACCCTTATTAGTAGTTCTGCTTTTTGCCCTTTGAAGCATGTGATCTTTGTACCTACTCCCTGTTCTTACACCCCCTCCCCTTTTGAAATCCTTAATAAAAACTTGCTGGTTTTGAGGCTCAGGCGGGCATCATGGTCCTACCAATATGTGATGTCACCCCAGCAGCCCAGCTGTAAAATTCCTCTCTTTGTACTGTCTCTCTTTATTTCTCAGCCAGCTGACACCTACAGAAAATAGAAAGAACCTACATTGAAATATTGGGGGCAGGTTCCCCTGATAATTTCTGTAGTAGTAGTTGTTGTTAATATCATTATGAACTCTGGATTATTGCAAATTTGATGTGTTCCAATTAATTGCAGGTATTGATCTTCTTGATGCTCAAATCGCTCCATCTCTGGCTACTGGGAGCCTCTTTTATTGGCTCCTGTGTTCCTTTGTTGTGATCCTATCAGTCTTGGATAGATTTCTTGCTTTCCAGTATGATCAACTCATCTTGATTTGTCTTCCTATTAGCCTTTTCTCTATAGACATGTCTTGGTTCTTTTAAGTAGGAAATAGCATTTAGAGTAAAGGCCACAATCTCAGCACTGGGTGAATTCATTGTTACTGCTTGGTAAATATTTATAAGACATTTCCATGAATACAGTTAGAAAAAAACTTAAATAAATAAATAAATAAAACATCATGCCTGTAATCCCAGCACTTTGGGATGCCAAGGCAGGAGGATTGCTTGAGCCCAGGAATTCCATACCAGCCTGGGCAACATGGTAGGACCCCATCTCTATAAAAAAATTTTTTTTTAAGTTAGCTGGGTGTGGTGGTGTGTGTCTGTTGTTCCAGCTACTTGGGAGGCTGAGCTGGGAGGATCACTTGAACCCAGAAGGTTGAGGCTGCAGTGAGCTGTGATTGCATCACTGCGCTACTGCACTCCAGCCTGGGTGACATGGCAAGACCGGCCTCAAAAGGAAAAAAAAGAAAAAGAAAAGAGAAAATATATTATAAATTCATACTATTCATAAGGTTATTTCTAACTATAAATTAGGATGACTATATTCATTTAATTTTTATATGGTATCTCTTTTTTTCCAACCCTGAAAATCTTGGTTCCTGAAGAGATTGAAATAATTGTGTGAACACTCTTTCTCTATACGTAAACATACATACATATATATATAATTACAGATATATAATACTGGTATTATTACTAGCAATATGATCACAAAATAGTTTAAGATTTTTTTTGTAGTTACTTTTGTCCTTAGGCCATTTCCCACTAGGGATGTTTAGATAAATTCCTATATTGTAAAAGAACTTAAAATACTTCTTTTCTGTGTGGTTAATTTTCCATATCTCTACCTTGTTATTTCATTTTGTTTTCAATTAAAATTTTATTTTGGTTTATTTTACTTTATAAAGATGTATTAGTCTGTTCTTGCATTGCTATAAAGAACTATCTGAGCCTAGGTAATTTATAAAGAGGTTTAGTTGGCTCATGGTTATGCAGGCTGTACAGGAAGCATGGCTGGGGAAACTTGCAATCATGGCAGAAGGCAAAGAGAAAGGAGGCACGCCTCACATGATCAGGAAGGAGAAAGACAGCGATAAGGGGTGGGGGTGCCACACGCTTTTAAACAACCAGATCTCATGAGAAATCACTATCATGAGATCAGCAAGGGGGAAAGCTGCCCCCATGATCCGATCACCTCTCACCAGATCCCTCCTCCAATACCGGGGATTACAATTCATCATGAGATTTGGGCAGGGACACAAATCCAAACCATATCAAATGATATAAATCACTTACATGCCTCCAAAGCTGATACTATCAAACAAGGTACATTCAGAAAAGTTTAGCTTCATTACTTTTTTACTCACTCTGTCCTCTCTTCCCCCCATAGGTAACCATTTTTGTTTATCCTCCATTTAAAAATAATATATACAAATAGATTTCTCTGTATTATATTTGCACTCCTTTCTTAGATAAAAGATGCTTTTTTTTCCAAAACATGCTTGTTTTTTAATGTTTACCTAGTAAACCCTGGCGATTACACCACAGTCATATGTAGATATTTATTTTATGGCTGAATATTATTCAAATATGCAAAATCACAGTTTATTCAACCAATCTTTTTATGGTAGTCATATGCATTGTTCCTAGCCTTTTCGTTATGTCAAAGAGTACTGCCATTAATATCCCTGTGCACACAACTTTTTGTGTTTTTGCTGGTGTTTCTTTGGGATAGATTCCTGGGAGTAGAATTATTGGGTCAAGCACAAATCCATACCTAATTGTGCTAGATATTGGCAAATTCTCCTCTATAGGGGTTGTATCATTTTGCATGCTGGGCTGAAATATATGAGGGTGTGTATTTATCCACAGCCGTTTCAATAGAGTACGTTGTCAAACATTTGGATTTGTAACTAATATGCAAAAAATTTACATTATAATATAAATTTGCATCTCTTTTATTATGGCATCTGTTTACATGGTAAAGGACCATTTGACTTTCTTTTTCTGTGACTCATCTGTTTTTAGTTCTTGTCTATTTTTCAAAAGGATTTTTAGCTCTTTTAGAAGCTCTTTATATCAGTCCTTTATATATTAATTCTTTTTTCTGTGGTATAAGTTCCAAATATTATGAGGAACACATGCAATTTTTCATTTTTTCATCTAGCTATCCAGTTATCCCAACGTCAATGATTAAGAAATGGAATATGGTTTTTATGCAATTGAAATTAAGACCAGTGTAGTTGGAATAGGGCAGTTGGAGAGTCATGTGAAATAAATATAGTAAAGTAGGTAGGGACCAGATCATAGAGTCTTGTGGTCTACCCTGGAAATTTTGGTTTTTATCTTAATAGCAGTAGACAACCACTGAAGAGTTTCAAGCTAGGTAGAATGTGTCAGGGGATGTTTGAGCAAACCTCCCTTAGCTAGGGATGGTAGGTTTATTTGCTCAAATAGGAATCAAGACATTGATGACCTGGTAACCAAACCACAAGGGGTAGAAGTAATGACTAAAGTCCCAGGGTATGAATCTTTAGTATTAAACATACTAAAGCCCCAATAGCTTTAGTATTAGAAGACCTGTATTGACTTATCTCATTCTAATATGTTTCCCATAAGTATTGCTACTTAAGGTTAAAATTTCAACTTCACCTCATCTGAACTGCAGTAGCTGCCTGTATGATGGTACCTGTAATGTGTGAAGAAGCTACTCCCTCTGTGGGAAGCAACACAACCTATAGCAAGTTTAGAATTCTCTTATGCAGCTGTCTGGAACAAACTGGATAGGTGCCATATCGCGTGGGCTGTATACGGACACTAGTCATGGACTCAGCTCACTTTTGCTCTTCCCATCAATTGCAGTAATTTGTAACTGCCCACTTGTCAGCACTCCTTTAAATAACACTAGTGCATAGCGAGTTCAGCTGGAGAGCCACGGTATCCTAGTCTTTACAGATTTAGCAAATAAATCTAGCTTTACTTTTCAAGGTACATTGGATATGTTATCAGATTGCTCCTCTAACAACAGGGAAAGACTGGAAGTTAACAAGTGGGTTGGGAAATTACCTGTCAATTTAATTAATCTAATTAATGTTACAGATAGTGCCTCTGTGAACATAATGGCTTATAGGACTATAAAAACTCTGATTATTAATGCCATCTAATTGGCAAAGGGAAAGGGGTGTGAATAAAAGAAAATATGTAGTGTTGGATTAAAATTTTGGGGTTAAAATTTTTAAGAGTCAGGAGTAGAACCTGGATCCCATGAACTGAGGTGAACTGGGACCTCCTTAAGTTTGTAGATAATGTTAAATTAAAATGGAACGATCTAGCACTAGGTGACAAGCTAATACAAGGTGGAGAAGCCATAGAGTTTAATTTTAATTTTATTTTTAATTTTTTTGAGACAGTCTCACTCTGTTGCCCAGGCTGGAGTGCAGTGGCACAATCTCAGCTAACTGCAGCCTCTACCTCCTGAGCTCAAATGATTCTAATGCCTCAACCTCCCAAGTAGCTGGGATTACAGGCGCCTACCCCCATGCCTGGCTAATTTTTGTATTTTCAGTAAAGACAGGGTTTCACCATGTTGGTCAAGATGGTCTCAAACCCCTCATCTCAAGCAATCCACCTGCTGTGGACTCCCAAAGTACTGGGATTACAGGAGTGAGCCACCGCACCCAGCCTAGAGTTTAATTTTAAACAAACCCAACAAAGCAAAAATAAAATAAAAAAAATCCACAGCTGACCGAACTGTCTCTTGAAGTTCTGAACACATAAAACATTTTTTTATAACAAAAAGGTCTGACAAGAATAAGGTCTTATTCTAATAAGACTAATATAAAGGTCTGATCTTTCCTAAAAAATTCTCCTAAAACAGAGGGACAAATTTGCTATATAAAAAGCTGACTTGGGTCACTTTGTGCTGAAAGGATTAGAGAAGAGCAAGAGTGATCCAGTCTTCCAGGTGATAGATAATGGTGGAAAATAGATGAATTCGACAGATCTGTAGGAATTATAAACAATAGGGGCTGGGCGCAGTGGCTCATGCCTGTAATCCTAGCACTTTGGGAGGCCTAGGTGGGTGGATCACCTGCGGTCAGGAGTTCAAGACCAGCCTGGCCAATATGGTGAAACCCCATCTCCACTAAAAATACAAAAATTAGCTGGGCATGGTGGTACACGCCCGTAATCCCAGCTACTCGGGAGGCTGAGGCAGGAGAATCACTTGAACCCAGGAGACGGAGGTTGCAGTGACCTGAGATTGCTTGCCACTGCACTCCAGCCTGGGCGACCAAGCGAGACTCTGTCTCAAACAAACAAACAAATAAACAAAAAAAGGGAATTGGTGATTAATTTGGTCAGGGTTGAGGAAGAATCAAAGGCAAGGGTCAGTTCAGACTAGAGTTTCCACAAAGCCCTTATGTAGACACAAATGGAAAACCTGCAGGCTTTGCAGTACCAGCATGAATAAGGGGAACTTGTCCTGGTGCTAACACAATAAGGAAGTGTCTGCCTATTTATATCTCAGTACCATGACTCATTGAGTGCATTGATAGGCACTGATAAAAAGCAGTGTGGGCTGGCTGTGGTGGCTCACACCTGTAATCCCAGCACTTTGGGAGGCCAAGCTGGGTGGATCACCTGAGGTCAGGAGTTCGAGATCAGCTTGACCAACATGGTGAAACCCCCATCTCTACTAAAAATACAAAAATAAGCTGGGTGTGGTGGCAGGTGCCTGTAATCCCAGCTACTCGAGAGGCTGAGTCAGGACAATCACTTGAACCTGGGAGGCGGAGGCGGCAGTGAGCAGAGATCACACCATTGCACTCCAGCCTGGGCAACAAGAGCAAAACTCCCAAAAAAAGCAATGTGTTCCACTGCAATAATCTTCCAATTTAGAGAATATTTTACTTGATGCAGTCCTTATGCCCATGGTACATTAAGTATGGTATGGTACCTTATGCCCATGGTACATTAAGATACAAGGGAACTAATAAGATGATGAGTTTACCTAGATGCCTACTTATCTCATTTTTACTCCTTAATCAAAGCAAAAGTGAGCCACATGGTGGCTCACACCTGCAATCCTAGCACTTTGGGAGGATGAGGCAGGCAGATCACTTGAGCCCAAGAGTTCGAGATCAGCCTGGGCAACATGGGGAGACCTCATCTCTACTAAAATATAAAAATTAGCCAGATGTGGTGGTGTGCGCCTGCAGTCCCAGCTATTCAGGAGGCTAAGGTTGGAGGATCACCTGAGCCTGGGAGGTTGAGGCTGTGGTGAACTGTGATCTTGCCACCGCACTGTAGCCTGGGTAACAGAGTGGGACCCTGGCCCAAAGGAAAAAAAAAAATCAAAGCAAAAGTAACTGAACTGAGCCCAAGTTGTCATTTGTATAATTATACTTGTAATCCCAGCCCACTTTCAAACTTAAATCAGTGAGTTTCTGGCTTGAGCAATTGACTATGTAGTTGGCATTGCTGTTTAGTAGAAGACTACCAGGTCTTTTGTTGTTGTTGTTGTCATTCTCGTTGTTGTAGTTATGGGAAAGGTAAAGAAAATCAGGTCAGTTTTGGACATCTTGACTTTTGAGGTCACTTTTGGACATCTTGACTTTTGAGGTCACTTTGATACTCCAAATGGAAATAGTAACTTGGCAGTTGCATATATGGGTCAAGATCCCAGAAGCGAGTTACAGACTAAAGATAACGATTTGAGAGTCCCTGACTAAACAGATGGAAATTAAAATTGTGAGCTTGGATGAGATCACCTAGGGAGACAGTACAGTTGGAAGAGAATAGAGACAAAAACTGAACCTGAGAAAAACACATATTTAATAGTTAAGGACAATGAGTAGGCTGAGAAGACAGATGTATAAACCAGAATAGGTAAGAGAAGCTTGGTTTCTGAATACCAAGAGGAAGATTATTTTAAGGACAGCGTGGTCAACAGCATCAAATGCTACTGAGAGTCACGTAAATAAAAAACTGAAGCCAGGCATGGTGGCACGTGCCTGTAGTCTCAGCAACTTGGGAGCCTGAGGCAGAAGGACTGCATGAACCCAAGGGTTTGAGACCAGTCTGGGCAACACAGCAAGACCCCATCTCAAAAATAAAAACTTAAAACTAAAAAAAGTGTTCATTGCATTTAGCAACCAGAGGTTATTGATGGCATTAGTGAAAGCTGTTTTTGTAGAGTGGTGGTGGCTAAACCCAGATATTAATAGTTTTTGGAGCGCTTAGGAAGTGAGGAGAGGGCACCAAGTACTGACAACCCTTGAGTAATTTAACCTGAAAGAATGGGAAAGATTAACAGGAACATTTTAGGAAGCCAGGAAAGAAGAGCAATCTAAGTAGTAATAGCAAGTGTTAACTGTTAATTTAATTCCACAATAATTTGTTGATCACATGAAGGGCACAGGACAAAGAACTGAGAATTGAGAGATGAGTGAGAAGCAATCCATTCCCTCAGAGTGCTCATGGTTTAGTGGGGGTTGGGGGGGAGAGAGATGGATAAATAATTATTGCATGGAAAGTATAATAACAAATGTATTAGATTTAGTAGTAGCATAGGTGGGAGTGAAGAGCATATTTATTAGGAAGGAGATTAGAGAAGATGTAGAAGTGACTTTTGTAAAAGGCAAAAGATTTATACACTCTAAAGAGAAACCAGAGTATTGACTTTTGAACTGAGTTATGAATTCATAGCTATTTGGTAGGATGACTATGAGAGAGATACTCCAGGAAGAAGGAAAAGTATAGTTTATTAGAAAACTACATGTAATCTTCAAAGACGTGAGTTCTTGGAATCACATTGTCTAGATTTAAAACCTGCCTCTATCATTAGAAGCTTTGTGACCTTGGGTAATCACCAGAGCTTTGAAAAGCCATAATTTTCTCATTTATAAAATGAAGGCTGATAATTCCTACCTCAGGATTTTAGGGAGCCTTAACAGCTGTGAAACGCTGAATTCAGTAGCTGGTGTGCGGCAAACCATCAATACACGTTAATTCTTGTTATTGATAATTTAAAATGCAAAAAGAGTGTCAGGGTATGAAGCTAAACAAGGTAATCAGGAGTCACATCATGGTAGATTTGTCAGAAAGTTAGCACTGTTCCCAGCATTAATGAAAACAAACGAGAACAATTATTAGGAAACAGTTCAACTGAAGTCAGGCTTAAATCTACTAAAAATAGTTTTCAGGAAGCATCTTAATTATAATCTCTTGTTGATGAAGCCTAAGGCAACAAGTACGTACAAGTACCTCAAAGTCTACTAATTAGGAGGCTGAGATTGCTAACCTCTAATTGTGCAATTTGCAACTTTTTACATTTTGGAACACAATGCATTATTTTCCATTAATATTGGTGCTAAACTTCAATTTTCTAATATTTTTTCTTTATACATTTCATATTTTAAAAAATGAGTTGGTAATACGGTAATACTTCGATTTCACCACAAAAACGACTTCAACTCTACCACCCAAAACAACAAAAAACACTGATCATGCCGGGCAAGATGGCTCATGCCTGTAATCCCACCACTTTGTGAGGTCAAGGCAGGAGGATGGCTTAAACCAGGATTGAGACCAGCCTGGGCAATACAGGGAGACTCCATCTCTTCAAAAAATTTAAAAAACTAGCGGTGCATGGTGGTATGTGCTTGTAGTCCCAGGAACTTGGGGGGCTGAGGTGGGAGGATCGCTTGGCCCAGAAGATTGAGGCTGTAGTGAGCTATGATCATGTCACTGCACTCCAGTGTGGGACACAGAGTGAGTCCCTGTCTCTAAATAAATAAATAAATAAAAAACGTTGATCACATAGTGTAGCCAACCTTCAGAATTCTGGCAAGGGTATTTTAAGGGCAGAGTCAGACTCCAGAAAAAGCTGCAGGTGGACCTAAGGAAATTCGCATGGGATCTATGACCCCTATTCCTTTGACATAGTTTGAATTGATAAAAGTTTCTCTAGTCCAAAAAGCAAGCGATTTTTTTAGATTTTTATTTTGAGGAAGTCGTTTTCTCTGTAGGAGTTCAATTTCTCACTTATGTGAACAATATTCCTGCCATAGAAGGAATTTTTGTCATGAAAAGATAATTCGGGATCACTACTGTTTGGAGTATTTACTCTATTGAGTATTTTCGAAGTTAAAAAGATCATACGGATATCTTCACTTAGGAATGAAATGTTACAATCTTTGAGCCGGCATGAACTCTGATTTTGTTGATACTGGGTATACTGTCAATGCTGATTTTGATATTTGGTAAGGACTGATTTATTTACATCTTGTGTGTGCCTCAATTTCCCTAATATGGTCTGAGCCTGTAGATAACACCTTACTTTATTTATAGTTGGGTCAATTCTTCAAGATGTTTAACGCTCTCCATGTTTATTTCTTGTGGTTGACTATACTTTCCATGGTAGGAAGTCCTGAACTTCTGCTACTACTGTAGGTCTTATCTTTAGGCTTGTGGATGCTTAATAAGAACACTGAGATGATCTAAGAGTGCAGGACATTTAATTAAAAAAAAATTTTTTTTAAGAGACAGAGTTTTGCTCTGTTGCCCAGGTTGGGGTGCAGTGGTGAGATGGCAGCTCACTGCAGCCTCAAACTCCTGGGCTCAAGCAATTCTCCCAGATTCTCCCACCTCAGCTTCCTAGGTAGCTGAGACCACAGACGAGCCACCGGCCCAGCTAATTTTTGCATTTCTTGTAAAGAAGGGGTCTTACTGTGTTGCCTCGTCTCCATGAGGCTGGTCTCGAACTCCTGGACTCAATCGATCCTCCCACCTCAGCCTCCCACAGTGCTGGGATTACAAATCTGAGCCACCACACCTACCAGCAGAAACTTTTTTTCAAGAGGAGACTTTGGATTTCAAGGTGACCTCCCCCACCCCGCCCACAGTAATATCTGTGACCCAGTGCACAACACAAGTGCCTATGACTGAATAAAATATTTCACTAAATATTTATTTCACTATTCGAGATGTGCCTGGTATCTCTATTTCTTTCTTTCTTTTTTTTCTTTTTTTGGAGACAGAGGAGTGATCTCGGCTCACTGCAACCTCCGCCTCGCAGGTTCAAGCGATTTTCCTGCCTCAGCCTCCTGAGTAGCTGGAATTAGAGGCGCTCGCCACGACGCCCAGCTAATTTTTGTATTTTTAGTAGAGACGGGGTTTCGCCATGTTGTCCAGGCTGGTCTTGAACTCCTGACCTCAGGTGATCCGCCCGCCTCGGCCACCCAAAGTGCTGGGATTACAGACGTGAGCCACTGTGCCTGGCCATCTAACTCTATTTCACAGAAAACTGGAACCACCACACGCACCTGTACCCCTTCCAAGTAGAAACCAGCTAATTTGGTTTTACGAATCACTAAAGGCCGACTGAAAACGCTCTTCTAGCAGTCTTCGCTGCTACTCCATCTATCACAGCCCATCCGAAAAGCGGCGGTAGCAGCTGGGAAGGCCGCGGCCGGAGGCTGTCACAGAGCAGCACTCGCGCTTCGGCCCGCAAGATGGAGCGTTTCCCTCCAGGGAAGCAGCGCCGCACCTATCCACAGCCCCCACTCGGTGGATGATGCAGGACTCGGCCCATTTCCCTGCCCTCCAGCTTTCTCAACGTCAGCCCCGCCCCCTTATCTTTCCTCGGCGAGTTTAGTTTCGCCCCGCCAAGTGGGCAGAGCGCCGAACGATCGATGCTTTCTTCCGCGCCCCGAGAGCCGCCATTTTTGAGAGCGGGGGAGGAGAGACAAGCAGGGGCGGCAGAGGCTCAACGGGATGCTGACTGGGTTTTGCTTTTCGTCCCAGCCTTGTGGGGCCGGGACGGAAGAACCCATCAAAGCCCTTCCTCCCGCCGCCTCTCCGGAATGAGGTCTCAGCACCCGCGCGGGACAGCACCCTTCCTCCTGCGACAGTGAGTGGCGACCCGTGGCGCGACTGCCGGGCGCCCGCGCGCGCCCCCGCGCGCTCCTTCGCTGTCAGTTACCCCGCGCGCCTCCGCCCCTCTCCCGCCGGCCCCGCGCTCGGCGCAGACTCGTTTGTTTGTTTCTGCAGGAGCCCAAGAAGAGGCCGAAACCGAGACCATGCCAGGGAAGCTGAAGGTGAAAATCGTGGCCGGGCGCCATTTGCCAGTGATGGACCGTGCTAGTGACCTGACTGATGCCTTCGTGGAGGTTGGTGCAGGGTCCTGCCCCTCAAAACACAGGGAGCGCCAAGCCCTGTGAAGGATCTACCCACCTCGCCCCCAGCCCCTCAGCCTATTCCCCCCTCGACTGCCCTCCCTTCGGCCGTGGTTGTCCAGCTCTCCCACGAGGGATGACCGCCGAGACCTCAGTGTGTGCGATGGGTGCACGGCTTGCAGGCGTCCGCGGCACAGTCCGCTGCGCGGGGAGGCTTGTACTGTTGTGCATGCGGGGGTGACCCTGATGTCAGGACTCATTAACAGGCCACCTGCCACTCAGGAGATCCCAAGGCGTGGCCGCGCAGCCACCGACACACTCACACACATACACACACACACACACAAATGCCGGAATGACTCTGATGTCAGGACTCATTAACAGGCCACCTGCCACTCAGGAGATCCCAAGGTGTGGCCCCGCAGCCACTGAAACACACACACACACAGGCACACACACACCCTTGGAAGGGGTGGCCAGAGTGCTGGACATCATGTTTAAGAAGGTGCATGAAGCCCTTTATGGGCACTTGGAGTCCCACAGTGCGAGGAAATCCACTCTCATGCCTAACATTTTGTGAATCTGCCATGCACGTTCTAAAACACAACTGCAACACTTCCTGCTCTTGTATAGGCTGGTAGGTCTGATGAGGTGTTTCAGGGTAATTTAGCGCCTTGAGGTAGGAAGTCATTTAATTGCCATGGACTTAAATTGCAAAATTGCTTTTTAAGTCTAATGATTAGTTTAAAAGTCATGCAAATTAGTAAAGGCCTACGGCCGGAAGGTAATAACCCAGAGTCTGAAAGAAGCCAAGTAAAGATTGTAATAAAAATTGGCGTGATGAGCCAGAGCATTAGAGCAGCAATCATTTGGGCTATTAGTGCTTAGAATTGATGGATAGATATATCATAATATATAGCTCGATTTCATCTCAATATTCCTGATGTTTCCTAAATGTTCTCTAACCGAATAATTACAGTTCACTGCCTCCCCTGCCCATTGTCATGGTGATTCTTAATCACTTCATTTGAGAAAGTTCTTGAGTGCTCTTGTGCCAGATGTTAGGTGATAGGAATCCACAAATAACTAAAACATAGTGTTTGCTTTCCGGTAGTTCAGACATTGACCCACACAGCCTATTTAATAACTAATAGGTAACGTGTTGAATTTAATAATTGCCAGATCTGTACTAAGTACTTTTAAATTCTTAGTTTTCACAACAGTCCTGCTATAGGAGTATTGTTATTGTCCCATGTTACAGTGGATGTAACTGAGGCCCAGGAAGGGTAAATAATTTGCTTAAGGTTACATAGCTTGCAAACCTCCACAGCCTGACAGTTTGTTCTCTTAACCACTCTGCTAATACGGCCTCACCAAAGTGATGAGTATTGTATTAGAATATGGAAAGAATTCTGTCTCTGAAGGTTGAGAAAGGCTTCTTGTGAAAGTGACATTTGAAGTGGGCCTTGAAGGACACCCAGGATTTTACCAGGCAAAGGGAACATCAAAGGCAAAGGCATAGACTGGGATATATAGTATGTTCAGGAAACTGCCTTAGTTTAGTACGTGTCTGGAGGAAAGGGTATGAGATATGTGGGTAGTGGAGCTTGTTAGGGATGAGGCTGGAAAGCCCCATTTTCTATAAAACCTCATTTTCTGTAATATTTATAAGGAGCGACAAGGAAGCTGAATGCAGGTCACTGCAGCCTCCAACTCCTGGCCTCAAGCCATCCTCCTGCCTCTCCCGCTTCGGCCTCCCAAAGTGCTGGGATTATGGGCCTGAGCCACCACGCCTGGCCAGGGGAGTTTTTTAAGCAGAAATAAAATAAGATCATGTTTGTATTAGTTTGTTTCTTTATAGGATGGCCTGAATGGGGATGCTATTGATGGACTAGACAGATGGGAAGTGTGGCAGGGAGATCAGTTAAGAAGGTGGTAAAATTATCCAGGTAATATGTGGGAATGGGAATAGGAATGGATTTGAACAGAAAGATTTGTGGGACATTTCTTAGGTTAAAATAGTCAGGCCTTGATAACTAGGTGGATTTTGCTGGTGAGGAAGGGGGCTGATTCAGGGGTTACTTATTACTTCCTTCTTTGAACAAATTGAGTGTCTGCCGTTTGCCAGGCTCTGGGCTAGTTACTGGTCTAGCCGATGTATATACATGGTGAATAAGACAGACTTGGTTCCTTCTCTTAATTCAGCTTATATTTTAGTGGGAGAGACAGATGTTTAAAAGGTAAATAAATTATTAAATATATAGTTACAAGTTGGGATGGGTGCCATGAAAGGGAACAATAGAAAGAGAACAACAGGGAACACCTACTTTAGGTTGAGTAATCAGGGGAGGCCCCTGAGAAAAGTGTTTGTCAAAACCAAGATCTGCTGGATGAGAAGGAGCCTGCTGCTGAGGGAGCATATTTGTGTGTGTAGGGGAGTGGGTGGACAGAAGGTAACCCGGAGATCTCATGTAGAGATTTGGTGTGTTTTAAGAAGTGAAGGAAAATGCGTGTGGCTGGCACGTAGTCAGTGAAGGGAAGAGTAGTATAAGATAAAGTTGGAGAGTTAATCAAAGAACCAGTCTTGCAAGGACTAAGGCCATGATTAAGAGTTTGAATTTTACCCTAAATTCATTGAGAAGCCCTTGTTAAGATGAGCACTGTTATATGGAGAATGGATTGAAGGGGAAAGAGTAGAAATCAGGCAGTTAGGAGATTCTATAATAGTTCAAATAACAGGTAATGTTATCCAAGGTGATGGATTTGGTAATGCGGACAAGTGGATGAATTCCAGGTATATTTTGAAGATAGATTAAAAGATGACTCCTAGCTTTCTGAAGTATTGGGTTTTCTGATACTCCAGGGGGATGGTAAAGATTGAGGAGGATCATTTTCCATTTGAGCATGTTAGGTTTGTGATGTCTTTAGGGTCTTTAATTGGAGATGTTAAGGAAGTGATTTATGACTATGGCATTCAAAAAAAAGAGGTCTGAGTTAAAAATGAGCACACAAGCCAGTGTTTCTCAACTGTGAGACCCAGGACTCCCTTTAGATAGCTGGTATTTTGGAATCTACCCTTTCTATCCTGGCATGATATTTTTTAGTTAATATATCCTTACAATTAAAAAATCAGTACCACGGTTTAACTATAACAAATAGAAGTATTTGTTTTTGTTGTTATCATTATTATTTTTTTGAGATAGAGTCTTGCTCTTTCACCCAGGCTGGAGTGTAGTGGCACGATCTTGGCTCACTGCAACTTCCGTCACCTGGGTTCAAGCGATTGTCCTGCCTCAGCCTCCAGAGTAGCTGGGATTACAGGTGCTTGCCTCCGCGCCCAGCTAATTTTTGTATTTTTAGTAGCGACGGGGTTTCGCCATGTTGGCCAGGCTGGTCTTGAACTCCTGACCTCAGGTGATCCACCTGCCTTGGTCTCCCAAAGTGCTGGGATTACAGATGTGAGCCACCGCGCCTGGCCTGTTGTTATTATTTTAATATGGAAGTACTTTTTCATGACCATAATAGAAAACATGAAGTAATCAGATGAATCAATGAATTCAGCCTTTGTATGTATTAGACACTGTACTGGATGCTGGGGATATAGCAATAAATTTAAAAAAACTTCATTCACGGAACTTACATTTTAGTGGGAGGAGAGAGTTCATAAATAAGGTAAGTAAGTAAAAGATACAGTATGCTGGATGGTCTAGTTTTCTCTAGATTTTAGCATATACCAAAAATTACTTAAGAATAATATATGGAGAAAATAAAGCTGGGACACAGAATAGGGAGTGCCTCGCCTATGTTAAAACCACGTGAATGTGACTGCTTCTCAAACAGAGTGAGACAGTTGTGTAGTTTTGGCATCTCAGATCTTCATTGCCATTGGTTATCTGATTTTTCAAAATAGTCAACTCATGGGAAAAAGCAGAGTTGCCTCTTGATTTACATGATGGTTGTAGTTCTTGACAATTATGTACATTGAAACCCGATTGTAATACTTCTATCTGTAAAACTGAGGTTCTAGGTAGGGTTTTTTTTCTCTTTTTTTTTTTTTTTTTTGAGACGGAGCTTCGCTCTTGTTGCCCAGGTTGGAGTGCAATGGCGTGATCTCAGCTCACTGTAAACTCTGCCTCTCAGGTTCAAGCGATTCTCCTGCCTCAGCCTCCTGAGTAGCTGGGACTACCAGTGCACCACCATGCCTGGCTAATTTTTTGTATTTTTGTAGAGACAGGGTTTCACCATGTTGCCCAGACTGGTCTTGAACACCTGACCTCAGGTGATCCACCCACATTGGCCTCCCAAAGTGCGGGGATTACAGGCATGAGCCACCACACCTGGTCTTCTAGGTAGGTTTCTTACCCATGTGATTATCTAGTGGCACATTTGAAAATCATGACATGGTAAAAGTCTTCATTGTTGGGAACTCTCTTGCATTGAAGAATACCTGGCATCTCTGGCCCTTCCTCACTTAATGCAATTACTATTTTCCCCAAAACCACTGCTAGAAATGTCTAAAGCTTCTTTAGGAGTTGGAGTTGGTTCTGTCTTTTTTGCAAAGCTTTAGGAGTTGGTTCTGTCTTTTTTGCAAACCTGTGACTTAGGGGAAGGGAGAGAAACAGGATGAATCCTTGAAAAAACTTGATATTAAGAGGTTTATTAGAAGAGGAGGACTAGAGGAAGGAAACTGAGATTGTGAGCCAGTGGGTGGGAGAAAAATGGGGAACATAATGTCTTAGAAGGCAAGAGAGGAAGTTTCTAGAAAGAGGAAGGAAGCTCAATTGTCAGATGTCACTGAGGTCAAGTAAGAAGACAGAAAAATTATTGGATTGGACAACATGGGGGTTGTGACAAGAGGCATGATGAGGGTGGAATCCCATCCTGTAGTGATTTAAAGAGAAAGTACATGGGAAGTGAGGAAGTAGAAAGAGTATGAATAGGCAACTGTTTCAAGATGTATGGCTATGAAGGGGGGAGGAAAAATACTGTGGTGTTTGAGAAGTAGTTTTAGTACTTAAAAAATAAATGAAAAGATACAGAACCTATTTGTGTGCTAATAGGAATAATCCAGTAGAAAGGGGAAAAATTAATGCAGGAAAAGGGGGATAATGAAGGATTACAATATAATAAAGGGATAAATGCTTGATACAGACTTAAGTTCATAGAAGAGGGAGATAATGAAGCGTGGGCTTGTCATGAGAAACCTTTATCCTGGGCCTGGAGGATGGTAAAATTTACAAAGGCAGAGAGAAAAAGGAAGAAAAAATTTTCAGGTGACTAGGACAAACTTGATAAAAGCAAAAGAACAGAGTATGTATTGATGTAATTGAATGTATTTCAATTGAATGAATTTCATTCATATGTGATTGAAAGGAAGATTCTTGTTGAATAGAAGTGGGAAATAAATCTGGCTAGGAAAGGGGGATACAGATTACTGAGTAGTCCAAAAATTAGGAGGAGAGGTCAATACAGTTGAAGCTGTCTTAACAACCTCCGTTAAGTGACTCATTGCAATCCTCAGCGTTCTGCATCCTTCCATAAAGCGTATTCGTAAATACTCCTCTGGGTAAGACTACTCTCCAGTGTGTCTGGAGTTTCCCATCAGTTGGCTGATATACTTTACCAAGAGGCAGTTGTGTTTATTCCCAAATCTGCTTATGTCAACTGTATTTCTTACTATATTTTATTTAAACCTTATATAAATGAGTGAATGTAAAGACATGGAAATGGTTACTAAAAATAGCTCTTGAATTAGGTGGAGAAAAGACTGTAAAAAATAGAGGATTCTTTGTTCGTACTTTTTAAAGCAACCCAAACTGGAAATCAGAGATGAATGTGGCTTATGCAAAAAAAGATGACTAAACAGTTGACTTTTACACAAAGAAGAGGTCTTAGCCTTACATTAAAAGACAGGAATGAATGTTTGTTTATATGTTTTATCTTAAAATGTTTACAGTTTGTATTATTTTTAGTGATCCTCTAATTTAACCAAGTTATTTGATTAACTGATCAAGTATTGGTCCTGGTTGCATTGATTGAGAGAATTTCCACTATATATGACGTCAGGAGTGTAGGGACCCAGTGAAGACCAAATAATTCTTCAAGACGAGTAGTCTTGCAGGAATCTCTAGAGTAAGATGGGGTTCTGTACAAGCGAAGTATTAATGGAAATATATCTGAATGTTAATGTGTGTTACCAATTGTTTGGCTAAACTACATTGTCATCTTGTGTTTTTCTAGGAACCTTTGAGGGAACAGGGAGAGGAAAGTAAATATTTAATGAATATTTCCTATGTGCAGACATTTTGCTAGGTCTCTACATGTGTTATATCATGTAATGCTCACTTACAATCCCACTTTTCAGAGGAGGAAGCCAATTTAAATAACAGGTTAATAACTTTCTCAAGGTAATTTAGCTAATGAGTAGGTAAAGAGAATGCTTTACTTTACTGGGGGAAATCTCCATTAAAATCCCTGATGTTCTTTAACAGAGTTATAAGGCATTCATTTAATTGCTGAGTAATAAAATGTCCTTTTAATTAAATTAAGACTAAGTGAACCGAGATTCTTCTGTACTAGAGTGGAAATCATCCAATGTTGGCAAAATACACACTCCAGCCTTTTTCTTTTTGTTTCTTGTCCTTTATTTGTTTTCTTGTTTGAAAGACTGGGTCTTGCTCTGTTGCCCAGGCCTGAATGCAGCAGCCTTGAACTCCTGGCTTCAAGCTCCTCTTGCCTTAGCTTCTTGAGTAGCAGGGACTCCAGGCACGCACCACCCTGCCTGGCTGATGACTTTTCCTTTTTTCTAAAGTCTTTTTTGTTTGTTTAAAGCAGTTTGTGGACTATCGGATCTTTATTTAGAATGAACAGTTGCACAACAACAAAAAGGCACAGTATAGCACAACTGTTATAGTGGGACAAAACTGTAGAGTGCTCTAAACTTGTCACTTAAAAAATCATGTACTACTTTTGGCAGTTGAGCCAAAACCCTTAAGTATATTGCTTTTGAATGATTTTGAATGTTTTTATAAATCCTAACAGTATTTTACTTCATATAAAGCAGCTTTAGATAAATTAAACAATAAGTATTTCCATCATGCCTTGAATATTTAAATGGAATGAAAATTAAATTAGTAATTAAACAAGAACCTCTATTCTTCCTTTTTCCTCATTAAGTTTCATTTCTTTATCATTGTGATTAAAAAAATTATGCAAGTAATACTTGAATGCTCCCCATTAAAAAAGATTGAAACACTCAAATATAACTCGAAAACCCCTTACTTTCTTCTTACACCACTGTACTCTATTTCCTACACCCTATCAGTCCCTTCTTCAGAGATAATTGCTGTCAGTTCTTTGGCTTATGTTAATCTATTCTTCATCCTCTTAACAAATACTTGTATATCTATATCACATTTTTAGAAACAAATATAATCATACTTTATATATTCTGCTACTTGTTTTTTCAGTTATTGTGTAATATCTTCTAGTGACAGTACATATAGTCGACTCCATTATTTATAGGGCACATGATTTGTTCAGTCACTTTCCTGCTGAATGACTATATTTTTGGTGGGGAGGGCTTATGTGAAAGTACTTCTGTAGGTTAAATTCCTGGTAGCAAACCTAGGATTCTGTAATTTGAATGAAAATAAAGTTATTGCCATTTTTATTTTAATTTTTGATGTTTTTGAATTTTAAAATAATGCATTTAAAATAGGTAGTATTATGCATGGTTCAAAATTCAAAAGGTACAAAGTGAGTCAGCTTCTCTTTCACAGCCTCTCCTTTAACCAACCTCTTCTGCTGTTTGTAGTGGCCATTGTTACTATTTCTTGTATATACTTCTAGAAATAATGTGCGCATATACAGACATATAACTATTATATGAATTCTGTCTTTTTTTTTTTTGTGCTGAAGAATGCCATATATCTGCAGTAGAAAGATGTATCTTGGAAGTTGTTCCTTACCAGTGCATGGAGAACTGCTTTATTCTATTTAGTGCTACATTGTGTTGCTTTACCATAAATTTAATTAGTTCCATATTGACAGATATTTAACTTGTTTCCAAGCTTTTGCTACAGTAATGCTGCTGATATATGCCATTGTGTACCTCTGTGGGATAAATTCTAAGAAGTAGAATTGCTAGCTTAAAAGGGATTTAAGGCATTTAAAATTTTGATGTGTTTTCAAAGTCTCTGTAGAGATTGTTCTACAACTCCTACCAGCAAAGCATGACAGTACCGCACCAATTCTGTTTTCAAATCTTTTGGTCTTTGCCAGCCTGATAAGTAAAAATATTTTAGTTTGCATTTCTCTTAGTATGAATGAGGTTGATCATCTTTTGATGTGGTTAAAGACAGCTGTATTTCCATTTCTGTGACTTACCTGATCATATCCTTTGCCTATTTTTTCTATTGGGTTGTTGATCTTTTATTGCTCTCTATATGCTCTTTAGAAACGGAGGAAGTTAGTTCTTTGTGATGTGTGGAGCTGGTCAAGCAGAGCAATGGGTGATTGCTTGTTGTGGGTATTATTATTAGTCTACAATCTTACCTGGATCCATCTGTACCTTCTTCCCTTTGTCCCAGAGGATAATAGTCTTTTGTCCCCTTTATGGTTTATCCTTCTATTGGTTGGCTGACATTAAAATTTACTTTTATTCACATTTTTGATATTCATATGTGAATAATTTCTTATTTGTTTTTAGGTAAAATTTGGTAATACCACCTTTAAAACAGATGTGTACCTTAAGTCACTCAACCCTCAGTGGAACTCGGAGTGGTTTAAATTTGAGGTAAGTTTTTAAATGTCAGCATTTTTGAGTGTATTTTTTTGAGGTGACTCTTTTCCCTCAGGAATAATGAGAACCTTTTATTTCAGGCATAGTAGTATTTCTACATCACAAAAATATTTTCTTTTCTGCTTACCTAGGAATATTGAGTCTAAAAAAAGTTGTATTACATTTAAGAAAATACAGTATATGATAACACATTAACAAAAGAAGTCTTCAGATGTATTATATTATTATTATTGTAGTTTTCTCTAGATTTTAGCACATACCAAAAATTACTTAAGAATAATATATGGATTAAAATAAATTTTTAAAAATTGTAGTACTATATATTGTGAATATTGCCATTTAAATCATTTGTAAGTGTACAGTTTGGTAGCATTAATTACATTCACAGTGTTTTGCTACCATCACCGCTATTTCCAGAACTTTTTCTTTATCCTAAATGGAAATTGTGTACTCACTAACCAATAACTTCCCATTCCCTCCTCTCCCTAGACTCTGGTGACCTCTAATCTACTTTCTGTCTCTTTGAATTTGCTTATGCTAGATATTTCATATAAATGGAGTCATATAATACTTGTCCTGTTGTATCTGCTTTCTTTTACTCAGCATAATGTTTTCAGGGTTCATCCACACTGTAACATGTATCAGAATTTTATTCCTTCTTATGGCTGAATAATAACCCATTGTATGTGTATGCCACATTTTATTTTCTAATTGAGTTATTTTTATTGAGTTGTAAAAGTTCTTTATATATTCTGAATATTAACTTATTATCAGATATATAATTTGCAAATATTTTCACTCATTCAATAGGTTGTCTTTTTACTTTCTTGATAATTTTCTTTGATGCGCAAAAGTTTTAAATTTTGATGAAGTCCAATATATTTATTTTTGTTTTGGTGTGAAATCAAAGAATCCATTGTCAACTCTAAGGTCATGAAGATTACCCCTATGTTTTTTTGTAAGAGTTTTATGGTTTTAATTCCTATATGTAGGTCATGGATTCATTTGGAGTTAATTTTTATAATGGAGTGCAGTAAGAGGCCAACTTCATTCCTTTCTTTTAATAGACAGAGTCTTGCTTTGTTGCCCAGGCTGGAGTGCAATGGTGCGATCTTGGCTCACTGCAACCTCCGCCTGCTGGGTTCAAGCGATTCTCCTGCCTCAGCCTCCCTAGTAGCTGGGATTACAGGCATGCGCCATCATGCCTGGCTAATTTTTTTGTATTTTTAGTAGAGATGGGGTTTTGCCCTGTTGGCCCGGCTGGTCTCAAACTCCTGACCTCAAGTGATCTGCCTGCCTTGGCCTCCCAAAGTGCTAGGATTACAGGCGTTAGCCACCACACGTGGCCCCAACTTCATTCATGTATGTAGAAATTCATGCATGTAGAAATTCAGTTGTTTGGGCACATTTGTTGAAGAGACTGTTCTTTTACCATTGATTGGTAGTCCACATAGAGACAGGAGGTGGTTATGTTCAAATGGCTCATGGCCTGGTGATCTGAGGGGACTTCTCCAAAAGGAGAGCCTCCCATCTCCTCACCCAGGTCTCTTTTCATTCCTCCCTTCTTCCCACTTGTGCTTCCTTCCTTGAGGCCCTTGAATGTAGAGGTCCCTATCACTCATGTTCTCCTCTTGTGCTCTTCTTAGGAAGTCCGTTGTGTTACTGTTAGGATGTCTGTTTTATGTTGCGCCCAGCCACCTCCCTGCAGTTTCTGCCCTCTTTCTCTCTACATCTGTTTATTTTTTCATGGGTTGATTTGGTCTGTCGGCATGCCCCAATCCTCCAGGAGATTATAGGGACTGTACTAGGCTTTGAGAACAACAAGATGACATACAAAAGGAGATACAGTTCTCATTTACAGACTGCTTATTATAGCCCAGACGCTGGTGAAGTGCTTTACATGTGTTAACCTCATTCAATTCTCACAATGCCGTGAAGGCACCTTTTATTTTAAGATGACTCAGAAGTCCAACCCAGAGCTAGCTAAGTGGTAGAGTGAGGTTTCAAACCGAAGACTGCCTGACTCCAAAGCTATTACCAGACCACCACACCTCCATCTTACATTCTCCCATTCTACCCACCACCCCCCCTTCCCAAGTTAAACATCTTTGTCATTTATTGTTCCCTGTGCCAGCAATGTTTTCCCTGCTTTTTTTGTTCTTCTTCACTGCTATGTCCTCAACGCCCAGAAGAGCGTGTAATAGACTCTCGGTAAATATTTACCACACATATTGCCCATTTCTCTGATACCACTTCCTTCACCCCTCAGCTGGAACTGAAATTTTCTTCTTTGGAATTTTCATTGGACTACTTAAGAACCTTGTGAGGACCAATTTGGTTTTTCTTCCCCTGCTATTTCATGCTGGCCCTTATATTGGGCAGCATTGTGGCTGCTGTGCCTTTTCTGAGGCCTATTTCATAACCATTATGGAGCCTGGGTAAAGTTTAGCTCTTGCAGGGTAAGGTGTCATTCTTCAGTGAAAGAGAACAAGGGAAGGAAAGTATTGATTTGCTTGAAAGATGCTTTGATCATGCTGGGGAACCTGCCAAACTGATACCTGAAGATGGAAGAAATGACACTACGATTTTTAGGCGCTGCTTTGCTTATGGTTTATATTAGGACCGTGATCTTTCTTTTAGTGTTGGAAGGCACATTCTGTAGTGGTTGGGATACTGCATAGCTGCCCTCTATTGGAAAAGCTTAAAGGTCTGGATTAAGAGAAAACAAATTCTATTTCTGGTGCCTGCTAATTTGCAGATGACCTCAGACAGCCTTACCATTTGGAGCCTCTGTTTTTTTTCAAACATGAATTCTTTCCAGAGTAGTATTGAGGTGGCTATGAAGCATGTTGCTGTATGTTAATATGAGTTGCACTAGTCAAAAAAAAGAGAATAATATATGTAAACTTTTTTTTTTTTTTGAGACGGAGTTTCACTCCCGTTGCCCAGGCTGGAGGGCAATGGTGGGATCTTGGCTCACTGCAACCTCTGCCTCTCAGGTTCAAGCGATTCTCCTGCCTCAGCCTCTTGAGTAGCTGGGAGTACAGTCATGCGCCACCACACCTGGCTAATTTTGTATTTTTAGTAGAGACAGGGTTTCTCCATGTTGGTCAAGCTGTTCTCAAACTCGCGACCTCAGGTGATCCACCCACCTTGGCCTCCCAAAGTGCTGGGATTACAGGCGTAATGCCCGGCCTGGGAATAATATTTTTAAATCACTCAGCATTTTGGATAGACATTCAGCGTTTGGCAGAAAGTGGGTTTAAATATTAGCATTTTGGGGTATATCTTCTGTTCTTTCGTTAATGTATAGTTTAATTAGTCTGAGTGGTGTAGGTGTGCTAAAAAAATAGAACTGCAGTTTGAAAAGCTTTTGTTGCTAAAATTAAATCTCAGTTTGTATAAGAAAGGTGTACCTCGTCTGTAGACTCAGCATTTATGGACAGTGACAGCTTTTATTTATTATCTCTGTGGAATATAACTGTGTTTCTCAAAATTACGACCTCATCAGAGTAGCTTGGCTGTGTCTCAGTCTTCTGTCAAAAGGACTCAGTTATAGAAACAGTTATTCTTAACCTCCCAGTAGCTTTTACCCAAAGGTTTTCAAGCAAATGGATCTCTCTAAGGAAGGTAATTTCTAGTTTCTGTAAACTCCTCCTCTTTTAAAATGGACTTCCATGTTATCTGCTAGAACATTGAACTGGAAGTCAGTAAATTGTTTAGGACTTTACCTTTGAGGCAAGTTAAAAAAAATCAGTTGGACATAGATGTAAGGATTTATTTCCGCACTCTCAACTCCATTCCATTGGTCTGTATGTCTGTCTTTATACTATTACCATACTGTTTTGATTACTATAGCTTTGTAGTGAGTTTTGCAATCAGGAAGTGAGAGTCCTACAAATTCATATTTTTAGTTGATATTTTCATGGTGAAATATTTTGATTCTCTTCTCATTTTCTTTTGTGTATATGTACAAATTTTTCTTTTAGCTGCTTCTAAAATGCCACTATCTATTTTGAAAGACCCGTTGCACATGTATTGAGTCTATTGTGGCATTTTAAACTACATTATTAAGGTAAAGGTGTGGAATATATGTGTCAAAAAATAATCAGAGTAACTTCCTTACATGATTTCAGATGGATTTAGAATTAGAGTCTATCTTCATTACCCAGGCAAAACACTGGGATGTTTATATAGTTTATTTTGATAGCCTTTCCCCCCCAACTATAACCTAGAAATGGTTAAAAACGAATAGTTTTCATTACATTGTTATTGGAATGGTGGGAGGAGGCAAGCTTCATGTGTCAGAGTAATTTTCATGATACTAGGAAATATTAAAAAATGATATTTCATTTTAATGATGATGGTAATAAACTGGTATTTTTTAAAGCTAGTGAGTACTCAAGCAGCTTACTTAACAATATGAAAAATAATATATTTATTTTCTGAAATAAGGGATTTACCAGGCAGTTCCCTTAAAATTTCTTAAGTTAGTGGCTGGGTGCAGTGGCTCACAGCTATAATCTTGGGACTTTGGGAAGCCGAGGCAGGCGAATCACCTGAGATCCAGGGTTCAAGACCAGCCTGGGCAACAGAGTGAAACCCCGTCTCTACTAAAATACAAAAATTAGCCGGGTGTGGTGGTGTGAACCTGTAATCCCAGCTATGTGGGAGGCCGAGGCCCAAGAATCGCTTGAACCTGGGAGGCAGAGGTTGCAGTGAGTCGAGATCACGCCATTGCACTCCAGCCTGGGTGACAGAGTGAGACTCCGTCTTAAAAAAAAAAAAAAATTTAGTAAGTTACTGTTTTGACTAGTCTTCCCGAATAATATATATGCTGTGAAAAATGTACTTAAAACTTTGTGTTTATAGTTAACATTGATTATGTAGTACTTTTTTTAACCCTGTTTATCAGTTGTTAATTGCATTCAGTTATATATATATATTCAGTTTTAAATATATATACACACACAGTTGTGTATATATATATACACAGTTGTATGTATACATATACACATAGTTGTATATATACAGTTATATATATACTGTATATATATACACAGTTGTATATATAGTTGTTATGTATACAGTTGTGTATAATATATATACACTGTGTGTGTGTGTGTGTGTGTGTGTGTGTATATATATATATATATATATATATATATATATATAGCACTCAAATACATGTCTTAAGCAAAATAGATGTTTTTCTCTTATGTGAAAGAAATGTCGTGCCAGGCAGTGTAAGGGTAGTGTGGTTGCTCCACGCAGTCATTTGGGACTCCATCATCTATACATAGCCTGTGGTTTCTCTTAAAGTGATTCAAGGTCCTTTTGGCTCCAGTTTAGCACCTGGAGTTCCAGTGAGCACATGAGTGTTCCAGGCTGGCAGAAGGAGCTAGAGTGAAGGGGAGTCCAGGAGGAGGAGCTGATGAGTTAACATAACAGTTTCAGATGAGCAAGCCTTCTTTAACAAGTTTGCCCCCTCCCTACCAAGCTCTCTGTAATGATTTATGCTTGTATCACATTTAGTTGCAAGGGAGGCTAAGAAATGCAGTCTTTTGGCAGTGCATATTGCTAATTTAAACATTTAAAACATTTCTCAGAAAGTCTTAATTTATAATATTTTGCGATTCCAGATAGGCTTCATTTACTGTACTAAATATTCTTAATTCATTATGATTAATTCTTGATTTTCCCTGTTATTCATCTTGTTAGCTATCTATGTATGTATCACAAGCTATTTTTAGTCACTTAGTTGTTAGTATAGCACCCCCTAATGTCAGGGAAGGGATACCTTAGTGTACCATGAGAAAAAATAATACTCAGAGGTGAATGTACAGGTGGTTAAATAAGTATATACAGAGAGTATTTTTAATGGAGTTAGAAATTGGGGGGAATGTCTTAGAGTAATGGTTAATGGTTTGGTTTATGATTCTTTCTCTTCTGTTAAATGTATACATAACAATAGTAGTGGAGAGAATGCCATTGGATGACAGATGATTTGGAATGGATTGGGATTCAAAATGATCATTTTATTTTAACATTTCATTATGGAAAATTTCAAGCATGCACAAAGATAGATTAGTATATTGAACCTCACCCACCTTTAACAGCTGTCTACGTTCTACTGTTCTTGTTTTGCCTTTTTAACTCCTGCCCACCCCGGTTTTCCTTGTGGGGATATTTTAAGGCAAATTTGAGATGTTATATGATTTCATCTGTGAATTCCAAATTATATACCTCTTATAAAGGAGGACCCCTTATAAATAAACAAAACCTTAGATCACATTATCACACTAATGATATCAATAATTCCTTAATATTCTTTAATTTTTAAAATAATCTTCAGAGGCTGGATTATTAGCTTAACATCAACAATAAATTAAATAGGGGATAGGGAAAGGCATAAATGTTTCATATCCAAGTTTAAAAAACCAACCAGAGTATAAGGGTTGCAGAGCTATCACTTGACCAAAGCATATGTAAGAATGATACAGAGATTTTAGCCAACCACAGACTCAGTCTTAATAGTATGGTATGTCTGATGTAAAGAAGAACATCCATGGACTGCATTTTAAAAGTATAATTTTCTAATTATAGAAAATAATAATCCTTTGGTATTCTGTCCCAATCTTAATAGTGTCTATAATATGTTCCCTTCTGGCCACTATATTTGATGAAGGGGACTGGTAAATTAGATAATGGCATGATATCCAGAAGGTGGCAGCCAAAATAGTGAGTACGTCTTCCATGAGGAAATCATTTTGCACTGTTCTCCATTGTAAATGCCTCTGTTTGGCACAGTGTTTGGCATATGATAACAACTCGATAATGACTAAATAAAAGGAGAGAGGGTAGATGTTTATATCATGAACTTAATTTGTGAACTTAGGTTGTTTTTTCTTACACATAATGTTAATTTTGCTTATGGTTCTGTTCTCTGAAATCGCCCTTAGAAATTGTGGTGTCATTGTGCTCAATTAGCATTCTTCTCTCTATAGATACTACATGAACTCTAATATGACATTCCTTAGGCATTTTTGCTATGTATCATAGGCAAAGTTGTAAAACACAGGATAATATGTAAAAAAAATTGAGATTTAAATTTTTTTGTTGTTAGTCATCCCAGTCTTGTGCTGAGAGATAAACTTTTTTTCTTTAGAAAGATGGGATATTGTGTAGGAAAAGGAGCTATATCTTTTTGTGTGTTAATTCTTTTCTTTACTTTGGTGCTTAGAAATCTGTAAGATTTTATTTGCAGATGTGTCATCCTTTTCATTTGATATAGGTATACATTTGTGGTAATTAAGATTTAAAAACTATATGAGTTTTAATTTTAAGGTATACTTGTAGGTGGATGATGAAGACTTACAAGATGAACCTTTACAGATCACAGTTCTTGACCATGATACTTACAGTGCAAATGATGCCATTGGTAAAGTGTACATTGATATTGATCCTTTACTGTATAGTGAAGCTGCAACAGTCATCTCAGGATGGTTTCCAATTTATGACACCATACATGGTAAGGAATAATAAGAAAGTATTATAAATAACAATCTTAATCTTTTTTATTTGTCCTTAAAGACATTTGTGCTATATTTGCTGGTTTAAAATATGTATCTTTAGGCTAGGTGCGGTGGCTCATGCCTGTAATCCCAGCACTTTGGGAGGCTGAGGCGGGTGGATCACCTGAGGTCGGGAGTTCGAGACCAGCCTGATCAACATGGAGAAACCCCGTCTCTACTAAAAATACAAAATTAGCTGGGCATGGTGGTGCATGCCTGTAATCCCAGCTACTTGGGAGGGTGAGGCAGGAGAATCACTTGAACCCGGGAGGCGGAGGTTGTGGTGAGCTGAGATCGTGTCCTGTGCAACAAGAGTGAAACTCTAGCTCAAAAAAAAAAAAAAAAAATATATATATATATGTATATAATATATCTTAAGATGATGCCTTTTTAAAAATAAATAATAGTAAATTATTGTTAGTAAAATTGTTGCTTCTCTCAACATAATTTGAGATAATGCTTGCTAAATTTGTATAGTATAGTAAGTAAATGCATGATTTAAAACTGATCTAGTATTGATACTGTGTTTCTAAAACACATTTTCAAACTGATTAATAATGATTTTTGTACTTAAAAGTTACTTAAAAGTTTTTTGTTGCCTGAAGCAGGGCCTCCCGGGCAGTTGCGATTGCAGGCACATGCCATTGCAGGCACATGCCATGACACCTGGCTGATTTTTAAATTTTTTGTAGAGACACGGTTTTGCCATATTGGCTAGGCTGGCCTTAACTCTAGAGCTCAAGTGATCTGCCTGCCTCAGCTTCCCAGAGTGCTGGGATTTGCTTTCTTAATATTTTAGTAGGTAAATTATTGAGTCAGTTTTCTTAAGTCTTCCACCATAAGTATGAATTTGACATGAAGTCAGGACAGTCAAGTGAAAATATTTAGTAAATGTTTAGAGATAAGATCTGGGTCATTCTTATTTATCAGAGCATGTTTTGAAAACCCTTATTCTTGGAATTTTTTATTTACTTAATTTTTTTCTCGCTGTGTTGCCCAGGCTGGTCTCAAACCCCTGAGCTCAAGCTGTCCTCCTGCCTTGCCTCCCAAAGCACTGAGATTACAGGCATGAGCCACTACTCCTGGCTTGGAATTTTTTAGTTAGCTTGCTTTAACTTATATTCATTGAAAAGAATAAAACTTCTTTTGTTTTAAATCAGATTCTTGCATTGTTAAGAATATATAATCTGGGATCATAAAGATCTGAATTTTAATCCTGGATCTGCCACTTAACAGCTATTGACACTGTAAATTACTTAATTTTTATTAAAAATTTCTTCCTTTGTAAAATGGGGATGATACTACCTTATTGGGTTGATGTGACTGCTCTGAGATACTACCTGTAAAGTGTTTAGTACATCGTGTATCAGTGCTCAGCAAATGTTGTCACCATAATCATTATCATCATCATCAATTCAAATGGGACTCCTTTCTAATTAGTCTTGGGTCAAAGTGGAGACTTGTGAAAATGAAAATTATTCATATTCTAATGCATACGTGTTGTGCTTCAGAAAATATACAGAAACTACTGAAAAAGAAAATAACTAGGAAACAAAGCTGGCATTACTATTATGATCAACACATTACAGATGCACCTTGATTTGTGATGGCGTTATATCCAGATAAACTCATCCCAAGTTGAAAATGCATTTAATATATCTAATCAACCAAACATTATAGCTTAGCCTAGCCTATCTCAAATGTGCACCGAACACTTATATTAGCCTACAGTTGGACAGAATCAACTAAAACAAAGACTATTTTTTAAATAAAGTATTGAACATCTCATGTAATTCATTGAATTCTGGACTGAAAGTGAAAATCAGAATGGTTTTGCACCATGGTAAAGTTCAAAAAATTGTGAGTTAAATCATTGTATTTTAAAATCATTATTTAGCATTAATTTGCTTCATTATTTAATTGTACATTACTTTCTTAAGGTAGAAACTTGATTTTCTTTTTAAATTTATAGGTATCCGTGGGGAAATCAATGTAGTTGTCAAAGTAGACCTCTTCAATGATTTAAATCGATTTAGGCAGTCATCATGTGGAGTCAAATTCTTTTGCAGTAAGTAAATACATTCTATTACTCAACAGGAAATGTAATAACTGTTAAATATGAGAAATCAAGTTAACATTTCAGAAGGCAAGTAGAAAAGCTATTGTACTTGGTTTTAATGCCAAAGAGAAAATTGTTAATTTTCTAGAATAGTTACAGTAGTTCTGATTTGAGTATAAATGATATCTAGTTTTTGAAAATTTATAGAAATTTTTATTAGAAAAATCCAGTGACATTTCACTGTAGTATAGGACACTAAAAGAAAGGAGCAGAACACTACGGCTAAGCACTATGGTGCTGTCCCAAAATACACAGGCTTTTATGGGTATTGGGTCTAGGGAACTCCATGAAATATATGGGTCTGAAATGGGCAGATCTTGGTGATCACAGCCCGCCTGCAGTAGTAGGATTGAAATCCCTAAGTAGTTGACTTAGCTTCAGTGCACCAATGTTTATTTTAAGAGACTAATTTGGTACAGATGTATTCAGGTTCTCTCTCTCCTTTTTGAATCTGAACTTGACTCCTCAGGTTATGTCAGAAAGGTAATGGTTTGATTTTTGAAACTGCTATGTGGTGTACAGAAGTACTTTTACAAAGGGCTTTGAATAATTAAAGATTTAAAAAAATTCATTATCTGCTTTCTACCTATTTATATAATAATTAGCTAGCTGACTTAAATTTTGATTTTTTAAACTTTGTATTGAATTCTGTTTAAGGTCTTCTATAGCTGTTTTCCAAATTATACAAATGCAGTTTATATTTACTTTGCTTACATGAGAAAGGTGAGAGCCTCCATGAAAGACAATAATTATTTCTAAAAATGAAATAGATCTTAGAAGACTGGAAGTATTATTATAATTACATTGAAAATATTACAGTAAAAGATGTTCTTGTATTATGTATCTAAAGGTCAGAAAATTGAGATGTACATTTTTTAAAAATTGAGTTTTACCTTTTGATAAACAGAAGCATAATAATTTGTTTTAACAGCAACGTCTATTCCAAAATGCTATAGAGCTGTGATAATTCATGGATTTGTAGAAGAACTTGTGGTCAATGAAGACCCAGAATATCAGTGGATTGATCGAATTCGCACACCAAGGGCATCAAATGAGGCCAGACAGAGACTCATTTCGTTAATGTCAGGTATTTAAAAAAAATAACTTTATTACTGACTGATTTAGTACTCTCTTAAATTTTTTGCTTTCCTTTGACATGCTACCTCAACTTTACAATGAAGGCTATGAATTATAAGTGACTGCATGCCTTCCCCTGGGCCAGTCTTCCTGAACACACTTGCATTGCCCTCTTTTAACAAGTGGAAATGCAAATCAGAAGCTTGTAGTAAAAGGAAATTGTGTTGATGAGGTAGTGTAGTGGAAAGAGCGCTGAGCAAGGGGCGTTCAGGAAGGAACCCTGAGTGGGAACCTGGATTCTAGTTTTCCTTCATCTACCATTTATTTGTCAGAGCTTAAGCAAATCACCTTCTTCTGTCTCTCATACTTTCTGTTCAGATGTTGCCTTTTCACAGTTCCTCCCTAGGTACTGTAGTTCCCTCTATCCTTTTGACCACTTTCCCTGCCACTCTGACCTCATTCCCTTTTTAAATTTTTCTTTGAAAAACTTGTTTACTGTTTTATTTAAAATTTACATTTATATTAAGAGTTATATGTGTATATGTGTGAATATATATTCATACATGTATTTCACACAAAGTATCAATGTTATATTTATATAGCAAATATATTTGTTTTTATTCTATATATTTGTGCTGTATAAGTATATATTATATTTTATAATTATGCTATATTGTAATAGAATTATGTTCTGTATTCTGTAGAGGCTAAACCAGATTATCTTTTAAGTTTCCTTCAAGTTCTGAAAATCTGTGATTTTCTTGGTCTTTTTTTTTTTTTTTACCACTACCATGTCCAGTCTTATAGTATGTAATGTAAAGCTACAAAGCAAGAATGAGATTTCCCATGTTTTGTAGGTGAGCTGCAGAGGAAGATTGGCTTGAAAGTACTTGAAATGAGAGGAAATGCAGTTGTGGGGTACTTACAGTGTTTCGATCTGGAGGGCGAGTCTGGGTTAGTGGTGCGAGCCATAGGAACGGCGTGTACTCTGGATAAATTAAGTAGCCCAGCAGCATTCCTTCCTGCATGTAATTCCCCATCCAAAGAAATGAAGGAGTAAGTATGAATCAATGAAATTGTTCTTGCTAAGATTTTTATCTTTTATCTATGCTTTTTCATTTGATTTGAAACATTTTAGTAGGGTTGTTCAACATTTTCTCTGTGATGATTTTTATTGGTGATGACTGTCAAAATTTAAAACTTAAAAATATTTAAATATTCCTAATATTTTATTTATACCGTCTTATTTATTTTTATTTTTATTTTTTGTGACAGGGTCTTGCTCTGTTGCCCAGGCTGGAGTTCAGTGGCACAGTCTTGGCTCACTGCAGCCTTGACCTTCTAGGCTCAGGTGATCCTCCCACCTCAGCCGCCTGAGTAGCTGGGACTACAGGGGCAGGCCACCACGCCCAGCTAACTTTTGTATTTTTAGTAGAGATGGGGTTTTGTCATGTTGCCTAGCCTGGTCTCAAACTCCTGGGCTCAAGTGATCTACCTGCCTTGACCTCCCAAAATGCTGGGATTTACAGGTGTGAGCCACTGTGCCCTGCCTATGCCATCTTAATATGAAACAAATTAAGTAATATAAAATTAAACTTATTCCAGATATTTAGACACTGCATATATAAAGCATAAAATGAATATTCAAGCATTGTGTGGCATTTTATTTTCTGAGGAATACTTAAAACCCTCTACCAGATAATCCAATTATACTTATTAATGGCCACATAGTATATAAAGCAGGAAAAATTGATTTGTGCAGAAGTGTTAAACTCAAATGTCTAGAGGCCAGGGAGTTTATATGAATAAACTAACTGAGTGTAATTAAATAGAGTATACTGCTGCTTGTAAAGCCAAGGTTGGCAAACTTTTTCTGGGAAAGGCCAATACTTTAGGGTCTGCCCATACAATCTCTTGTCTTTATTTACAAAAAAAGGAGTTTGCTGATCCCTATTCTAAAGAAATTTAGAGTCATGCATTTTAGAAAATCTATGTGTGATCCTGCAAAACACTTCTGTTGGCTTGATTTGGCCTGTGTGTGTCATCATTGTGTCAGAGGCAGAGATTTTCAACATGATGGTGGTCATGACTGTCATCACAGAGTGTTTGGAACAAGATTTTTCAGTCATAATGATTAGGGTGCTAGGTCCTGTTGGGGACTAAAAACGCTGACTATCCCGCACAGCAAGGGACAACCCTATACAATGAAGACTTGTTTCATCCTAAATGCCTTTAGTACTTCGGTTGAAGACCACTCATCTAGAGATTCTTCTAAGTCAAGGGTTGGCAAACTTTTTCTGTGAATGACCAAATGGTACAGGTAAATGATTTAGTTTTTGCTGATGCTACTTCATAACTGCCATTGTAGCACAAAAGCAAACATAAACAGTATGCAAGTGAATACAGTGTGACTGTGTTCAAATAAAACTTACTTACAAAACAGATGGTAGGACAGATTCGGACTGCAGTCTGTAGTTTGTGGACTCCTGTCCTAGATAATCAGGGAGTCAGAGTTGTATAGTCAGGAAACCTAAAATGTTTCCCAGTTCAGTAGTCAGGAGGGGTTGAATAGAAAGGTATCATAGTATGAAAAAACATGTTTTTTCACCATCTTTTTTAAAGTGAAATTTTCATCTTTATCCTAAGTGCATTCTTTTTGTTAGCCATTTTATTTCTGCTGGCCATTAGTCATTTGGGTTGAATTTTATTCATAAGAGGAAGCACAGTGTTACATACTGCTTAATTTTATTTGGAAACACATTGGCAAATGAAATAATTGTTTTAAATAAATCGAAGAATGAATTTGCTTTATATTCCATTTAAAATATCTCCTAGAAAGATAAGAATTGCCAGCTGCCAGCAGTAGAGTCAGATTGCAGGTTTAGCTTTTTGAGGTATTCAGATTTTTTTCCCTCTCTCTGTAGCAAATTTAAGTAAATATTTACTAGCAAATTAAAGTGCAAGTTTAAGCAAATTTAAGTAAGTTACCTAGTGGAAGGAGAATGACAAAGCTATATTACCTGTTGGTTCCTTAGAATGAAATACAGAGAGCAAGGGGATATGTTTTGCATGCATTCAGGAAGAGTTCTATTAGTGTAAATCTTCTGGGATTGTATACGTTTTCTCCTTTTCTAATCTTGTTGTAGCCTCATGATGGACGTAAGTTCCTTCCTTAGGATTTTCTAAAAGGCATCTTACTAATTAAGTCAAGTTATTTTTTAAAAACCCTCAATACTCAGGCTGTTTTATTTCAACTGGCTTCATTGTATTTTTTGAGAATGAAGCAATTTGGGTTCTATTTCAAAGCCTATTTTATGATTCAGCTGATTATAACTATTCTGGTATTTAATTATGTAATATTGTTGATTCTAGACAGGAATTTGATAAAAGGTGGTTTAGATTATGTTATTGACTGACTGGAAAGGAATATTAATATTATAAATACCACAGGTTATTATGAGGCATCCTTTCATGCAGAGAGACTGATCGAATCAGAAAACTCCAAGAGTACATTATGGTGATGTTCCAGTGTATTTGAATTTTAATTTGATGCCATAGTTTGAACATTTTACACTGTTCATTTTAGTTTTTTCATTTTATTTTACCTACATTAATGGTGTGTTCTACTTCCTAAGTTTTTTTCTTTTTGATGTTTAGTGTCATGCACACTATAAATCCCTTTGGTGTTTTCCAGCTTAACTCTCTTGACAATAGAAAGTGCTTTTAAGTATGAGTTATTGCTTCTTTACTTAAAAAAAGTACTACGAGACAAATTCTCCTGTGTATACTACTGATTATAATAAATATAGCATTGTTTATTTTTAAGTCTTGGATTTTTTAATTCTTTTTGAGAATTCTTATACTTTTTCTCACTTCAGTGGAGAAATAAAAACAAAAACAAAACCTTACTCATTTTTTGGTGTAAAAGTAGATCACCAATGAATTGTTTGATTTTTATCCATTATAGTAAATACCTTTTAATTTCTATTAGCAACAAACGTAGAAACAGTTCTCCTATTGCAAAATCAGTAATATTTTCATAAAGTAGTCTGTAGACCTTAGGAAGGACTATTATGATCAGTTAGTGATAGCTCATGTTAGAACCTTGACAAATTGTGAATTGGGGAATGTTCCTGGGCAGTCAGTAATATAGCAATGGAAAAGAAAGAAAAGATCAGGTAAAGTTGGGCTCTTTGCCTGCCTTTAATTTGCGTTCTAAAAAATGGGGATGATAGTTTTTCAGAGTGTACTCACATATGATTCATATGATTCTGTTTCCCTCATTGTGTGTAAGCAAAGGCATTGCACAGTGAAATAATTGCTGATATTAAATTCAGGATTCTTATTTATGTAGTATACCTTTTTACAACATTCAATGTAATCCTTTTAGCCAAATTTTTTCTTAAAAATTTCAAATCTTATATATCAATATATACTTGTATAACTGCTCTAAGTATACACACACATAGATATGGTTTATTATAGGATATATGTTGATATCTTATAAAATTTTGATTTGGAATATAGTTTATATGATATATTCTGTATGAGAGCCAAAGTTATTGACATTGTTTTATGAAGATGTCTTTAAAAGCAAGGTCCCCTTGTTTTGTTTCCAGTGTAACCTGATTTTAAGCTATATATTTGGTGTATTGAAATACTGGAATATGTTTATCTGCGTATATCCAATCAGTTCACTCATTTCTCTTTGTGCCATCATCTCTCATATTCTTAAATACCCCTATCTTAGTAGCCTAGACAGTTATTTAACTTTCTTTATAGAAAATATAATTAATTATATCAGCAATTCATATCTCAGTTTCAAAGGTAATATAAGAACTTTATATTTGACTTTTTACTTTTATGGGCGTCCCTCCCCATAAATAGTGCATAGTAAGTTCTATTGTGATGAAAATAATGACAAATATGTTAAGGAAACTTAAAATACAGATCTTAGTCTTGTTCTCATTTAATTTCATTGACTATTCTGCTTGCTATTTTCTTATTCACAATTAATAAATTAATCACAATTAATTTATTAATCGGATACTTTAAAACTATGTATCCTAACAAATTAATATTTAGCTATTTTTCAATTTCAACTTGTTTTTTGCATGCTAGGGATTAAAAAAATAAGTTCTCTTCCCTGACTAAAGCTCCTTTGAAATTATTTTAACATAACTCTGCAATCTGTTGTATGTATTGTTTTCTTTTCTTCCACTTTGACCACAAATTCCCTCAGGTCTCCGCTGGTTCATCCTCCAAGCCATGGATGCCGCTCGACTCACAACAGCCCAATTCACACTGCTACTGGCTCACGACTTACTCAGAACTTCTCTGTGTCTGTTCCCACTCTCATCTATACTGGTACGAGACTGCTCAGACTCCAGAGCTGGGGAGATGCAGGCCACGGGCAGAGTGGCTGCAGAGGCAGGCAGGCAGGTAGTGTAGGCAGGTACCATAAATCTTTGCTTCATCCTTTTCTTACTCGAAGTCCAGCTGCAGTGAGGAACTTCTGTATTTAGCTGCCACAGAGTCTCTAACTATATGGAAGTGAAGGTATTCTTCCAGCTTCCAAAGTCTCTTCCACAGATCCTCAAATAATGCTATTTTGTATGTGTGTACTGTGAATTTTGTGGCGAATCCTCCCATATATATTTTTATAATTATTTCTGCATTTGTTTAAAAATAAAATTGATGATTAGATTCTAAATGAAATAGCTGCCAAAGCTTCCAATTTGCTTATTTTCTTTATATACAAAACCTATTACAGTAGGTCCTATTTCATTCTGTGGAAGAGAGCTATTGGAGAACAGGTAAGCAACTATTCTGCATTAAATGCAATGTTTCTGTGTAGCTGTATTCATTTTTCTCTCTGCTGTGTTTTTAGCTGTGGCACTCTTGCTGCTATAGGATAAGGAAACATTTTTTTCTTTTGAGGATATCTGTGTGTGTGCAAATATAAAAACAATTATGAATATTTACACACACCATTTGTAGTTACCATTTTTCTTTTGTAACTTACAGCATTGTTTATTTGAAAATATTTTGTCATATATTCTTTTTATTTCTCCTTTTGATATTTTTTATCCCCTTAGTCTGTCATTTCATGCTTTTTTGCTTTTTCACTTGGCTTATTAACTGTTTCAATGCAGATAATATTTATCTGGAGAGTGATGAATGGTTAAACAGCAATTGGTTGTCTTTGGCCTCATTCCCAGCTCCACACGTAAGAAATGACTGCTGGCCCTGCCCCAATTCTTTCCTGGTGTTTGGATCATGCTGCCACCTGTCAAGTCCTTTGGCACATGATTACTTAATATTTCTCCACCTTCTTCTGGCAGGATTCCCTTCAATGAAGATCCCAATCCCAATACTCACTCATCAGGACCCTCAACCCCTCTGAAAAACCAAACTTATTCCTTTTCACCTTCCAAGTCCTACAGTCGACAGTCCTCTTCTTCTGACACAGATTTGAGTTTGACACCCAAAACTGGTAAGGCGCTTCCACCCACCTTTTATTTTTTCTTTTTTAAAAATTTGTTTCTATTTCTTATTAGCTTTCCATCCAAATCTTTCCTCTTGTTTTTGGCACTTAAGTTAAAAAGAAAATGTGAATACTGACCATTTTCAGTTACTGCAATTAAAATATGAAAATTTTGTATAATTCAGAAATTATCTTGTTTACATTTCATTGATTTAATCATAGTGTAGATATCAAAGTCCACGATTTATTTTGGCATGTAGACATTTTTCATTTTATGCTCGAATTAAAAGGAATAACATCTTAAAACATTTTGACTAAAAAGTAACACTAGTGGCTTGCAATCAATTGCATACAAGCATTTTTGAATTTATTATTTCTGCCTATTAGTGAATATAATTCTAAGATTTTATTATGAAAAAACTTTAAACCACTGAAATGGTTATATTAGAGTACATCTATCTATTTATTAACTGGGTATTTAAAATGTTTGGTTTTACTAGTCTTTCTAGGTTAGAAAATAGCATTTTTACTTATTCTTAAATTTTTCTGTTCATTAAATTTGTATTTTCTATTGTATTTTGATGAATGATTTCTGGGTTTTTATGAATATGTTTTATGATAAAAAGTTGATGAAAAATCAGATTAGTTCTTTATACCTTAGAATAGAATTAACTTATTTAAATCATTAAATTATTATTGTTTAGAAAAATTTAAAATAAATTTAAAAACTTAATAGTGATGAAATTTTTATAAATAGTATTTTTGTCTGACAGTTTTCCCATCAGATGATTAAAACATAGTTCTTATTTGTTATTTTTAGTTAATATTTTTAGTAGCCCTATATGTATGTTAGAAAAGAAATTTATAAAACAATCCTAGATTTTGTGAAAACAAGGAAAAGAAGTCTAAATCCAAAGCAGTGCTACTTCTAAGGAAAGATCATTTTTTAAAAAGCCTATAGATTTAATTTCTGTTTTTATAAATGAAGTCGTAAAATATAAAGATAATTATAAACACCTGTTTTCTTGAAGATAACAGCTTCATCTTTCTAGATAATTGTGAATAATGTCTACAAATAATGTAGTTATTTGACAGTAATGGATGCTTTGGAATTTGGCACCTTACGAGGTTTATGCCATAAAAATGGAACCATCCAGATTGTAGTGAAAAAAGATTTTTTTTTTCAGATAAAGAGTAAGAGGCTCTGGCCTTAAAATTCATGACAATCAAGACAAGAAAGACTTACATTACTATTTGAGTAATAAGTTTAAAAAAATATTTTTGAGACTTTGGTCCACAGACTGCATATTCCAGGCCTTTATTTATTTATTGTTATTATTATTATTATTTTATTTTTTTTGCCATACCACAGATAAAGTTTGGAAAGCATTTCCTTGGTCTTTCTGTTTCTTGTTTCTTGTTTCTTTTTTTTTTAATTTACCAAAAAGGCCAAGCCTAAAGAAGATTGTCAAGGAATAAATATCAATGAACTTGTCATATTTTATCTTCTGGCTCCAAATTTTTAGTTTAAAAAAATTTATTCTCAAATGGGGTGTTATTCTCATGTATTCCTATATTTATAAGCTACCTCTAAATAATTTTTTTCCTAAAATTATTTATTACTTCAATAGTTTATTTATATAATATTAGCAGTTTTCAGCCCCTTGGCCTTATATTATGAGTCCCTAAATATCTCTAAATTGTCCTGAGGAGCACTCCTATTTCTCATGGAGACTTCAAATGGCAAAATTGTGATTGTTATAAAAATTCTAAAACTATAATTTCAGCCTGTATTTCATGATTTTCTGCCTTCTGATTTACCTATATCAGAATCAGTGTCTTGAGAAATAATGGACAGAGATAAGCTGATTATAATTTATTTGGGAATCCAAAAGTAGAATAAAGTTAATAACATTTAGACTGAGAAAGTTGTTTTTTTTTTTTTCTGTTTGTAGTTAAAGCTACATTATCTGTATTTCTGGTAGGTCTCTTTTAAAAAATTTTATATTTCTGTAGATACTAATTTTTGACATTTACAAGGTTTTATTTTTATATTTTTTCCCAAGTATTTAACTAATAGTGGAATTTTAGATTTACTAGTGTTAGAATATTGATTTGACACCTGATTTTAGCTAATTTTTTTTAGCCAGTCTTTTAACTATGTATAGTTTTTATAGAGGGTATTTGACCCTTAGGGTACTCACGTCTCTGTAAATGCAAATAATACTATGATCAGAGTAAAGTATTAAACATTTTAGAGGAAAAAGAAAAGTATTAATATATATCTCAAAACTGGACAGAAGTTAATATTAAAATTAATACTGACAACTGTTTACCTAATCCAGTACTGAGTATTTTTTATGGATATTCAATTAAAGTGCCCATTGATGCTATCTTTTAGTTAGTAACATTTGAAGTACTGCACCTTTATAACTTTAAATAAGTGTTTATATTTTAGGCAGCAAGTCTGGCTCTAAAAATTTGAAAATGGGGTACATTTGAATCTTACAAATTCTTAAGCCAAAAAGGGCAGGCAAGTTAAGTATTTTGAAGACATTAATTAAAAGTTATTAGAATCACATAAAATCCTAAGTTAGTGATTTAAAAAATTTTAATGAATGTGAAGTTTGTAAAGGTTTTGTTAAGTTTTAGACTATGCCTGTTATTTTCATTACGTGGGATAGATGGTCTTGCTAGTGACTTCTCATTTGCTTAGTGTAATTTGTCTGTACATTTTAAAGTTCATTTTTATTGTTATATTTTGCCTCATCATTGCTTTCCTTAGCCTGCATTTTCTGATCATCTTCTGAATCTGCATCTTTTCTCTGCTACTTTCCTCCACAGCACCTTACCCACAGGGACCTAGGATTTACCTGTGTCCCAGCTCCCCCTCTCTCTCTTGTGGTTCCCTTCATCTTAAAAAGTCCTGTCTCCTCCTCTCGGAATCTAGCCTTACCCCTCATCATTCTAGCCTTGTCAGCCCAGTTCTGAGGAAAAGTGTTTCTTTCAGTGAAGAGCTGTTCCTGGCTGCTTCTGGTAGGATCACATTATGTCAGCTTTTTAATCCCTTTATTTTTCATGCTGTAAAAAATTATTGGGTATTTTATACAAGATGCCTTTCTATTATTTTTCTTACTGGTAGTCAGAGTTAAATAATTGGAATTATAAGGATATAATTGAGGATTACTTGATGGCTAATCATGAATATTCTGCCAAATTATTTTATATATTAAAAAATTATATAAGGACATAGATCTGGGTATTTCTAATATTATTAGATTCTTATTACTACAGTTTCTGTTTTAGATGCTTTACTTTCTTTCCCTTCATACCAACTCCATTCACATTGGACCTGTGTCATCATGTTGCTAAACCATATGATTACATTAGTAAATTATTCTGTTTGAATCAGTTTAAGTCTCATTTTGGTGATATTCTTTTATTATCTTTTTTTCTGTCTGTTGCATTAATTATTAAATTTTTCTGCTCTATTTTCTGATATTTCAATTATCACTACAAATTTACATTTTATTTTCTGGCTTTTAATATGCTTCGTATAAAGATCTTAGTTTCATTTCTATGTTTAGTATTGTATAGTCTCTAAAAATAATGTTCAGATTACTATAAGAAAAACCATTTTTTTGTTTTTAGGAACAGAATGGGACTATACATATGCTAACCTTTGTTTCCTTATCCAAGAACAGCTAAAAATGTAAAAGTTAATTAGTTCCTTTTTAAGTCGTTGTGGTAAATTTGGCTGTATGCATCTTACGTTTTGAAAGGGATGGGATTAACTCTAGTCTGTAGAGCACTGGCTTCTTACCTGTCCCCTGCTTTCTATGATTGTTTGACCATAGTTGATCTACTGGCATGGTCAGAACAATAAAATAAGGTAGGGAAAGAAATTTAAAATTAAGCCGTAAAAAATACATGTAAGAGCTTGGGAAAGATAATTCTTTCATTCATAACTATGTACATTTGTGATGTGTCTATTACATGTCTGTGGTTTTTTGTTTACTTAAAAAAAGTTTATGTTGATTTTTGTGAATGAGCGTTGACATGTATGAAATTAATACTGTTTTGTCATGATATGTTTAGAAATGGGAAGTTATAAGAAAATAGATTTGACTATATTTCAGACTCACCTGAATTTTATGTTTTCTAGAGAATTTTGGAATATTTTCAGTGAGCACAAGTAGTGCTTTTGTCTCTATATTTACATTTAATCAGACATTTTATATTTCTCATTTGTTAGTATTCTTAAATTGTTAGCATAGTAATTGTTATTATCTTGATTATTTTAATTAAAAGACTCAGCTTTTAAAATGGAATATTATGCAAAGATTCATCACCTTTACATACTTTTTCTTATAATTTTCTGAAAAAATTAAGTCCAAAACTAGCTGGGGTCAGTAGGGCTCTGACATGTTGCATCTAAAGAAAACTGTGAATAAAAGTAGAGTAAAATATGTGCTTTATTTGTCATCCCCAGTGCTTTAAATGTTTCGATCATTTTATCACATTTCAACTCATGATGTTTATGAAGATGAATGCAATTAAACTTTGTTTCTATAGTTGCTTTTTTGGTTGTTATTTATGTACTGATGTTCTGTAGGAATGGGAAGTGGTAGTGCTGGAAAAGAAGGGGGGCCCTTTAAAGCTCTTTTAAGACAACAGACTCAATCAGCGTTGGAACAGAGGGTAAGATTCACTTGATATTCTTTGTTCTTACACTGTTAATATGACTTTGTTATCTTATGCTTCCATGTACTTGCATGTTTTCATGAACTGTTTTGGTTACATATCTATAATATTGCAGTTTTGAAGTCCAAAATGGATTTAAGGTGTCAAAGTAATTTGTTTATGGATAATTACTGTTGATTTGGAATAATTACGTAATAATAATTTTTGTCTTGTTTAATCTTTTATCAGAAATACTATTTTTGATAATACCTATTGAATGCTGAAGTAATTTTCCATTACGTTTATCATTGGAAAGGAGATGGTAAACATTTTGCAGAAAAAAAATTCCAGTAGCATTTTATTATATTAAAAATAATTCCTTAGAATATAAATATATTTATTTGCTGAGATTACTTTTATCATTGACCAATCTCTTAGGAATAAGAAATGTACAGATTCTATATTTCTAAAGATTAATATAAATAATGTGGTTATTCAGTATAATGCATCTATTTCAGTTATTGTAAGTTTGAGATTTAGCTATATTTGTTCATTGGGAAAATAAGCAGTTACAGTTTTTGGATGATTTCTCTCTCTCTCTTTTTTTTTTTTAAATAAACTTCATTGCTAAGGGAGGATCGCCTCATAGGTTCTGTAGAAGGCGGGTATGTTTCTGAAAAATGTGTGAGAGCCTATTTCTTGTATTGATAGCTTTCTAGTTTTAATCTTGGTCATTTAAATTTTATTTAATCTTAGCAAATGTTGACAGCGTTTTTCTTTTCGTAATGCAAAGTTTTTTTTTTATTTAATAGCACTGTGAGACTCATGTTCTTTTTTCTACTAACTAATATGGTGCATGTTATATATGTCATGTCAGTAATTTTAAGACATAGTTCTATAGCTTTCATTATGTCTGATTTGGAAGCTATAAGCATTTACAGAATTTTCTTTTACATGTTCTATATTACACTAGCATTTGGGGGAAAAAAGGTGAAAGAGTAAATACCTGTAAAAAGGATACATTTCATAAAACTAAAGTATTTCTCCTCTAGAGGTTGGTACGATTTATTTTCTAGACTTTTCCCTCCTTATGCTGACAGTATCTGTGTATGCACTGTTTACCTAGAGAAGGCTGAAGAGAGCAGAGCTGAACTAAGCAATGATGAGGCTTTAGCTCATTTTTTGCTTCATGCTCTATCAAGCAGCAGTTACCTTCCAACTACTCTCGCACCTTGCAGGCAAACCTACAACTGCCACCAAAAGGCCCACCTAAACATTCAAATCAGCTATTAAAACCAAATATAATAAAAGACTGAAAACGTTGAAGAGGGTCAGAGTGAAGCTGTGTGTGTGTGTCCACTTACCATTTTTTTTAGGCCAGAATGCTCTTTTTCCCTGTCCCATTATTATGTTCTCTACAGAGTTTTTCACAAGAGGAATATGCTTGCTTATAATGAAATTACCATTCTGGAATTCACATCAACAGAAAAATGTGGGTTCCCTTGAAATTCGATATAATAAGATTTTACTTGTATGTTGTGCCTGTGACTTTATTGTCTGTACCAAGAATCTTTAAAAACCATCTCACTTTAAGGGAAAAAAATATTAAGCAGTGAAAACCATTTTGAATTAGTTTGGATAAAATTTGTGTTTTCAGATATGCATTTAAACATTCTTAAAATTTTGGACACATTTACACATTGGACATAGATTACTAAATAAACTTCATGGAATTAACAGTAAAGGTGTAGAGAACTATAGTTTTCATTTACAACCTTGTCAGTCCTGAGTTGGCAGTACATCTATATCGCCTGTCCTCGAAGTAGCAGTTACTTAAGTTTATGAGAGTACTTCTCTACCTTGTGTACAAAGTAAGCAGCCAAAGCATTATCATCTTTGGCTTTCCTATTCACTTGCGACTGCCATTAGTATGGTTTCTGTTTTGGGAAAAGCAAGAAGTATGAAGAATTCTCTCCATATGTGTTCAGATATGACTTAATTCTGCTAATCTGAACACTAGATTATGTCACTGACATGATCTACTTATATGATGTTTTATATTCCTTTCTTTAATATTCGTTTCTATCCCTTTGGTAAACCACCCTTAATAAATTATATGGCCTTTTTTTTTTTTTTTTCTTGAGGAAAGAGAAACTTTATTTGCCCAATCTCTTTTACGGATTATTCAAGTAGTAGTTGTCAAAATTGAAAGTGTTATTCTTTACTCCACAGAAGCATTGCTAGGTTTTCGGGAGATGAGAAATAGAGATAAAAGTTTTATTTAGATTTAAGTTCCACCTATGAATTTTTTGATGTAAAGTAAATAGATATTTAATTAATTAATTAGGAGAGAGCCTCTCTCTATGATGCCCAGGCTGGTTTCGAACTCCTGGGCTCAAGTGATCCTCCCATCTCAGCCTTTTAGAGTGCTGGGGTTAGAGGCATGAGCCACTGTGCTCAGCCAGATTTGTTTTTCAATAAGACTTTTATTTTACCTGTGAGAAAATATGGAAGTACTTTTTTAGTTCCTTCAGTCAAGAAACCTAGTGAACTTAGTTTAACCTAGTATTTCGCAAGTACATTTTACCATAGAACTTTCCTTTTAAAATACCTGTTAGTGAGGAACACATTTTGGGAAACATTGATATAAGGTAAACTCTTGAAGAATTTTGATCTTTTTAGAAGTGGGAGTAAAATTGTACAATAAACCATGGCAGAAATCTGTTATGGATTTTATATCTAGAAAGTTTAGTCTTTTGCAATAATAAAAAGAGTATTTGATTTAAAGAATAAACTATTTAAATAGCTCCTAAGAAAAATCCTATTTAAATCTCTTTTTAAAAGAATACTCCCATTGTGCTCTGATGATTTTTCAACTAACCTGTCTTTGAGCACACACTATTAAATATTTTTATGCTGCCTGCCCTTGGCTTATGTCAAAGCATCAGCATGTAACTTTATCTAGGTACCACAGGGAAAGCTACTTTAAATATGAAGACTTCTGGAGAAAATTTCTTCTGCAGTTCCTGAAATTCACATCTAGACATTGAAAGCGGGATGTGCTTGTGCTGATCTTAAGGAAGCTATTCTCTTTTTTTTTTTCATTGAGATGAAGTTCTGTTCTTCTTGCCCAGGGTGGAGGGCAATGGCATGATCTCAGCTCACTGCAACCTCCGCCTCCAGGGTTCAAGCAATTCTCCTGCCTCAGCCTCCTGAGTAGCTGGGATTACAGGCGTCCGCCACTACAACTGGCTAATTTTTGTATTTTTAGTAGAGACGGGGTTTCAGTATGTTGACCAGGCTGGTCTTGAACTCCTAACCTCAGGTGATCCACCTACCTCAGCCTCCCAAAGTGCTGGGATTACAGGCGTGAGCCACTGTGCCCGGCAGAAGCTATTCTTTTAAACAGAAGAAAAATCTATAAATTCATCAGGTGTAATAAAATCAAATCCTTAACTCTAAATGACAGTGAAACCAGATGATAAAGTTTGTTGCTTATAAAGAATCTAGGAATAAAAGGCCCTTTTGACTTCAGTTTTTCATATAAAAAATGGAGATAATAGTACTTCCCTCATATGGGAAAGGTTATACAGCACAAGCTACAGGGCCTGGCACATAGAAGTACTTGACAGTAGTTGCTAGTTATGGTGGTGATGATAGGTACTTAACAATCTGCTATAGATTTCAGCAGTAGCTCTTCTCATGAGAGAATTGTATGAAGACGGAGTTTTGGTTAAATAACAATGACATTTTTATTTATTATAGGTTAAATTTTGTGTTTTAGAGTGAATTGGTGTGCCGATTAGGTGAACTGGGGACATGTGAGGTGGAGAGTGGGTCGTGGCCTCAATGGGCAGCCATCGCCCTGTGTGTTTCTTTCTGACCAGCTCTAGTACAATGCTTGCCCTCGTTTCTTTATCCCAAACAAAGAACTTTGGGGAGAAGGGTAAAGAACCCTGAATTGAGAAGTCATTTAGGTTCATTTATTCATACTTATGTAAAATCTTATATGAAAATATTTTCTAATACATAATTTACCTATTTCTTTAGAAGGAAAAAGGAAGTACTATCTTCCATTTAGCTTACAAAAATGTTATTTTCAGTATCTCTTGTCTAGATATTTAAAAGATTTAAGGCTGGGCGCGGTGGCTCACGCCTGTAATCCCAGCACTTTGGGAGGCCGAGGCGGGTGGATCATGAGGTCAGGAGATCGAGACCATCCTGGCTAACAAGGTGAAACCCCGTCTCTACTAAAAAAATACAAAAAATTAGCCGGGCGCGGTGGCGGGCGCCTGTAGTCCCAGCTACTCGGGAGGCTGAGGCAGGAGAATGGCGTGAACCCGGGAAGCGGAGCTTGCAGTGAGCCGAGATTGCGCCACTGCAGTCCGCAGTCTGGCCTGGGCGACAGAGCGAGACTCCGTCTCAAAAAAAAAAAAAAAAGATTTAAGTATAAAGATTACATATAAAGTGATTTTTTATTCTGTGAGACCACCACATGCCTCAGATATTTTGAGGAAATATTAAAATTTAAGTGATCCTAACACTGAAAAAAAAATCTGAAAGACCTAACTACATTATTAATAATATAAGCTTACCTATACGTTTCTCATTTAAAACTCACATTTACAAAGTTCAAATGTACTTGCTCAGTGATTACCGAACTGTTTTCCCAACTTCTTTCTTAATACTTATATTGTGTAATTACCCCGTGTGTGCTGTGCCTAACAATAAATCCATTCGAATATTTTTATGACTCAAAACTTCATTTACATTCAAATTTCCTAATAATAAATATGAATTCATTATGAGGTAATCCTCTAGTTTGTACAATTTTTATTAGATTTCCAGGAACAAAACTTAGAGGACAGAAAAAGAAGTTTAAATGGAAATAAGGATGCATTTTGACTAAACATATTATAATACATTTATTATAAGTGACGTACTCTCCTTCCATCCTCTTCCTTATTTTCCCTCTACCTTTCTGCTGGGCTATACCTAACCACTTCCATAGACCAGTTTTTTACTCTTTTCTTACATAGCATAGATTTTTCTTTCTCTTGTTTAAAGATTACTTCTAAATTTGAACTGAATTTATTTCTAAATAAATTTTAGAAACTTTTTTATACTCAACCTTCATGGGTTACTGAGGTGCACAGGACTGATAGCTTTTGTGCAAAATGATTCCAAGTTGCCGTGCTTTGTGATCATGCTTTTGTGAGTTTGTATTCTCCATGCTTGAAGCAGCCAGTGAATAATTCTTGCTGCTTTTAATAAGCCTGCTTCTGGTGGTATTCTGTATCTCTTTACCAGCTTTTATTTGTTGCATTTAATCTGAGGTGGTCTTGAAAATGAGATCATGATAAATTTTAGAGTTGTTTCTTTTTAAGATAAAAATTTATAACTACTATAATATAGTATGAATATGATCTGTGGGAGTCTCCTATGAATAAAGTATATGAGCTTTAGAGCTTGAGACCGTAACAGTTCTTTTGACCGTTGAGAGCCCTGTTTTGCTTATTTTTCTCAATTATGCTCAATTATGTTCTAAATAGCTGAGGCTACTGGTAAGTGATTCCAGTTAAGTGAGCTACATTAATCTTGCAGCCAGACAGGTCAAACATCAAGTTTTCCTTACTTGCATCCAATTTGTGTAATGTGAGGGGCCTCCATGTTTTCACAGGAGCTCCGTTTTCTTATTGGGTCCTATTTCAATGAATTTCCTTTCTTGGCTTTTTCATTTGTCTTTTTTGTGTTTCTCTTTGTCTCTAAGTTGATGAATTTTATTCTTTAAGAGAGAAGGATAGAATAAAGCTTGCAAGAACTTGTGGAATTTTATTGCCTTCCTAGCTGTTATCTATGTACCTTTCAACTTTCCTTAATGTACCTTTATGCACTTGTATTTGTTCCTGCCACATTGGTGTTGATAGAGTAACCTCACACAATGATTCTCTACCCATCTCAACTTGATATTTGCCACTATCCTCTTTCTCTTAACCCACACTGCTTATCCTCTCACTTATCCTCCTTTGGTCCCACTTTCATTTAGATCCCTTGGCCCCAGGTTTTTAGAGTCTTTACCAGTGTCTTATACTGGGTGTTCATGTGAAGGGGGTGTCTAAACCACTGATAGATAAAGGGGAAGAGGGATAGGGCAGTTCCCTCATCTCATTGAGAAGTTCCATCAGAGTTGGAGATTCAGAGGAAGGAAGAGTGTGTTTCAAATATCTTAAATTGAAGGAACACTTTTTTTTTCTTCATTGAGAACTGATGAAATGGGTCTTTGGATTCTGTATAACATTGTATATATGGGGAAATGGATTTGAAACTCTAAACATTTAATTAAACTTTTAATTACAAAGCATGTGTGATGTGTAATGGGTGGCCTTTTATTTCAAGGGATGTAATACAGTTGCTATGGCAAGCTTTTTAATAAGCAAATTTTTTACACTCTACACACGATAAGTTGTATTTTTCCCTTATTCTTTCCACTAGGAATTTCCATTTTTTACCTTGACGGCATTTCCTCCTGGATTCCTTGTACACGTTGGGGGTGTAGTTAGTGCACGTTCTGTGAAGCTTTTGGATCGTATCCACAATCCTGGTATGTTCTTAAAAAGTTTCAATGTTTCCTTTATTTAAATTGTGGTTATTAAAATTGATTTTTATGATTTTTTTAAAGCCAAATCTAACTGAAAAGAGAAATGAAAAGAAAGTATAAACTAGCACGTTACTTTAATATATTTGTAGTCATCTTAATTATAAATAAACTAAGTGTATTTTAGTTACTTTTCTGTAAAAAACCAATTGATTTATTTTTGGTCACAATATCACTTTAAGGAAATCCTTAAATAACTTTTCTTTGACCCAGGGGAGATAAACATTTTTATAAATTGACCATTATGGCCATTAGTTTAAGATGTTAGTTCTTTTCATTAGCAGTAGCTTTTTATAGATTACTTATTTTCCTTGTTCTTAAAACAGGTATTTTTAAAAATGTAATTGTAAAGCTGGGCACAGTAGCATGTGCCTGTTGTCCCAGCTACTCAGGAGGCCGGGGCAAGGAGGATCGCTTGAGCCCAGGGCAACATAGCCAGACTTGGGCAACAACCTGGGCAACACAACAAGACCTATGTAAACACTGTGGGTGTCATAGGAACAGATAGGTAGCAGAGGGAACCAAACCAGTCCATGGGTCAAAGACCCTCTTGCTGAGCAGGCTACTGGAGCTGTCATTTCTTAGAGCTCATTGTGTAACTTGAACACACTGGGACTGTCTTTGACCACGGCCACCTGTCCCCTCCAGTCTACCCAGGCAGCACTCAGGAGACACAGAACCCAGATCCCAGCACTGTGCTGGGATTCCACTCTGTCATTGGTGGAATCCAGCATGGGCAACAAAGTAATTGTAGGCGTTGTCTAGAGTAGCTAAGAATTGAAAAACAGATGAGCAAACTAACATCTGGTCCTTCAGTTTCTTTTATGTAGCTATTTGTTATGTTTAAGCAAACGAGTAAGAATAGTAGCTTACTTCTTTAAAACATAGGACCATAATTATAAAAGCGAGTAGGCATCAAAGTCCCACTGGATTCAGGCCCTTTGATCAGAAATCCTCTGGTGATTTTTCTACGTCTAAAATAAGCATGATGAATAGTGGGAACTTTCCATATGGAATGTGTTCTTGCATCTCTCATTGACTAGATGCTCAATCAACATACATTAAACCTGAAGTTATATTAGTATTCTTATTTGGTGTATAGACGTATATATTTTTGAAAATTTTAAATTGTCACATCCAGTGACCTCTTTGTGAGGCTTGTATTGACAGCTATAAAAAGAAGGGTGGCCGGACACAGTGGCTCATGCCTGTAAAATACTAAAAATACAAAAATCAGCTGAGCGTGGTGGCAGGCACCTGTAATCCCAGCTACTTGGGAAGCTGAGGCAGAGAATTGCTTGAACCCGGGAGGTGGAGGTTGCAGTGAGCCGAGATTGTGCCACTACACTCCAGCCTGGGCGACAAGAGCGAAACTCTGTCTCAAAAAAAAAAAAAAAAAAAAGAAAGAAAGAAGGGTAAAAATGCTTTGAAGTTATTGGACCAAAATATTGTAGATAATGACTATTTTTGAGGATACAGAGCATTACTATTTTTTAAAATTTTTTTAAAGTTTAATTTATGCCCTGTAGTTTGATGTCATTTGAGTTTATTTCAGAGAAGAAGACTAGAATTCTCTGGACCCTGAATGAGATTTCAGAAAAACAGTGCGAGTCAGGATTATTTAACTCTAAAACTGGGCAAATGCATCTTCTAAGCACTGGTTTTCTCTTTTTTTCCCCTTCTTTAGTTTTTTTTCCCCCCGTTTCTTATTTTTGTGGTCAATATAAGATGTTTTCTCCATTGTAGTATTTGTGTACAGTACTTAAGAAAAATTCAGACTGATGCCAGTTTAATGTATTGGGATCTTGAAGACTATGCCAAATTCTATATCTTTGTGTTAAGGAACTTGAATTATTTGGAAAATGCAAGGAAATACTGAGTTAAAATACCTGACATCACCCTTGTGACCCAAGGCTAGTTACCTGTGTTTCTATGGACCATTGACTCAAATATTTTAATAGATGGCACCCACTGATCTGATAGTTCGAAACATGGTTTCAGGAGTATATTTAATTACTAGATGTCTTCTGCTTACTGAAAAACATTTTGGGCTGGGCACGGAGGCTCACGCCTGTAATCCCAACACTTTGGGAAGCCAGTTTGAGGCGGGTGGATCATCTGAGGTCAGGAGTTTTGAGACCAGCCTGACCAACAAGGTGAAACCCTGTCTCTACTAAAAATACAAAAATTAGCTGGGCCTGGTGGCAGGCGCCTGTAGTCCCAGCTACTCGGGAGGCTGAGACAGGAGAATTGCTTGAAACCGGGAGGCGGAGGTTGTAGTGAGCTGAGATCGTGCCACTGCACTCCAGCCTGGGCAACAGAATGAGACTCCTTCTCAAAAAAAAAAAAAAAGAAAAAAAAACATTTTGATTTTATTTTGTTGCTTCCATGTACTCTGAGTAAGCTATAGAGTCTGGGAGAACAGGTGAAGTTTACTTAAATAAGTTTAAGTAGAGAGTTGTATTTAAAATGTCACTACTTAAAAAAAAAAACGAACTGCATTTTGGGGTTTATTTTATGTGCCAGTTCATGCTAATTGTGCAAGAAATGTAAGAATCCAGGCCCAGGGAAGAAAAGAATGATTCCTATTACAGAATGTGTTTTGTGTATTGTAACTACCAGCTCACCCATTCTCTGCCTTTCCTCCCAGTTTAGAGTATTTTCTCAGCTCACATTTAGAAATTCTCAGTTATTAATGGATTATTTCCCAAAAGGTCATGGACATATACATATAAGTGCTTTCAATGGCGTATGAGTTATATTTTCATTTTGTTTTATTTTTAGTTAAATATGTGTAATTATTCTAATGGTTCTAATATTATTTTGATTTAAAGTATCACATTCTGACTGGGCACGGTTGCTTACACCTGTAATCCCAACATTTTGGGAGGCCAAGGCGGGCAGATCGCATGAGCTCAGGGGTTTGAGACCGGCCTGGGCAGCATGGTGAAACCCTCTCTCTACCAAAAATACAAAAACTATCCGGGCCTGGTGGTACATTGTCTGTGGTCCTAGCTACTTGGGAGGCTGAGGCAGGAGGATCACTTGGACCCTAGAGATGGAGGTTGCAGTAAGCCGAGATCATGCCACTGCACTCCAGCCTAGGTGACAGAGGGAGACTCCATCTCAAAAAATAAAATAAAATGTCACATTCTTCGGATTGTTTTATGTATTATTACGCACTAAAAAGGAACATTTTCTTGAGAACATTTACTGATCTCCAGGCCTCTTAAGTAATTATTTATGAAGAAATTTTAATATATTGAAGAAAAGCTGAATGTTGAAACAAAACAAAACTCTAGATTAACATCTACCGTAATGATGATGTTTTAATTTTGTGACACTGAGTTCCTCTGCTGAGGGAGACTTAACGATGGATTGAGATGCATGTGCTAATGTTAAAAATGTTGTGTTTGCATTCTCAAATGAGTTTTGCAGCTATTTTTTGACCGGTGAATATGGGAAATTTTTGTTTCATTCTCACTATAGAAGGGAAAAAATCTTATTTTAAAACCACTACCACCTGCTAACTATGGATTATTATTTTGGAGGCTTTTTTAAAGAACATCCTCCTTTGGTAAATATTGAGCAAACGGGTGACTACAACAAGGGAAAGAATGGGGTGGTTTTAAAAATCAAGGTAATTAAATAATTAGATTAGTTAATGTTAGATTACTATAGCATGCTCCTTTCCCCCTTTCTATTTCTACTTCTTATTAACTCTGCTGTCTATGTCTTTCCAGTTCCTGTCGAGTGGTGTTGTCAATTGCGTTCTTGTTTGTAGTGTTTTTTGTTTTATTCCTACTATTCTGCACCTAAAACTGATCTACTAATTTGCTGTTTTGAACTCAGCCTTTGTCGGAATTATGGGTAACACAAGATCTTACAAACTGCTAGACTGGAATAGTTTCAATTCAGGTATTTTAATGGTCATTCAGTACTACATATGCTGACAAAAATTATGGCAGCTCAGTGAAGTTTTTAGAAATGTTCTAGATGAAGTAGGTTTAAGGTCAATTCAGTTATACAGATAATATTCTGTGCTACGTATGTAATAACTCTTGTAATTTCAATGGAAATACAAATATAAAAATGTGTTAACTAAAATGAATTAATGAAAGCCATAGAAATACCATAAATTATCAATGACTTTTCTTAGGTGATTAACTTCAGAATGATCATTTAAAATTATATTTATTACATTTTGGATGGTTTTCTATATCAGGTAAATGATGTAGGCATTAGCTTTAAGATTAAGCAAATATTTGTTAAATATAAGTAATGTTTCATAAATCTAAAAATAAAGTATATTTAAATGCACATTTAGATTTGAATAGATTTAGTGTTCTATAGGCTACTGTAAAAGTGTAACTGTTAGCATTTTTATTTATAATTCTAGAAGTGTTCCAAAATTAGATAACTAAGAATAGACTTTTTGGGGATTAACAGCTTTCTTAAACTTTCCTCCTTCCCTTTCCACATGTGAATATAATTTTTAAAAAGTAATTTTACATATGAATGTAGTTTGTAGCTTTTAAATAAACAGACTACGATAGTGAGCTTTACAGCTGATGATGTGTTTTAGAGTCAAAAGTAATTAATTTTTTTTTTTGATAAAAACATAATGTACATTTCTAATTGTTTATATTATATTTTTTAGAATGAAATAATACAACCATTTTGATTCAGTGTCAGAAGCTGGTATGTTGCCTAAAGAAATTTTTCAGTTATTTGTCTCAGAAAGTATATCTTACAGAAAAGCAAAGACGCCACGGGGCTCAGAATTTTAGATAATATCTCATAATCTTTTCAATATTGTAAACTTTTTTTTGTTCTTAGGAGTTCAAGATGTAAGTTTTGATGTAAGTAATGCATGTTTGACTATGAAGTAAATCATGTTCATCATGTAGATTTACCTAAATTCAGTCTGGTAAACCATATGATAAGTCCAACATTTACAGATGTAGATTGATATCAATCGGTAAATCCATAGGGAAATTTCCTATCCAAGTTTTTACCAGCCTGCTGTCATTGATTAGAATTGAAATGATCATTTGTTAGTGTAATATTTTGTAATTGTTTTTTAGTGAGAAATTGAAAAATACTTTCCTAGGTTGATTTCTTAAGAAATTTTAAAACATAGGCAGATTAGTATAGTGGAAAGATATATAGAAAAAGGACATTGAGAGCATATTGACCATTAATAATATAAGGAACTGAAATCTTGTCAGGGCAAAGATGTTTAGGGTGAGATGTGTGTTGGTCAAATGATAGAACAGTCTTGGAAATGGAAATGGCAGTAATTAAATCTTATAGACATAGTAAGGACGTTGTCCCACGTAAGCAGAATTACGGTTTGGCAAAGAAAAACATGGTTGAGGAAGCAGTATATCTTGCCATCATTTAAAATAATGTCACGTTGGAAGTGTGTGAAGAAAAAAGGTAGATATAAGTTATAGAATGTTAAAAGAACATAAATGATGACACCTTGTAGTATGCTTTTGATTAATTAGAATCTTTCTGGTAAGACTTAGTATATCTTCAGAAACAACTGATTTTCATACTTGTTTAGGAAAAATAACTTGATAATTCTGAAGAAAAATTTGATATAGGTAAATATATGCAAATCATTTATGTATTCTTATCTGTAAATTGAGAATATTTAGCCATTGCTCTCATATGTAGAAAATCAAGAACTAACCATGTTAGGAAAAGAATTGTTGATACCATTTTTATTAGGGCTAGAATTGCTCATTTACACTGTATTTCCTGGCTGCTTTGTACCATGTATTATATGAAGCATTATCATTTTAATAACAGACTTCCAAGAAAAAGAAAAATATATACCACCATATTAAATATACTTATTAATTATTAGACATTCTTATTTCAGAAACATTAAAATATGGAAAGTTATAGGAAAATGTTATTATACAGTAATGTATAAAATATGACAGATCATGCAAGCTTATATCAGAATTTATTTTGTGCCACGCAATTTGCTAGGTCTAGGGTGGAAAGATTGCCAGTCCCCCTGCCTTCATGAAGCTCATATTCTTGGAGGATAGACAGACATTAAATAATTTACTGTGTGGTATGGTGTGATACAAGATAAAGAGTTAAAGAAGAAGGCTTGATTAACTCTGTATGAGAGAAACTTATAGAAGTGGTAATTCTTGAGCTCAGATTTGAAGGATAGATGGGAGAATCACATAGATTTGTATTTTGGTGTTTTTGGACCCATGTTTATGCATACTTTGAGTGTGGTTCTCAAACTTCTAGCATTTACAAAACAATGTCCTAGCCAGTACTCATTTGATGATGTTTACATAGTTACTTCATGCTTACTACGTTGCTTGCCACAGAGTACAAAATATCTTGGTTAGTTTAGCTTTTTTTTTTTTTCTGTCTCCTTTTCTCCTGCTTTGCTGCCTTAGTTTGTGTTAACTACAGCGTTAGAATTTTTTGTTTTGGAGATGGAATCTTGCTCTGTCACCCAGGCTGGAGTTCAGTGGCGTGATCTCAGCTCACTGCAACCTCCGCCTCCCAGGTTCAAGTGATTTTCATGCCTCAGCCTCCCAAGTAGCTGGGATTACAGGCACGTGCCACCATGCCTGGCTAATTATTTTTTTGTAGAGATGGGGTTTCACCATGTTGGCCAGGCTGATCTCGAACTTCTGACCTCAAGGGATCCATCTGCCTCAGCCTCCCAAAGTGTGGGGATTACGGGCGTGAGCCACTGCACCCAGACCTAGAAATGTTTTTATAGAGCAGGAAGAAGGGAACTCAATATTAGAATTTATTTTTAAAATGTTACCTTTACTTATCATGCTGCTTATGTTTCTGGCTTGGTAACAGACTTTGAGAAATGCCAGGCAGGTGAGTGTTGCTGCTAGGAAGCAGATTGCAGCATTTACAAATCTTATGTGTGACATTCTAGGATTGGAAGTGCATAAGAATTAGGGTAGCCCATGGGCACATTTGCATTAGATCATTGACTATAGGGTGGAGAATGGGCTTAAAGGCAATAAGACTAGAGACAGGGAGACCAGTTAGCAGACTGTGTGGTAACCTTGGCTACATAGGTAACCTAGGTTTTGGTGGTGATAGGAGAGCTACACTGATCAAGAACTTATTACATGCCACGTACTCTTTTAAGTGCTTTATAATAGTAGACCATTTAATCCTCAAAACAGATCTCTGAGGTCGACTCTAATCCTGTTTTGTAGGTGAGCAAAGTGAAACAGTAGTTTTCCAAAGGTGAATAGTTAGAAAGTGGCTAAGCCACAATTTGTACCTGAGTACTCTGGCTTCAGAACCTGTACTCTTAACTATAAATTAATGAGATATTTTGAGTATAATAACAGCAGGACCTAGTAACTACTGAAATGTGGCAAATGAAGCATGCTCTTGTCTGCTTTCAAGACAAGAGAAAGAAAGGGGAATTATCCCACATACCTACAGTTCTAAAATTCTACATAGCAATTGAGTTCTACCCTTTGGAAACTCAAGTTTATTTGAGTGTTGAGATGGGAAAATATTTAAAGAGCAAGTTTTAATAGTCCTAACTCATTTTTCAAATGAGTATGATCTTTTATTTTTTTCCCTTGAGTTACCACTAGAAGTATTTCTGAGTAGCTCACATACATAATTTTTAAATCAGTGATAATCTTGATAGTTGCGGATAATTTACTATTTTTTCCTCTGTAGAGATTGCATGTCAGCTTAGATTTTTTTTCAGGAAGTGGCAAGAAGAAGTAAAGAAGTTATATAGCGTGGTATCAAAATGTAATTGTTTATTAGTGGGAGATAGCTTCTGGACGTAGACAAAATTTGTGAGTTGATATTTTAAGTCCTGAGTTAGTAAAACAAGTGTTTAACACCAGATAGCCTTTTGTTGGTTTTTGAGAAAATTTTTAAAAGGGTTTTTAAACAAATTTTATTTTAGACAGATTATAGATCTTAGGACATATTATACTTAAGTTTTTCTCAATCATAAACTTTTACTAGTGATAAGCAAGCTTTGGATTAATAGTTCAAAATTAGAAAATATTAGTCTTTTTTGTTTGCCATCAGAATTATAGTTGTTTAGAAAATTCATTTAGTTTAGGAGCAAAAGTGAGTAGTTATGTCCTATAAAAATAAGTATAATTACTTTACAAAATATTTAATGGTAACAAAATGTGGGTCAGCTGATTATATAGGGATATATTTATAGAATGTACAGATCAGTCTGCTCATCTGAATGAACTTTTTTGTTTTTTTTAGTTTAAGTTTCAATTCAGTCACGTTTTTATTCAGTGGATGTTTGTGGAGTGCCTACCATGTGTTGCACACTGTGTTGGGTACTGGAAACATAATTGTTAAGCCAGGCAGACGTCCTGTACACACCCAGTCTAGGGTAATTCTTACACTATTTTGGTGTGTGCATATGTGTGTATTAGTTAAATGGAGATAGGTGGTAGGCTCTCTTGGAACTTTAATTTTACTGATAATCTCAGCAATTATCATTTTCCCTGAGAGATACTTATGAGCAGATGTGCAAACTATACCTAAAGTACTTATACAGCTTTTGGTTTTCAGTATTTTAATAAGGTTTTCAGGAAGTAGATAAATAAGAGTTCAAGATGCAAGATGGCATAAATACAGCATGCGTGATATGTGAGCTTTTCTATATTACCAGTAATTTTAGAGTAATGAAAATCCAGTTACATTGTGTGTGTGTGTGTGTGTGTGTGTGTGTGTGTGTATGTGTGTGCATGCGTGTATGTAGTGAAATTTCACAATTATGGAGTAGATTGCACATTTGACTTTCTAAATTTACAGATAGTAAAGACTCCAGTTTGGTCAAACATGGATTATATCTTAGTTTCATCCTAACATCACAAATGACTAGGTCTTGACGTTTGCTCTGTATTTGCACATGACTTCCTCTATAATGAGAATCTTCTTCCTAGTCTACTGATCCCCACCCAGTTTGAGATTATATACTCCTTTGAACCTGAACTCTCTAATTTCTTTTTCATTAGGGGAAATTTATCTTCTTCAAGAGGTTAGCAGTTGGAATGTTACTTTCAGGTATTTGGGAATATAGCTTTTTATACTGTCCGTTAACATGATAGATTATCATTGTATTAACCTTTATTTGATCCAACCTAACATTTTATCTCCTTTTGTTGATTTATAAATTAGATTGAATAACTGTCCATTTTAAAAATAATTTTTATTTTTAAACAATATTTGTTTGTATTTATGGGGTACATGTTTTATTTTGTTACATGCATAGAATAATGATCAAATCAGGGTATTTGGAGTATCCATCACCTTGAGTATTTATGATTTCTAAGTGTTGGGAACATTTCAAGTTCTCTCGGGTAGCTGTTTTGACATATACAGTACAGTGTTGGTAACTATAGTCACTCTGCTTTAAAACATTAGAATAATTTCTTTTTTCTTCTAACCGTATTAAAAGAATCTGCAAGGCAGAGTTATTCTCTCCCAGAGCTATATAAAAATGAACTGAACTTAACATTTCAGGTAGTTGGTATTTCTTAATTGCCAAGTGTATGATAGCCTAAAATCTCAAAGAGGTTGAGTTTAATAAGAGCATATTATGTTGAGTTGTTCACATTGTTATTTTCTGATATATAAACTGCCGTTTTAGAATTTTACCAGTTTCACCTGCACTTCAGAAACAAAATGTTAAAAAGATGGCAAGATATCGAGCTGTGGCCATGCTCTAGGAATGTAACGTAGTAAAAATTAATGAATTCTGATGTCAACCTAAGTGTGCTGACATTACCCCTAAAAGAGACATCAGTGAGGATTGATTTAGTGCTCAGTTCATGCCTGCAATTAAAAGGATATATTAAAAGATTTGCGATATTATCTACAAAGAGTTTTGACCCACAGAAGAAAAACATAAAATAGTATAAAATATAACTTGTATATTAAACTTATATATAAAATATATAATTTGTATATAAAAATATATTAATTTGTATATAATTAAATTTTAAATTTTCCTAAAATAATAACTTTTATAATTGTAAATAATTCTGTAGATTATCAGAAGAAATGTGTTTAAGGTGAAGAGGTTTGTTTCTTAACATCTTTGAAATGTTTATTTAATGTTTATTAAATGACCTCACATCTCAGCTGTATATCCTTCAGATAACTAAATTGTATCATTTCATGTGTCACATACATAGTTGCCACAAAATTTTAAGCTAGACTCTGTTTGCATTTATGTTAGTATAGTATCCTCAATTTTGTACTTTTTAGGATGAATAAAATAATTCCAATTCATTAGTGTGTTTCTTATAGGAAAACACAATACATTCCTATAAGACTGTAGTTATCAGTTTTTAAACCTTAAACATTCTATTATAGGGATTAAATACTGTGATATCTCTGAATTTTTATTGGTAATAGGATAGGCTGAATCATAATTACTGCTTGAAGATTCTCTAGGTCATGTCTGGCATGAGTATAAAATAAGCTTTGGAGATAAATTTAACTTTTCTTTACTGTTAAACAAATTAATCTTAATTTTGTTTTAATTAAATGCCCCCTAAATTTAGTAGCCAAAAATTTTTCCTTTAGTCTCTTGCTTACAGTTGTAGATAATTGTTAATATAATTACCAGTTTGTGATTAAGTGCTCCCTACTGTATGCTTGCCTTGCTTTCACCTAGAATCTAGGGCCATTACTTTCTTGTAACCATTTCAGTGAGCTGCCATAGTTTTCAGTCTGTACTGTCACCTGATCCAAGCATGCGCCAAAATATCCACTGTTTCTGGCTCCTGTATGCTGAATCTGCTTTGCAAACCCTTCGTTCTTTGAGCTTTTGCTTTAGCCAAAAACCAAATTTAAGAAGTTTTCTGGAGTGTGGACATATGCCATTTGCTTCCTTAGCTCCCATGTTATGTAACTCTTTAGCTTTGTATTAAACTTGTAAATACTTATTAAATACAATAATGGCATCCTCATGTGCAATTGTGTGGCTCATGTGTTAAAATAAAGGCTGCTTGTGAATTTGTCAGAAGAATATGAATGCTCCACTTGCGCTGCATTCAGCTTTTTTTTTTTTGTTCGTTTGTTTTTTGAATCAGCCACTTATTCTTTCATAGTGTTTGGTTTAATTATTTGATTATTTTATGTGTTATACTAAGGTAAGTTTAACGTAAATGAACTTTGTATTCTATGTGGTATCTCATAGGAATTGTTATAACATACTTTCCCATTTAGACATGTTGGCGTTTTAAAAATAAATATATGTAGAACTTAAGTAGCTTCCTCCATTTTTTATTAATTTCTAAAACACTGTTTATGGATTACTTTCTGTAAAATTCATTTTTAAAACAGTAAAGCCACCATGTATTACTTGTGGTACAGATGAAGAAGGCAAACCCAATGTGAGAAAAATCTTATAAAAACATAGTACATAATTATTTGCTTTAGAAAATAATATTTTAAACTTCTAGAATGGTTTAAAAAGTAAACAGTAGGTTTTATTAGTGAGTTTAAGAAAAGTTAGAATTTTATTTCATGCAATTTTTTGGGAAAATAGGTATTTTCTAAACTGAAATACATTTCTATGGTTGTGACAATTATTTTCTCAGAATCATAGTCATTTAATAGATTAGAGCAACCACTTGAATAATAGTTCATCTTATGATAGAAAAATTCTCTTTTAGGAAAGGATGATGTTAAATGGATGTTCAGATTGGTCCGTAAGTGTGTATGTCTTAGAAAAAAGAGAGTATGGATTTGAAAGTGTATTTTTGCTGTTACTATATACATTTCATTTGGGAATATGAAGAAATTCTTTAACACAAGTAGTATTTGTGTAAAATAGGTTCACTTAATTGTTCACACATTTCTTAATTTATAACATTGATTGCTAATACCATATTGTAGTCTTTTCTATTTCTCTTCCTTATTTTATCTTCTACTTTGATGTCTTTCTCAGTTTCCTGAATTCTGCATTTCTTTCTTCTGAAAGAAAGTTTTAAGGTAGCTTTGTCTTGGAACCAAAACTTTAATTCAAGAACTGGCTGGCATCATTTGTAGTTCTGGCTTTTATCTCCTTATTTCTCCCTTTTGCTGATCCTCCTCCCTGTGGAGGAGACAAAAATTTCATCATAGGAATGTGAGCTATAACACGCCTCTTAACCTTTCTTTACTTTGCTGTCTTCACTATTTTACTAGTGAGTATAATTCTACTTATTCTACTAATTTTGAAAAACATATTTTGAAAATTGGATATATACTGCAATTCAAAAATAGAAACTTTGGATTTTTTGGTTTTTAGATTTAATAGTGGCTTTTATATGGAAAAATTACAATGAGAGCTTAGCATTCTATCTAGAGTTGATTTTTTTTTCTATCTCAAGTTATTCCCAAATGAGAATTGGCCACAAAAAGAAATAAATTATGATATGCTAATTATAGACTTTCTGTTTTTAACACATTGTACATAAAATGTTACTATAATTTGCAGCTGCTGTCACCAGTAGTTTGCAGCTAAATGCAAGTGATTAGGAAATATGTATGACAGATGCTTCATTTATAGTGCTCCATTACAAGCAATATTGGACTTCTCTGGTAATAAAATAGAATTCTGTGACTCTAAATCATTTTTTAAAATTACAGACCAATACATGGAGTGTTATATCTGAAATTTTTCCTTATATACATTACCAAATTATTTGTGTTAATATTTTAAGTGTGCTTGCTTTCTTTCTTTTTTTTTTTAAATTAGTCTCTAATTTCTTGTATTTTGCCTAAAGACCCACATCTCTGTAGAAGGATGGCTTACAGATGGCTTTCTCTCTTTTAACATTGACAAATCTTTGCCTTGGAAAGAACCCACAATATAGTGAGTTATAAAAATAGGTACCAAGAAATGAAATCAGAATTAAAGTTAAATTTATGGATATAACACATAAGGTGTTCACTCAGTGAGGTGAGATGTAGAATATCCTCTTAGTCTAATTCTAAAATTCTAATCATAGCTAAGATTAGAATTTGGAAACTCTGGGTCTACATTTAAAATTATATCTAATCATATATTCCTATAGATATCTGTTAAAGTAATAAAGCAAATACAGATAGGTGGTTTGTTTTCCAGCAATTGAGTTTAAAAGGTTAAATCTTATGCCTTTTGAGAAGTAGCATTTTAAAGATGGGAAGTTTAAAAATCCATTATAGAATAAAACTTCTTTACTTCCCATAGTATGTTTATTTTAAACATTTCATGTTCATATATATAATGTGCTATTGAGTAATAAACTGATTTAAAATTTATTTTTCAGATGAACCAGAAACTCGAGATGCATGGTGGGCAGAAATCAGACAAGAAATAAAATCACATGCTAAAGCATTAGGCTGTCATGCTGTAGTGGGCTACAGTGAATCAACTAGCATCTGGTAAATGATAATAACAACTTGATTTTCCAGACACTAATTTAGACTGCCATCTGAAAGGGGAAAAGCTTCATGCAAATAAAAGAAAAGAGAATAGCGAAGTGTTCAGGAGCATGGGCCTTGGAGTACATTAGATTAAGGTTTATATGCCGTCTTTGCCAGTTAGTGACTGTGTAACTTTGAGAAAGTTATTTAACTCTTCTGAGCCTCAATTTGTACATTAAAATGGAGATAATACCACAGATCAATTAATCATTTACATCAGTGATTAAATGAGAATATAATACTGGCACACAGCAAATATTAACTCTAGGCTTCCTTTAGTATGTAACTGTATCAACTTCTTCCACTGGAACCTTTGGAACCCTTGATCTACTGTAAACGAATTGCAATGTGTCTTTAAAGTTTGTCCATAAACTCATTCTGCCTCCTTTTACCTACTGTAATGTAACGTTTCTTGCTAACAAATCATTCTTCCTAATACTGACAAATTAGGAAGGGGCTTTCATACACTTGGTTCTCAATTCCTTTTTCTCCTTCCCTTCATTTGAACAATCTCCTCCTTTAAAGTACATGCCACGCTACTGTTCCATTATCTACTTCCAAAGCATTCGTCTGCCTTTCTTAGTTACTTCGCTGCTCTCTCCTCCAGTTACATATGATTATGTTCATCCTAGCAGCTGGCATTATAGTTTCTTATTCTCAAGTCGTCTGACCCCACTTAACTTTCAACCATATTTTGGACCTCAGTATCACTTGAAACTGTTCCGCCTTAAAATTTTGAAACTATAAAATTTTACTCTCAGATCACAACTTAACGTTTTTCTACCAATATCATTTGCTCTTTTATATCTAGTTTGTTTTGACCCTTACCTTAACCAGTTGTTTTCTCAGCTCCTTACTTAGTTTCTGGCTTTTTTTGTTCTTTTGCCATCCTTGAACCCTACTTTCAGCCCTTCAGAAGTTTACAGTTGATATCATCTAGAAACTGTTTAACCTTCTGTTATCTTATTTTTCTACCATCTATTCTTAGGTAATTCTTACTGTTAGATCCTCTGCTCTTGTGGTGATCCTTATTGTTAGGGAAAAAGAATTAAACTGTAGTAAATGTGGTCATTACAGAGCCATATTATTTAATCTTCTGTGGGCTTTTCTTTTCCTTTGCAGATCATGTGTTATACTCCTAGACTGTTTATTCCCATAGTAGCGGTTCTACTCTTGTTAACTACTAACTTTGTCAAGCTTATCTTGCCTTACTCCCTAGTTGTCTTGCCACATTGATGGTTTTAATGTCATAAACTTTGAGGCCTTAGAAAAATGTTTTTTGTTGTTGTCGTTTTTTTTTTTGTTTTTTGAGATAGAGTTTCACTCTTTCACTCAGGCTGGAGTGCAATGGTGTGATTTTGGCTCACTGCAACCTCCACCTCCCGGGTTCAAGTGATTCTCCCACCTTAGCCTCCTTAGTAGCTGGGATTACAGGTGCCTGCCTTCCTGTCTGGCTAATTTTCATATTTTTAGTAGAGATGGGGTTTCGCCATGTTGGTCAGGCTGATCTCGAACTCCTGACCTCGTGATCTGTCCACCTCGGCCTCCCAAAGTGCTGGGATTACAGGCGTAAGCCACCACACCCGGCCAGAGATATGGTTTTAGAAGGCATAGTTCTTGGTATCACATTTACATTCTACTGGATAATTATGATGTAAAATAAATTTTAAGATTGAGATATAGGATGCTTTGGGATCCTAGAGGGCTGAAAGCTCAAAGTAGAATTGGAAGAAAATGTCAATGAAGTAACTGATGCTTGAGTTGGATTTTGGGGGATGAATATGAATTATATAAATAAAAAGAAGAGGCATAAGGAGAGGTTTCAAAGCTTACAAGATGCATTCAACACTTAAAAGAGTAGCAAAAAAAAGAAGGCCACAGGATGTAGACTCAGGATGGCTGATGATAGGTCACAGATGGAGGAGTCTGCAAATGAGTTCAGTTAATTTACCTAGAAGTTTGAGTTCATCTGACAGATGTCATCTGACAGAGGTCCTTTCTAGACCTCAAAAACATCTGTGTATTTAAATTTTAACTAATCTTTTCTGTTCCAGCCCATGCTACTTTCTGTTACTGGATTAAACTCTCTGAAATGCACTTCTGCTCTTATAACTTCTTGATTCGAAGACATCAGTGGTTTCATGTTATTCCTTCTGACATCCTTAATTCCTACCTACACTTTAAGCCTGGTCTTCCTTTATTTTATTTACAGTTCAAGTGACTGTTCCTCCCTTGTTCTCTTAGGCTTCTGTTTTATTTTATTTCTGGGTTTTATTTATACCTGGTTTTCAGCAGTTCATCCCTAGGTTGCTACTTTTCTCATTTGTTTAGGTGATCTCATTCAATAATTATGTTGATTGTTTAATTTTTTAGCTTTCAAATTGGGTGACATATAATAATTTAAAAATTATTTTGAATATCAGTTTTCTGTTATATGATGATGTAGTTTAAGCTTCATTTAGTATATTTTGTATATTGTTTCAGAAACCTTTATAATGATTTAAATTTAGATTAAGCTATATAAATCACCTATATAGAGATATTTACATAGTTGTGCTTTTAGAATAATTTTAATAAAACTTCATATACATTTAAAGAGTATTTTAATATAGTTTCATTGATTAATGCTAGATTCAGCAATACAATTTATTACTGCTTATATTTTGAAACATTTCATTCTTTCAGCCTTGCCATATTTTAAATGAAGTTATTGTCTTTAATATTAATACTTTTATCTTTTTTCAGTTTTTAATTTATGAAGAATTCTTTCCCTCCATTCAAATAAAGTTACTTCTGTTTTCTAGGCTAGGTTTAGGAGGTAAACCTCGTAAATATTATTTAATATTGAGTAGAGTCTAACTTGAACTTAAATTGTCACTGTTATAATTATTTTGATATTTAGCATTTCCCAAAGTTATACGGTCTGAAAAATGTTAACTTGTTTGTGTTTTTTCCTTTATAGTGAAGAGGTCTGCATTTTATCTGCATCTGGCACAGCGGCTGTACTGAATCCTAGATTTCTGCAGGATGGCACCGTGGAAGGCTGTTTGGAACAGAGGTTGTCATGGCAGCCTGGCTTATTTTCTATAAGGGCAGAGAAGGGAGAGGTCGACTTTTTTTCTGAGAGTTGGGATAATTCTTCTCCGTAGGGTGGCTTACAGGGGTACAGTGTAGAAATCAGGACCAAGCACTTCACTAATTTTTAACTAACCCGTAGTAACAGAGGAGTATTGGATTCTGCACTATATGGCACACATTATTGTTTCTAGTGTCTTGATAAGTGACATGTATGATTACCAGTTGAAGAATTTCAGGTGTCCATTTTTTTTTGCTTTGTCATGATATAGAAATAATCTTTGGATCTTTCTCTTCCTTTCATTTCCCTGTGTCTCACCTCCAAAAACAGAAAGAGGTTATGAAACAATTTTTATAAAAAACAATTCTTAATTTACAAAATAGTAAAAGTACTGCATTTTATCAAGATTATCTGTAGATATAATATATATGGTCCTTCCGTGTCCATAGGGAATTGGTTCCAGGACCCCTTGCAGATACCAAAACCTGCAGATGCTCAAGTCCCTTATATAAAATGGTATAGTATTTGCATGTAACCTATGCACATTCTCCCCTATACTTTAAATAATCTCTAGATTATTTATAATACCTGATATAATACCTGTTCATCATTTCATTTTCATGGATTCAGTGTAATGCTGAGCATGTGGCAAATTCAAGTTTTGCTTTTTGGAATTTTGTGGGATTTTTTATTGTTTTCCTATTTTCAACCTGTGATTGGTTGAATCCATACATGCCAAACCCATGGATACGGAAGGGTGACTGTATATTTAAATATATATATATATACACATATATAAACTATTAGTTTGGTACCAGAGTCTACCTGGATAATACAGATTTTAATTACCCCTTATGCCACAGTGTGCCTATTTACTTCCCCCCTCCCCAGTATTAATATATTAAGTATATATTAAGAAAGGAAGCAAAGGCCAAGTGCGGTGGCTCACGCCTGTAATCCTAGCACTTTGTGAGGCTGAGGTGGGTGGATCACTTGAGGTCAGGAGTTTGAGACCAGCCTGGCCAACATGGTGAAACCCCGTCTCCACTAAAAATACAAAAATTAGCCTGGTGTGATGGTGGGCGCCTCTAATCCCAGCTACTCAGGAGGCTAAGGCAGAAGAATTGATTGCTTGAGCCTGGGAGGTGGAGGTTGCAGTGAGCCAAGATGGCACCACTGTTCTCTAACCTGGGCAACAGAGTGAGACTCTATTTAAAAAAAAAAAAAAAGCAAAAAAATTCTGTATCTTGTCAAGTTTAGTATAAACTTGCACGCATTTATAACTAAGATATTCTAGTTCTGGTATTCACTAGAGGAACTTGGTCAGTTTCTTTTGTCAGTATTAAAATGGATATTGACTATTATGAATTCCAGAGCCTTAAAGGTCATTGTAAATAGGAAAGTGAAGGTGGGGCATTTTGAAGCACAGTAAATAATTAGAATATTCTATTGAGGAAACTCTCTTTGTCAGTGAGTTGTACCAGTGATACAATATAGTTCTTACACGTCTGTAGATTTCATTCTTAAGTTGATAGGAAGCCTAATTTAACAAATGACCTTTTTCATGTAGCTTGGTTTTTTTCTGTATTGTGGCTTGGACGAATACAATAAATTCTCTTATATAGTAGTTCAATACAATAGGTGCCACCCCTAGTTGTAAAAAAAAAAAGAAAAAAACAAGGAAAATGCCTTTTCTTTCTGCTATAAAAATTATTACTGCTTATTAGAAAAAATTTGGAGAGTTCCTATATCAAATGATGCTAGATTGCCATCCTTTTCAAATTCTTATATGCTTTGTAAGATTTCCTACGTCTTGCCTTGAAGTCAGCTGTCATTTTTCATGCTAATTCACTATGCTGCCTATAGAAATTCTTATCCTCATTTGTTTGCTATTTCTTTGTTTTTTTTTAATTATACTTTAAGTTTTAGGGTACATGTGCACAACGTGCAGGTTTGTTACATATGTATACCTGTGCCATGTTGATGTGCTGCACCCATTAACTCGTCATTTAACATTAGGTTTATCTCCTAATGCTATCCCTCCCCCCTCCCCCTACCCCACAACAGGCCCTGATGTGTGATGTTCCCCTTCCTGTGTCCATGTGTTCTCATTCCCACCTATGAGTGAGAACGTGCAGTGTTTGGTTTTTTGTCCTTGTGATAGTTTGCTGAGAATGATGGTTTCCAGCTTCATCCATGTCCCTACAAAGGACATGAACTCATCCTTTTTTATGGCTGCATAGTATTCCATGGTGTCTAGGTGCCACATTTTCTTAATCCATTCTATCATTGTTGGACATTTGGGTTGGTTCCAAGTGTTTGCTATTGTGAATAGTGCCGCAATAAACATACGTGTGCATGTGTCTTTATAGCAGCATGATTTATAATCCTTTGGGTATATACCCAGTAATGGGATGGCTGGGTCAAATGGTATTTCTAGTTCTAGATCCCTGAGGAATTGCCACACTGACTTCCACAATGGTTGAACTAGTTTACATTCCCACCAACAGTGTAAAAGTGTTCCTATTTCTCCACATCCTCTCCAGCACCTGTTGTTTCCTGACTTTTTAATGATCACCATTCTAACTGGTGTGGTATGGTATCTCATCGTGGTTTTGATTTGCATTTCTCTGATGGCCAGTGATGATGAGCATTTTTTCATGTGTCTTTTGGCTGCATAAATGTCTTCTTTTGAGAAATGTCTGTTCATATCCTTCACCTACTTTTTGATGGAGTTGTTTTTTTCTTGTAAATTTGTTTGAGTTCATTGTAGATTCTGGATATTAGCCCTTTGTCAGATGGATAGATTGCAAAAATTTTCTCCCATTCTGTAGGTTGCCTGTTCACTCTGATGGTAGTTTCTTTTGCTGTGCAGAAGCTCTTTAGTTGAATTAGATCCCATTTGTCAATTTTGGCTTTTGTTGCCATTGCTTTTGGTGTTTTAGACATGAAGTCCTTGTCCATGCCTATGTCCTGAATGGTATTGCCTAGGTTTTCTTCTAGGGTTTTTATGGTTTTAGGTCTAACATTTAAGTCTTTAATCCATCTTAAATTAATTTTTGTATAAGGTGTAAGGAAGGGATCCAATTTCAGCTTTCTACATATGGCTAGCCGGTTTTCCCAGCAGCATTTATTAAATAGGGAATCCTTTCCCCATTTCTTGTTTTTGTCAGGTTTGTCAAAAATCAGATAGTTGTAGATGCGTGGCATTATTTCTGAGGGCTCTGTTGTCTCTTTATCACAATATTGAGTAATAATTGCCATTCACAAGTTAATTCTGCAGTTTAAGGAAGGCTTAAATTTTGCATCTTTTTCTTACACTACACACTCTAGTTCTACCAACATTCTCGGCATTTCCTTAAAATGTCATTTAAGAAATATTCTATTAAAAACAATAAATTAAATGAGCTTCTGTCTTTAAACCAAACTGTCAGTGATTCTAAAATCATCAGCCATTCATTTGTATAGGATGTTAGAGAGCAGATGTTTAATTATATTGAGTATTTTCCTGAAAGGAAAATAAAATAACCTAAATGCACAGGTTATACCTGTGGTTGAAAAAATGCAATGTGCTAGTCCTCAGCAGTTGTATTTATTTGAAGTCATGACTGATAGCTAATGCCTTGTCTTGGCTTATAAGAAGTTGGTTTAAAATGAATTCATTAGTTTTCCCTTATGTAGAAATACTGGTTCTGCTAATGCTCTGGCACTGATATGGGGAAAGGAAACTGGATTAGGATTAAAGCTTCACCTCTAGACTTTCCTGAACAAACTAGAGTGCAGATCAGTCAGGAACCAACGATACGAGAGCAGTGTAGTAGCTGGGAATGAGTGACCACAGTGAACGGGCTGAAGTAGAGCTGTCCCTTAAGCAAAAGCTTCAGAGTGTGCTTTGCAGTGTTTTTTTTTTTTTTTTTTCCATTCAAGCCTGGTTTTAAAAAGACAGGATAAGTAGCAGGTCAAAACTAGGGATCCTAAGTACAGGATTCTCACTTTATTAAGTAACCCATCCCATAGAGAAATTTGAATATAAGATGTGTATTAGGAAAACCAGGACTTAACAGGACTTAAGTATAATAACTTTGGTTATTTTAGAAATGTTTTGATAGCTATCTGCATTTGACTCGTATAATGCTTAGTTGCAAAGTACTTGTTTTCTTCATTAAATTTTTAAAATGAATCAAAAAAAAATTTGGAGAATGTAGGAGAGTAGAAGGAAGAGAAGATTCCTTATGATCTCACTATTCAGGGATAATCCCTGTGTACATTTCATATTTTAAATGCTTTCATAAATTTTAATACTTTTATTTTTATGCCTTATGTATACCACTAATATTGAAATTTGTGTGAGCTGTTTAGTTAAAAATTGCTTCAGTTTTCATCCTTTTGTACCCTCTTATAACACATTGGCTTTGGATTCAAACAAACTGAAATTCAAACATGAGGCCTGCTACTTAGTGCTTAGTATGACTTTATGAAATAGATGTTTTGGTTTTTCAAAAAAGTTAAAACTATCATAGGAAATTAGAAATCTTAGAGTATGCCTGTTTTTGACTTACTATTTTTCTTTTTTAATACTTTTTTACATTAAATTAAAAAATTATTACACTTGGATTTTTTTTAATTTTGGGGGGTACCTAGTAGCTGTATATATTTATAGGGTACATGAAAATGTACAATTAAATTATCAATTATAGTCACCTTGTTGTGCTATCAAACGCTAGGTCTTATTCATTCTTTCTATTTTTTTGTACCCATTAGCCATCCCCACCTTCCCTCCAGCCTGCCACTACCCTTCCCAGCCTCTGGTAACCAAAATATTTTTTTCTTTGGGAATTTTTTTTGTGGTTATATTTGTCAACCAGTGGGAAAATGTCATCATTATCATCTAACCATTTTTTAAAAATGTTGTATCCCAGAGAAAAAACTTTGGGGTGATAGTGATGTTTGTCAGGTGGTAAGTCATCAAACAAATAAATTGGTGCAAAATGACTTTGCAATTGGTAAGTCTTTTCTCTCATAGGAAAAATGTATGGTTCTGATTTCATGGTCATTTTCAATTCTTATCAGCCTTAGTGGTACTTTTGTAGCCTACAGCAGTAGAAGTTGGATAGTTCGTATACAAGTACTGTGTATGTAATATCAGTTACATAATTATTTTTGAAAAAATTGGTACATTTTTAAAGAATATCTTATTTTTTTATTTATTTATATAGGCTTGAAGAAAATTTGCCTACACGTTGTGGATTTTGTCATATACCATATGATGAACTGAATATGCCATTTCCAGCTCATCTCACATATTGCTATAACTGCAGGAAACAAAAAGTTCCTGATGTTCTGTTTACAACTATAGACCTCCCAACAGATGCAACAGTTATTGGAAAAGGTTGTCTTATTCAAGCAAGGTATGTTTGTGAAAACAACACTCGGTGTCCCTGAAAAAGTATGAGATAGGGAGCCGTAAACCTATTTTTAAGTGTCAGCTTTACTGTTTCCTACCTGTTTGATCCTGCACAAACTGGACAATTCTGCTGGAACTTTGTATTTTATTGCATGTAAAAAAAAAACCCTCTGTGTAAAACTCAAATAAGTTTGTGTACAAAAGCAGTTTTTAACTTTAAATTCTACACAAATATTTGTCATTTTGGGAATTATTAACCTGCCAAAGGCTAGGGATGTGACTAAGTATAGATTGCTTCAATTACATTCAATATGTAACACATTTTAGAAGTTGACTCTCTTTTTTTCTTTTAAAGAACAGTGCCATGAAGTGTTTCTTTTACTGCTTTAATTAGCTGGTAAGAGTTCCTTTTAAAATGCACTGGAGTAGGAAATCCTAATTGGGGAACTCATGACAACAGCTGCCAGGTTACCAAATCCATCAGGTACTTCTGTCCTCATCTTAGTTCTGACATCTCAGCAATAGTGACACCATTAATTATTTTCGCCTTGAAATTCCTTTGACTTCATGATGCTACACCTTCTATGTTTTCCTACCTTTATGTATAATCTTCATCCTCCTTGATGACTTCTCATTTCTTGATCCTTGAGAGCCATGGGTTTGGACCCTCTGCCCAAAGCTCTCTCCTTAGTTGAACTCATCAACTTATATAGATCTATGTGTCTGTGACTCCCAGATTTGTAACTCTAGTCCGGAACTTTCTTTTGAGCTTTAGACTTATACCTGTCTACTTCATACCCCATTTTGATAAGCCATAGGCATCTCATACGCGTTCCACATTGAACTGCTGATTTTCTTCACTTTTCTTATTAGCCTTTTCTGTTTTAATGAATGGTACCTTTCTCTATCCAGTTCTTCATGCCAAATTTGGTATTCTTTGGCACTGTCCTCTTTCTCAACCTCCCCACATCAAATTTATTACAAAGTCCGTTGATTTTTCTTCTAAAATGTATTTCTAATCCATTTATTTTTTTCCCTCTTGAATCTTAGACCTTCCATTTGGGATTGTTTTCCTTTTGCCTTAAATGTACGCTTTAGTATTTCTTTTGATGGTCTGCTGGTGGTGAGCTATTTTTTTTGTCTGTCTGAAAAATGTGTTTATTTTACTTTTATCTTAAAAAATATTTTGGGCTGGCAGCTATTTCTTTACAGCACATTGAAGTACTCTTTCACCACTGTCTTCTGGCTTTCATTGCTACTGTTGAGAAATAATCTATTAGTCTAATTACTGTCCCTTTGAATGTAGCCTATGTGGCACGAAGTAGATGCTCAAGTGACTTTTGTATTTTTTTTAATGACTAACATTTTCTTCTGCTTTCCATTTATATTGAACACATGCAGTTATAAAACCTAAGATTTTAAATGATATTCTCTAGTGATTTTGGTCATTATTTCATTTTTAGAGATTTTAAGATTTTTTATTTTTCTTTATTGAAATATGATTCTTTAAAATATTTAATTTTTGTGGGTAAACAGGTGTATGTATTTATAGGGTACATGAGCTACTTTGATACAGGCATGTAATACATAATAATCACATCATGGAAGATGGGGTATCCATCCCCTCACGCATTTATCCTTTGTGTTAGAAACAGTCCTGTTATACTCTTTTAGTTATTTTAACTTGTACAATTATTATTGACTGTAGATACCCTGTTGTGCTATCAAATACTAGGTCTTATTCATTCTTCCTATTTTTTTGTACCTGTTATGAAATAGGATTTTTAGTGCAAGTTTATACAATGACAAAAAGCAGAACAGATTATTGATATAACTCAGTAAGCCCATTAGAAACAAGTAAATGTTTTATTCAGCACACTTTTAGCAAGTTTTAAAATTTGGACATTTTTAAAGGTGGTACCAAGAATACTGTTCACTGACTTATTTTCCTTTACAGGTTATGTCGCTTAAAAAAGAAAGCACAGGCAGAAGCAAATGCTACAGCTATCAGTAATCTCTTGCCATTTATGGAATATGAAGTGCATACTCAGCTAATGAATAAACTAAAACTCAAAGGAATGAATGCTTTGTTTGGACTAAGAATTCAGATCACAGTGGGTGAAAATATGTTGATGGGCTTAGCGGTAAGTTTAGATGTTTTTGGTTTTGTTTTATGATTTCCTTAATTATAGTAGATTCTATGTTATGTGATTCAAATAGTCTTTTCAAAGGCTTATCTAAAGACTTTGACATTAAGACCTTTATGGGACGAGGACATTTTAAGAAGTGAAAAATCTGGTGATAGGTTTTCACATATTTTAAAGGGACTGTGATCACAACTTTAATAATTCTATTTCTAAAAATTATCATTTGTCGCTTGCTTAATAAGTTGGCCACAGTTTTTCTGGACTTTATTATTGTTTACATATTGCTAAAACAGGGTTCCTCCATCTCAGTACTAGGGCAGGATACCTCTTTGTTGCAGGGAACTGAGTTGTGCATTGTAGGACGCTTAGCAGCATCCATGGCAATTCCCCACTATAAGCTAGTAGCATCCCCCCAGTTGTGACACACAAGAATGTCTTCAGAAATTGCCAAATGTCCCTTGGTGAGTGGAGCAAAATTACCCCAGGATGTGGATTAATCTTTAGTTTTGATGGAGAAGATAAAGCAAAACATGTGAGACACTATTGGACAGACAATTAAACTTTATCATAAATGTGCACCTGTGGCCAGTGGTAGACTGTGTAATAAAATACAGGTGTTTCTGGCCAGGTGCGTTGGCTCACACCCATAATTCCAACACTTTGGGCAGCTGAGGTGGGAGGATCACTTGAGCCCAGAAGTTAGACCAGCCCGGGTGAGACCACTGTCTCTATAAAAAAAAAAAAAAAAAAAAAAATACACCAGGTGTGCTGGCAGGAAGCTTAAGTGGGAGGATTAATTGAGTCCTGGGAGGTTGAGGCTGCAGTGAACCCTGATCACATCACTGCACTCCAACCGAGGCGACAGAGTGAGGCTCTGTCTCAAAAAAAAAAAAAAAAAAAAAAAGGTGTGTTTCTTAAGTGCCGATGAAATATGAGACAAGAAAAAGCTGTGTCTCAGCTTAATGTTCATTTTGGCTTGTTAGCAAATAAATTCTGACTGGAAAGATGTTAATGAGGAAAGCCAGTGCTGCTTCTATAAGTAGTGTAGGACTCAGAGAACCAGGTGCCTGCAAAAAGTGTATTGATCATATGGAATCTGATGAACCACGTTTATGGAAATTCTCTCATTTTCTAGGTACTTTGCTAACCAGCATTTTGGCTGTGTTATTGGCAGTTTTCAAATTTGAATTCTCTTGCCATCTTTTTGAGAGTGCATAGACATTTAATTTTAAGAAATTTATAGAATTGGACTTTTTTGTCTCTATACATTTGTAGGTCAGATGCACATTTGTTTCCTGTTTCATCTTTCTTTAAGAGCAAAAATGTAAAGTTTTGTATGTAGAGGATAATTGTATGATGATGATAAACTAATTAGGTATTACAGTTTTCTAACGACAGAAATTTGTAATAATTAGGTAACTTGGTTCATATTAAAATATTTGATACATAGGCCGGGCATGGTGACTCATGCCTGTAATCCCAGCACTTTGAGAGGCTGAGGTGGGCAGATCGTTCAAGCCCAGGAGTCTGAGACCAGTCTGGGCAACAGGGCGAAACCCCATCTCTACTAAAAATACAAAAATTACCCAGGCGTGGCTGCTTGTGCCTGTAGTCCCAGCAACTTGGGAGGCTGAGATGGGAGAATCAGCTGAGCCTGGGAGCTTGAGGCTGCAGTGAGCCGTGATTGTGCCACTGCACTCCAGCCTGGCTGACAGAGCGAGAGACCCTGTCTTTAAAAAAAAAAAAAAAATTTCTTTTATACTTAGAGTAACTTGGGGAAAAGTGGTTATTTTAATTCAGTGGTCTAAAAATTTGTATGCCTAGTGAGGACATTACATAAATGTATAATTTGTGCTTGATGCAAGACTGTAATGATTGGTGGGTGCCTATGCATGTCAATTAAGAGCTGGATTCAAATTGAGGGGTTTAAAAAACATTTTGCTAGCTATAACAAACGTTTTTGATGGTTGAGCCCCAGGAAACTAGTTTATGACACTGATGTAATTCAAGACTTGCCTCAAATATTGCTTTTCTGATTCATACTAATCTTTTCTTTCCTTCTTGATCACTAGTGCTGTTAACTACCACTGTTTGACATTTCATCTTTGTGCTTTGTTATAGTTTGTGCACTTAAATCCTAAGTTCTCAAGAGTAGCTTCTTTCTTAGGTGATCTCTGATGAGTGCCGACGAGGTGTCTGGCACTGTGCTATTCTAGAAGGAATGTGATATTATCTTCACTTTACAGGAGGAGAAACTGTGTGCTGTGATAGGTTGAGACTGTAAAGTGATGTGGTTACATGTGTTAGAAATGGATTTCAAATCAGGCCTCTCTGATGCCAGAGTCTGTGTTCTCAGCTGTTCAGGGCTGTTGCTTCGTTAATGAGTGGAGCTAAAACACATTAGAGGTGGTGGACTAAGGCTTCATATGGCATAGAGAAGGGGGTTCCCTGGTTGAATATTAGAGATTGGGTCATGTATACAGTGATGGACACTAATGAACAAACCAGGAGTAAGCACTCTTGAGGAACAATTTTATCTACTATGCAGATTTCTTCATCAATCCCTTTTTAGGATTGGTGTTCACAAAATTGGCAGTTGATTAATTTAAAAAATAATAATAACAAATATCTAGAGTTAAAAGAATTCTTTTCTGTTTCCCATTCCACTCCTTTGATGTTAACAATTTGATGTTTATGCTTCTATTTTTTTTGCTTTGCTTATATTAGCATATTTACACATAAGTGCTCATAAGGATATATATAAATGTTACCTTGTTTTGTATTTCCCATGATAGTTTTCCAGTACTAATGAAATATAGTACTGTTTCAGAGTCAGATATTAAATAGTAATTTAATTAGATATTTAAAATAAATCTGTATCTAATAAACACTTTTCTCTGCTAATTAGGAAGGTAGGGCAATATAGTGAAATGCGTTTGGGTTTTAGAGTGAGAAACACTCAGTTCAGATCGTTTGTCCACATTTATTGACTTGGCTTGAGAAAGTTCCCTGTCCTTTCTGAATTTCAGTCTCTTGCCTTGCAAAAGTTTCCTCTTCACTTTTGCCACCTTTAAAGATAGAGCATCTGCTCATTCATGAAAAATTTATTTTTTAGCAACCTTTAATTTTTTTTTTGCTATTTTTAATTCTAATTATATATTTTTTTAAATTATGAGGTAGGTCCGGGCCCAGTGACTCAGGCCCGTAATCCCAGCACTTTAGGAGGCCAAGGCAGGCGGATCAATTGAGGTCAGGAGTTGGAGACCAGCCTGGCCAACATGATGAAAACCCATCTCTACTAAAAATACAAAAATTAGCTGAGTGTGGTGGTGGGCACCTGTAATCCTAGCTACTCAGGAGGCTGAGGCAGAAGAATCGCTTGAACCCAGGAGTTGGAGGTTGCAGTGAGCCGAGATCACGCCACTACACTCCAGCCTGGGTGAAAGCGTGGGACTTCGTCTCAAAAAAAAAAAAATTGTGAGGTAGAAACATAAAAAATATAATTGGGTATGCAGTGAAAAGTAAATCCGCATTTCGTAACTGTCTCCCACCTACCCAGGGTCCTCCCCAAAAGAAACCAACGCTTATTACCAGTTGTTTTTGTGTGCCTTTCCAGAGATGTCCTATGTATACCCTGATGCTGATTATATTCTTCCTAATGAGCAAAGATCACATTCTTGTTTTTTTTTCCCTTTTTTTCTTTTTTTTGAGACAGAGTCTTGCTCTGTTGCCCAGGCTGGAGTGCAGAGGCATGATCCTGACTCACTGCAACCTCTGCCTCCCGGGTTCAAGTGATTGTCCTGCCTCACCCTCCTGAGTAGCAGGGATTATGGGCACACACCACTACACCTGGCTAATTTTTGTATTTTTAGGAGAGACGGGGTTTCACCTTGTTGGCCAGGCTGGTCTCAAACTCCTGACCTCAAGTGATCTGCCCGCCTTGGCCTCCCAAAGTACTGGGATTACAGGTGTGAGCCACTGCACCCAGCTGTTGACCACATTCTTAAATATGAAAACTTAAGGACTGTTATTCTGTAGATATTTTTTCTGATTATTTCCCCATTATTTTTTACAAGTCTGCCACAGGTGTGTATTTAGCAGCTTTACCAACTCCTGGTGGTATTCAGATTGCTGGGAAGACTCCTAATGATGGCTCATATGAACAACACATCTCTCATATGCAGAAGAAGATAAATGACACAATTGCTAAAAACAAAGAGTTATATGAAATCAATCCTCCAGTAAGTAAAACAAACCTACATTGTGAATGTATCAGTTATTGTTTATTAGTATATTTTTAGGTTATCTTATTGAGGACACAAGATTTTTTTTTCACTGTTTAGCTCTCCTTATTACTCATTCTTTCACCTCCCTTTATGTCTTTGCTCAACTGTCTCCTTTTCGGGTAAGCCTACTCTAACGATCCTATTTAAAAATTGTGACTTCATTTTTGCCACTTCCTATGACTTTTCCCTCTTTTATTGTTTTCTATAGCTCTTATCTTTGTGAGTGTGTGTGTGTGTGAGTGTGTGTGTGTGTGTGAGTGTGTGTGTTTTGTTGGTCTTTTGCCTGTTAGTACTGGTAGAATGAAGCTTCATGAGGGCTTTGTTTCTATTGCCTAGAAAAGTTCCTATTGGTGGTAGTCTCTTAGTATTTGTTGAATGATGAAATAAATGGTTTAAAATGTTCTTTGTTAGTAAAAAGAGATTCTTATTGGTGGTAAAAATGTGAAAGAATATAGTTTTTCAGTTACAGTTTCTTTTTTTACAAATTTGCTCCCAGTCATTTCCTTTAATCAGTCTTTTTACCAACTTTGCAATAAGTATCACAATGCTGCCTCCTCTGTGGATGACTGATGGCAAGAGTCTGAATTGAAAGAAAAATGGGTTGGAATTAGAATGAAACTATTTGTTTTTATGAGTCTCTGATAATGAAAGACTTTCACAAAAGGAAAGTATAACATTCACACGTATACATATGTAACAAACCTGCACATTGTGCACATGTACCCTAAAACTTAAAGTATAATTAAAAAAATAAAAAAAGAAAGTATAACATTATTGCTTTTATTATTTTAAACGTCTTATCTAATTTTGGCTGGTCTTCTGGAACAGTGTGTCTGGATTGTTGCGTCACATGTATAGCTTTCATCATATTATTCTAGCATAGTTGTTAATTTGGGAGGAATTTTAAGGTTATGACCTACAGCTGCACTATTCATTATTCACTGTGGTAGCCGCTGGCCACATGTGACTTTTGAGGACTTGTGACTAGTCTGAATTGAAATGTGTAGTAAGTATAAAATATACACTGGATTTTAAAGATTTACTGTGAAAAAGTAGTGTAAAATATGAATATTTTTGTATTGATTTTGTGTCAAAAATTTAATATTTTGGATATACTGAATGAAATAAAATGTTTTATTAAAATGGATTTTATCTGTTTCTTTTTACTTTATTATGTATGTGGCTTGCTTTATATTTCTATTGAACAATACTGACTTAGGGCTTCTTTAAAATGAATGCAAATGTTGATGTGTTAACATATTCATATTTGAAAAATAGACTTTGTAAAAGTTCTCTGTGCACCACTCTACTGACTGCTTATTTTTATAGTACATTATTTTTATTTGGTAGTTATATTTTGATATTTGAACATCTGTTTATAGTATGCCACTTGGGAAAAATGATTTGTAAAGCTTTGTGTTAGGGTTTCATATATTCTTCATTTATTATTTCTAATGATATGAGCTGAACTTTTTTACTTACTTAATAGTGTTTCTCACCTCTGTAAATCCATCCTGACCTCTAACAGGAAGAATGGACTCTTCCTCCATTGTGTACTTGTTGTACCTGTATGTACTTGTATAGAAACTGTTACATATTATTGTACTTAGTTTTTATATATCTGTCTTCCTTTACTATAATGTAAGCCCTTTGGAGACAGGGATGTGTTTAAATAAGACTATGAATTAAGTTACTTCATCCATTCAGTACTTATTGAGCTGCTACTATGTGTCATACAGTTTACATTTGGAAGGAGGGAGTAAATCTATTATGATTTTAAAAATTTTAACATATATGAATTTCATGTGTTGAGGATGACTGTATTTTCACAACAGTACTCATCAGTTTATGCATCTTCTAATATGTCTTTCCTTATTGTAGATACTGACTACATTATAGTCTTTTAGCATAATCTCTCAGCATTTTTTTTGACAGAGTCAGTGTACAAGGTTGATTACCAGGCCACTATACACATTACAGTGTTGTGTTATGTCCACCCTGAATATGTAGATCAGAGTGTTCCTTCTCTTAGGATGATAGCCCTCACTGAAATAAATGCTGCTGTTTAAATTTTTTGTCAATACATTAAAAAATGTTTCTAATACAAAGGTGTAGTACCACTTAAGCTTTATGGAGATAATCAAAGGTATCAAAATAAGATGCACATCTCTCAGAATAACAGTACTAGTGATGAAATTTCAGTATGAATCTAGAACATATTAAATACCAGACAGTTATATTTGTTAAGTCTGTGGCATTGTGAACAAAGGCATAACAGAATTTAAAACTATTGTAAAATTATAAAAAGTAGTGTGGTATCTAGTGGGAATAACGTTGCACTGTGTGTCAAAAGACTGACCTAGACTGGCTCTACACTTGCTAGTTTTCCAAATTTAGGCAGACTACTAATTTACTTCTGAATTACAGCTCTTTTCCATTTTGTAGTTATTATAATGTTAACTTTATAGAGGGCAGATTAATTTGGAGTACAAATAAGATAAATTGATGTGAAAGTGCTCCATAGATCATTACATTATGAAATTGTGCAGTGGTAGTCTTTTATCTAAGGTGCATACTACCAATGAACATTTAAAACTATATATTTTTGAAAAATTTTATGTACAATTTCCTTGTTTATTAAAAAGACAATTCTGTTGCATCAGCAATAGGCTATGGCTTTTGCTTTTGCGTTCACGTATTCATATTCTTCCAGCATTCCTTGTGGCCGACAGACACTTAGAACCCCTAGTGATCTTTGGCTATGTAACAGCAAAAAGCTCACTAAGCCATACAGTATTGCACCATACACTGACCTTAAAAAGATCATTATTGTAAGTACCAATGTTTATTTAGCTTAATAAATTGAATAGCAAATATGTGCATAGTATAAGTATATATGTATTCATACTCATACATTGATCATATTTCACATTTTGCTATATGGAGCTTTGAAAGTGGATAAGAAAATATATAAAAGATTAGAATTCTTTCTAGGAACATAAGTCTTTAAATTTTTAAGGCCTATTAGGACTTTTATAATGCTGAATAGAAAATATGCACACACAGCAGTACTGGATTTCAGAGCTGTAAGGACTGCCAATTCCATACACATTGTAGTGTCCTGTGTGTACACTAGATGTCAGTTTTATCTTGTTATGTCTGTGACAGTTATATATATTTTTCTGATTCGTGTATCATTAAGGCTGCCATATCTGCTATAAAAGTTTAGTTTTAAAGGTTATACTTAAGTACGGACTTCACTGAGTATATTTTACAGGCTTTTTCTCCACAGGTAGGTGTCTACTAATATAAAGATGTAAAATTTAAACTGGAAAAGACAATCTCATATGATATAAAACAATTATATTTCTTTTAGGAGATATCTGAAGAGATTATAGGATCACCCATCCCAGAACCTAGGCAACGCTCAAGACTTCTAAGATCTCAATCAGAAAGCTCGGATGAAGTTACAGAATTAGACCTTTCACATGGGAAAAAAGATGCTTTTGTTTTGGAGGTAATGTGGCATTGGACTAATTTCTTAAAGGTTTTGGAAGCTAAGATACACATTTTTTCACGTGCTAAATTAATATGATACTTTTATATCATTACAACTGTTATAAATATTTAAAAAGTTATTATATAAAAATACAACAAACTTGAAAATAACAGAACTTGGTAACATATGTTTGTTCAATACCAGGTCACTGATACAATAATGCAGATGGTTCTGAAAAAGTTAATGTATGGGTTGAAATAATGATAGAATAGTATTAAACCTTTGAAGTTATTTTTGTAAACTTGAATGAATTTAAATGAAGTGCCATTCTTTAACTTACTATAATTATTACCTTTTTTGTATATTACTGTAGTTATAACATTTTTTAGTATAATCACTGTGAATTCTGAGTGTAGTATTTTCTTACTGAATTCAAAAGGTATAATTGATCCATCTTTATAAAAAGATACTAAGAACACTTTAGTAACTTTCCCAGAGAGTAAATGTCACATGAAAAGTTTATGGAGACTCCTTCCTCACAGATCTGCTTCCTCTGCACTCCCCTGTAGAATGGTTAGCTCCCAAAGAGATAGATTTTTCTTTTTCATATTGAAGGAAAGGAAAATAAATGATTAAGATGTAAGTTGAGAGAGAGAAAAATCAGATGCTTTGATCTTGGTGTAGCAGGAAGCTGGTGGTAGAATTGTGTTGGGATGGGATTGGAGGTTTAAAGAGTCAGGAACGGTGCCAGTGGCTGTAACAAGGATCTATGAGAGACGCACAGGCCTAACCAAGGTGAGAGTGTCAGTTTGTAGAAAACTCAACTTATATGGTTATTTGCCCCCCACTTTTTCCCCACATTTCTCTACAGTCTGAGAATGGAAAATATGTCATGGAAAATATCTCAGGTCAAGGAGGTTAAAAGTTCCAGGGTACTATTTACAGCAATGCTACTCAAAGTGTGATGTGCCTACTTGTGGCGTCAGCTCTACCTGGGAGCTTGTAAGAAATGCAAATTCTTGGGCCCCTACCTCAGACCTAGTAGATGAGAATTTCAAGGTGGAGCCCAGGAATCTGTTTAACAAACTTTCCAGGTGATGCCAAACATTACCTGAAGTTTGATCTAGGGCATTATTGATAAGTCTGATCTTGGGATCCTGGCTAAGTAGAGAGGCACATGAGAACAAAGTGCTTCAAACATGGGCAGAGGACAGAGGGCAAGTGGAATATCCAGTAAGAGAGGACAAAGAGACAGGACTGTAGTTGGAGAATGCTCGAGATCCTGGGTGTGGAACGTTTTGGGGAATAATGGGTTGAGGTATGGCTGTGACTGTGGGTAGCCACGTGAAGTGGAAGTGAAAGTGGTTCTTGAAGTCCTGAGGGTGATGTGGGAAGAAGCTTAGCGAGTCTGCAGGTTAGGACTTAGAAACTGAGGTGCAGATGAATGTCAGCGCCTGTCCAGCTGGATAGTTTCCCTATTTATTATTCACAGTGGAATATGGTGATGTAAGAAGAATAGAATTTAGACCTATTTATTTTATTAAAAAAATAGAGTTTAGACCTATTATTAGATATGTCTTTAAATTTATCTGTACCTAATTCCATTGTAAAGGAGTTCTGCATTTAGTGAAAGGATCTCATTACACTTTATTAATTTAAACAAATTAGAATAATGATTGCTTATGATGTCTTTGTCTTTAGAAACATATTCTCATAAAGGCTTGAGAAAGAGCTAGTTTTCTTTTTTAACTTAGTGTACTTTGTACGTAAAATATTTCACTTGGAAGTATTTGTGGTTATTACTGTGGAGAAATTTACTGATATTAGAATTTTTTTCTTGTTACATATTTTTACTTAGGAAAAATGACTCTGCCTTTTCTTGACTCTATTAATAGTTCTTTTAAAACGTGAAATAATTATGCATTTACTACTTATAAAATAGTTTTAATCTCTATTTTAAGATTGATGACACAGATGCCATGGAAGATGTCCATTCTCTACTTACTGATGTTCCTCCTCCTTCAGGTGAACAAAAAAGTTATCTTTGAGATGAAACTAGTTTTACATATAAATGTTTTAGCTCATAATTGTTACAGTACTAATTTTACTTTAAAAGAAGGACTTATCACAGTGTCACAGCTTGTCATGTACTTTGCTACTCCAAGGTAGAAAACATACCTTAAAAATACTTATGTTAGAACTTAGGTGGAAGTGATTTTTAGTCCTTTTATATTTATACACGGAAAAAAAAACCTGTGATAATTTATTAGGATGGTTTAAAGTCTCCTGCAGGTATAGTTTTAGAAGAAAAAAAATGAAGGGTGTTATAGTTAGAACTTCATATAATAATTGAAAAATGTCATTTAACACAAAAATCAATGAAATATTATCATATATTTTGATTACAATTTATTTTGACAGGCTTTTATAGTTGTAATACAGAAATTATGCCCGGTATAAATAATTGGACCTCTGAAATACAGGTAAACCTTTTTTTCTTAATTTTAAGCACATAACACATAAGTTATTTTAGTAAGTTCCATTTAAATATTTGTCTTTTTTTTTTTACCTCCTTATTGCAATTAAAATACCATCCTTATTCTACTACATTAGTTAGTATTGTTCATTATTTGGCAATTTATCAACTGTTAAAATATTTAGTTAAAAATAATAAAATGACATGTTATGTCACCCCACATTTAGATGTTCACTTCAGTAAGAGTAATCAGATTAAGCAGCCTCAACCTGACTAATCAAGCTCTCAATAAGAACTTTAATGATCTCTGTGAAAATTTGCTCAAGGTAGGAACCTTCTGACTAAATTTTATTTCATGCGTCTATAATAATGAAATTTTAAGTGTCTATATTGCTGTATTGTCTGTAATACCTTACACAGTTGTGGGCTGAATCATTCTTACCTACTTACCTTACCTCTATCAGCGGGTGAGATACTAAAGTTGTCCTCTCCCCCTTACTATATCAAATTATAAAAGAAATAGTTTTAGTTAATAGCTTTAACTTCCATAAAAATCTAGTGTATATGTGTATATTTAAAAAAACTTACTATATTATTTTTTGTGACTTATTGACGATTAAATCTTATTGTCTACTTAAATATTAAAAAGTATATCGTTAGTGTAAAAATACACAAAACAAAAGTGGACCAGTTTTGTTTTATTTTTAACTCTCCATTTGCTATAATATAATGTACATTAAAAAAATCAGCTTTTAAAAATTTTTAAATAAAAAAGTGACATTACTAATATTTTCTATTGTGTAGAGCCTGTACTTTAAACTACGATCTATGATCCCCTGCTGCCTTTGCCATGTAAATTTTACAGTATCTCTGCCTGAAGATGAATTAATTCAGGTAATTAAGATTTAGTCCATTATTAGTCTTTATCTGATCTGTTTTATTATTTTCATTATCTGTTTATCATAATTTTGCCGTAATTAAATAAACATATACTAGTTTACCTCACAATATTAAAAAATATATGTTAGTATGCATTAGGCCATGTGTGTTTCTTTTTCTGAACTTTAGTTATCTGAGGGGGTAAGCACACGTATGCTTCAGCATGTATACAGTAGGATCTGTACCCATCATGTGGGATTTCACCAGTTCCCATTTTTTAGAGAAGGTTCTTGAGCTCTTTCTGGAATATCTAGATTTAGGTATAACTGTTTGGTATAGTTGTAGTTTGTGTATGATTTGAATTTATACATAATTCTGGTTGAGGATTTTAACCAGAAAAGGTATTTGGTGTAGGTTGTTCCGTGGTACTGAAAAAAATATGTAAGAAACTTAGTTTTGGCAGTGATTATTTTGCTAACCATTATTGTTTTTATAATTCTAGGTTACAGTCACGGCAGTCGCAATCACTTTTGACAAAAATCAGGCTTTACAAACCACAAAAACCCCTGTTGAAAAGTCATTGCAAAGAGGTAAATCTTTACTGAATAGGAAGTTCAGTTTGTGTTTGTCTGTGTTATGGTTCAGTGATAAAATATACAGGACAGGTGGATTCAATAAATTACTTATTTCTTGAAGAATATTTGCTGCTTTTTCTGTTCATCTTTATGAAGATAACTGTGTGGATAAGCGTATGGCTGACTTGATATTTTTCACACGCGACTGGGTGGTATTTGACTGATGTTTACATAGAGAATGCTGCTGGTTTTTTAGACTTAAATTATAGCCTATTAATTCTGCAGTAATATAAGGGTTTCTATACTAAGATCTCTGGCAAGGTCTTCAAGGCATCTGAGGACCTACTGATGTAGTAAGCACAATTGTGTGCCTGTGTATTATTTTCAGGACAAGTTCCATAGTGTTCAACAGATTCACAAAGGTGGCCTTAATCCAGTAAAATTTAGGAAGTAGTCTTAATATATATTCTGAAGAAATCCAAATTATTGGAAACTGTGTGTTCTGAAAAACACATAATGGGGGATACTATACTTTCTTGTATAGTTTGAATGATTTACTGGCTAAATGAAATATTCCTGATTAGTCCTAAACTTTTAAAAGTTGATTACATTCTACATGTATAGCATTGATAAGATTTGAGCAGTGAGTTAATGTCAGGTAGATGTATTAAATGATTATGTGTTCAGATATTTATCAAAGAAGACATGTAACCGGTTTAAGTATCACAAAAGCTAGTAATGGACAAAGTATAGGATATTAATTATTGTCTAGCATTTATTATTTGCAAAGCACTGTGCTAAGTGAGTTACAGATATTAATCTCTTAAAGCTTCACAAGAGTCATACCAGGGAAGATAGCACCAGTCTCAGCATCATGCAGATGAATGGTTTCCATGGGAGAAATCAAGGAGAAAATGACCAGAATAAATTGGGGTGGGGAGATGGAGCTGAGAATATGTATATGTATGTTGTCACAGATTCTTAATTTTAAAAAATTAATAATAGATCATTACTAAATAACTGATATTTTCTTGCCTTTCTAGCCTCAACAGATAATGAAGAACTTTTACAATTTCCACTGGAACTGTGTTCAGATTCACTTCCTTCTCATCCTTTTCCACCAGCTAAAGGTTGGTTAAGTGAGGGAAAAAGCAAACACAAATCCTGGTTTCTAGTTCCTTTCACTGCTTCTTCATTATAGGAAATCTTACTAACCTTGAGGTGAAAATTTATCCTTCATTCCCTCATTATATGTTTCTTCATATTCATAAAGGGGAGAAATTAATGTTCCTTTTATTTTAATTTCTGAAGTAATTTCATTCTAAGTTATTAAGGTAATTTTTCCTATGATATTCTATTCTCATACCTTAATGTATTAAAGCTTTATTTTCAAAGGTTTGGATTTCCCACTGTAACTATTCACACATAGAATACTTGATATTTTATATTATATTTGGTAAGTTTTTTCCAGCAACAATTAAACCTTCACAAAAAGTTTTGGATTTTCATGCACAACAGAATGCTTTTTTTTTTCCAGAAGATACATGAAGAGGTTTTGAGTGGGAGTAGTACAAGTGAGAAAGCGATGAGCTTCCTGTCTTTGCTGTGGCAATAATTGAAGAACATTGTTATGTACTTATATAAGACACTGCCATGTTTTTTTTCCAGTGCAAATTGATAGCTCCTTAATTTAATAGCAATAAATCTATTTTGATCTGCATAATCTTTGGGGAAAAGTGGGAGGTATTGTTTTCCATTTCTCATCTGATTTTAGTATGATTTTTATTACAAAAAAATTTAAAATTACTATGCCTTATTTTGTAGCATTATGTATTAGATAAATGTAGTATGTGTTTTTCACTAAATTTATTTTGAGAAATGATAGTTATTTGAAATGAGCTATTCAACTTTTATGTCTTATAATACAATGGATATTATTTTATGATTCCTACTTGTTATTTGATACCAAATTATGTATAATACAGAATAGTTTTATATTCACTTTACATATATGTCAATAGAATCTTTATTAAATCAGTACAAAGTCTGTTTATATAGATAAATAGATCTTGTCTCATATTTCAAAGACGAAAAATAAGCTGCTTCCAGATTCTGAACTTTGTAACGTAGTAACTGTGGTCCTTTTTCCTTTTTGTGATCACCCAAAATTCTGATTTAGAACTCCATAGAGAATTGTAGCATATCTCAATGTCCTTGAAAGAATAGAGAGGAAAAATCAAATTCAAAGGTAATGTGAGTTCAGATTTATGAATTAAATACAGCTTCCAGGCAGAAAGCAGAACTGTCAAGAGTCTTCTTTGGGCCGGGCCTGTTGGCTCATACCTGTAATCCCAGCACTTTGAGAGGCTGAGGCGAGAAGATCGCTTGAATCCAGGAGCTTAAGACCAGCCTGGGCAACACAGTGAGACCCCAGCTCTACAAAAAATAAATAATGAGCTGCATGTGGTGGTGTGCACCTGTGATCCTAGCTCCGTGGGAGGCTGAGGTGGGAGGATTGCTTGATCCCAGGAGGTTAAGGCTACAGTGAGCTGTGATTGTGCCACTGCACTCCAGCCCAGGCGATAGGGGGAGACCCTCTCTCAAAAAGAAGAAAAGTCTTTCTTGAATTCACTATACAGCAAGTTTTTTTTTCTTTAACATCTACTTTATACAGAAATTTGTATTTATTCAGGGTTAGTTCCAAATCACTTCTAGGTATAATTTCATTTATCCTTATCCTGCAATAGGGGCCAAAAAAAAAAAAAAAAGCCCTAAAACCTAATCGACAAAGGTTTGATTGATTGTTATTCTGTAGGAAAAGGTATTTGTGGACTTGGGGTCCCTGTTAGCTCTGTTTTACTATGTTGTTAATACCTACTGAATTCTGCAGAAGATTAGATTTCAGCTCTCTAAGTTTGCCTTGTCTATAAGGACAACTTTCCACTTCTGCAATAGCTTTCAAAATGTTTTCAAAGGAATTATAACTGGTGCTTATGTGATCGTTACTATACGGTATCCAAATGATATTTTGTGGACTAAAAAACAAGAAAATAAGAATTTGAGTAGAGTAAGTCCTATTTGAACAGTACCTAAAATATTTGCAGCTCATTTTAGGGAGAATTGAGAGGGACCGTGAGGTAGGTTGGAAAAGCAACTGACCTGTTTTCTCAGTTCTGCTATGGATTAGGCATGAGAACTTGGACCAATTGCTTAACCTCTTTGAGCCTCAGTTCGTCCTTTGTAAAATGTGAAAAGATTCTCTCTAACCTTTAAAATTCGTTGGGTTTCTATAGTTTATGGTTCTTCAATTATTAACATATTCCCATTTTGAAAAGTAAATCAAAAGCTAAATTAGACCCCAAGGTCACACTGAGCGTCTGTATTTAATTTAAGTGTGTTCAGCTGGGCGCGGTGACTCATATCTGTAATCGTAGCACTTTGGGAGGCCGAAGCAGGCGGATTGCTTGAGCCTAGGAGTCTCTTCTCTACAAAAAATACAAAAAATTAGTCATGCATGGTGGTGTGCCTGTGGTCCCAGCTACTCAGGAAGCCGGGTGGTAGAATCACCTGAGCCCAGGGAGGTTGAGGCTACAGTAAGCTGTGATCATGCCACTGCACTCCAGCCTGGGCGACAGAGTGACGCTGTCTCAAAAAAAACAGAATAAAAAATGATTTCAAATAACTTTTAATCAATTAAACCAATAATTTTAATTTTAAATTCTGCTCCTCTGAACCATAGAGGTTTGTCAGAGGTACCTCTTGGCCTGCCAGGAGGCAAAGTGAAAGGGAGCAGAGAAGGATGGGATTGAGGGTAGGTCTCTGGATCCCCTACTTTTCTGAAACAGCAGCTTTGATTCCATGTTTTTATATATCCATCTTCTGTATGTGATTTCACTTGAAGAAAGGGTCTCAAAGAGTTTGAAAACCATTGATTGATTATGCCACCCTTTATTGTCATCATCATCATCAGACCATCACATCTAATACGAATATATGTAAAACTTTCTATACTAAGTGCTTAACTGTGAAACCTATGTGCTTTTCCTTGAATACTGCATTTAAAATAATCAGTAAACACTTAAAAGTGTATCTGTACCTTTCTGCCAATATTTCTGTAGTTTTGTAAATTGTGGTTTGTGTTGCGTGCTTATTTATTGTCTTGTGCTTCAAGTCTTTTCAGGAGGACATGGGCTAAATACAATTTTTAAAGCTATCTCAAAATGTTTTGGAAAATTTGAGGGTAAGATAGGTTTTGAAAAGGTCTGAAAAATATAATAGAGTCTTAAAAATGGAGTAATTGCGTGTTGTAACATGAAAGAAGGCAATGTCTGGAAAAATTCAAAAATAGCAATTTAGCGGAAATAGGAAGAGAGGAAGGTAAGAGTGTTAGGGATAAATGCTCAAAAGATTTCTCTGTTTTTTTAAAATATGCAACCATAAGAGGCTTAAAAGTCAGTTACTAATACTGATAAATAAAAGTATAGTTTTTTAATCATTTTGTTAAGTTAAATAAGGTGATAGCTTTTTTTTTTTTACTTTCAGTAACTTTGAATTCCAGTGTATATTTCATGTTTTTAATCACAAATAGGATGATTGTTAAAATTTTTTATTTCCTTTTATATTGACTAGGGGATTAGTTTCAAGAGCTAAGCATAGTATGTTTATTAATATTTCCATCTTTTTACTTGTAGATAAACCTTTCATTGTCTTTTTGTGTTATTGAAAATGGGTGAATGTCATGTAAAGAAATGTTGCTTCAATAACATGTATCTTAATTCACAGTGTAGAGTAAGCCTGGGCCTGAATTGTCCATCCATGTTCAATTTTTTCTTTCCATCGTTTATTATATTTGGTTTTGTTTTTAAAGGTAGCAGAGTAGTTTGATGTATGTCTCAAATTTATGGTTGATTTGGTGTTACCTTGCTGGTTGTCTTGATTTTTCTGATTTGATATATTAACTGGTGCTGAGCCTAAATAATTTATTTAAGGATAGATGATATGGTATCAACATAAATTATTTATGTTTATTCAAGAGTGTGTTATGAGAAAAATGATAGCTATAGCAAATTTTTAATACAATTTTCATGTGTTTTTCTCATCATTGATATCCAAACCTGAGTTTTTCTCTGAAATGATTTTCAAGAGACTTTAAAAATAATGTGTGTATCTATATAGAAAAAAAGAATGAGCAAAATGGGGGGGAATCTGGGTTGAGGTCTGGGAGAAGAGTAAAAAAAATCAGCGAGATTCTTCTCATAGATTTCAGTTTATCTCAAGAATTTTATACATGTAATTTTTATAAAAGGTTAGCATATTACTTCAGAGAAATATCTAAAGGCTTACATCTTGAGCTATTAGTTGCTGTATTGTAGGGCTTAAGAACTTATATTAGACAAGTGTGTATAAATCATATACTACTTTAAATATATTTCAAGTTCTTAAAAAATATTACCTAAGGTAGGATAATAGTTTTCATTAAAACACTGATCATTTAAAAATTAAAAAGGTTTAATTAAGTCAATTTTAGTTTTAAATACCGTTGAGTGAAACTGTATAGAAGACTCTTTTTTTTTAATACCCACCTTGTTTCCTGCTTTCCTTTTGCTTTTACTAGAGTATTTCCTCGTGTTCAGTGGCATACGCTATAGGCTGGCAGGAATACTCTATTCATTACATTAGCTGCTGACTGCTGTGGCAAGCATAGGTTAAATATAAAAACAAGTTGGCTTATACCCACAATACATTGTACTTCAAAATTAGGTGTCTACGTCAGAAGTTTTTTATTGTAGGCTAGAAGAGTTACTTTTTCTTTGTTAAACCAAATTAGATTTTTTTTCTTTTTAGAGACAGTCTCATTCACAGATTTGATTTTAAAATAGTTTAACTGTTTGAATTTAATGTCTTGCTAACATTATTTTAAAATAGCAATTAGAAGTGTACATTTGTAAAAAATACAGAAGTTATCTTTTACTTTTCCTGCCAACTAACGGTTTGAATTCTTATGACTATATATAATTCCTTATACTAATTAAAAGCATTTTATATATTAATAGTCCATTGCATGTCTGTTATTACTATTTTTTAAAAAATATATTTTGTCACTATGACCAAGTGGCAGCAACAATAAAAAACAGTTAAAATTCTTGATGTTATTGGAGGCCAAATAATCAATGGCAAGTTTTAAAAGGAAAGAGACGCTCAGGGGAAGAGAATGCAAAAAACAGAAACTAACTAGAGGAAAATGTGTGAAAAACTCATCCCAGAAATGGGAAGGAAGGAAGGACGGAAGGCAAGAGAATTGATGGAGAAGTAGGAATAAAGAATCTTTATCTCTGTGGCTTCTTCAAGGCAGCTTGAGGACAGTGAAATCCACAGTTAGAGGAAGAGGGAGTAAAAAGCAAAGGAAAATTGCATTGAGTTACTGACAGAAAACGGATTATTTGGAAGAGAAGCTATAAAAGATAGGAGTGAGAGGGAGATTGCATGCTTGGAAATGGAAGCAGGAAAATGTAAGAAGGGGATTGAAGAAGAAAGACAAGTGGTTTAGAATGTCGTACACCTTTAATTAGAAACTTAAATGACCCAAATAGGGAAGTTAATTGTCTTTGTTATCTAATATATGTACTACCTAGGTATCACAGTTGAATTTTTCCCTTATAAACTGTCCAAATTGAAGCTAGTTCTGTCTTTCTGTGTGCCTTAGTAATTTACAACTGTAATATGGCAGTTTCCTTATCAATTCATCAATATTTGAGTATCGTTATAGATCAGGTTTATACTGAATGTTTAGATATATCATTTGTCTACCCCAGTCATGAAGTTAGATTTTATACTTATAAAGCATAACTAATCAATGCATTATCAATTGATGGAAATTCCTAAAGAAACATAAAACCCAGTTTTGATCATAATAAAACTGAGAATGTTTAAATAGGAAAATAAAACATAAATTATAATGACTCCCAACTGCATATATTTTAATCTGCCAGAGAATCATTTCCAAATTTGTAGGAAGTTTTTTAGTTTTAGTAATTCTTAAAAGACATTCAGATAAGATTTTCTCAAATATTTTTTAATTATTTAGAGCAAAGATGATCTGCAAATTCTAATGATATAAAGTGAATAGATAGTCAAAAGAGGTACTGATCAGTGTAGAAATTTATTCCTGTATTTATCTTAGTTTGTTTGGTACTACTGTGACAAAACACTTGAGACCGTGTAATTTATAAAGAACAGGCATTTATTGACTCAGTTCTGGAGGTTGGAAGTCCCATATCAAGGAACCAGCATCTGGCAGGGGCCTTCTTGCTGTGTTATCACAGGGCAGAAGGGCAAAAAGAGAGCAAGAGGAGATCAAATCTCCCTTTTTATAATGGCACCAATCCCACCCATAAGGGTGGAGACCTGGCCTAATCAGGCCTTAAATGTCCTACTTTTTTTTTTTTTTGAGACAAGAGTCTCCCTCTGTTGCCAAGGCTGGAATGCAGAGGCACGATCTTGGGTCACTGCAACCTTTGCCTCCCAGGTTCAAGTGATTCTCCAGCCTCAGCCTCCCAAGTAGCTGGGGTTGCAGGCGCCTGCCACCATGCCTGGCTAATTTTTTTTTGTATTTTTAGTAGAGACGGGGTTTCACCATATTGGTCAGGCTGGTCTCGAACTCCTGACCTCAAGTGATCCGCCTGCCTTGGCCTCCCAAAGTGCTGAGATTACAGGTGTGAGCCACCGCACCTGGCCTTTTTTTTTCTCTCTCTCTTTGAGACAGGGTCTTACTCTGTCCCCCAGGCTGGAGTGCAGTGCTGCGATCTTGGCTCACTGCAGCCTTTAGCTCCTGGGTTCAAGCGATCCTCCCGCCTCAGCCTCCTGAGTAGCTGGGACCACTAACACCCCCTTGCCTGGTTAATGTTTATCTTTTTTTGTAGTGATGGGGTTTCAACATGTTGCCCAGGCTGGTCTCGAGCTCCTGAGCTCAACTGACCCGCCCACTTAGGTTTCCCAAAGTGCTGAGATTACAGGTGTGAACCACTGCCCCTGGCCAGAATGTCCTACTTCTTAGTACTGTTACAATGGCAGTTAAATTTCAGTGAGTTTTGGAGGGGACCTACATTCAAATAATCGCTGCAGCTAACGAATACCTTTGCCATTGGTTACGACAAGTTATTTAGAAGAATGGAAAAGTCTCAGACTTTAGACGTACTGGAGAATGTCTGTTTGAGGGAGGAAGAATCCTTTTTGTCGTTAATATGCTCATTTCCACTGAGCTGATTTTAACCTGGGTTAGTTTCCCTCCCACACCACTACACACAGGGCTTGTTAAATATTGCTAGAGTGCACTAGGGGAATTATAAAACCATAGCCCTGTATTGCTTTGCTAAGTTTCTAGGGTCATTTATTTGGGGCTTGCAGGGTTATCACTTAATGGTGACTTTTAAAAAAATGCAAAATAATCTTCTTCTTGCATTAAGTGGGAAACCAAATTATAATAGAAGCAGACTGTTGTGTGGCTTAATTGAGACTGTTTGCAGCTAGAAGGGGGATCTTGACATGAAAAGCATTTGTTTCAGACTCTTCCATATAGATCTACAAATGGCACACAAGTGAGCACAACTCAGCAAAGCCTGAAAGACTTTTAAGGAGATTTCTACCCTTGAATAATGAACTATGTTGTTTTTAATTTAGTATTAGTCTAGAGACTGCATGTTGTTTTATTTCTTTTAAACTGGAACTCCCAGTTGGTCAGTGAGCCAGACTGCATGTATCTGCAGTACCTTCTCTTTTGAAAAGCTTATCACCTGGGAAGCCAAACTCTGATCAGGAGGAGCAGAGGGCCTGGGAGTCTGAGGTCATCAGACATTTGAGGTATTCAAACCAGTCCAGGTGCTGATGTCTATCTGCTGCTGGGACCAGCTGGCCTTGGGCCTCTTGGGCCTTTTTTTTCTAGGAGAAAAATTAAGATAGCAAGCATGTTAAAAGATGAACCTGCTCTCCCTAAGTGAAATCAAAAATCTCCCTTAAAAACTTGGGTTTTTCAGATTTTTTTCAGATGCATTCGTATTTGAGGGCAGGGAATAAACATTTTCCCTCCCTTTTTTCCCTCTTCATCCTTTATATAAATTTTACTGGGTAAAAGTAATACATGTATATCGTGAAAAATTTGAATATTACAAAAATCATGTAGTCCAGAATAAAGCTCTCTTCTCCATTTCCTTCCCCAAGAGGCAACTACTTTTAGCAGTTTACTGTCTGTCTTTCAAAGATACTCTATTCATCCTTTTTAAAAAACACAAGTATTTTACATATCATTGTGTACCTTGTTTTTTCCACTTGATGTTAGAGATGGGAACAGATATTTAATACATACTCAGGTAAGCTCTTTCTGTGTACATTTGCCATTAAAATATATGCAGTTCCTACTAGGGAATTCCATATTACTCAGATAATATCAAGGTATAGAAAAGATTTTCGTTTTAGTGATTTTTCAGAAATTTTTAAGCCGTTCCTCTTTCCCCTGCAGTTTAAAAAAATGCACAGAATTCCTAATGCCAGCTATATGTTCTGTAATTCTACACCAACCAAATCTATACTGCACAAGACATATGAGAGCCTCAGGACTCTCTTGGGATATGTAAGTTAGGGGTAGGACAGTTGGTGTCCCAGTCTCTCCATTGAGTCTGTTTCTGTGCTGAGTGTCCCTACAGATGTGGTAAGCCTCTGAATGTCAGGTCTGTGCTGGTCTTTCTTTAGGTCCCATCTCCTCCTAGACTTCCAAAGTCTCTCAAGATCCTGAATCAGGAGGACTTTTCCTATCTAGATCTCCAGTCAGTGAGCATGATGGTCAGGGCATGTCCACAGTGTGGTATCCTCATAGGCCATTCGTGGACCCCACCTGGTGATCCCTTTTATTCATCAGCTCTGTATATGTTACAGGATTAGCTAGTGGTCAGTTGCTTTATGAAAACTGTGGGCCAGGTTTGGTGGCTCATACCTGCAATCCCACCACTTTGGGAGACCAAGGCAGGCGGATTACCTGAGGTCAGGAGTTCAAGACCAGCCTGGCCAATATGGTGAAACCCATCTCTACAAAAAATACAAAAAAATTAGTCGGGCGTGGTGGTGGGTGCCTGTAATCCCAGCTACTTGGGAGGCTGAGGCAGGAGAATCACTTGAAGCTGGCAGGTGGAGGTTGCAGTGAGCTGATACCGTGCCACTACACTCCAGCCTGGGCAACAAGACGAAAACTCCGTCTCAAAAAAAAAAATTGTGTTGGTGGGGTGTGGTGAGATACTTGCATTGTATTTTCAATTAGCAGCAACATTCTATGGTAGAAACATTCTGTACAAATAATGTTTTGAAAAGTTTTTTTATTAATTTAAGAATGTTACCAAAAAATCAACACACTAAGTAGAAATGAAAAAACATATTTATCTATCTATACTTAAACTATACTATACTAAGCCAACCGAATTATTCTCAGTGCTTTTCATGAGTTATTTCTAAATTGGCAGGACTATTCTTTTAGTTGTAAAATTCTTTCAAACAAAAATTTAAATATTCTAATGTGGGTAGAACATGAGCATTAAAAATAGGTTATGAAGTTTTTTTATAGTGCTATTTAAATTTGTACAATACCTTAAATACCTGTAATAAAAAATATCAGGGAAAATTCTGGATGCTACTGTCAGGTTACTGGAAAGGGAGTGATACTGGCTTGGGATTCCTGGTTACCTCTGTGATCACTCATTTTTTAGTTTCACAAAGTCTTGATACCACCAGAGGGAGCTGTTGATATCGAAGTCTTCGAATGAAGAAGTTGGTGGTGAGAGTTAAGACTAGGGAGCAGCTTATGCTGATCTGTGAAGCATAATCATTATCTTGTCTGTAATTTGTAATCTTATAGACTCTTCCCCACAGCAAACATTTTCCTTCCATGTTTCATTTCAGATATTCTTCCCAACACATTGACCCTTTTCTCTGCCTAGTCTCACATCCTGCTTTCATCATACTCACATTCGTTACTATGTTTATATTTTCTTGTGACTATAAAGTTTCTGAAACTCTTTTTGTGTTACAGTAAGCAAGTAGTCTCCTTTGGCATGGTATTTATGAACTGAGCTAGTTTTCATTTATCAATAGAAACTGCATTTTAAACCTAGATGCTTTTATTTGGTTTGCTTTTGCAATGAAGCCATAAAGATTTCCTCCTATTCTTCTGGCTTATAGAGGTATTAACAAATAACAAAGAAGAGGTACTGGCTTGTACTTAGCATCTGAGCTAATGTTGTTCATATTGTCTTATTAGAACACCTGGAGAGTGCAAGTTCTAACTCAGGTATACCAGCTGCACAGAGAGGTGAGTTTGTCTAATTAAGCAAATAGTCACCAAAGGTGTAAAATTCTAGTTTGGTGGTGCATAAAATTATAGACATTGAAGAAAATGCACTGGACAATATGGAATAGACACCAAAATCTGGCTTTTTTTTTTTTGTAGGTAGAATATGTTCTTTTAAAAGCATCAATTAAACTAATATTTAAATTTTTTAGTATGTTAATGGTTTCCCAGTTTCTAAGCATAAAATTTTAGCTCCTTAAAATTTTTTTTCCAGCTTAGCAGTAGTAAAAGTTATTGTTTTTAAAAGGGGGAACTTGTGAGGCTCACACCTGCCCTGACCCCATATTATCAGAGGCTTTGTTGCCCAAAATCAGACATGGAAACAAAACATTAACAAAAATGGCCCTTTGGTTTTCCTCTTACTGATTGTAGAAAGAAGATACTTTAATAACAGATAAGTCAACTACTAACTTTTAAAAATATATTCTTCAACATTTGATTCTCTTTTTTTAAAATTTTAGGGTAAAACTAGGGAAATGAATTATTCACAAAGCTTTGATTATAAAATAAAATAGAAACAACTGAAATATTGTAAATTAAGAAGAATAGGAAATAAAGTTAGTTAAAGCACAGTATGTGGTCCTTTCATTGATATTTATGTTAGACCCCACTCAGGCTCTCCCTAGGAGACCACACAACTATGACATCACCAGAAATGCTCAGCCTGCTAACTGAGAACTTGGTTTTGGACAAATCAGTGTCTAAAGCTTGACTCTTTACTATCTCTCTTATCTGACTTGAAAAGGACCATTCTTTTTCTGAGTTACAGTTAAATTACATCATCGAAAGGAGTGTTAAGACGAGTAAGAGACATCATCCATATTTTTTTCTTTGTTTTTTTCTTTTGTTTTCTGTCTGTGTTTTCAGCAACGTCAGTTGATTACAGTTCCTTTGCAGACAGATGCAGCAGCTGGATAGAGCTCATTAAACTGAAAGCTCAGACCATAAGGCGTGGATCAATTAAGACAAGTAGGCGGATGTTTCTACCACATTATGATAATCTGAGAAACATATCCCTGATTTCCCAGTGGTGAAAGCTAGACCTTACTACCCAGTAATAACATTGCCAATCCATCATGTATTAGAGTGTGAAAGCTGCAGACTGTAACGGTCATTTAGGAAAAGCTTTTGAAAGGCCTTTAGATTTATTAGTTTTACCTATAGAATTGTGTTTTTAAAATTTTCCTTTTTGTGCAGGTATTCTTAAAAGTATATAAATAGATATTATATCATTCTAATTGGAAGTAAATTGCCAACTCTCTTATTGAAAAGACATTCTTCCAGGACCCAAGGTACTATTTAGTATGTGGCATCTGTCGGTTTATTAAGTGTGATATGCAGAGGGCTAAACTAATAAAGAATTTATGGTGAGAAAGTAGTTATTACCTTACTGCTAGAATCAGAATCATTACTTATATGTTATCTTATGCCATGTGTTTTGGTAAATTTTGAGGTAAATATATTTGAGTGAAAGAGCTTACCGTACATTAAAAGGGGGAAAAAACTACATTTCACAGGAAATAATATAGGATGTGAAACCAGCCAGATCTGGTTCTGAATCCTAGAAGTGCCATTTTAATAGCTATGAGACCTTGGGCAAGTTACTTAACTTCTCTAACCTTCCATTTCCTCATGCATGAAATGGGGATGATGATGATAACCTGTGTTTTTGGGTGGTTGTAAGGATTAGATATATATATATATGTCTGGCTTATGGCAGTTATTTAATAAGTGGTAGCTATTATTTTTTTACTTTATAAACAACCAACTTTTAGCTAGCAGAGGTCGTTAAGCTTTTAAAATTATGAGTTGGTTTTCAAAAAGGTTTGGAAAAAACCAGTATCTTACAACTAGATAACATAAGGTTTATCTACAAGTTGACAATGATGAAGTCGTCTGAAAAAGATGGAAAAATTGCACTGGGAAATAGAACAACTTTCACACTCTCCTTGTAATAATTTGTTCCTACAGCAGATAATTTTAATGCTCAGCCGCTTTTTCTTTTTCTTCACTTTATAACCAATCATTGTGTGTGTAGCTATACTGCATCAACATTTTCTTTTGCAGGAATGCCATTTTTCTTCCAAAAGAATTCCATTCCAGCATTTCCTCTCATGTTTTTCTGTCTCTCTTTTTTAATTGCATGCAGTGCATGATAATTTCTTTTCTTTCATGACATGGCTTAGCCTCACAGACAGCTGAATGTTGTCACCACTTATTTGGAAACCTCAGGGAATAATTGTGTTACCAGCGTCTGTTCTGAATGTTTTCTCATTTTTCTCCAATTTTAGCCATGACAGTTGAAAAAGCAAGTCCAGTGGGTGATGGAAATTTCCGGAATCGTTCTGCTCCACCTTGTGCAAATTCCACAGTTGGGGTTGTTAAGATGACACCTCTTTCTTTTATTCCTGGAGCAAAAATAACTAAGTATCTTGGGATAATTAACATGTTTTTTATTCGAGAGACTACTTCTCTTCGGGAGGTAATTTTATAGAAGTTATTTCATTTTTTAAAAAATTTTCTCTGAAGATTTAGTAACAAAACTAAGTTTCAAATTGTTATTTTTTGCCAAAAACTTACAAATATTTATTTATATTTTAATTATCTGGATTGAGTCTAGAGTTTATTTCATTTAGCAGCGAGGATTATCACAAGAATTGTGTTAGTTTTAAACCTATTTATTGTTAGAAATCTTAGAACCTTATCATATAGTAAATAAAACAAATATCTGTGTTCAAATAGAAGTTTAAAATAGCCCTGAAAGAACAGCTTCGTTTCCTCAGTAATTTAGCAATTTTTGACAGATCACATTTAGAAATAGTAGAGGACTGTATTACAGATACATGTCTAAGGAGATACTTTATGTAATTTAGCTCTGCTGTTTCTTCCTCCTGAGAAAGGAATGAAGCTGCTCATTTTTTACTCTCTCAGTTAGTGTATGAGGATGACATTTCTTCAGTCTTACCTCACACTGAGTATCATTAAACTTTAATTTGGTTTTTAAATAACAAGTTGTAATATTTTACTTGATGTGGGAAAAGTTCAGAATCAGAGTCAGCCTGTTATATCTTTTATAACACAGGAATTTAAACTTAAAAAAATTACGTTGTGTCATATGTTAAGGAACAGGGGCTACCAAGCAAATTAATATGGTGAATAGGGAAATTTTTTAGTTACTGAGGTGTGACATCCAATAACCTTTTCAAATTTTACTTCAGCTGCAGTTTGTATTTTTAAAAAGTATATTCATTATAAAGATGACTTAGCTGTGCCCTTCTTCACCAGCAGTATTTCTATACTTTCTTAGGAATAACAGCCTGCACACTGTCTTTAATATCATACTCACCATCCTGCGCCTAGCACAGTAGCTGGCATGGAATAAACACAATATGTTTTTGTGCAAATAAATGAATAGCTTCTGACAGATTATTTAATTAATTAGATGGATGTTTTCTTTAAGGTAAATTAGGCCAGGCACAGTGGCTCACGCCTATATTCTCACCACTTTGGGAGGCTGAGGCGGGTAGATTGCTTGAGGCCAGCAGTTTGAGACCAGCCTGACCAACATGACGAAACCCCTTCTCTACTATAAATACAAAAATTAGCCGGGCATGGTGGCACATGCCTGTAATCCTAGCTACTCAGGAGGCTGAGGCACGAGAATTGCTTGAACCTGAGAGGTGGAGGTTGCAGTGAGCCGAGATTGCGCCATTGCACTCCAGCCTGGGTGACAGAGTGAGACTCTATCCTTCCCCCCAAAAAAGATAAATTAGTTTTTATATCACTCTTAATTACGTTAAGATGAAAAATAAACTATGAAGATATTCTCAAAAGCCTTTGGATAGAGAATTAAAATAGATGATACTTCTACATCCATTTAAATTTGACAAAGATTTGGTGCGAAAAGCTGGCATATATTATGAATTAACCTTTTCTACTTGCTCTTGGTAGCACATGGATATTACACTATTTTGAATCCATAAAATTGTATTTCCTAAGCCTTCTTGACTACTTAAGCTCCCATACCTCAAAATGTTGCTTCTTAGTAGGTTTTCCTTCAACAGAAACTTATAATAATAATTGTGTAGCACCATATCCCAAATGTGTTAATTGCCTGAGTCGTTTTCTTACAGTTAATTAATATTTTTAAAATTAATCCTCTGTAGCTACTGTGTCATCAGAATTTTTTGATTTAATAAACAGGAAATTGATAAAACTCAAAAAATATACTGAACTATGATTGAGTTGGAGGCAGGCTGAAGCAACTCCCTTAATTCCCTAACTACAAAAAGAGATATCTTTATACAACTATATGTAGGATCCTCAGGCTTTTCAGAAGGATGTGACCCAATAAAATGGTTTTCTAATACTGCAGTCATTTTTCCCCTTCACTTCCAGTTTAAAGTTGGAAATTTCCTCCTAGACTGTAAATAAGTCCAATAGAATTTGTGGAAACCTAGGTTGAAAAGCATTTCAAGCTATTGACTAGCCTTTGATTTCTGTTTTGCTTGTTTTTCAATATGGGAAAAGTACCCTGAACTACTGGATTTTATTTCCTTACAATTATATATGGAATTCTTATTATATGCACCTGTTGAACTAGATGTTAGCATATAGTTGTATGCAAAACAGATACAGTCCCTGACCTAATGGAATTTACAGTCTAGTAGAACTGGAGCACGGTGGACATTAACAAATAATCATATAATTAGTATCTAATTACTAGGGAGAGTAAGTAATATAAAGAAATTGAACAGAGGCTATCAGAGTATATAATGGACTTCAACTTAGAGTTCACAGTCAGAGAAGGTATCTCGGAAGACATTATATGTAAGTTGGGACCAAGGAGTGAATGAGTTGTTCTCTGAAAAAAAAAAAAAAAATGAAAAGTCTGCAGGAGCAACATGTGCCAGTGAGCCTGAGGTAGGAAGAGTGCTTGTGCATTTGAGAAACTGAAAAAAAGGCAAGTTTGATTGGAACATGGTTCAGGTTCAGAATGAGAGATATAGATAACAGGTAAGTTTTATCGTTTAGGCTTATCATCAATTTGTTTAAATGATGATGAGCATGATATGATGGAGATGTTGAAGGTGGAGGCACAATTTGAATTCTTGCCTTGCCATTTACTTACTAGCTAATTTGATCATAGCTAGTCATGGGCAAATTACAAATTCTCCGGGCTTCAGTTTTATCATCTGTAAAGTAAAGGTAGTAAATCCTTGCCTGGACATGTGTTCAGTCAATGTTTGTTCATTCATGCAGTAAATCCCCATTGTGAGGGAAGTTTAAGTTATTTGGTATATTAAGATAATTTAGGATGTTTTAATATATATTCTTTGACATTTTGTGTGCATTCCTATATCCATACACATGTATATATAGTATGATTTTCCTGTGCACTATTATTTAGGAAGGAGGAGTCAGTGGTTTTCTCCATGCTTTTATTGCTGAAGTGTTTGCAATGGTGAGAGCTCATGTTGCTGCATTAGGAGGGAATGCTGTTGTCTCCTACATAATGAAGCAGTGTGTCTTCATGGAGAATCCAAATAAAAACCAGGTAAGATGCAGTTAAAAATTCCTGATTGGCGGGAACCTGAGAATTTCTTCCATGGCTTCCTACCCCTAACCCCCTCCAAAAGAGAATTGCTCTTTAGAGCCCTTTGAGTCTAGATGCGTAAGATATTTTAATGAGTTTATTCATAACCATGGTCATACATAGTCACAAGTCAATACATGCTATTTCGACATCTCAGGTAACTAGGGTATTATTCTTAATCACATCTGGAATTTGTGCTCCTGAGTTACTGTTTCCACCCTCTTGTTGGTAGGTGTTTAGAATACAGTGATAGCTAACTGAGGAGAGCTAAAGATATCCTTTAGTTTGGACTATGATGCTGTCCAGTTTCAGCTGCCTTACTAATGAAGAGTATATCATAGTAAGGCCATAGTAAGGCTTGCTTATTTCTAGTAAGTAGTGTTATTCTCTTAATGGGGATGAAAGCAGTTAGTTTAAATCTTAAAATAAATTTCTAAATTTTGTGTTAAGATAATTCACTTAAAATTGTTAAAATTTTTTAAAAATTAATCAACTATACTAAATAGTATGAAATGCCATAAAGGCAGTTCTTCCCAACCTGCTTCTCTTGGCACACATCAAAAATCCTATTTCTGTGGTCCACTGGTACACTGTGATGAATGCATGAAGCTGTATGTGGCTGCTGGTAATTGGCCCTGCGTTTCTGACCCAAGTGACTCCCCTAAGAGCAGAGGGGATCAATATCTTGGCAGACACAGAGCTTAAGAAGCTCTAATATAGACTAATTACTTATCATTTAAGCAGGAGTAAGAATGAATAGATGTGTATATGTATATATATTTTTTGCCCCTACCTGTACATCTAGATAATTGTAACCAAAGACAAATCATTTAAATTCTTAGTATCATTTTTTCATTAGTAAAATTATCTTATAGTGAAAGTGAGTTGCTGTCATAAATATATAAGCAGTTTGAAAAGACATTATGGAAATGCAAAATTGTTTTAGCTTTATTTAAGAGATAGGGTCCTGCCATGTTACCCAGGCTGGACTTGAACTCCTGAGCTCAAGCGATCTTCCCACCTCAGCTTCCCTAGTGGCTGGGACTACTGGCACATGCCACCACACCTGACTGGTTTTAGTTTTATTTTGAAATCATGAAGTTTAATCAGTTTCTTCAGAAGGGTACTTCATTTACTAAGTTCTTTTCAGGTTTTCTTGATAGTTTATACATTTTTGTAACTCACGGTATACTAAACTTCATTAACATGTTGAAGAAACATAGTGATAAACAAAACTATGAGACAACCTTCTGATAAATTTTGGCAATGGCTAAGGCACGTTAGAGGGGGAAGGGAAGCTATGAAACATCCTAGGAGGGTTTTTGGTAGATAATTGGGGCATATCTAAAAGCTCAGTGAGGCTACTGCAGTTCTGGATTCGCAGCTAGCTTATTGATAAGATTTGGCGTGAAGGAGATTGTGTGGAGTGGTCAAAAGGGGTACATGGGGAGAAGAAAGATTGAGAAAGGAACAGTGAGAAAGGCGGGAGGGAAACCAGGAGGGCTGCGAACTACCTCTACACGGATCGTTTGAAAGTAGAAGTAGAGTGGAAACCAGGCACATCCTGAGCAGGAGTATTTGATATCACTTGATATTATCTGGTCGTAAAGAACGCATCTATTAGATCTTGAAATTATATTCAACTGGATACTTCTTTGTAATAATTTATTTGATATAAGAGGATTTTCCCTACTTTAAGAATCCTTTTTTGCTTAATTACTTTGTATTTGAGATTGAGATTTGTAGTTTTGGGTTTTTCCCAGTGTTAAATTTATACAACTTGTTCACTGACTTAACTAGCACCTTAACAAGTGCCTCAAAATCAGCTTATCCAGAACAGAACTTATCTCTATGCCTCAGTTTTCTCATCTATAACATTGGGATAAAAATTGGGGAAATCATGAGTTAATATATGTAATGTGCTTAGTGCTGGTGGATTGTAAGCACTGTAAAAGTTGTTACTATTATCTTTTAAATGTTTGTCTTCAATGATTTCTTACAAGACAAAGTCATGCTTCTTAATATGTCATACAAGGTCTTCCACATTCTCAAGTCTTCTACCTTTTCAGACTCATCTGTTGCCCCCCTCACCTCTCCTAACATGCCCAAGAGGTAGATTGCATTGTTTGGTTTTCCAAATGAACTGTGCTTTTTTTTTTTCTTTTTTCATTTCTAGTACTTTGTAGTGTTGATATTAACTCCATTTTGTAGGTGAAAAAAACTGAGGGCTAAAAAACTTAAGTTTGGTATGAGGCTATAAGTAGAAAAGCTAGAATATACCCAGATTTTCCACCACCAGTCGTCTTCCTCTGTACCCAAATAATAACTGTCAATGGCTGATTACCACTGATGTGTACACATCATATCAGGTGCCATGATTTATGTCATTAGCTTTTTCCCCCACTTTTATGTGAGATCTTGCATATACACAAAAAGTGTAGAGAATTGCACACAGACATTCTTACACGTGACCCTCAGCTTAAGAAATAAAATATTAAAAATATGGTTGAAGCCTCAGTGGGCCTGTTTTCTCTTTATAATGAATGAACCATCTTAATTTTGTTGTCATTCCTATGCATGCCTTTATATCTTAAAAAAATTAATTGTAGTTTTATTTTGTATCTAAAATGTTTTAATATATTTTTGAATAGGTAGTACATGATTCAAAATTCAAAAAGGTATGAATGGAAAAGTCTCTCCTTGTCTGCTGTTCCAGCCAGTCACTTTTCTTCCCCACATGCAACCAAATTTTTCATTTTTTTTTTTATGGTAACTTCTAGAGATGTAACACTCCAGAGTGTGTAACCAGAGAGATTTTATACATACAAGCAAATATATATAAATATATATTCTTTTATCTCCCAGTTTAATATAAGTGGTAGCTTTACAGTACATATTGCTCCTCAGCTGTCTCTTTCACCTGCTTTTTCTTGGCAACATTTTCATTTCAGGACATAAAGACTACCTTTATTGTTTGTTACAACCACATAACACTCCATGGTATAGGTCGATCGGAATTTCTTTAATTAGTCCCCTGCTGATAAATATTTAGGTTATTTTCAGTAAATGTTGTGCTAATACATACAGTGCTACAAAAACAATGTGATGCATAAGTGATTAGCACAAGTGTGAGCATCTCTGTAGGGAAAATTTCTTAAAACAGAATTGCTAGGTCAAAGTAGTACCTTTGTAATTTTCATAGAGATTTCCAAAGTTCCCCTTCATTGAGATATTTTGCATATTCTTTATATAAATATAGAAGGATATATATAATTATGTAAATGATTTTATATTGTATATATCATTTTGCAAATTGTTCTTAATTTATCATAAGATTTACCCATATTGATTGAGCTTTAGGTCATTTTTCACTTCCATATAGTATTTCAGGCATGAATATTCCACAGTTTATTTTCATTTCCCTTTTGATGGGCATTTAGTTTGTTTCTAGGATTTTGCTAAACATGATGCAGTGAAAAGTTACTTATTAATCTTTGTTGCATACATGTCCAAGATTTCTCTAGGGAACACATATACATGGAATTAATGGGTCAGGGAGTGTGTTCTTTTTCTGCTTTAGGAGACGGTTCTTTTCAGGATGGTTGCACTTCCTGTTGCAGTGTTAAGTGTGTTGCTCTTGTCCCATGTCTTTGTTAACACTTGGTAACATCCAACTTTTACATTTTTTTGCCAGTATATATGAAGTGGTGTCTCGTTGTCATTTTAACTGTATATCTCTAATAGCGGGCTTGAATATGTTTTCATATGTTCACAGGAGCTCCTTGAGTTTTCTTTCCTGTGAATTGCCCTCTTACCCTTTTCTCATTTTTCTGTTGGATTGCCTATCTTTATCCTAATGATTTAGAAGCCTGTGTTTTTTGGCTGTACAGCACTGCCCCTTATGTAACAGAAGAGTATGAATGTGTTGAGTATAACTGAACCTGTCCTGTTTGTTGTTCTTATAGGCACAGTGTCTTATAAATGTAAGTGGTGATGCAGTGGTTTTTGTTCGTGAATCTGACTTAGAAGTGGTGTCATCTCAGCAACCTACTACCAACTGCCAGTCATCATGTACTGAAGGCGAAGTTACAACCTGAGGAAAATTAGGAAAAAAGAGCTCAACTAAATGAAATTCATCAATCTCTGTTATTTTGTCATTAATTATCTTCTTAGACTTAAAATTGAACTTGAGATAAATAAGGAAGAATTGAGTAGATTTGATTTGCCTGGAGTCTTTTGGAGGCATGAGAATTTTCTAATCTTGACATTTTGTTTGCCTGTTCTAGACAGGCCCTGTGGGGTCTTGACCCTTCAGTAAGTTAAGATAAATTTTTAAAAGAACCGTAGCAAAGATGGAACCTTTGTAATTTATGTTGATTTTAATAAAATCATAATTTAAAAAATGAAATGGGAAGATTGTCAGGAAATTAGGATAGCTACTCTAGTATAATTTAGAAAAACTAAGCAAGAGATTCTCCAGTTGCTAGTGAGTAAGCACTCTGATTTGAGAAATGTGTGGGGACAATGGAGAAAAGTTTTCAGAAAACTGCTATGTAGATTTCTGAATGTGTTGTATTTTGCTGAGGAATTCGGTAACAACTGAAAGGGAAAAGTGCTTCAGCCATCTTTTGAAAACAAGTTAAAATTCTGGAACTTGTATCTGTAATACATCCTAACTCTTGTAAAAGAAAATAATTTATCATAGCTGGTGTCCTTTCATTGAAAGTTGTAATACTGTCTCTAAGGAGGGAGGAAAAGATTATTATATAATTTTATAACTGGCAACATTTGAGTTAGTATTGACTTTGTCTAAAAGAGGCTTGACTTCAACTGGGATAAAAATGTCAGTGAATTTTGTTAAAGTAGTAAAAATGCAGTTGACTTAGTAGGAACATAAAATTATTTCCTAATAAGATAATATTGCACTCCTACCAAATAAACAGGATTTTAGTAATATCTGAGGGATTGTTGATGGTGAGTTAGACTGTATTTGGCATAGAATTTGGAAATGTAACTTGAATGTAAATATGCTGCAAAATGTTGAATGTATACATAGAAAGACTTTTTCTGTCGACGCCAAATGCCCGTTGTAAATGAACCTTAAATATTACATTCCTCCTTTGCACAATAATATTTCTTTATAACACTTATGATTTTTTCCCCCAGGACAACAAACTGCCCTTAAGAGTCATTTCCTTGTTATCACAGGTGTCAATATTTTTCTGTATTTTGTTTATAATTTTATTTTTTAAATAAAAAGTGTATAAAAATAAACTGGAATATTCCTAAATCTCTTTTTTACCTCCATCATATACTACTGTCAGTTTTCTGAATCACTTTCTATCTGATCATCTCCATTCATTTCTTCAGTCAACAAACATCTATTGAGCACCTATTAAATGTAAGGCCTTGGCCTTAATTTTGGAAGGGGTGTGTGTTTGTAATTTTGGCTCTTTCATTGTTTCAGGGTAGGTAGGTATTCATTCAACAACTGTTTATTGAATGCCTGCTAGATGGCAGGGCACAGTTTTAGGCAGTGAACGAAACACACAAAAGTTCTCCCTCATAGAGCTTACAGTCAGTGTCTGCATAGGTAAATAATTTGTAAGATGTGGTAATGTAGTATTTTAATAATTGCTAATATTTATTGAATGCTTACTATGGGCAGCCAGTCTAATAAAGATGTTTTTGTATTAAGTCTTTTAATCCTTATGGAAACCTTATTGTTAAGCACCAGTTTATAGTTGAGGAAGCTGAATTGAGAGTTTATGTGATTTGCCCCAAAGACACAGTAAATAGTGGAGTCAAGATTCAAGCACAGGCAATTTGGCTCTAAAACCTACACTAGTAAGTGAGAAAATGTGAGTGTAGCTTGGAATAGAGGTACTTCCCAAAGGAGACAATGTTTTAGCTCAGTCAGGAAAAGTAGTTCACTGGAATTGGGTATTCCCAGTTTATTCATCCATGCATCCATTCGTCCAGCCGTTTGTCCATCCAGCAGCTGTTACGTGATTGCATAGTGTGCTCCAGAGTCTTTCTAGGCAAAGGAATAATAACAGCCATTGCTAATTGGCTGTTTTGTGCCATGTCCTGTGTACATAACGATATTGCTAATAATTCATAAAACAAGCCAGGTGGGATTATCTCTATTTTAGTATGAACAATTGTATACTCATGGTGAGACCCAGACTGATTTCTGTCAAAGCTGGAGTTTCCTTAACCACCCAAACTTGCTGCCTATTTACTCACATGGGACTGTTTGCTCCTGTGGGCTACCTTTGAAGCACAATCATCTGGACCAAGATTGGTTCCTTCCAGAAAGGCTAATGTTAACCTACACCCCAAGAGCTGCTGCTCTTTCACTATGCGTACATTACCCCTGAAACATGAGCATCTGGAATGGACATGCTGGGACTTACTCTTGGAAATAGGCCAGTTTACAGCATTTACAGCAGGCTTAACATGCCCTTCATCTTTCATCACTGCTTCTAGGGGCAACGACTCAATTTAAACGAACTCACTGTCGCACTTCCTCCACCTCCTTCTCTCCCATGATGCATTGTCATCTGGCTTTTATCACCTGTTCTGCCCTTGAATTTGAACATGCCAAAGATATAAGTATTGGATTGCAGTCTTGCAGTATTATTTGGTGAGTTTTTTTTTAATGCATACAGCTTTTTCATAAGTGCATAAATGGGATTATATAAACAATGTTTAGAGTAGTTTTCTTTTTTACCCTTTTGCCTGGTTTGCTCTTCTTCCCTATCACATCCCTTCCAATCCATGTTAATAACCTAGTGTGTGTCCTTACATATTTTGAAAAATCTGTTAGATATAATTTAAATTCAACAAAATTCATCTATTTTAAGTGTATAGTTTGAGGTTGGCAAATATATTCCATCATGTAGCCAAGATATGGAACGTTTCCATCACCAATAAAGTTCCCTGGTGTCCCTCTGCAGTCAGTCTACTCCCCCTTCCATGTCAGTGGGATCTTGTGCTCAGCAACTTTCATTTGGCATAATGCTTTTTGAGATGCGTCTATGCATGGACAACATTTTTGGCCAGTAGGAATAATAGAGCTATTTTGCATTTGAGTTTGCACTTTTTTTGTGAAAATGAAAATTTCTGTCCTATGGGGTTGACTTTTTCTTGTTAATATTTAATCTGCTGTGTGTGACAATTTCCCCCCTATTTTGTTGTCTATCTTTACAGTAACTTTTCACAATATCTATACTTTTTGTTATGGACAGTGTGACCATCTTTCCTTTTTTTTAGCTTCTTAGTTAAATTGACCTCTATTCTCTCTTTGATTTTTTTTTTGGTGTGGGGGGGCTGTCCTTAAGCTTCATCAATTTTCATACATCTTGAATTGCTCTTTTGTTAGTATGTCTCCATCAGTAAAAATTTACTATTTCTTATTTCCATAAATGTTGTTACTACTTAGCCGGTTTAGCTTGAATCGGAAGTCTGGGAGATCAAAACCTATCCTCTTCCCAATACGCCACCTAATCTCATGGCACCAGTGCATAAAGACGTGGAAGCATAAAAATGTGTGTTGTGTGGAAGCAACACATTTATTTACAAACCTTTTTTTTCTTTTTCCCTCAGAGGAGGGTCATTTTCAGAGTACTTTTGGTAATCCGATCTAAGCTTTGGACCTTTTTGTCCCCCAAAATAAGCATATACATGAACTTTTGCATACTACTTCAGGAGGTTTATTGAAACCACTTATTTGACCCCAGGCTGAATAAGGAACCACGCTGAAGAAAATGTTAGGAATGGTTGGATAAATAGTATCCTAGGAAGCTTGGCTTCTTTCTAATAGAAAAGTCAAGGCACTATAAAGACTCTCAATCTCTCTCTCTCTCTACATATATATATATAATTAAATATAAATATATTTATAATATAAATCAATATATTATTTATATATAATATAAATAGTTAATAGATTAATTATTAATATATATTATATATATTATATATATAATATATAATATATATTTAATATATATAACATTTAATATATATAACATATTTCTATATAATTAGATATATTTATATATAAATTATATATTAATATACCTATATTGATATCTGAATTTATATAAAGTAGATATATAATTATATATAATTTTTTGACTTTTTTTAATAGCCAAAGATTGCAGATATTAATCTTGTACAACAGTTGTTTTAAATTATATATACATTGTGGAATGACTAGATTGAGCTAATTAGCATATGCATTACCTCACTTTTTTCTTTTGTGGTGGGACCACTGAGAATCTACTTCTCTTAGCAATTTTCAAGAACACAATACATTATTAACTGTAGTCACCATGTTGTACAATAGACTCCTTGAACTTATTCCTCCTATTTAATTGAAGTTTTGTATCCTTTGACCAACATCTCCTAAGGCCTCACCTCTGGCAACCACCATTTTACTATCTACTTCTATGAGTTCAACTTTTTTAGATTTCACATATACTATGTAAGATCATGTGGTATTTGTCATTCTTGCCTGGCTTATTTTACTTAACATTGTGTCTTCCAGGTTCATTCATGTTGTTGAAAATGGCAGAATTTCCTTCTTTTTAAAGACTGAAGAGCATCCCATTGTGTATAGATACCATATTTTCTCTATCCACTTATCTGTTTGTGGACACTTAGGTTGATTTCATAACTTGGCTATTGTGAAAAACGCTGTAATGAACATGAGAGTGCAGATACCTCTTTGACATACTGATTTCATATCCCTTGGAAACATGCAGAGTAGTGGGATTGCTGGATCGTATGGTAGTACTATTTTCAATTTTTTGGGAAGCCTCCAGACTCTTTTCCATAATGGCTGTACTAATTTATATTCTTATCAACAGCGTGCAAGGTTCCCTTTTCTCCACGTACTCTCCAACAAAGACTATATTTTTACATATAAAAAATAAAAACATAAAAATGGTTCCTCTGCTTTTTGAAAGTAAGACTGTTGTTGTCTATAAAAATCCTTTTAAATATTTGTTCATTGGAGTTTTTTTTAAAGACTATATTTTTAAATATTAACAAACCTCAAAATGTCTATGGTAAGCAGAATAATGGGCCTTCAAAGATGTCCCCAACTTAATCCCCTGTGAATATATTACCTGACATGTTAAAAACTTTGCAAATGTGATCAAGGTCAAGGCTTGAGATGGATAAATTATCCTGGTTTATCTGGGAGGGTCCTAGAATCTAACCACATGAATCCTTTAAAATGGAAACAGAGGATATAAGAGGTCAGAGAGACTCTATGTGAGTAGGACTTGACTCAACACTGCTGACTTTGAGGCAGGGGAAGAAATGTGGGCTGGGCGCGGTGGCTAACGTCTGTAATCCCAGCACTTCGGGAGGCCGAGGCGGGCGGATCAACTTGAGGTCAGAAGTTCGAGACCAGCCTGGCCAGCATGGTGAAACCCCGTCTCCACTAAAAATACAAAAATTAGCCGGGCATGGTGGTAGGCGCCTGTAATCCCAGCTATTTGGGAGGCTGAGGCATGAGAATGGCTGAGGCAGAAGTTGCAGTGAACCGAGATTGTGCCACTGCACTCCAGCCTGGGCGATAGAGGGAGACTCAGTCTCAAAATTAAAATAAAATAAGATAAAAAATAAAAAATAAAAATGTGTGTGACCTCTAGACTCTGGGAATAACTCTCAGCCGACAACAGCCAGAAACCATCTCAGTTCCACAATACAAGAAACTGAATTATGCCAGAAATTCAAATGAACAAGGAAGTGTGTTCTCCCCTAGGGTTTCCAGAAAGGAACAGTCCCGCCAATGACTTGATTTTAGCCTGGTGAGACCCATGTCAGTTCTGACCTACTGAACTGTAAGGTAATAAGTTTGTGTTGTTGAAACCACTAAGGTTGCGGTAGCAACAGAAAACGAATACAAATTCCTATACAAGTTCAACTATAGAGATACATAAAGTATAAAATTACCGTACAGCTGTGCTATTTGTGATAATAACATCTAATAGAAAATGCTTCACAAATTCAAGATACACGCACTGTCATCTCTCTTATTTTTCCTAACAATTTTGTGTATACCCATATGAATAATTAGCGGAAGTCCAGACTCTCCTGCCTGTAAGCGCTTCTCTACTTCTGGAATCGTCCAACAACTCCAGGGCTCAATGAAGTCCCCAAAGGGTTAACGGCTTCCACATCCAAGCGGCTACAGTGCAGGAATCTTCTCGGTTCACTGTTGTGTCTGCTTCTTATAATCACACGGTGGCGCTGTTGGAATGAGTTCCACACAGAACAGGGAAGTAGCTCCTCTCCCCAGGTGATGATGCGGTACTAACCAAGACTCCTGCACAGGCTTCCAGGGGTCTTTAGGCCATGCCTAATTCAGCCAAGAAAGTCTGCTCAGGTTCAGTTCCCAGTGCTCAACCCTCTAGTTCTCATTCACAGCTGACTCCCAGTGGACCAGGAAGCCCCAGGGGCTCCTTATCATAACTGGTTCTGGGGTCTGTCACTTCATAGCGATATCCTCAAGTGCTTCCCACGGACCTTTCCCTTATTCCCCAAAGGGAATCATGCCAGGAAATTCCAAAGTATTCGTACATATCCTTCTAAAGGGAGTTTAGCAATGTCAGGATGATTTTCTGGTAATAGAGGACTTGCTGATACCTCTCATTACAGTTAATCTTTTAGAGCATAATTCAACTTTTAAAAGGATCTTTATATGGCAAAATGTATTATTTTTTCATGTTTATTTATTTTTATTTTTATTATTTTATTTTTCCATAAGTTATTGGGGTGCATGTGGTGTTTGGTTACATGAGTAAGTTCTTTAGTGGTGATTTGTGAGATTTTGGTGCACCTATCACCTGAGCAGTATACACTGCACCATATCTGTAGTCTTTTATCCCTCCCCCTCCTTCCACTCTTCCCCCCAAGTCTCCAAAGTCCATTGTATCATTCTTATGCCTTTGTGTCTCATAGCTTAGCTCCCACATATCAGTGAGAACATATGATGTTTGGGTTTCCAATCCTGAGTTACTTCACTTAGAATAATAGTGTCCAATCTCATCCAGGTCACTGCAAGTGCTGTTAATTCATTCCTCTTTATGGCTGAGTAGTATTCCATCATATATATATATATATTATGGATATATATATATATTATGGATATATATATATATATCACAGTTTATCCACTAGATTGATGGGCATTTGGGTTGGTTCTACGATTTTGCAATTGTGAATTGTGCTGCTATAAACATGCGTGTGCAAGTATCTTTTTCAAATAATGACTTCTTTTCCTCTGGGTAGATACCCAGTAGTAAGATTGCTGGATCAAATGGTAGTTCTACATTTAGTTCATTAAGGAATCTCCACACTGTTTTCCATAGTGGCTGTACTAGTTTACAGTCCCACCAGCAGTGTAGAAGTGTTCCCTGATCACCACATCCATGCCAACATCTACTGTTTTTTGATTTTTGATTATGGCCATTTCCCTGGGAGTAAGGTGATATCGCATTGTGGTTTTGATTTGCAATTCCCTGATCATGAGTGAAGTTGAGCATTTTTTCATATGTTTGTTGGCCATTTGTATATTTTTTCTTACTGATTTGTTTGAGTTTGTTGTAGATTCTGGATGTTAGTCCTTTGTCAGATGTATAGATTGTGAAGACTTTCTCCCACTCTGTGGATTGTCTGTTTACTCTGCTGACTGTTCCTTTTGCCATGGAAAAGCTCTTTAATTAGGTCCTAGCTATTTATCTTTGTTTTTATTGCATTTGCTTTTGGGTTTTTGGTCATGAAATCCTTGCCTAAGCCAACGTCTAGAAGGGTTTTTCCAATGTTGTCTTCTAGAATTTTTAGTTTCAGGTCTTAGGTTTAAGTCCTTAATCCATCTTAAGTTGATTTTTGTATGAGGTGAGAGATGAGGATGCAGTTTAATTCTCCTACATGTGGCTAGCCAATTATCCCAGCACCATTTGCTGAAAAGAGTGTCCTTTCCCCACTTTATGGTTTTGTTTGCTTTGTCGAAGATCAGTTGGCTGGAAGTATTTGGGTTTATTTCTGGTTCTCTACTCAGTTCCATTGGTCTATGTGCCTATATTTTTTACCAGCACCACACTCTTTTAGTGACTATGGTCTTATAGTATAGTTTGAAATCAGGTAGTGTGATGCCTCCAGACTTGTTCTTTTTGCTTAGTCTTGCTTTGGCTATGCAGGCTCTTTTTTGGTTCCATATGAATTTTAGAATTATTTTTTCTAACTCTGTGAAGAATGATGGTGGTATTTTGATGGGGATTGTGTTTAATTTGTGGATTACTTTGGCAGAATGGTCATTTTTACAATATTGATTCTACCCATCCATGAGCATGGGATGCGTTTCCATTTGTTTGTATTGTCTGTGATTTCTTTCAGCAATATTTTGTAGTTTTTCTTGTAGAGGTCTTTCGACTCCTTTGTTAAGTATATTCCTAAGTATTTTATTTTATTTGCGGCTACTGTAAAGGGGGTTGAGTTCTTGATTTGATTCTCCGCTTGGTTGCTGTTGCTGTGTAGAAGAGCTATTGATTTGCGTGCATTAATCTTGTATCTGGGAATTTTGTTGAATGCTTTTATCAGTTCTAGGAGCTTTCTGGAAGAGTTCCTGGGGTTTTCAAGGTAAACGATCATATCATCAGCAAATGGGGACAGTTTGACTTTCCTCTTTACTGATTTGGATGCCCTTTATTTCTTTCTCTTGTCTGATTTCTCTGGCTAGGACTTCCAATACTATGTTGAAGAGGAGTGGTGAGAGTGGGCATCCTTGTCTCATTCCTGTTCTCAGAGGGAGTGCTTTCAATTTTTCCCCATTCAGTATTATGTTGGCTGTGGGTTTGTCATAGATGGATTTTATTACATTAAGGTATGTCCCTTGTATGTTGATTTTGCTGAGAATTTTAATCATAAAGCATGCTGGATTTTGTCTAATGCTTTTTCTGTATCTACTGAGACGATCATGTGATTTTTGTTTTTACTTCTGTTTAGGTGGTGTATCGTATTTGTTGACTTGTGTATGTTAAACCGTCCCTGCATCTCTGGTATGAAACCCAGTTGATCATGGTGGATTATCTTTTTGATATGTTGTTGGATTTGGTTAGCTAGTATTTTATTAAGGATTTTAGCATCTAACTTCATCAAGGATATCTGTCTGTAGTTTTCTTTCGTGGTTGTGTCCTTTCCTGGTTTTGGTATTAGGGTGATGCTGGCTTCATAGAATGAATTAGGGAGGGTTCCTTCTTTATCTTGTGGAATAGTGTCAAAAGGATTGGTACCAATTCTTCTTTGAATGTCTGGTAGAATTCTTCTGTGAATCCATCTGGTCCTGAACATTTTTTTGTTGGTAATTTTAAAATCACTGTTTCAGTCTCACTGCTTGTTATTGGTCTGCTCAGGGTATCTAATTCTTCCTGATTTAAGCTAGGAGAGTTGTATTTTTCTGGGAATTTATCCATCTCGTCTAGGTTTTCTAGTTTATGTGCGTAAAGTTGTTCATAGTAGCCCTGAATGATCTTTTGTATTTCAGTGGTGTCAGTTGTAATATCTCCTGCTTCATTTCTTAGTGAGGTTATTTGAATTTTCTCTCCTTTTCTTGGTTAATCTTACTAATGGTCTATCAATTTTATTTATCTTTTCAAAGAACCAGCTTTTTGCTTCATTTATTGTTTGTATTTTTTTGTTTGTTTCAGTTTCACTTGGTTCTGCTCTGATCTTGGTTATTTCCTTTATTCTGCTGGGTTTGGGTTTGGTTTTGTTCTTGTTTCTCTAGTCCCTTGAGGTGTGACCTTAGATTGTCTGTTTGTGCCCTTTCAGACTTTTTGATATAGTTGTTTAGGGCTATGAACCTCTTATCATTGCCTTAACTGTATCCCAGAGGTTTTTGATAGGTTGTGTCATTCTTGTCATTCAGTTTGAATAATTTTTTAATTTCAATCTTGATTTTGTTTTTGACCCAATGCTCATTCAGGAGCAGGTTATTTAATTCCCATGTATTTGCGTGGTTTTGAAGGTTCCTTTTGGAGTTGATTTCCAGTTTTATTCCACTGTGGTCTAAGAGAGTGCTTGATATAATTTCAATTTTTTTAAATTTATTGAGGCTCATTTTATGGCCTATCATAGGGTCTGTCTTGGAGAAAGTTCCATGTGCTGTTGAATAGAATGTGTGTTCTGAGGTTGTTGGATGAAATGTTCTGTATATTTCTGTTAAATCCATTTGTTCCATGGTATAGTTTAAATCCATTGTTTCTTTGTTGACTTTCTGACTTGATGACCTGTCTAATGCTGCCAGTGAAGTATTGAAGTCCCCCACTATTATTTTATTGCTATCTATCTCATTTCTTAGGTCTGTTAGTAATTGTTTCATAAATTTGGGATCTCAGGTGTTCGATGCATATATGTTTAGGATTGTGATATTTTCCTGTTGGACAAGGCCTTTTATCAATATATAATGTTTCTCTGTGTCTCTTTTAACCGCTGTTGCTTTAAAGTTTGTTTTATCTGATATAAGAATAGCTACCACTGCTCACTTTTGGTGTCCATTTGCATGAAATGCCTTTTTCCACCCCTTTATTTTAAGTTTATGTGAGTCCTTATCTGTTAGGTGAGTTTTTTGAAGGCAGCAGATGGTTGGTGAGCTCTTATCCATTCTGTGGCTCTCTATTTTTTAAGTGGGGCACTTAGGCATTTACATTCAACGTTAATATTGAAATGTTAGGTACCATTGCACTGATCATGCTCTTTGTTGCCTATGTACTTTGTTTTGTTTTTTGTTTTTGCTTTTTTAACTTATATTTTTGTTTTATAGGTCCTGTGTGACTTATGCTTTAAAGAGGTCCTGTTTTGATGTGTTTCTAGGATTTGTTTCAGGATTTAGAGCTCCTTTTAGCAATTCTTACAGTGGTTGCTTGGTAATGGCAAATTCTCTCAGCATTTGTTTATCTGAAAATGACTGTATCTTTCCTTCATATCATGCTTAGTTTCACTGGATACAAAGTTTTTGGCTGATAATTGTTTCGTTTGAGTAGGCTGAAGATAGGGCCTCAATTCCTTCTAGCTTGTAGGGTTTCTGCTGAGAAATCTGCTGTTAATCTGATGGGTTTTCCTTCATAGGTTACCTGGTGCTTCTGTCTCACAGCTCTTAAGATTCTTTCCTTCATCTTAACTTTGTATAACCTGAGGACAATGTGCCTGGGTGAAGATCTTTTTGCGGTGAATTTCCCAGGTGTTCTTTGTGCTTCTTGTATTTGCATGTCTAGGTCTCTAGCAAGGCTGGGGAAGTTTTCCTTGATTATTCCCCCAAATATTGTTTTCCAAGCTTCTAGAATTGTCTTCTTCCTCAGGAACACCGATTATTCTTAGGTTTTGTCATTTAACACAATCCCAGATTTCTTGGAGGCTTTGTTCATATTTTCTAATTCTTTTTTCTTTGTCTTTGTAGAAGTGGGTTAATTTGAAGACCTTGTCTTCGAGCTCTGAATTTTTTTCTTCCACTTGTTCAGTTCTATTGCTGAGACTTTCCAGAGCATTTTGCATTCCTGAAGTGTATCCAAAGTTTCCTGAATTTTTGATTTTTTGTTTAAGTTATCTATTTCCTTGGATATTTCTCCCTTCTCTTCTTGTATCATTTTTTGGATTTCGTTGCATTGGCCTTTGCCTTTCTCTGGCCCCTCCCTGATTAGCTCAATAACTAACCTCCTGAATTCTTTTCAAGATAAATAAGAGATTTCGTCTTGGTTTGGATCTATTGCTGGTGAACTAGTGTGATTTTTGAGGGGGTATTGATGAGCCTTGTTTTGTCATATTACCAGGGTTGGTTTTCTGGCTCCTTCTCATTTGAGTAGGTTCTGTCAGAGTCTAGGGCTGAAAGATGTTGTTTGGATTTTTTTGTCCCATGGAGTGTTCTGTTGGTGTAGTACTCTCCCACTTTTCCTGTGGTTGTGGCTCCCTGTGAGCTGAACTGCAGTGATCGTTGTCTCTCTTCTGGGTCTAGGCATTCAGAGAGTCTACCCAGCTCTGGGCTGGTACTAGGGGTTGTCTGCACAGAGTCCTGTGATGCGAACCATCTATGAGTTTCTCAGCCATGGATACCAGTGCCTGTTCCAGTGGAGGTGGCAGAGGGTGCAATGTACTTTGTGGGGGCCCTTAGCTTTGGTGGTTTAATGCTCTATTTTTGTGCTGGTTGGCCTCCTGCCAGGAGGTGGCACTTTCCAGAAAGCATCAACTGTAGTAGTGTGGAGAGGGGCCAGTGATGGGTGGGGCCCAAGAACTCCCAAAATTATATGCCCTTTGTCTTCCACTACCAGGGTGGGTAGGGAAGGACCAGCAGGTGGGGGTGGGGCTAGGTGTGTCTGGGCTCAGACTCTCCTTGGACGGGTCTTGCTGTGGCTGCTGTGGGGCATGGGGTGAGATTCCCAGATCACTGGAGTTGTGTACCTAGGAGGATTATGGCTGCTTCTGTTGAGTCATGCAGGTTGTCAGGGAAGTGGGAGAAAGCCGGCAGTCACAGACCTCACCCAGCTCTCACACAAACCAAAGGGCCAGTCTCACTCCCACCGTGCCTACCACAACAGTCCGAGTCTGTTTCCAGGTGCAGGGCGAGACAGGCTTGAAAACTTGCCCGAGGCTTTCTGTCTCCTAGCCGCGAAAGAAAAGAGCTTTAGTTCTTCCCCTGCCTGTGAAGTCTGCAAGCCAGATTTGTACCCTCCCCCAAGTTCTGACTAGGAGGTTTCTCACCTCGTTCAAATTGTTACAAAGTTCAGCCAGGGAATTCCTTCTCCCTGTGGAGTTTTACCCTCTGCTCTTCTGGCCACCCTCCTGATGGATCCCTGCGGTGCCAGGCAGGAATGGGCAGCTTGGGGACCCACTGAGCCCCCAGGGCCTTTCTGCTGCTTTCTCTACCCCTGTATTTTGTTTGGCTCGGCTCTCTAACTTGACTCAGCTCCAGGTAAAGTTGGAAACTTCTCCCACAAACAGACCTTCAGCTTCTCCAGTGGGGGTGTGTGTTCAGAAGAGGAGGGTCTCCCTTTCCAACTTCCACAGTTGGGGCACTCACAGTATTTAGGGTGTCTCCCAGGTCCCGCAGGAGCCGTTCGCTTCCTTCAGAGGGTCTGTGGCTCCTCTCAGGATTGCTGGTTTGTTCTTACAGCCAATCTGGAGCTAAAATTCACAGTGCAAGCATCTGTATGTTGCTCTCTCCGGAGCTGCAATCTAGTCCAGCCTCCCATCTGCCATGATCCCTACAGGCTAAAATTTATTAATCTTTTAAGTATTTAACTTTGTATGACTGTTGGCTTCTGTTTTAACAAATTCTTCCTTGCCACAAAGTCAAAATTTATTGGAGTATATTGAGGTCTAGTTATATGCGAAAAATTTTACCTGTTTTGTGTGTGGAATTCCATAAATTTTGAAAAGCACTTGTAGTTGTGTAACCATCATTGTAAACAAGATCTAGAACATTTCCATCACCCGAAAAAGTTTCTTCCTGCCCCTATGTAATGAATCCCCTCTACCAGCACCCAAACCCTGAAACTGCTGATCTGTTTTTTGTTCCCAAGTTTACCTTTGCAAGAATGTTATATAAATGGAATAATTCAGAATGTTTCCTTTTGAGTCCAGCTTCTCTCACTTAGCATGATATATTTGAGATTCGTCTGTATTGTTCCATGTATTAACACTTCATTCCCCCCTTTATTTCTGAGTAGTGTTCTATCATATGGATGCAACACAATATGTTTATCCATTCACCAACTGGTGTCCACTGGGTTGTTTCTAGTATTTGGAGATTATTAATAAAACCCTACAAACTTTCATGTACAGGTCTTCTTGTGAGCATAAGTTTCCATTTCTTTTGGATCAATACCTAAGGGAAGGATTGCTTATCATATGTGTCAAATGATAAGTATATGTTTAATGATATGAAATTGCCAAACTGCTTTCCAAAGTAGCTGTACCATTTTGCATTCCCACTCACAATGTATGAGGGTTCTTTTTGCGTTGCATCCTCACCAGTGCTTGGTATTCTCAGTTTGGTTTTAGCTACTCTAGTAGGTGTATCTCACTGTGATTTAAATTTACATTTTCCTAATGACTAATAATATTATGAGTAATTTTTCACATGCTCGTTTGCTATCTACATTTCTTCCTTGGTGATATGTCTGTTCAAGTCTTTTGATCATTTTTGTATTTTAAATTGATTTTTGATTGAGTTCCTCATATATTCTGTGTATCAGCGGTTTCTTATTTAAATAACATATGTGTTTTGTGGACATTTTCTTTCAATCTGTGACTTGTCTTTGCATTCTTTTAACATTATCTTTTAAGGAACAGAAGTTTTTAATTTTGATGAAGTGATGAAGTCCAATTTATCATTTTTTAATTTTGTGGTTCATGCTTTTTGTGTTCCACCTAAGAAATGTTTGCCTAATGCAGATCACAAAGATTATCTGGAAGTTTCAGAGTTTTTGGCTCTACATTTAGGTGTGTGATCATTTCAAATTACACTTTTATATGGTGTCAGGTTTGGTCAAGGTTGGTTTGTTTGTTTTTGCATATAATGTTCAACTGCTCCAGCACTATTTGTTGAAATGACTAGCTTTTCTTCATTGAATTGATTTGACATCTTTGTTGAAAATTGTTTGGTCACATATATATGAATTTATTTCTGGAGTCTGTCATGTGTTCCGCTGATCTGCAAGTCTGCTCCTTTTCCAATACTGCACTTCTTGATTCCTGAAACTTATAGTTAGTCGGCAAATAAAGGAATGTAAACCCTCCAACTTTGTTCACATTTTTTCAAATAAACCTTTTGGCTATTCTAGTTTTTTGTTTGTTTTTTTCCTCCATAAAATTAGAATAGGTCTTACAATTTTTATTTAAAACAAGCCCCAAGCTGATATTTTTGATTGAAATTGTGTTGAATCTATAGACCAGTTGAGAGAGCATTGACAGCTTAACAATATTGAGTCTTCCAATTCATAAACATTGTATTGCCCTCTGTTTATTTGATTCTCTCATCAATGTTTTAGAGTTTTTAGCACGCAAATCTTATTCATCTTTGGGGGCATTATATTGATTTCAGATTTATTTTGGTCTTATTATAATGGTACTGTTTTAGTTTTAATTTTAATTTCCAGAAATTATTTATTTTTAGTATATACAAATATAATTGATTTTTTACATCGATCTTATATCCTGCAGCCATTTATTAATTTTAGTATCTTTTTGTAGAATCATTTCCAGGTTTCTATCAGTGGAGTTACCCATTGTCATGATAACAAATAGTAATAGTTTTATTTCTTTCTTTTCAATCTGGATGATTTTTACTTCTTTTTCTTGTTTCTTATTAAATTGGCCATATTAATAATTATTTTAGTAAATTATTAAGTACAATGTATAGTGGTAAGAGTGGACATCCTAGCCTTGTTCCAGCTCTTAGGGGGAAGGCATTTAGTATTTCACCGTTAACTGTGATGTTATCTGCATGGTTTTCTAAAATGCTCTTTAAATTTTGTCAAATGTTTATTCTGCATCTATCAATGTGATTACATGGATTTTCTTCTTTAGTTTGTTGACATCATGAATTACACTTATTGATTTTTAGAAACTAAACCAAATGTTCCCTCTTCTTCTACTTTACAGAAGAGTTTATCTACAATTGATGCTGTTTGATCCATAAATGTGTGATAGAATTTGCCAGCAAAGGTATCCAACACTTGAGTTATCTTTGTTGGCAGGTCTTTAACTATGAATTAAATCTATTAATAAATATAGGGCTATTTAGGTTATCCTTTTCTTTTTGTTTAAACTTTGGCAGTTTGTGTCTTTCAAGGAATTTGTCCCTTTTTTCCTCAATTGTTGACTTTATTGGCATAGAGTTATTCGTAATATTATCTTCTTATTTTTTTTTAATATCTGTAGAATCTGTAGTGATATGTCTGCTATTATTCCAGATATTGGTAATTTGTGTCTTCCTTTTTTTTTTTCCTCAATCACGTCAGTTTGGATAGAAGTTCATTTCATCTATTGATCTTTTCAAAGTACTGACTTTTGATGTCATTGATGTTTTTCCCTATTTTTCTCGGTTTTGGTTTTGTTTCTGCTCTTTTTTTAAAATTAAAAATATATTTAGGAGGTACAAGTGCAGACTTCTTACATGTATCCATTGCATAATGGTGAAGTCTGGGCTTTTAGTGTACCAATTACCAAACAGTGAACATTGTACCCAATAGGTAATTTTTCACCCCTCACTCCTCTTCCTACCTCCCACATTTTGTAGTTCCCAATATCTATTATTCCACTGTCTATGTCCATGTGTACCCATTGTCTAGCTCCCATTTATAAGTGAGAGCATGCAGCATGTGACTTTCTGTTTCTGAGTTATTTCACTTAGGACAATGGCCTCCAGTTCCATCCATGTTGCTGCAAAAGACATGATTTCATTCTTTTTTATTGCTGAGTAGTATCCCATGTGTGTGTGTATGTGTGTGTGTGTATATATATATATATATATATATACACACACACATAAATATATCTCCATGGTGTGTGTATGTGTGTATATATATGTGTGTGTGTATATATATATATATATATATATATATACACACACACACCATGGAGATATATATATGTGTACATATGTATATATATATATATTTACATATATATACACACATATTCACACACCCTGGAGATACACACACACACACACACACCATGGAATACTACTCAGCAATAAAAAAGATATATATATCATATATCTCTATATATATCTATATATCTCTATATATATCTATATATATCTATATATCTCTATATATATCTATATATCTCTATATCTCTATATATCTATATATCTATCTCTATATATCTATATATATCTATATATCTATATCTATATATCTATATATATCTATATATCTATATATCTATATATCTCTATATATCTCTATATATCTATATATCTATATATCTCTATATATCTATATATCTATATATCTATATATCTCTATATATCTATATCTATCTATATATCTATATCTATCTATATCTATCTATATATCTATATATATCTATATATCTATATATATCTATATATCATATATATCTATATATATCTATATATCATATATATCTATATATATCTATATATCATATATATCTATATATCATATATATCTACATATCATATATATCTATATATATCATATATATCTACATATATCATATATATCTATATATCATATATATCTATATATCATATATTTATATATATCATATATCTATATATATTTATATATATCATATATCTATATATATTTATATATATCATATATCTATATATTTATATATATCATATATCTATATATATTTTTATATATCATATATCTATATATATTTTTATATATCATATCTATATATATCACATTTACTTTATCCAATCCTCCACTGATGGACACTAAGGTTGATTCCATCTCTTTGCTATTGTGAATAACTGCTGTGATAAACATGAGTGCGGTGTATTTTTGAATAATGATTTATTTCCCTTTGCATATATACCCCGTAGTGGGATTGCTGGATTGAATGGTAGTTTTATTTTAAGTTCTTTGAGAAATCTCCATACTACTTTCCATAAAGGTTGTACTAATTTACATTACCACCAACAGTGTACAAGCATTCTTTTTTTCTCCACATCCTCACCAACATATGTTGTTTTTAGACTTTTTAATAGTAGCATTCTGAGTGATGTAAGATGATATCTCATTGTGATTTTAATTTGTATTTCTCTGACCATTAGTGAGGTTGAGCAGTTTCGTATGTTTGTTGGCTGGGTAATATTGGCCTCATTGAATGAATTAGGGAGAATTCCCTTCTCAATTTTTTGGAATAGTTTCAGGAAGGTTGGTATTAGCTCTTCTTTGTATGTTTTGTGGAATTAAGCTGTGAATCCCTCTGGTCCTGGGATTTATTTGGTTGGGAGTTTTTTTTCTTTTATTACTGATTCAGTTTTGCTACTCATTATTGGTCTGTTTAGGAGTTTCATTTCTTCATGGTAAAATCTCAGGAGGTTGTGTGTTTTCAGGGATTTACCCATTTCCATGAAGTTTTCTAAAGTATGCCTACTCTTATCTTTATTATTTCCGTTTTCTAAATGCCTTTAGTTTAATTTGCTCTTTTTTAAAGTTTCTCAAAGTGGAAGCCTAGAGCATTTATTTAAGGCTTTTCTTCTTCTCTAATGTAAGCATTTAATGTAATACATTCCCCTTTATATACTGCTTTTACTAGAGCCACACTTTTTGATACTGTTTTCTTTTTTAATTAATTCAAAATATTTTATATTTTCCCTTGTAACTTTCACTTTGACACATGGGTATTTAAAAGGGTGATGTTTAATTTCCAAATATTTAGGTACTTTCCAGATATATTTCTGTTGTTGATTTTTAGTTTCATTTTTGTTCGGAGGACATACTTTTTATGACTTCAACTCTTTTAAATTTATTAAGACTTACTTTATGGCCTGGAATATAACCTATCTTATTGGATTTTCCATATGCATTTAGAAAAATGTTTATACTCCTTTTGTTGGGTGGCATTTTCTATAAATGGTAATTAGGTTAAGTTAGTTGATAGTGTTGTTTAAGTCTTCCATAGTCTTACTAATTTTTTCTTTTTTTTTGAGACAGAGTCTTGCTCTATCACCCAGGCTGGAGTGCAGTGGCATGATCTTGGCTTACTGCAAACTCTGCCTCCTGGGTTCAGGTGATTCTCATGCCTCAGCCTCCCCGAGTAGCTGAGACTACAGGTGTGGGCAATCACATTTGGCTAATTTTTGTATTTTTAGTAGAGACAGGGTTTCGCCACATTGCCCAGGTTGGTCTGAAACTCCTGGGCTCAAGCCATCTGCCAGCCTCGGCCTCCCAAAGTGCTGAGATTACAGGAGTGAGCCACCGCGCCTGCCCAGTCTTACTCATTTTGTTTCCACTTGTTCTCTTGACACTGAGAGAGGAGTATAGAAGTCTGGAGAATAGTGGTAGTTTAGCCTATTTCACTTTTTCGTTCTATTAATTTTTTGCTTCGTTTATTTAGAAGCTCTGTTGTTAGATGCATATACATTTAGAATTATGATATCTTCTTGGTGAATTGAACCTTCTATTATTATGCTGTGTCCCTCTTTATCCCTGTTAATATTCCTTTTATAGAAGTCTACTTTGTGTGAAATTAGTATAGCCACTTTAGCTTTTTTGTAGAAAAAACAATTTATCTTTTTTTTAAAAAAAAACTTTCTTCTTTTTAGCCAATGTATATTTTTATATTTAAACTTGGTTTTCTTATAGACTGCATATGGTTGGTTTCTTTTGTTTTTTCTAATCTGACAATCTTTGTTTTATAAATAACCTAAAACAAAGGTTTTAAGTAACCTAAAACAAAGATTGTCAGATTAGAAAAACATTTATTTTAGTGTAATTATTGATAGAATTATATTAAACCTATATTTTAATGTAATTTAAACCATTTATTTTAATGTAGTTATTAATAGGATTATATTAAAACCTACCATCTTGCTAGTTATTTGCTATTTGTTCCATATGTTCTTAGTTTCTTTTTATCCTTTCTTTCTGTCTGCTTTCAAATCAATTGCATATTTTTTTTTCTGATTTTATTTTATCTCCACTATTGGCTTATAAGTTATGTCTCTTCTTAAGCAAGTTTTAATGGTTGTTCTAAGCTTTTCAACATATACTTTTAATTTATCACAGTCTACCTTAAAATAATATTACAGTACTTTGTACTTAAAATAAGCTAGCAGAATTAGTTTGTGTTTGTAGAATATTCTCTGAATGATTTCAATCAACTTTATTATTTACTTTTTACATTCTTCTTCCTTTAGATTTTATTAGTGTTTTTGATTCTAGCTTCATGGGATGAATGCTTAGTGTATTTATTGTCAGTCTCGGTTTCTAATAAGTATATTTGAAGTTATAAATTCACCTACAATTTCCCTACTAGCATTCCAAAAGTTTTTTGTTTTTAACTTTTATTTTAAGTTCGGGGTATAAGTGAACGTTTGTTACGTAGGTAAACTTGTGTCATGGGGTGTTGTTGTACAGATTATTTCATCACCCAGGTGTTAAGCCTAGTACCCATTCATTGTTTTTCCTGATCCTCTCCCTCCTCCCCTTCTCCATCCTCTGAAAGGCCCCACTGTGTGTTGTTCCCCTCTATGTGTCCATGTGTTCTCATCATTTAGGTCCCACTTATAAATGAGAACATGCGGTATTTGGTTTTCTGTTCATGTGTTAGTTTGCTAAGGATAATGACCTACAGTTCCATCCATGTCCCTGCAAAGGACATGATCTTGCTCTTTTTTATGGCTGCATTGTATTCCATGGTGTATATGTACCACATTTTCTTTTTTCAGTCTATTATTGATGGGCATTTAAGTTTATTTCATGTCTTTCCTATTGTGAATAGTGCTGCAATAAACATATGTGTGCATGTGTCTTTATAACAGAATAATTTATATTCCTTTGGGTATATACAAAGTAATGGGATTGCTGGGTCAAATGATATTTCTGTCTTTAGGTGATTGGGGAATCACCACACTGTCTTCCACAATGGCTGAGCTAATTTACACTCCCACCAACAGTGTATAATTGTTCCTTTTTCTCCACAACCTCGTCAGCATCTGTTATTTTTTGACTTTTTAATAGTAACCATTCTGACTGGTGTGAGATGGTATCTCATTGTGGTTTTGATTTCCATTTCTCTAATGATCAGTGATGTTGAGCTTTTTTTCATATGATTGTTGGCCGCATGTATATCTTCTTTGGAAAAGTGTCTGTTCATGTCCTTTGCTGACTTTTTAATGGAGTTTTTTTTTCTTGTAAATTTGTTTAAGTTTCTTATAGATGCTGAATATTAGACCTTTGTTGGGTGCATAGTTTGCAAAATTTTTCTCCCATTCTGTAGGTTGTCTTTTGGCTCTGTTGATAGTTTCTTTTGCTGTGCAGAAGCTCTTTAGTTTAATTAGATCCTGTTTGTCAATTTTTGCTTTTGTTGAAATTGCTTTTGGCATCTTTGTCATGACATCTTTGCCCATGCCTATGTCCTGAGTGATATTGCCTACGTTGTCTTTCAGGGTTTTTATAGTTTTGGGTTTTACATTTAAGTCTTTATTCCATCTTGGGTTAATTTTTTATATGGTGTAAAAGGGGTCCGGTTTCAATCTCCTGCATGTGGCTAGCCAGTTATCCCAGCACCACTTATTGAATAGGAAGTCCTTTCCTCATTGCTTGTTTTTGTCAGGCTTGCCAAAGATCAGATAGTTGTAGTGTGCAGTTTTATTTCTAGGTTCTCCATTCTGTTCCATTGGTCTATGTGTCTGTTCTTGTACCAGTACTATGCTGTTTTTGTTACTGCAGCCCTGTAGTGTAGTTTGAAGTCATGTGGCATGATACTTCCAGCTTTGTTCTTTTTGCTTAGGATTGACTTGGCTACTGGGGCTCTTTTTTGGTTCCATATGAATTTTAAAATATTTTTTTCTATTTCTATGAAGAATGTCAATGTCAATGGTAGTTTAATGGAAATAGCATTGAATCTATAAATTGCGTTGGGCAGTATGGCCGTTTTAATAATATTGATTCTTCCTATCCATGAGCATGGAATGTTTTTCCATTTGTTTGTGTCCTCTCTGATTTCTTTGAGCAGTGTTTTGTAGTTCTCCTTGTAGAGATCTTTCACCTCCCTAGTTAGCTGTATTCTTAGGTATTTTATTATTTTTTTGTGACAGTTGTTTATAAGAATTCATTCGTGATTTAGTTCTCTGCTTGGCTGTTGTTGGTGTATAGGAATAGCATTCCAAAAGTTTTATGCAGTGCTTTTATTTTTTTAACTCTGAATACTTATAATTATCATGATGATTTCTTGATTAACCTATGAATTATTTAGATGTGTATTTCCAGTCTCCAAATGTATAGTTTATTTTTTCCACTTAGTTGTTTTTCTAATTAATTTGCATAATGATAGATATTGTTATCTAAATAATTTTTTTTGAAAATTGCTGAAAATTTCCTGGTTGTTTGCCTTTTTAATTTGTAATTTCATGTGTGCTTGAAAAGAAAATGCATTGTTTATTTGTTACATGCAAAGTTATATATCTTTATCATCTATCGTCTATCATCATGTATCTATAAAATCAAACTTATTAACTATAATTAAATTTTCTATATTTTTATCAATATTTTTGTCAATATGCTCTATCAATTTCTGAGAAATGTGAATGTGGTATATTAATTTTATTGATGGTGTAGGGAAGGGGAAAAAACTTTTTTCTTTGTGTTCAGTGGCTGGGGCCCTACAAATTAGACTGGCAAACCAGTATAATTTTCTGCTGTTAAATACGTTAACAGCAGAAAAAGTTTGTTATTGCATATGCATATACAGGCCATTATAGAAAATTAAAGACACCAAAGAAGTGATAGGCCTGAGGGCTTATATACTTTTTTTAACAAAGAATGATAAATTGTGGAAATGTGACAAGAGAGAGGAAAGGGAAATTTATGCTAGGAGAGGTAAATTGTGGGAAAGTGATTTGGAAATACATGGGGAAAGTAATGGAAAACAAAGGTTATTTTAGTGAGATTTGTTTCAGACTGATCTTGGTGTTGACTTTCTACCTTCTCGTGACTGCAAAACTCCCTCAAGAGTGGAGATATATGGTAGTCCTGATTTCTCAAAGTTGCTGCTTTAGTCAGATAAGAAAAGCCTTGAAAAGGGTTCTATCTGTATCTGTTGGTTCTCATTTGCCTCCAACCCAAAATATTCCTTATACCAAAGTGGCACATTTTGGGGTGGCATATTCTGATTCTCTTCAGTGGCCCCAATTAAATGTCTCTATAAAACCATGTGTTTAGCAATGCTACATTGCAGCTCCTGCCATCAAGATGTGGCATCAGTTTCCCCACGTGTTGAGTTTGGGCTGGCCTTCTACCTTGCATTAAACAATAGAATACATAGAAGTGATGATGTGCCCACTCTGAGCCTGGATCACAGAGGTATTGTGGGTGCTTTTGCTTTCTCTCTGGAACCTCTATTATGCCATGCCAGTCAGCCTTGTCTAGTCTGCTAGAAGGTAAGAAACTTTGTGGAGCAGAGGTAAGACATCCCAGTTGTGCCTATCTTATATTTGAATTAGTTAACTGATGATTAGATGCTATGAATAAGAATAAATGATAATTATCTTCAGGCAGTGAGTTTGGGGGTGATTTTTTTAATGAAGCAATAGCTAACTGATGTATAGCATAAAGATTTTCCACTGTAGTTATGCAGTTGTCAATTTGTCTTTATAATTCTGGCATGTTTACTTTCTATATTTTGAGACCACAACTTTAGATGCATGTAACTTTATAATTTTGATATCATCTTTGTTGTTTATATCCTTTAGCAATGTAAGTATGTATTTCACTAATGTTAAATGTGTTCCCATTAATGCATTTAAAAAATCACATTTTTATTTTGAGCAGTTCTATTATAAGCATTAACATACCAGTTTCCTTTGGAATAATTTTTTGCCTGGTACACTTTTTCTCCAACTAATTATATTTACATTCTCTATGGTGTTTTGTTCTGGTTGTGCCTCTTATATTTTGTCCACCATTTCTTTTTGTCTTTTTTTTCTTTTTCTGTTTTCTGTTGAACTAAGTTCTACTTTTGTTTTTCTCTTTCATCATTTGAAAATTGAGGTTTCAAGAAACGAATATGTAATATCATGCTTTTCCACCTGCGTGTTCTGAAGCAACTGAGAGATGAATAAGAGGGTAAGGCAGATAAAAATGTCAAATGCCACCTTTATTATTAACAAAGACTTGGAGAATCTGACTTTAAGTCTATTATCCCTGAGTTTGGCAGACTTACCTAGTCACTAGCAGTGGTGAGAAATTGCAGGACTCCTTAGGGAGGAGCAGAGCAGAGCAGAGCAGAATCTACATTCTCTGCTGGCAAGCAGATGCCAAGAAGAGAAAGGAGATCAGAAGAGTCTGGGCTAAATATTCAGCTGCTTCTCCCAAACCACCATGTAGAGAAGCCATTTTGTCTCCATCAGGGAAGAGGGAGAAGGGGTGGCCTGAGAGCCCAGAAGTACTACTTTAATAAAAATCCCACCTAGAAACATGAGTGGGGGCATAAGTGTTCCATGAAAATATGTCATGTGTTCTTTATCTATTCTTTCAGTGATTACTTCACATTTTAAATATATTGTATTAGGTTCCTGTGGTTGCTGTAACAAATGACCACAAATTTGGTTCTTTTAATCAAAGCACATTTATGCTTTTATATTCTGGATGCCAGAAAACTGAAAGCAGTTTCACTGGACCAGGATTGGGTGTCAGCAGGTCTGTGGTCTTTCCAGATGCTCTAGGGGGTGTGAATCTATTTCCTTTCCAGTTTCTAGAGCATCATTCCTTGCATGCCTTGGCTCGCTGTCCCTCCCTCCGTCTTCAAAACCAGAAGCTTAGCATCTTGCCTCAGATGTGTAATCACATTGCCCGTCTTTACTGTAATCAAATCTCCTTCTTCTTCCCTCTCATGTGGATACTTGTTATTACATTTAGGGTCCATCCAGATAATCTAGGGTAATCCCTCCATCTCTTAATTTCATCAATTATTGGTCTGTTTAGGAGTTTCATTTCTTCATGGTAAAATCTCAGGAGGTTGTGTGTTTTCAGGGATTTACCCATTTCCATGAAGTTTTCTAAAGTATGCCTACTCTTATCTTTATTATTTCCGTTTTCTAAATGCCTTTAGTTTAATTTGCTCTTTTTTAAAGTTTCTCAAAGTGGAAGCCTAGAGCATTTATTTAAGGCTTTTCTTCTTCTCTAATGTAAGCATTTAATGTAATACATTCCCCTTTATATACTGCTTTTACTAGAGCCACACTTTTTGATACTGTTTTCTTTTTTAATTAATTCAAAATATTTTATATTTTCCCTTGTAACTTTCACTTTGACACATGGGTATTTAAAAGGGTGATGTTTAATTTCCAAATATTTAGGTACTTTCCAGATATATTTCTGTTGTTGATTTTTAGTTTCATTTTTGTTCGGAGGACATACTTTTTATGACTTCAACTCTTTTAAATTTATTAAGACTTACTTTATGGCCTGGAATATAACCTATCTTATTGGATTTTCCATATGCATTTAGAAAAATGTTTATACTCCTTTTGTTGGGTGGCATTTTCTATAAATGGTAATTAGGTTAAGTTAGTTGATAGTGTTGTTTAAGTCTTCCATAGTCTTACTAATTTTTTCTTTTTTTTTGAGACAGAGTCTTGCTCTATCACCCAGGCTGGAGTGCAGTGGCATGATCTTGGCTTACTGCAAACTCTGCCTCCTGGGTTCAGGTGATTCTCATGCCTCAGCCTCCCCGAGTAGCTGAGACTACAGGTGTGGGCAATCACATTTGGCTAATTTTTGTATTTTTAGTAGAGACAGGGTTTCGCCACATTGCCCAGGTTGGTCTCAAACTCCTGGGCTCAAGCCATCTGCCAGCCTCGGCCTCCCAAAGTGCTGAGATTACAGGAGTGAGCCACCGCGCCTGCCCAGTCTTACTCATTTTGTTTCCACTTGTTCTCTTGACACTGAGAGAGGAGTATAGAAGTCTGGAGAATAGTGGTAGTTTAGCCTATTTCACTTTTTCGTTCTATTAATTTTTTGCTTCGTTTATTTAGAAGCTCTGTTGTTAGATGCATATACATTTAGAATTATGATATCTTCTTGGTGAATTGAACCTTCTATTATTATGCTGTGTCCCTCTTTATCCCTGTTAATATTCCTTTTATAGAAGTCTACTTTGTGTGAAATTAGTATAGCCACTTTAGCTTTTTTGTAGAAAAAACAATTTATCTTTTTTTTAAAAAAAAACTTTCTTCTTTTTAGCCAATGTATATTTTTATATTTAAACTTGGTTTTCTTATAGACTGCATATGGTTGGTTTCTTTTGTTTTTTCTAATCTGACAATCTTTGTTTTATAAATAACCTAAAACAAAGGTTTTAAGTAACCTAAAACAAAGATTGTCAGATTAGAAAAACATTTATTTTAGTGTAATTATTGATAGAATTATATTAAACCTATATTTTAATGTAATTTAAACCATTTATTTTAATGTAGTTATTAATAGGATTATATTAAAACCTACCATCTTGCTAGTTATTTGCTATTTGTTCCATATGTTCTTAGTTTCTTTTTATCCTTTCTTTCTGTCTGCTTTCAAATCAATTGCATATTTTTTTTTCTGATTTTATTTTATCTCCACTATTGGCTTATAAGTTATGTCTCTTCTTAAGCAAGTTTTAATGGTTGTTCTAAGCTTTTCAACATATACTTTTAATTTATCACAGTCTACCTTAAAATAATATTACAGTACTTTGTACTTAAAATAAGCTAGCAGAATTAGTTTGTGTTTGTAGAATATTCTCTGAATGATTTCAATCAACTTTATTATTTACTTTTTACATTCTTCTTCCTTTAGATTTTATTAGTGTTTTGGATTCTAGCTTCATGGGATGAATGCTTAGTGTATTTATTGTCAGTCTCGGTTTCTAATAAGTATATTTGAAGTTATAAATTCACCTACAATTTCCCTACTAGCATTCCAAAAGTTTTTTGTTTTTAACTTTTATTTTAAGTTCGGGGTATAAGTGAACGTTTGTTACGTAGGTAAACTTGTGTCATGGGGTGTTGTTGTACAGATTATTTCATCACCCAGGTGTTAAGCCTAGTACCCATTCATTGTTTTTCCTGATCCTCTCCCTCCTCCCCTTCTCCATCCTCTGAAAGGCCCCACTGTGTGTTGTTCCCCTCTATGTGTCCATGTGTTCTCATCATTTAGGTCCCACTTATAAATGAGAACATGCGGTATTTGGTTTTCTGTTCATGTGTTAGTTTGCTAAGGATAATGACCTACAGTTCCATCCATGTCCCTGCAAAGGACATGATCTTGCTCTTTCTTATGGCTGCCTTGTATTCCATGGTGTATATGTACCACATTTTCTTTTTTCAGTCTATTATTGATGGGCATTTAAGTTTATTTCATGTCTTTCCTATTGTGAATAGTGCTGCAATAAACATATGTGTGCATGTGTCTTTATAACAGAATAATTTATATTCCTTTGGGTATATACAAAGTAATGGGATTGCTGGGTCAAATGATATTTCTGTCTTTAGGTGATTGGGGAATCACCACACTGTCTTCCACAATGGCTGAGCTAATTTACACTCCCACCAACAGTGTATAATTGTTCCTTTTTCTCCACAACCTCGTCAGCATCTGTTATTTTTTGACTTTTTAATAGTAACCATTCTGACTGGTGTGAGATGGTATCTCATTGTGGTTTTGATTTCCATTTCTCTAATGATCAGTGATGTTGAGCTTTTTTTCATATGATTGTTGGCCGCATGTATATCTTCTTTGGAAAAGTGTCTGTTCATGTCCTTTGCTGACTTTTTAATGGAGTTTTTTTTTCTTGTAAATTTGTTTAAGTTTCTTATAGATGCTGGATATTAGACCTTTGTTGGGTGCATAGTTTGCAAAATTTTTCTCCCATTCTGTAGGTTGTCTTTTGGCTCTGTTGATAGTTTCTTTTGCTGTGCAGAAGCTCTTTAGTTTAATTAGATCCTGTTTGTCAATTTTTGCTTTTGTTGAAATTGCTTTTGGCATCTTTGTCATGACATCTTTGCCCATGCCTATGTCCTGAGTGATATTGCCTACGTTGTCTTTCAGGGTTTTTATAGTTTTGGGTTTTACATTTAAGTCTTTATTCCATCTTGGGTTAATTTTTTATATGGTGTAAAAGGGGTCCGGTTTCAATCTCCTGCATGTGGCTAGCCAGTTATCCCAGCACCACTTATTGAATAGGAAGTCCTTTCCTCATTGCTTGTTTTTGTCAGGCTTGCCAAAGATCAGATAGTTGTAGTGTGCAGTTTTATTTCTAGGTTCTCCATTCTGTTCCATTGGTCTATGTGTCTGTTCTTGTACCAGTACTATGCTGTTTTTGTTACTGCAGCCCTGTAGTGTAGTTTGAAGTCATGTGGCATGATACTTCCAGCTTTGTTCTTTTTGCTTAGGATTGACTTGGCTACTGGGGCTCTTTTTTGGTTCCATATGAATTTTAAAATATTTTTTTCTATTTCTATGAAGAATGTCAATGTCAATGGTAGTTTAATGGAAATAGCATTGAATCTATAAATTGCGTTGGGCAGTATGGCCGTTTTAATAATATTGATTCTTCCTATCCATGAGCATGGAATGTTTTTCCATTTGTTTGTGTCCTCTCTGATTTCTTTGAGCAGTGTTTTGTAGTTCTCCTTGTAGAGATCTTTCACCTCCCTAGTTAGCTGTATTCTTAGGTATTTTATTATTTTTTTGTGACAGTTGTTTATAAGAATTCATTCGTGATTTAGTTCTCTGCTTGGCTGTTGTTGGTGTATAGGAATAGCATTCCAAAAGTTTTATGCAGTGCTTTTATTTTTTTAACTCTGAATACTTATAATTATCATGATGATTTCTTGATTAACCTATGAATTATTTAGATGTGTATTTCCAGTCTCCAAATGTATAGTTTATTTTTTCCACTTAGTTGTTTTTCTAATTAATTTGCATAATGATAGATATTGTTATCTAAATAATTTTTTTTGAAAATTGCTGAAAATTTCCTGGTTGTTTGCCTTTTTAATTTGTAATTTCATGTGTGCTTGAAAAGAAAATGCATTGTTTATTTGTTACATGCAAAGTTATATATCTTTATCATCTATCGTCTATCATCATGTATCTATAAAATCAAACTTATTAACTATAATTAAATTTTCTATATTTTTATCAATATTTTTGTCAATATGCTCTATCAATTTCTGAGAAATGTGAATGTGGTATATTAATTTTATTGATGGTGTAGGGAAGGGGAAAAAACTTTTTTCTTTGTGTTCAGTGGCTGGGGCCCTACAAATTAGACTGGCAAACCAGTATAATTTTCTGCTGTTAAATACGTTAACAGCAGAAAAAGTTTGTTATTGCATATGCATATACAGGCCATTATAGAAAATTAAAGACACCAAAGAAGTGATAGGCCTGAGGGCTTATATACTTTTTTTAACAAAGAATGATAAATTGTGGAAATGTGACAAGAGAGAGGAAAGGGAAATTTATGCTAGGAGAGGTAAATTGTGGGAAAGTGATTTGGAAATACATGGGGAAAGTAATGGAAAACAAAGGTTATTTTAGTGAGATTTGTTTCAGACTGATCTTGGTGTTGACTTTCTACCTTCTCGTGACTGCAAAACTCCCTCAAGAGTGGAGATATATGGTAGTCCTGATTTCTCAAAGTTGCTGCTTTAGTCAGATAAGAAAAGCCTTGAAAAGGGTTCTATCTGTATCTGTTGGTTCTCATTTGCCTCCAACCCAAAATATTCCTTATACCAAAGTGGCACATTTTGGGGTGGCATATTCTGATTCTCTTCAGTGGCCCCAATTAAATGTCTCTATAAAACCATGTGTTTAGCAATGCTACATTGCAGCTCCTGCCATCAAGATGTGGCATCAGTTTCCCCACGTGTTGAGTTTGGGCTGGCCTTCTACCTTGCATTAAACAATAGAATACATAGAAGTGATGATGTGCCCACTCTGAGCCTGGATCACAGAGGTATTGTGGGTGCTTTTGCTTTCTCTCTGGAACCTCTATTATGCCATGCCAGTCAGCCTTGTCTAGTCTGCTAGAAGGTAAGAAACTTTGTGGAGCAGAGGTAAGACATCCCAGTTGTGCCTATCTTATATTTGAATTAGTTAACTGATGATTAGATGCTATGAATAAGAATAAATGATAATTATCTTCAGGCAGTGAGTTTGGGGGTGATTTTTTTAATGAAGCAATAGCTAACTGATGTATAGCATAAAGATTTTCCACTGTAGTTATGCAGTTGTCAATTTGTCTTTATAATTCTGGCATGTTTACTTTCTATATTTTGAGACCACAACTTTAGATGCATGTAACTTTATAATTTTGATATCATCTTTGTTGTTTATATCCTTTAGCAATGTAAGTATGTATTTCACTAATGTTAAATGTGTTCCCATTAATGCATTTAAAAAATCACATTTTTATTTTGAGCAGTTCTATTATAAGCATTAACATACCAGTTTCCTTTGGAATAATTTTTTGCCTGGTACACTTTTTCTCCAACTAATTATATTTACATTCTCTATGGTGTTTTGTTCTGGTTGTGCCTCTTATATTTTGTCCACCATTTCTTTTTGTCTTTTTTTTCTTTTTCTGTTTTCTGTTGAACTAAGTTCTACTTTTGTTTTTCTCTTTCATCATTTGAAAATTGAGGTTTCAAGAAACGAATATGTAATATCATGCTTTTCCACCTGCGTGTTCTGAAGCAACTGAGAGATGAATAAGAGGGTAAGGCAGATAAAAATGTCAAATGCCACCTTTATTATTAACAAAGACTTGGAGAATCTGACTTTAAGTCTATTATCCCTGAGTTTGGCAGACTTACCTAGTCACTAGCAGTGGTGAGAAATTGCAGGACTCCTTAGGGAGGAGCAGAGCAGAGCAGAGCAGAATCTACATTCTCTGCTGGCAAGCAGATGCCAAGAAGAGAAAGGAGATCAGAAGAGTCTGGGCTAAATATTCAGCTGCTTCTCCCAAACCACCATGTAGAGAAGCCATTTTGTCTCCATCAGGGAAGAGGGAGAAGGGGTGGCCTGAGAGCCCAGAAGTACTACTTTAATAAAAATCCCACCTAGAAACATGAGTGGGGGCATAAGTGTTCCATGAAAATATGTCATGTGTTCTTTATCTATTCTTTCAGTGATTACTTCACATTTTAAATATATTGTATTAGGTTCCTGTGGTTGCTGTAACAAATGACCACAAATTTGGTTCTTTTAATCAAAGCACATTTATGCTTTTATATTCTGGATGCCAGAAAACTGAAAGCAGTTTCACTGGACCAGGATTGGGTGTCAGCAGGTCTGTGGTCTTTCCAGATGCTCTAGGGGGTGTGAATCTATTTCCTTTCCAGTTTCTAGAGCATCATTCCTTGCATGCCTTGGCTCGCTGTCCCTCCCTCCATCTTCAAAACCAGAAGCTTAGCATCTTGCCTCAGATGTGTAATCACATTGCCCGTCTTTACTGTGATCAAATCTCCTTCTTCTTCCCTCTCATGTGGATACTTGTTATTACATTTAGGGTCCATCCAGATAATCTAGGGTAATCCCTCCATCTCTTAATTTCATCACATCTGCAAAATCCTTTGCCATATAAATGTAAAATTCACAAGTTCTGGAGATTAGAACATAGATATCTCTGGGGGGGTCATTATTCAGTTTATCTTGTATATAAAATTATACATTTTTAAGGTGTACAACATGATACTTCTATATACATATCTTGATATATACATACATGGTGAAATGATAACTACAGTGAAGCAAACTAACATATCTGTCATCTCATATAATTATCTTTTTTCTTCCTGTAGTAAACATATCTAAACTCTACTCTTTTGGCAAATCACTGGTATACAATACATTATTACTAACTATAGTTCTCATGTATATTAGTTCTCTAGCCTTATTCATCCTATATAACTACAATTTTGTTCCTTTTGACCCACATCTTCCCATTTATTTTTAATATTTTGTCTAACAAGTTTTGTCTCTCTAACAACTTAGACTGTCTCTGTCTTCCCCCCAAATAGACAAACCCTTAATATTAAGTAAATACAAAATAACTACTATCAATTAAGAAACATTTCCACAATCCTAATTTAAATATACATCCACTTCTTGAATTTGATAATGTGTTTGTCAAATGATTCAGAATATTTGATAAGGTTGTCTATATATTTCTCCTTGCTAAACACTGGAATCATTTTATTATGTTTCATCAACTCTTATCTGGGGAATTTAATTATATAAATTCAAAAAAGTATACAAAAAAAGTGAACTGTCACAGTAAAAAAAGATATGGTATATCTGAAGACTTGCCTGCAGTATCAATACAGTGCTTTTATTGTGATGGCTTTTGAAATAGATTCAAGTATAAATGGTTAATTGGAAAACTTGATATTTCCAGTAGTGACGTTTTCTTGACAGGAAATTATTTGAGATTGTTCAAGGGAATTGATGAAGTCCCTAGAGAAGATGACATGTGAAGTTCAGAATGAGTAATGACCCCGCGTCTATAATGATTAGAAAAGTTTTTCTCCTCCTTTTGTATTGCAGTCAGTCACAAGCAATATTTTATTCTCATGGATAAGATTTTCAAAGAAACTGCTAGAAATCAGGTTGAGGGAACAGGATAAATTCTTTTTGGTATAAGGCTGCAGGTAACTATTCCATATTCTATGAGAAATAAGCACACACACACATATGTTTTAACAGTAGAGTAGCCTCATTTAGTTATTCTTGTCTGCCTTAGGTGATCATTTTCTAGGCTTATTTAGAGGAACTGGTCTATTTACAGATGTCATTCCTATCTCCTTATCACTGTCTGAAATTGAGGAAAAAAATATTTCTACTTTTACCTCTTCATACTCAGTTATGTTGGATGGACTTCCTCAGAATTTAAATTGGTCAGTGTCTAATTCTCCACTTTGAAATAAAGTACTCAGTCATTATTACTTCCAGCATAGAATCAGAAATACTTAGTGGTCTGTGAGGTTTTACTCCACACATTGGCACAAATACCTCATTTACTGAAGTGGTTAGAATGAGAGAGAAATAACAGCTGAAACCTCAATTTGTATGAGTGGAAGAAGATTAGGAGAGACTGGGCTCAGTAGATTGATTGCTGTTTGTCCCCTTGGGCATTTTTCAGAAAAGCCTTTCATATTTATTCTTACCATGTTCCAGAGGCACAAATAAAGGATCTCCACTTAATGGGTTCCAAGTACAGACCATTTTCCTTGATTAGAGACACACTGCAATGGACACAGGCACCACTTTACCTTCAGATTTTAGTTATTCAACAGTTAATAACCTGTTCACCGTTGGTTTTACATATTGCCTCAGTTGATCTTGGTGTATTAAGAAGAATTCGACCACTACCAGCACAGAGATTGGTATGTAACAAGAGTGCAGTAAATATTTATAACATGTGATAATGTAAATAAAAGTTTTCTTTTTTTAAAAAATCGAAATGCTATTATTTAGGGTTCAAGGTAGACTTTAAGCATAAAGCTGTTTAAGCTAAAAACCAGTTAATTCTCTTAATGTTTGTCTCTAATGGGCTGTTACCATTTTAAGATCATCCTATTTGAGTTTGCATTACATTGTTTCTGTGTATGTGTTGGGGAGGGTGTTTTGATATTTTATTATCCTTTGCTCCCAATGTTTTAGAATCTTTTAAAATTATATCATTTCTCTTTTAAATATTATTCCTTCTGGAGGCTTCTTTTTTAGAATTACAACCTGATATTTTGAAACTAGGGTCACTGGCCAAGAATCTTTTAACTAATCCCTTCATAAACTTTCTAGTTTTAAATACCTGCTATTTAAACAGCAATCAACCAGAAAAAGAATTCCAATGAGTCAATTATCCCTTGGCCCAACCCCAAGTTGATACATTCTTCAATTCCAGTGTTGGCTTTGTCTAATCATCTAAAACTTTGGCAAAAGTTTTGAAGAGTAAGAAAGTTGACATTAAGCATTTATGGGTTTTTTTGTTTGCATTTCACAAGAATTTTTGATTCATTCTCCCTGTGTCATTTATCAGATCAGAAGTTGGATGTGTTTTGTTGCCTAAAATACTACCCATGTACGACAGTTACATTTCCACTTCAGATGACCAGATGAAAGAGTAGTTTCCTTCAAAGCCCACATTCATTTTGGAATGGGAATTATACCACGAGTGAGATAAGAAACTGTAAATAGGCTTTGGCACAATGATTGTACTCTCAGGCGCCAAGTTTTCTTGGCAAGAATTCTGGTATTCAGGAGACTCTTGTAGTTCTGGCTCTTCCACTCATCTGGTATTATGACTTCTTCAGTTTAAAGTCACCTTTTCCAGAAGATGAGAACCTTGACAATGCAAGTAGCCACCCAGTCACTCTCTTTCACATCCCCTGATTTTAATTCTCTACATAGCCCTTATTGCTCATTACTGGGTATTTTTCTTGTTTGTTTCTTTTGATTATCTTCCTAGAATCTAAACTTTAGGGACTTTACATAGGAATATACCATGTCTCATTGAATCTAAGGTGACATCAATGGTGAGATGCATCATTATGTTGGGGATGTAAGACTGCAATCACAGCTCATTGCAGCCTTGTTATCCTGGGCTCAAGCAATCCTTCCTCCTTAGCCTCCTGAGTAGCTGGGACTACAGGTGCATACTACAACACCTGCGCCCAGCTAAATTTTGTATTTTTCTAGAGATGAGGTTTGGCCATGTTGCCCAGGCTGTTCTTGAACTCTTATGCTCAAGCGATCTGCTCACCTCGGCTTACCAAAGTGCTGGGATTATAGGCGTGAGACACTATGCCCAGCCTCTTCAGCATTTTCAAAGAAAAGTTGCCAATATATGGTATTTTCAACATGATATAATTGTTTGTGGCATCAAGAGTATTGGTGAAGCTGAATTTCTGAAAATATTACTCCATTATTGTCTTTGAGATTTTCTTCCCAGATGGTGACATTCATTCTTTTAAGTTTTGATGCTTATGGGCCATCAGTGCCTGGCAGACAGCAACTGTAAGACTCACCCTAATTTGAGATGTGGAAATGTGAAAAACTGAACATCTTAAAATTCAAAAAATAAGGGTTATAGGTACTGATATGGTTTAGCTCTGTGTCCCCACTCAAACCTCATGTCCAGTTGTAATCCCCACGTGTTCAACGAGGGGCCTAGTGGGAGGTGACTGAATCATGGAGGTAGACTTTCCCCTTGCTATTCTCATGATAGTGAGTAAGTTCTCAGGAGACCTGGTTGTTTGAAAGTGGGTAGCACCTCCCCCTTCCCTCTCTTCCTCCTGTTCTACCCATGTAGGATGTGCCAGCTTCCCCTTTGCCTTCTGTCATGATTGTAAGTTTCCTGAGGCCTCCCCCAGCCATGCTTTCTGTACAGCCTGTGGAACCCTGAACCAATTAAACCTCTTTTCTTTATAAATTACCCAGTCTCAGGTAGTTTCAGGTACTTCTTTTTTTTTTTTTTTTTTTTTTTTGAGACGGAGTTTTACCTTGTCACCCAGGCTGGAGTGCAGTGGTGTGATCTCGGCTCACTGCAACCTCTGCCTTGCTGGTTCAAGCTATTCTCCTGCCTCAGCCTCCTGCGTAGCTGGGATTACAGGCACCTGCCACCATGCCTGGCTAATTTTGTATTTTTAGTAGATACGGGGTTTCACTATGTTGGCCAGGCTGGTCTCGAACTCCTGACCTCAGGTAATCCACCCTCCTTAGCCTCCCAAAGTCCTGGGATTACAGGTGTGAGCCACTGCACCTGGACTCAGGTAGTTCTTTACAGCAATGTGAGAATGGACTAAAACAGGTACTCAATAAATAAATAATTTTCAAATACTTGAATATATGACTTTTGTCAAATCTATGTGTCCTTGGGCAAGCCAGTTTATTCCTTAAGCTATATTTTTCCCATTCAGAAAATTAAGAGGTTGGCCTAGAAGTCCTCTAAGAGCCCTTTTTGCTAAAAAAAAAAAAAAAAAAAAAAAAAAGAACGTGCTTCGTAAATGGCTGGAGTTCATAAATGTAAGGATGTATAATTTTAGTGAACTATTAAAAGTATTCTGTCCAATCTGGTCTTCAAGGATTTAAATTTCCAGGTCAAACAAATAAGAATACCACCCAGCTGTTCTATTAGACAATTGATGAGGTGACGATTGAAGAGTGAGGATTCTTGCCACCCTTAGCTGACCCCTTTCTCTCTCCCTGGCTGCAGCTGGTTAGTATACAGTGCACAGAACACGGCCATTAGAGAGAGATACAAACAATGAGAGGCTTTACACATAGGAAGAAAGGTATTCTTAGCCTCAATATGGCCCAGTTCCCAGGATGTGGGGAAAGGATAACCTCTGGACTCTTTGCCAAGGTGAGAGGCTCCAATTAGAAAGCAGGCCTCTGGTTGCAGCCATGGTGGACTCTCAGGTGGCCCAACGGGCAGATGTTGAAAAACCTTGTTTGCCAACTAGGATCTATCTGTGCTCAGCCACAGGGTCCTATATCTCCAAAAGTGGCTGAATGGCCACTTTCTAAATGACTATTCATAGAATTGCTCCTTTATTTTTATTTATTTATTTTTTGAGATGCACTCTCGCTCTGTAGCCCAGGCTGGAATGCAGTGGCGTGATCTCGTCTCACTGCAACCTCCACCTACCAAGCTCGAACAAGCCTCCCACCTCTGCCTCCAGAGTAGCTGGGACTACAGATGCCTGTCATCATGCTTGGCTAATTTTTGTATTTTTAGTAGAGACGGGGTTTCACCATGTTGGCCAGGCTAGTCTCAAACTGCTGACCTCAAGTGATCCGACTGCCTTGGCCTCCCAGATTGCTAGGATTACAGGCGTAAGCAACCACCCCTGACCAGAATTCCTCCTTTATAAAGCCTCAAGTCAATGTCTAAAAAATTGGGGGGGCAATTCCATGATTCACCAGATAACCCATATAGATGCATACTATCTATCTAAAAATACCCATTTTTACGCCAATTAATCTTTGGGGCCTTCAGTTTGCTATACGTCTACCTGTACTGTGTTTCAGGAGGCTCTATCTTGGATACAGTGACCTTCTGCACATCAGTGAAAGGACTGAAACTAGAAGAAGCAAAATTGGGATCCATGTCTACTTTGCTTCCCATATGTTATTCTGTTACCTCAAGTATCTGACTCCATTGTAGTTAATTGCTTCCTGTTTCTTTCCCTAGGTTATGAGATCCTCCACAGAGAACTGAGTAAGAACAATGATGTACATTATTAACTAAAATTATCACATCTTGCTTTATTATTTATTTGTTTTTTTAACCATCCTAGAATAGATAATGTATTGTAGTTTGTTGCCTCGGGAAAGATTTGATTTTGGTTACGTGACACAGAGAGAAGCCGGCTTAAACTTCCCTTGGATTCTTTCTATACTTGGCTTGGTTCTAAAGAGCCACACAGCTGTGGGAATCTTGCAAGCATAATTTCAATTCTACTTTCAGGTCAGAATCAAAGAAGGATTAGAAAGGAGTCCATTTCAAACTTTATAGACCACTTCAGGAATACTTATTCTATCCTACCAGTTCTGAATGTATTAAATTTATTAAAAACTGCTAAGTTCCCTGCCTAATTTTTTGTTAATATTATAATCAAATGTGCTTAGTTATTGGTGTCTCTGCAACCACTGAAAATGCCATGCACTTATGAACAGAATATATTTTCTCATTTGAAATGGCAAAGCCCCAGAGGTTCTAATAGCCACCCTCTTCCAGATACATTATTCATTGTAAACTAGCTTTCTAGAATCCTAGATTATGGAGAACTAAGTATCTTTTATATTTTAAACCACGTGTATGCTAATGTATATAATGAGCGTTTCAAACAATCTTTTTGCTCCTGGTCAACTTTTTTTTTTTTTTTTTTTTTTTTTAAATAATAAAGGCGGCCGGGCGTGGAGGCTCACGCCTGTAATCCCAGCACTTTGGCAGGCCAAGGCGGGTGGGTCAGCTGAGGTCAGGAGTTTGAGACCAGCCTGGCCAATATGGCGAAACCCTGTCTCTACTAAAAATACAAAAATTAGCTGGGTGTGGTGGCACATGCCTGTAATCCCAGCTATTCAGGAGGCGGAGGCACGAGAATCGCTTGAACAAGGAGGTGGAGGTTGCAGTGAGCCGAGATTGCCTCACTGCACTCCAGCCAGGGTGACAGAGCGAGACTCTATCTCAAAATAGTAATAATAATAATAATAATAATAATAATATAGGCACTGAACATTTTCGAAAAAGCTTAAGAAATAAGAAAAACAAGTTAGGGAAGTTTAACTGACAAAGCATTTAACACAATTCATTATAAGATGAATGACAAACAAGTAAAATGGAACATGAATAAGAGATTTATTTAGTGCATCAACTGTTAAAATGCAAGTCTTTATGGCTTATGCTTCTGTATAGACGCTAGGCCCGAAATGGAGGTCTATTTCCCACTTAAGAGCATGAAAAACACCACTTATCAACTGCAGGGAACAGTTTTGAGATTAGATGCTAGGCATCGCACAAATGGAAGCTTTTCAAAACACAACATACAGAATTACATGTTGGGAGGGGGTTCAGGAGGTCACCCAGATCAGTCGTCTCTCTATTAAATTTGTCCCTTGTTAAAATTTTTAGGGAAGGATATTCCAAAACCGGTCTGAGGTTTAAGTGTCCAAAGACCATGAGAAATCTTAAAATTTTATCACACATTGACTATAGAGAAAAGTTTTTAAAAAGTCCACAACAAAGCAGATACAATTGTATAGAAACATCTAGATAATAGAGCTCCCCAGATCAAGCCCCCTCTATTAACCCCACCACCCCGTGTTTTCTCATTACATTTAGACTGAAATTAAAATCCTGCAAGATCCTATAGGAATTAGCCCCTGACTCCTTCTCTGACCTCAGCATCTTCCACTCTCTCCCAGTGTCCCGGTTTCCTCTGTTTCAAACACTGTACGGTAGCAATAATGTGTCTCTTGTTCATCACTGCACATCTACAAAATATCTTCACAGCAACACCTAGATTGGTATTTGGTTGGATATCCCTCATGTTTTAACTGTTTAATAAATATTTCTACAAATCTACAAAAGAGTAAAAAGTTATATATATATTTGTATGGATATATATGTGTATAATTATTTTAATAGTGGTGTTTTATCTGCTTCAAAGTTCGTTTATATGTTTTTTCCCTTTCAGCTCTATCTTGTTACCTAGTTTCTTGAAACTCCCATATGCTTGCTATTAGATTACTAGGACACTAGCAACGGATAGAAGTCATTGACAAAATAGATGAATCACTCAGTGTGGCTTGGTACTGGCATTGAAAAAATAGATTGGCACAGCAATAGATGGGAAGAATGTGTTTATTGCTGTAGGAAAATACCTGGAAATACCAGTTTCTCCAGTCAGAGAAGTCAGACTCCAAGTGAGTATTTCACCACAGTCTTTCTAGAAGCAAGGTAATACAAGTATACAGATGCAAAATGGAATGACTCAGCTAGCCAAGATTCAATTAGCGTTAAAGCATAGAAGCCGCATTTAGGGGAAACTGTGAATGATAGACAACAGCTCCAAATCAGAGCAAAATGATATGTCCTTAGACCGAAAAGTTTCTTGTCTTTTTTTTTTTTTTTTTTTTTTTGATCCAGAGTGTCGCTCTGTCGCCCAGGCTGGAGTGCAGTGGCGCGATCTCGGCTCACTGCAAGCTCGGCCTCCCAGATTCACGACATTCTCCTGCCTCAGCCTCCCGAGTAGATGGGACTACAGGCACCCGCCACCACGCCTCGCTAATTTTTTGTATTTTTAGTAGAGACGGGGTTTCACCGTGTTAGCCAGGGTGGTCTCGGATCTCCTGACCTCGTGATCTGCCCGCCTCGGCCTCCCAAAGTGCTGTGATTACAGGCGTGAGCCACCGCGCCCAGCCAGTTTCTTGTCTTTCTAAGCCTCATTTGAGCCAGGGTAGTGATAGCACTTTCCATCATGGCACCACCTTAGGAGAGCAGAAACTCCGGGCTAATGTGCCACCGACAGAAAGAATAGTCAACATGTGCATTCAGATTCTGTTCATGCTACTGCTTTGAACCAAAGTCATTTTCTAGGTTGAATGAAAACGACCTTACCTGCCTCGTCCTAGCTCTAATTCCAGCAAATGCCACAAGCGGAGTATTGGCCACCCAGGCTGAGCTCGCTCACTCAGCTCTGAGCATTCTCTCCCCAACTTGTGATATAACAAAACACAGACAGTGTCTATACTCATTTCACATATCTCTGAGGTTTAGGTGTGAAATGCAACGGTTTGGTTTCAAAGCCCAGATCACTGTTTGCAGAGTGTGACGGAACTGTGAGCAGCTGGAGGGTGATACATCCATCTCCCCACCAAGTCTCTATCAACAAGCGTTTAAAGGAGATACTGGCCTAGCTCACAACAGACTAATCTCCCATGATTTATTGTGCGGCAGACTGTTTTTTCCAAAATTGACAACACGATATTTTCAGCCCCACATAGTTTTCAAGAACGTCACCTTTGCCTACCAAGAAGTGGAATAGGGCACTTCCACTTGAAATTGAAAATAGAACAGAAAATAAAGGAAAGAAATGTTGCACAACTTCTGAGGCTAGGTCCTAGTAGATAATAGAGTCAGTTTCTCTCTCTCTCTCTCTCTCCACACTCACCTTGGAAAGCTATCCATCATGTTTTCAAGAAGCTCAAGCTGGCTTATGTGAAGAGAACACATAAAGCGGCTGTCAGCCCCAGCGACGGTCTCAGCACACAGCAGCCTTGCTGTCAGACGTGAGAGAGTGAATTTCAGCTGATTCCAGCCCTCAGTCGGCTATGCAGCTATTGGGAACTAATACAGATTTCATGCTTTTTGCTCATTAACTTTCATTCTGGCGGGTTGCCATAGCCAGATTCTACAGAATTTGCTTTGGGCTTTTGCCTGTGTCATGCACTCCTCTGGAGATGCTCTTTTCCTTTTCTTCCAAGCAAATACAAATTCTTCATTTTGACTTCTTAACAGAACTCAAAAATATATTCTGTAAGGACTGGTGCTATTCTCCATATTCTGCATATCCCTACACACAGTGAACTCTTTTATACTGGACTTATTTGCATTCATGTGTGTTTTGTTTTTCTTTCTCTTTGCTTTTTCCCACAGGGCCACGTCTTGAATTTTTAATTAGACTGCTAATGACTGGAATTCATAGGAGGGGTAGTGTGGTGGTGGTGGGGTAAGTCTTTGGTTCAAGGCCCAGCCTGCTCAGGTCCTTGTACTGGTTCTACCACTTACTGGCAGTGTGCCTGGGAACAAGCTACTTCCAAGATACTTAATGTCTCTAGAGGTCAAGGTTGTAGCAGAGAAACAGAAAGGTAGGACGTGTGTGTAGTCCAAAATCTGTAGGACAGCCTGGCAGGCCTGTAATGCAACCCACAGGCAAAATGTCTTCTTCCTCAGGAAAATCTCAACTGATTGGATAAGGTCCACTCACATTACGGAGAATGATTTTCTTAATGTCAACTGATTACAGATGTTTAAGCACATCTACAAAATACCTTCTTAGGAACACCTAGACTGGCATTTGATTGAATAGCTAGGTACTATAGCCTAGCTTAGTTGACTTATAAAACTCATAAATACCCATCACAGTATCTCTGTGACTAAATTTCCTCATTTGTAAAACGGGACAATTATAGTACACGGTGACTATCCCTTACCTGAAATGCTTGGGACCAGATGTGTTTCAGATTTGGGATTATTTTTGGATTTTGAGATATTTGCATATACATTAAGAGATATTTTGGGGATGGAACCCAAGTCTAAACATAAAATTCATGTATGTTTCATATACACCTTATATGTACAGCCTGAAGATAATTTTATAAAATATTTAAAAATAATTTTGTGCACAAAAACAAAGTTTTATTTTTTTATTTTTATTTTTATTCTTTGTTTTTGAGACAGGGTCTCACTCTGCCACCCAGGCTGGAGTTGCAGTGGTGCGATCATGGCTCACTGCAGCCTCAACTTCCCCAGCTCCAGCGATCCTCTCACCTTAGCCTCCTCAGTTTGGGACTACAGGCATGCGCCACCATGCCTCACTGATTTTTTTGCGTTTTTGGTAGAGACAGGATTTTGCCATGTTGCCCAGACTGGTCTCAAGCTCCTGAGCTCGAGCAATCCACCCACCTCAGCCTCCCAAAGTGCTGGGATTACAGGTGTGAACTACCATGCCCGGTCAAAACACAATTTTGTTTTGACCCATTACATGAAGTCAGGTGTAGAATTTTTCACTTGTGGTGTCATGTCAGTTTTCAGAAAGTTTCAGATTTTAGAGCATTTTGGATTTTGGATTTTCAGATTAGGGATGCTCAACCTGTAGCACTTTATAAGTATAAAGTATACTAGCCATATATGACAGTGACTGCCACATATTAAGTGCTATGTAAGTGTTGGTTATTACTATTACTTCTTTGTATGAGTACATAGTACCCTAAAATACTTTCAGTTTTCCTAATTAAGTCTTATTAGGACTGTTTCTTTAAAGAATGCTACTTCTGTTTTGCCGTAAGAATCTTGACAGACGAGTGCGTAGAATTAATCCAACCCTGGTTTCCAAAAGTCATAACACATTCTTCTTTTATGTCATATGTTTACAAGAACTTTTTACAGAAAGAGCTCTTGAGAGCAGCTGAACCTGTATTGCCATAATAAGAGGATTAGCCATAAAGGACATAAAGAGATACATGTTTCTAGCCACTCCTTGTTAAGGAGCTGTTGGTAACCTCTAATCAATGAGCAAGGAAACTGGTTCTGGTCTGATTCAGATTCTTCTTCCTATTTCTAGGTTTCCTCTCAAGTGTGTCACAGAATATCGGGATGGCTACCTCTTGAATCAAGGCCTTATTACCAAGCCCTAATCTTTATTAATATATGTATTTAAGTACAAATATAAATACTAAGTCTTTGTCAGTTGATTTCTATGGAAGACTTTGCTTCACCCCAACTTGCACTAATAAATCTAGGCTTCTTGCTTTCAAGGGAAGCCAAGATGGTGGCATGATGTCAATACTGTAGTTTAGTGCTTCTCTCTGGCACTTGGGAAATTTGTCTTATATTTCTGTTCTTCCCAGCAGCTACTGTCTCCTTAGATGCAAGAATGAGATGAAGGCTTATAGCCCAACTGTTGGCAGCAATAAGAACTTCCTCATTGTGGTACAAACTGAAATGAATCCTTTATTGAGTTTGCCATGCCACATTCTCTGTTCTGTACTCACACCACTGTTGACATTCTTAACTGGAGCCTCATGGTATATTAATGTTTACTGGATCATCTTTAATGATGAAACCAAAAGCAAAAAATGAGAAAAACACCAGCTATGACTTCAGTGTTTCTGCATTAAATATAATACAGACATGCAACTTTTTCTACCTGTGTTTACAAGCAACGTAAGCTCCTATGATTCCTGTTAAGAACTTGCCAGTAAGAAAAATAACTTAATATGATGGCTAGCTGTTTAATATCTCATAAATATTGAGCAAGGATAATTGTTAAAAACAAATAAATAGATGTAAGTAAAATAAAAGTATATAAATAAAATTTTCAACAGTAATTATATCTACTTAAAAATAGTTACCCAAATGTTTTCAGTAACTTATACCTCTGAAGTTATATTAAGTGAAATGATGGATATTCATTCACTATCCAGATCATTTCCAAATAATATAAAATATAAAAACATTAATTGCTAAACATAGTTTATTTACTTTTGGCTTTGAAGGAGTTCAGAATACACCATCCCCAAAATATGCTGCACTGGCATATTAACTATTTTGAATCAAAGGCACGTGAAAAATAACATATGTAAAAACAAAAACACTCTGATTTGCCTTCTATTTCTTTTTTTTATTATTATATTTTAAGTTCTAGGGTACATGTGCACAACGTGCAGTTTTGTTACATATGTATAGTTGTGCCATGCTGGTGTGCTGCACCCATTAACTCGTCATTTATATTAGGTATATCTCCTAATGCTATCCATCCCCCAATCCCCCCACCCCATGACAGTCCCCAGTGTGTGATGTCCCCACCCTGTGTCCAAGTGTTCTCATTGTTCAATTCCCACCTATGAGTGAGAACATGCGGTGTTTGGTCTTCTGCCCTTGCGATAGTTTGCTGAGAATGATGGTTTCCAGCTTCATCCATGTCCCTACAAAAGACATGAACTCATCCTTTTTTATGGCTGCATAGTATTCCATGGTGTATATGTGCCACATTTTCTTAATCCAGTCTATCATTGTTGGACATTTGGGTTGGTTCCAAGTCTTTGCTATTGTGAATAGTGCCGCAATAAACATATATGTGCATGTGTCTTTATAGCAGCACGATTTATAATCCTTTGGGTATATACCCAGTAATGGGATGGCTGGGTCAAATGGTATTTCTAGTTCTAGATCCCTGAGGAATCGCCACACTGACTTCCACAATGGTTGAACTAGTTTACAGTCCCACTAACAGTGTAAAAGTGTTCCTATTTCTCCACATCCTCTCCAGCACCTGTTGTTTCCTGACTTTTTAATGATCACCATTCTAACTGGTGTGAGATGATATCTCATCGTGGTTTTGATTTGCATTTCTCTGATGGCCAGTGATGATGAGCATTTTTTCATGTGTCTGCTGGCTGCATAAATGTCTTCTGTTGAGAAGTGTCTGTTCATATCCTTTGCCCACTTTTGATGGGGTTGTTTGATTTTTTCTTATAAATTTGTTTAAGTTCTTTGTAGATTCTGGATATTAGCCATTTGTCAGATGGATAGATTGCAAAAATTTTCTCCCATTCTGTAGGTTGCCTGTTCACTCTGATGGTGGTTGCTTTTGCTGTGCAGAAGCTCTTTAGTTGAATTAGATCCCATTTGTCAATTTTGGCTTTTGTTGCCATTGCTTTTGGTGTTTTAGACATGAAGTCCTCGCCCATGCCTATGTCCCGAATGGTATTGCGTAGGTTTTCTTCTAGGGTTTTTATGGTTTTAGGTCTAACATTGAGGTCTTTAATCCATCTTGAATTAATTTTTGTATAAGGTGTAAGGAAGGGATCCAGTTTCAGCTTTCTACATAGGGCTAGCCAGTTTTCCCAGTACCATTTATTAAATAGGGAATCCTTTCCCCATTTTTTGTTTTTGTCAGGCTTGTCAAAGATCAGATGGTTGTAGATGTGTGGTATTATTTCTGAGAGCTCTGTTCTGTTCCATTGGTCTATATCTCTGTTTTGGTACCAGTACCATGCTGTTTTGGTTACTGTAGCCTTGTAGCATAGTTTGAAGCCAGGTAGCATGATGCCTCCAACTTTGTTCTTTTGGCTTAGGATTGTCTTGGCAATGCAGGCTCTTTTTTGGTTCCATATGAACTTTAAAGTAGTTTTTTCCAATTCTGTGAAGAAAGTCATTGATTCTTACTATCCATGATCATGGAATATTCTTCCATTTTTTTGTGTCCTCTTTTATTTTGTTGAGCAGTGGTTTGTAGTTCTCCTTGAAGAGGTCCTTCACACCCCTTGTAAGTTAGATTCCTAGGTATTTTATTCTCTTTGAAGCAATTGTGAATGGGAGTTCACTCATGATTTGGCTCTCTGTTTGTCTGTTATTGGTGTATAGGAATGCTTGTGATTTTTGCATATCAATTTTGTATCCTGAGACTTTGCTGCAGTTGCTTATCAGCTTAAGGAGATTTTGGGCTGAGACAATGGGGCTTTCTAAATATACAATCATGTCGTCTGCAAAAGGGAACAATTTGACTTCCTCTTTTCCTAATTGAATGCCCTTTATTTCTTTCTCCTGCCTGATTGCCCTGGCCAGAACTTCCAACACTATGTTGAATAGGAGTGGTGAGAGAGGGCATCCCTGTCTTGTGCCAGTTTTCAAAGGAATGCTTCCAGTTTTTGCCCATTCAGTATGATACTGGCCATGGGTTTGTCATAAATAGCTCTTATTATTTTGAGATACATCCCATCAATACCTAGTTTATTGAGAGTTTTTAGCATGAAAGGCTGTTGAATTTTGTCAAAGGCCTTTTCTGCATCTATTGAGATAATCATGGGGTTTTTGTCTTTGGTTCTGTTTATGTGATGGATTACATTTATTGATTTGCATACGTTGAACCGGCCTTGCATCCCAGGGATGACGCCAACTTGATCGTGGTGGATAAGCTTTTTGATGTGCTGCTGGATTCAGTTTGCCAGTATTTTATTGAGGATTTTTGCATCAATATTCATCATGGAAATTGGTCTAAAATTCCTTTTCTTTGTTGTGTCTCTGCCAGGCTTTAGTATCAGGATGATGCTGGCCTCATAAAATGAGTTAGGGCAGATTCCCTGTTTTTCTATTGATTGGAATACTTTCAGAAGGAATGGTACCAGCTCCTCTTTGTACCTCTGGTGGAATTCGGCTGTGAATCCATCTGGTGCTGGACTTTTTTTGGTTGGTAAGCTATTAATTATTGCCTCAATTTGAGTGCCTGTTATTGGTCTATTCAGGGATTCAACTTCTTCCTGGTTTAGTATTGGGAGGGTGTATGTGTCCAGGAATTTATCCATTTCTTCTCGATTTTCTAGTTTATTTGCTTAGAGGTGTTTATAGTATTCTCTGATGGTAGTTTGTATTTCTGTGGGATCAGTGGTGATACCCCTTTATCATTTTTTTATTGTGTCTATTTGATTCTTCTCTCTTTTCTTCTTTATTAGTCTTACTAGCAGTCTATCAATTTTGTTGATCCTTTCAAAAAACCAGCTCCTGGATTCATTGATTTTTTGAAGGGTTTTTTTGTGTCTCTATCTCCTTCTGTTCTGCTCTGATCTTAGTTATTTCTTGCCTTCTGCTAGCTTTTGAATGTGTTTGCTCTTGCTTCTCTAGTTCTTTAAATTGTGATGTTATGGTGTCCGTTTTTGATCTTTCCTGCTTTCTCTTGTGGACATTTAGTGCCATAAATTTCCCTCTATACACTTCTTTAGCTGAGTCCCAGAGATTCTGGTATGTTGTGTCTTTGTTCTCATTGGTTTCAAAGAACATCTTTATTTCTGCCTTCATTTCATTATGTGCCCAGTAGTCATTCAGGAGCCGGTTGTTCAGTTTCCATGTAGTTGAGTGGTTTTGAGTGAGTTTCTTAATCTTGAGTTCTAGTTTGATTGCACTGTGGTCTGAGAGACAGTTTGTTATAATTTCTGTTCTTTTACATTTGCTGAGGAGTCCTTTACTTCCAACTATATGGTCAATTTTGGAATAACTGTGATGTGGTGCTGAGAAAAATGTATATTCTGTTGATTTGGGGTGGAGAGTTCTGTAAATGTCTATTTGGTCCACTTGGTGCAAAGCTGAGTTCAATTCCTGGATATCCTTGTTAACTTTCTGTCTTGTTGATTTGTCTAATGTCGACAGTGGAGTGTTAAAGTCTCCCATTATTATTGTGTGGGAGTCTAAGTCTCTTTGTAGGTCTCTAAGGACTTGCTTTATGAATCTGGGTGCTCCTGTATTGGGTGCATATATATTTAGGATAGTTAGCTCTTCTTGTTGTATTGCTCCCTTTACCATTATGTAATGGCCTTCTTTGTCTCTTTTGATCTTTGTTGGTTTAAAGTCTGTTTTATCAGAGACTAGGATTGCACCCCCTCATTTTTTTTGTTTTCCATTTGTTTGGTAGATCTTCCTCCATCCCTTTATTTTGAGCCTATGTGTGTCTCTGCGTGTGAGATGGGTCTCCTGAGTACAACAGACTAATGGGTCTTGACTCTTTATCCAATTTGCCAGTCTGTGTCTTTTAATTGGAGCATTTAGCCCATTTACATTTTAGGTTAATATTGTCATGTGTGAATTTAATCCTGGCATCATGATGTTAGCTGGTTATTTTGCTCATTAGTTGATGCAGTTTCTTCGTAGCATCAATGGTCTTTACAATTTGGCATGTTTTTCCAGTGGCTGGTACCAGTTGTTCCTTTCCATGTTTAGTGCTTCCTTCAGGAGTTCTTTTAGGGCAGGCCTGATGGTGACAAAATCTCTCAGCATTTGCTTGTCTGTAAAGTATTTTATTTCTCCTTCACTTATGAAGCTTAGTTGGGCTGGATATGAAATTCTGGGTTGAAAATTCTTTTCTTTAAGAATGTTGAATATTGGTCCCCACTCTCTTCTGGCTTGTAGAGTTTCTGCTGAGAGATCCGCTGTTAGTCTGATGGGCTTCCCTTTGAGGGTAACCCGACCTTTCTCTCTAGCTGCCTTTAACATTTTTTCCTTTGTTTCAACCTTGGTTAATCTGATAATTATGTGTCTTGGATTTGCTCTTCTCGAGGAGTATCTTTGTGGTGTTCTCTGTATTTCCTGAATTTGAATGTTGGCCTGCTTTACTAGGCCTGCTTTACTAGGTTCTCCTGGATAATATCCTGAAGAGTGTTTTCCAACTTGGTTCTATTCTCCCTGTCACTTTCAGGTGCACCAATCAGAAGTAGATTTGGTCTTTTCACATAGTCCCATATTTCTTGGAGGCTTTGTTCGTTTCTTTTTACTCTTTTTTCTCTAAACTTCTCTTCTCGCTTCATTTGATCTTCAATCACTGATACCCTTTCTTCCACTTGATCGAATTGGCTACTGAAGCTTGTGCATGCGTCACATAGTTCTCATGCCATGGTTTTCAGCTCCATTAGGTCATTTAAGGTCTTCTGTATGCTGCTTATTCTCGTTAGCCATTCGTCTAATCTTTTTTCAAGGTTTTTAGCTTCTTTGCAATGGGTTCAAACATCCTCCTTTAGCTCGGAGAAGTTTGTTATTCCCGATTGTCTGAAGCCTTCTTCTCTCAACTCGTCAATGTCATTCTCCATCCAGCTTTGTTCCATTGTTTGTGAGGAGCTGCATTCCTTTGGTGGAGAAGAGGCGCTGTGATTTTTAGAATTTTCAGCTTTTCTGCTCTGGCTTCTCCCCATCTTTGTGGTTTTATCTACATTTGGTCTTTGATGACGGTGATGTACAGATGGGATTTTGGTGTCGATGTCCTTTCTGTTTGTTAGTTTTCCTTCTAACAGTCAGGACCCTCACCTGCAGGTCTGTTGGAGTTTGCTGGAGTTCCACTCCAGACCCTGTTTGCCTGGGTATCACCAGCGGAGGCTGCAGAACAACAAATATTGTGGAACGGCAAATGTTGCTTCCTGATCCTTCCTCTGGAAGCTTCGTCTTAGAGGGGCACCCAGGTGTATGAGGTGTCAGTTGGCCCCTACTGGGAGGTGCCTCCCGGTTAGGCTACTTGAGGGTCAGGGACCCACTTGAGGAGGCAGTCTATCCATTCTCAGATCTCAAACTCTGTGCTAGGAGAACCACTAGTCTCTTCAAAGCTGTCAGACAGAGACATTTAAGCCTGCAGAAGTTTCTGCTGCCTTTTGTTCCGCTATGCCCTGCCCCCAGAGGTGGTGTGTACAGAGGCAGGCAGGCCTCCTGGAGCTGTGGTGGGCTCCACCCAGTTCGAGCTTCCCAGCTGCTTTGTTTACCTACTCAAGCCTCAGCAATGGTGGACGCCCATCCCCCAGCCTTGCTGCCACCTTGCAGTTCGATCTTAGACTGCTGTGCTAGCAGTGAGCGAGGCTCTGTGGGCGTGGGACCCTCCCAGCCAGCCAGGTGCGGGATATAATCTCCTGGTGTGCCATTTGCTAAGACCATTGGAAAAGCACAGTATTAGAGTGGGAGTGTCCCGATTTTCCAGGTACCATCTGTCACAGCTTCCCTTGGCCAGGAAAAGGAATTCCCTGACCCCTTGCACTTCCTGGGTGAGGCGATGCCCGCCCTGCTTTGGCTTACACTCCGTGGGCTGCATCCATTGTCCTGCACCCACTGTTTGACAAGCCCCAGTGAGATGAACCCGGTACCTCAGTTGAAAAGGCAGAAATCACCCATCTTCTGCATCGCTCACACTGGGAGCTATAGACTGGAGTTGTTTCTATTTGGCCATCTTGGAACCTCTCCCTTCTAATTCTTAAAAGCAGAAGATAAAATTTCCACATGAAAGATGTTCTCCCCTTATAAGAAGGGAAGTAACATTCTTGTCAAGAATGCAAAGTTGAGGCAAAGGGAAATCTGTACAAACAAAAATTTGTTTCTCAGTCTCAGCTGAAAACTCTAAGAGGATAGAAATAAAATTTTGCCTACTCTGCAGCTTCTTATTACAGACACTAAAGATATTTGAGTTTGTAAGTAAACGTGCTACATTTAAAAATTGTACGATGCTTTCTCATAGTTATGAAATGGCATACTTCCTCATTTTTGCTGAAAATTAAGTTTACTAAGAGCTAAGAATTAATTAATATATGTAATTAAGGACACTAGAAATAATAAGAAAAACGAATTAATATAAATTAGACAAGGAAAGTAAGGTTTATTTTTGGTAAGATAAGTTATAAAGTATAAGGATGTGTTTTTTGCTGAGAAAAAGAAAATTATTGTTCTATTTTAGAGTTTAAAGCTTGTTTCAAATGAAAAAGAGGGAAATGAAGGACAAAAACTAAATGGACATAGAAATTGGGGTGGGGGGAGAGAGAGAAAGAGAAAGAGATAATATGAAGAGAGATAATCTTATGTAGTTAGGCTGGCTGAAATGAAATGAATTTATTATAATGGTTTAAAAATGAGGCTTAGTATCAAAAGTATGTTGAGACAAAATTAGATTTTGGTCTTATTTTTGTTAAAAGAACAAAGCTTTCTTAGGTTATTGGTGTATTCCTGGTAAGTGACTATGAAAGGTTTCTCTTTACCTCCTAAGTGATTTGCCTAAAAACAAAAGGATTTTGGTCTTATCAAAATACTTTCCTTTGCTTCATGTTGTCTTGATCATGTCTGACAACTTAAGAAAACAGACTTCTCTGTTAAAAGAGCTGAGGTTTTTGTCAACTATATAACTTTCTGTATTTGTCTTTGAAATCATTAATTCTTATTTTGGTTACAGGGATAACTAAGTATTGTTTCAAGTGTCCCATTTAATCAAGTGTTTAAAATCTTTTGACATTTTTGACTATTTCACCTTCCCCAAACCAAATCTTAAATACAATCTGCTTGACCTCAACCTAATTTTGAGATTTTCCAGAGGGCTGCTGGAGAAACACAAAGGATTAATATCTAGTCTTATCAGAAAGAGATGTTAAAATAATTAGGTTTATTTGGTATGTTAAATTGTATGGGAAGCATTGTTAAATAAGAAGTGATGATAAACCTTCTTTAGATTATATTTATGTGGATATAGGTATTCCAAAAATTATATAGAGTTGTTAGAAATTTTTTAATTTTCTTATTGTCTGTATAATCAGTTATAATCCTGGTTATTACCTTAAAATGTTATATGTCACAGAAATAACCATATTTCCTCATCAATTTCATTTATATAAATGCTTATCATCATCTTTAACTGTGGTCATTTTAAGTATTTTGTCATTCAAAAATAGTTATTTTTTTACTCTGATGGTTTTTCTAGAAGTTTTTGCAAGTAGCTATGTTACAAAATTGCAAAATTCTGACAGGTTTCTGATAGCTTTAAAATCATACTACTAGGGTTGTTCCTAGCCTTGCAGGTCCACAAGCTGGGGCTGGATGACTTGATATGCATTTCAGAGAAATCACCACAGCAGCTCATATGTTGACAACCTTTTTGCCTGCTGTGTGGGCCATGCAGAAAGTTAACCAGAATGCCCAATGGCATCACCAGAGACATTCAAACTGCAAACCAGGAAAATCTATTATATTGAAACTGCCGTATTAGAAAAAAAATGCTGTTTACACATTAATAAGCCAGGAATTGTAGCCCAAAATCTTAAAGATCTAAAAGATCAGATCCAGATATTCACCAGATTGGGGAAGGACAATCAACTGATCTAATTTGTTAAATCTTGGCTATTGGGGACCTTGGATTTGGGATATTTTTAAAGGCTTGCCATTATCCTCCTATGATTTATAGTCATAATATCCTTCTGTGCTGTCATCTTTCAAGAGTTTTAAATGCTTGTCAGCAGCCACTAACTCAGCAGATGATCTCCATGAAGACTGAATGAAAACACTACAAGAACAAGAATCATCAAAAGAGCCTATCAAGATTCTAGTTTGTAACCAACAGATGTCTACAGAAAGAAAACATGTAAATACTGAGGTAATGGCGAATAATTGGTCACACTCAGTTCAACTGAGAGAATGACCAAAGGGAAGAATTGTTAAAGAAAAGTAAAAATGGAGACCATGGTTTTGATGTACTTCAAGGCCAACCATAACCACATAGCCAAAACTTGAGCCATTCTGAAATGACCTAAGTTTTCACTGAAATGCCAGCTCTAATCATAAGCAAAACACAAAATGTATGCTTTTGTCTTTGTCAGCATGATTCAATAAAATTAAGCCAACCAGCTATAGACAAATCAGCTTAAATAGCTCTGCTTGCCTGAAAAACAGAATGTTAGTATATAACAGCCAATCATGAAAAAGATCAAAATAATCTCTCATCTGTGCTTCATAAGCTGCACTGCAATTGTGTGTGGGAGGGGGCTTCATACCACTTTAGTTTGATGTGTCCCGATTGCATTCTATACTTTCTCTTATTGTATGACAATATGCTTTCAACTTTTTCCTAACTTGTCTGGGCGCGGTGACTCACACCTAGTGGCTTGCCCCAGCACTTTGGGAGGCCGAGGTGGGCAGGTCACTTGAGGACAGGAGTTTGAGACCAGCCTGGCCAACATGGTGAAACCCCATCTCTACTAAAAATACAAAAATTAGCCAGGCATGGTGGCGTGTGTCCTTAGTCCCAACTACTTGGGAGGCTGAGGCAGGAGATTCTCTTGGACCTGGGAGGTGGAGGTTGCAGTGAGCCGAGATTGCACCACTACGCTCCATCACAAAACAGAGCAAAATGAAACAAAACAAAATGAAACAAAACACAACACCTTTTTCCTAACTTGATCTGTTTTTATTTTAATTTTTTTGACACTGTCATATGTCCCAAAAAACAGTAAGAGCAAGATATTAATGATGCCACTCCAGGGATATGCAAGGGAGGTGGCTGCCTGAGAGTTGAGGGAGGCACATGGATGAGGTTGGAGGGTTCCAAGAGCACCTGAAATTCCCTTGAGTCAATGGCATTTAGGACATCTGTAATTCTTTTCAAAGGAAGATGCACATTGGTTTCTGTTCTCCTTTATGTCATTGGAAACTGCTAAAATAGAAATTATTGTAACTGTTCAGCAGATGTGGGAAAAAAATCTTCTGGCTGCCTTTTACTGGCTAAATACAAAGTAATGTCTTGCTGATACTCCTTGTGGAAACTGATGTACTTTGATATATGCATTTTTGAAGTTATAAAAATGAGGAGGTGAAAAAATATAAGTGAAACAAGATAACTTCCTGACTATTGAATATATTTCCATTCTTAAAAGCAAAACTTTTGTTTTGCTCACTCTATGTGAATACTTCCTGTGACAAGAAACTTAGTACTTACAGGCAGCTTATCCTCTTTTAAAAACTGCCACTCTAAGTATCAGAATAATGATATTAGGTAATTTCCAGAAAGTGTTTTTATACTAACCACAAAATATTTCTCATGGTTTAAAACCTCTGTCTGATAGAGGTATAGGCAGGATGTTATTTCAGATCTTTAAGCTGATATTAAACTCCGAATTTAAAGAAGTCCTCATTTCCTTCCTCTCTCCCTACTCTTATGGCTGGCCCTGGTGGTCACTGACTCACTAACTGCTCCTTCTCCATGCCCACCTGAGACTGGACCTAAATTCTAGGGACATACTTTATTGAGTCATGTACACATTGAAACTACACTACCAAGTCATTGCATAAAGAAATTCTTCATGTAGAATATTTAGAATAGCAAACCTCTATGATTGTATGTCATAATTTTCTACTTGACACTGTTAGTATTTCTGATCTTAAGAGCCAGACTTCTAGTACAAAGAGTAGGCTTCTTCCAGAAATCCCATGGTAAAATTGTACTGCTAAACAAGAAAACATGTCATTGCAATTGTAATATTAGAAAAAGCAAGTTAAAATTCTAATAAGACAAAAGATTTTTTTTTAAACCATAAAATAGCTTCATTGAAGATCTCAGGGTGGCTATAAGACAATGGATACTACTCAACACTTATCTGTGAAAAAAGTGCCAGAGAAGCAATTACTGGAAGTCAATTGTGTAATATTGGATTTGAATGTCATCCAAGGTGTCAGCACTTGCTTAGAAGGAGAGTCATTATAGTCTCTCAAAACACAAGGTAATATTTGACACAAGTAGTATTCAAAGAATGTATGTGAGAAGGAAACAATATATTTAGCAGTTTTTCTTCAAGTTGGAATGTGTAAAAAATATGCATTTAAAATAGTAAAGTGATATATCTTCCCCTTCTTTAAATCATGATGTCTTGAGATTTTCAACCTAATGAACTGAAGAGTTGCAGTGTTCAAAGTAATCTCAGAACAAGCTATGTATTGCACAAATGCATTTAGGACTCTTGTCAAAGTGGGCTTTTGAGAGGCAAGGTTTGTTGAGAGAGAAAAGATTTGTACATTTTCAAGCTCCTAAAAGATTGAAGGTCTGAACTTCAGTTACTCTAGAGATCACAGGAAGAAGAAGAATACAGGCTGTAACGTAGGAAGGCTACTGTTTATTAGGGAAGAAGGACAGATCATGGGGGAATAAAAAGGAAAGAAAAAAGACATGGTAAGATCTGTGACTTCTTTCCTCTTCATTTCAGGCTGAGCCTTGAGGATAAGGTGTTAAAAACTATTGGAAATGCAAGGACACAAGCAGCAGAGTAAAAAAGCAACCTACAGAATGGGAAAGAACATTTGCAAATCATATATGTGATAGGGAGTTAGTATCTAGAATATATAAAATTCTGCAACTCAACAAAAACAAAGTTCTGGAGATTGGTTGTGCAATATTGTGAATACAGTTTACACTACTGGACTGTAAAATGGTTAAGATATTAAACTTTATATTATATGTAAACACAATTTTTTAAAAAGTCAGCACCACAATAAAAACAATCAAAATATGGTTTAGTTATATGGCAGAAGTGTAAAAGCAATTGCAAGAAAAGCAAAAATTAACAGGTGGGACCTAATTAAACTAAAGAGCTTCTTCACAGCAAAAGAAACTATCAACAGAGCCAAAAGACAATCTACAGAACAGGAGAAGATATTCACGAACTATGCATGTGACAAAGGTTTCACATCCAGACTGTATAAGGAACTTAAACAATTCAACAAGCAAAAAACAAGTAACCCCATAAAAAAGTGGGCAAAGGACATGAACAGACACTTCTCAAAAGAAGACATACAAGCAGTCGACAAACATATGAAAAAAAGCTCAACATCACTAATCATCCGAGACACACAAGTCAAAACCACAATGAGATGCCATCTCAAACCAGTCAGAATGGCTATTATTAAAAAGTAAAGGAAAACAGATGTTGGTGAGGCTGCAGAGAAAAGGGAATGCTTATAACTGTTAGTGATAATGTAAAGTAGTTCAGCCACTATGAAAAGCAGTTTGGAGATTTGTCAAAAAAATTAAAACAGAACCACCATTTGACCCAGCAATGTCATTACTGGGTATATATCCAAAGTAAAAGAAATTGTTTTACCCAAAAGACACATGCACTTGTATGTTCATCGCAGTGCTGTTAGCAATGACATGGAATCAACCTTAGTGCCCATTAATGGTGGACTGGATAAGGAAAATGTGGTACATATACACTATGGAATACTATACAGCCATTTAAAAGAAGGAACTCACGTCCTTTGCAGTAACATGGATGCAGCTGGAGGCCATTATCCTAAGAAAATTAATACAGAAACAGAAAGCCAAATACCACATGTTCTCACTTATAAATGGGAGCTAAACATTGGGTACACGTGGACCTAACGATGGGAATGATAGACATTGGGAACTACTACAGGGGGTTAGAGGGAAAGGGGCAAGGGTTGAAAAACTACCTATTAGGTATTATGCTCACTACCTGGCTGATGGGATCAGTCATACCCCAAACCTCAGCATCATGCAATATACCTATGTAACAAACCTGCATGTGTACCCCGAATCTAAAATAAAAGTTGAAATATGAGAGAAGTGGACTGTCCCAACTGATAAACATAGTAAATAAATACTAATACAATCATTTCCTTTATTCACTGTGAAAATAACAAGTGCTAAAATATTGTTATAATGTGTCACGAAAAAGTAGTAACAGTACAGCGTTCTGAAACATCAAGGGCAAGCTAACAAGATTATTATATTTCTTCTCCAGGAACTACTATGGGGAGTTTTACTGCTTAATGCTGAGCAAGGAAAACTTTTTAAAGACTGTTTCCTATAAAAGATAGTGTGAGTTAAGTTGTCACTAGGTCCCTATGGTATAAAAGTTACTTTATCTCATATCAAAAGTAAAACGGACCAGTTGCAGTGGCTCACACCTGTAATCCCAGCACTTTGGAACGAGGAGTCAGGAAGATCAGTTGAGGCCAGGAGTTCAAGACCAGCCTGGGCAACATAGTGAGAATATGGTATATAATGTAAAAGTTACTTTATCTCATATCAAAAGTAAAAACAGGGGCCAGGTGCAGTGGCTCATACCTGTAACCCCAACACTTTGGGAGGTAGAGTCAGGATCCCTTGAGGCCAGGAGTTCAGGACTAGGGCAACATAGCAAGACCCTGTAGCTACAACAAAAAAAAAAAGTTAGCCAAGCATGGTGGCACATACCTGTAGTCCCAGTTAGTTGGGAGGCTGAGGAGGGAGGATCGCTTGAGCTCAGGAGTTTGAGGCTGCAGTGAGCTATGATTGCACCACTGCACTCCATCCTGGGAGACAGCAAGACTCCATCTCCAAAAAAAAAAAATAAAAATAAAAATAAAAATAAAATAAAACAATAGTTTACATTTCAAGAAATGATATTTAACATTTTCCTCCACTGATATGAGTGACAGATGTCTTCTGTGCTTATAATGATTGACTATCTATCTTTCATTTTAAAGATGATTCTACTGAACTGCCACCTGCAGGATAAGCCATTTGAGTGGTTTTCCAGTAACAGACATGGATTCATACACACCTACCGGTCCTTTTTTAAAAATTAAAATAAATCTTGTTTAAGAACAAATTGCATAATGTAGCCTGAAAATGGAAAATTTTGTTACACTAGGGTATTGAACACACAACTTTGACCTCGTTAGTGGTCCATTGGCACCATTCTTTACTCAAAAGTGAAACCCTGTTACAGATTCTAGGTCCCTGTCACCGTAAGTATGTTCTTAATCAATTTTCTGCTTTCATGGCTTCTGTAAGGGGTGCATTCTAACTCCATCACACTGAGTTGTATTTCTGTTCAAATAAAAAGGCTTAATTTATTCTTTTTCTCCTAGAATTTAGCGTTCTGGGGTTCTGTGTTTTCTAAAAATAGGAATTTCCTATTTGTATTTCTGGATAATTTAATTTACAACTATCCAACCAACTTCAAAGACTGATACCTGCTGTGGCAAAACTAATGACTATCCATAATGATATATGGATAGATGCTATTTCCTAAATTCATTTGTTGATGTTTTCCAAACAGACTTATTGTCTATTAAGTCTTCCATCACCATCTGGTATAATTAAGAATGGCAAAACATGCCTCTTGCAGCACAAAATTCATTTCATGGCAAACAATGAAGATGAGCAATCCATGATATGACCCAAGATTCCGAACGTAAAGTCTTCTTCAGCCAGCTGAGAGCAGGTAAGTGAAGAGCCCCTGCCATCTGTACTTGATTCTCCTTCCCCACTCACTCATTGCCCCGGAACATAGGGCAACAGCTGGCATTGGCTACAACTGAAACTGAAGCATCAGTTAGCAACAGTATCAACCCAGCCTAAAACTATGTCAACTTCCAGATGTTGACTTCAGACTTCATTCTTTTTTTTTTTTTTTTTTTTTTTTTTTTTTTTTTTTTTTTTTTGAGACGGAGTCTTGCTCTGTCGCCCAGGCTGGAGTGCAGTGGCGCGATCTCAGCCCACTGGAAGCTCCGCCTCCTGGGTTCCCGCCATTCTCCTGCCTCAGCCTCCCGAGTAGCTGGGACTACAGGCGCCCGCCACCACGCCAGGCTAATTTTTTGTATTTTTAGTAGAGACGGGGTTTCACCGTGTTAGCCAGGATGGTCTCGATCTCCTGACCTCGTGATCCGCCCGCCTCGGCCTCCCAAAGTGCTGGGATTACAGGCGTGAGCCACCGCGCCCGGCCCAGACTTCATTCTTAATTTGCCAGAATTTTTGTTTCCTTGTTTTTTATTCATGCTTGTTTTTCTCAGTAACTCTGTTCTCCCTTTTCTTTCTCCCTGGCATCTGACAAATCACCATTTTCTAATTTTTTTTTACCTCGTTTAATGTAACACACAGGATAAAAAACATTGAAACATTTAAAAATTATAAAGTATATAAAGCAAAGTTTGAAATTATACAACAGAAGTAAAAACTGTTAATAGGTTCTTTTGTTTTCTTGGATATACACGTTCTATCCATATTACAATGTAAATAATACATATAAATTTTTGTTTTACACAGATGAAATCATATTCCACATACTATTTTGGATATTTTTCCTACTTAAAATGTGTTTCAACATATTTCCATAGCAGTATATACAATCTCCCTCCATTAAAACAATTATTTTAATAGGTTTTTGGGGAACAGGTGGTGTCTGGTTACATGAATATGTTTTTTAGTAGGATTTCTGATATTTTGGCGCACCCATCACCCAAGCAGTGTACACTATACCCAACGTGTAGTCTTATATCCCTCACTCCCCTACCCTTTCTCTCGAGGCCCCCAAATCCATTGTATCATTCTTATGCCTTTGAGTCCTCATAGCTTAGCTCCCACATATCAGTGAGAACATATGATGTTTGGTTTTCCATTCCTGAGTCACTTCACCTAGAATAATGGTCCCCAGTTCCATCCAGGTTGCTGCAAATGCCGTTATTTTCTTCCTTTTTATGGTTGTCACTCCATTTTTTTTTATACAACAAGGAAGGATCGTTTATTATGCTATGAACAAGAAGTCCAGAGGAGGTTAATTCAAAGGTGCAACAATATCATCAAATACCCCACTCTTTCCCACTGAATATGGCTGTCACTGACACGTTGGCTTTCTCCTCACGGTTACAAAATGGCTGCAGGATAGCAGGGATCGTATTCTGACAGGCCAAAAAGCACAATATTAAAAGAGGGGCTGTCTTTGTCTCTTTAAGAGTTGAAGAAACCTTTGCAGAGGGCCTCCAGTGAGCTTCCCTTCACACGTCATTGGCCAGATCACACACATGCCCATATCTAACCCAACAAAAAGGCAAAGAGATCAGGCCCACAATGATTACCTAAGACCACTTAGGATGTACGCTGGGGAGGACCTGGAAATAGGGTCATTCCTTCAGTTGCATGGGAGGAGGGGAAGAAAATAAGACCTCTGCTAATAATAAAGACTGGGAATATGGTGGTTGTGTAGGCATAGTTAGGTTTTTTTTTGAGACGGAGTCTCGCTCTGTCGCCCAGGCTTGAGTGCAGTGGCGGGATCTCAGCCCACTGCAAGCTCCGCCTCCCGGGTTCCCGCCATTCTCCTGCCTCAGCCTCCCGAGTAGCTGGGACTACAGGCGCCCGCCACCACGCCAGGCTAATTTTTTGTATTTTTAGTAGAGACGGGGTTTCACCGTGTTAGTCAGGATGTTCTTGATCTCCTGACCTCGTGATCCGCCCACCTCGGCCTCCCAAAGTGTTGGGATTACAGGCGTGAGCCACCACGCCTGGCCGTTAATTATGTTTTTAATCTTCTTTTTCAAAATCATCTCAGTTATCCTTCATTTATTTTCTTCATCTAAATTTGAGAATATCTTTATCATTCTCTTTTATAGTCCATTGAAATAATGAAGAATCTATAGTCTGTGTGTATCTGTGTATGAGGGAAAATATTTTTACAGTTTTATGTTTTTCAACCATGTACATGGTTAAATCTGCATTATTAAGTTTTATTTAGGTCCTCAATAGAGTTTAAAATAGCTCTTTATAAAAGTCTACATATTCTGTTAGGTTAATTCCTAGGAATTTTGTAGTTTTATGGCTGTTGTTAAGGGGATGGTATTTTCTCTCCAGTTTGCCCTCTATCTTTTTTTTTTTTTTTTTTTTTTTTTTTTTTGAGACAGAGCCTCGCTCTGTGCCCAGGCTGGAGTGCAGGGGTGTGATCTCGGGTCACTGCAACCTCCGCCTCCCAGGTTCAAGCGATTCTCCTGCCTCAGCCTCCTGAGTAGCTAGGACTACAAGGCACGAGCCACCACTCCTGGCTAATTTTTGTATTTCTAGTAGAGATGGGTTTCACAGTGTTGGCCAGGCTGGTCTCGAACTCTGGACCTCAGGTGATCTGCCCACCTCGGCCTCCCGAAGTGCTGGGATTACAGGCATGAGCCACCGCACCCAGCCTATCTTTCTTCTTAAGAAAATATATTTTTTCCTTCAATCACAACCTGTTTTTCTTTATTTTGTTTTTATTTTTCTTCTGTTTCTGTTCTGATAGTAAGTCAATCACACTAGTTTCAAGTCTATGTGTGCTGTTTATGTGTGTGTTTGTGAATGTCCATATATTACTACTTTACTGAATTTTAAAAACCAAGATAGTAAATTTTATACACTCTGCTTTGCTTTCTAAAATTTCTCAGTTCTTAGTTATTTTATGCTTACTTCTATTGTTTCTAAATATATTCCCAATTTCCCCCATGCAGCATCTTCTTTTCCTAAGTCTTTTTTATATTTTCAAGTGATCATTTACTCCCCTTCTTCCTCTTTTATTATGTTATCATATACTCCCTCCTCTCCATTTTCAGTAGAGAGTTTTACTTTCTGATAATTTATTTCTATTATGATTTATTGGACCATAGTTCCGTTAGAAACATATTTCCTTATTTCTAAACATGAATTATCTTCTAGTTATATTTTTGTTACTGACTTCTGGGTTAATTGAATTATAGTCATAGTATATCATCTGTATGACCTTAAACCTTTGAAATTATCTGAGAGTTGTTTTGAGGCCAAGTCATGATCAGTTTTTGTAATTGGTTTATGTGTATTTCAAAGAATGTGATTTGAAGTTTGTAGGTTATGCTACTTAAATATCTCATAGTCTTTTTTTGCTTTATTTTATTAGGTACTGAGGTAGATTTGTTAAAAAATGTTTCATTTTTATTGTGAATGTGTTAACTTTCTCTTATAGTTATGTAAAATTTTGCTTTATATATTTTGTATTAATGTAAATAGGAATAAATACATTTTAAATTGTTATATTTTCTAATATATTAAACTTTTTATTTTTTAACCTTTTTTTTAAGAGTTGGGGGTCTCACACTGTCACCCAGGCTGAGTGTAGTGGTGTGATTTAGCTCACTGGAGCCTCTAAGTCCTGGGCTTAAGCGATCCTCCTGCCTCAGCCTCCTCAGTACTGGAACTACAGGGACATGCCACCACACCAGGCAAATTTTTTATTTTTTATTTTTATAGAGACATTTGCCCATTTTTTCTCTAGGTCTTTCAGTAGAAAATTGTACAGAAGTGGTGAGAATGGACAATCTTTTCTTGTTCATGATCAGGGGGAAGGCATTTAGTCATTCAACATTAATTATGATATTAGCTATGCAATTTTTATATATGGGCTTTATTAGGCTGATAACTTTTTTAATATTCCTGGTTTACTGGGTGTTTTTATTAGGAAGAGTGTTGGATTTTTTCAAATGAGTTTTCTGTGTCTATTGAAATGATTATCTGGTTTTTGTAATAGGATATTATACATTGATTTTCAGATGTTAACCATCTTGAATTATTTCTCAGATAAATGCCACTTGGTCATGTTGTATAATCTTTTTAAAAATCACCTTTATTGAGGTAAAGTTATATATAAATAACTGCACATATTTAACGTGTAGAATTGATGAGTTTGGACATATGCAAACACCCATAATATCCTCACCACAATCAAGGTAATAGACATATTTAACACCTCCCAGAGTTTTTTGTATTCCTTTGGTTTTTTCTGAGGAGGGGTGCACCATATCATTTTATTAAGTATAGGCACTGTGTTATAAGCAGATCTCTAGAATTTATTCATCTAGCATAACTGAAACTATATCCTTTGAATAGCAACTCCAAATTTCTCCTGTCTCCAGCCTCTAGCAACCATCATTGTATTCTCTACTTCTATAAGTTTGACTATTTTAAGTACTTAATGCAAGTGAAATCATGCAATATTTGTCCTGTTCCACTTAGCATAGTCTCCTCCAGGTTCATTATGTTGTTGCAAATGGCAGAATTTCCTTACTTTTTAAGGCTGACTAATATTCCATTGTATGTATATACCACATTTTCTTTATCCATTCATCTGTTGATGGATACTTAGGCTGTTTCCATGTCTTGGTTATTATGAATTGAGCTGAAATGAACATGAGAAATGCAGACATCTCTTTGAGATTCTGATTTCAATTCTTTTGTATATATTCCCAGAAGTGAGATTATTGGATCATATGGTAGTTCTATTTTTAGTTTTTTGAGGAATCTTCATACTGTTTTCCATAGCTGCCACACTGGTTTATATTCCAACCAACACTTATGTTCCAGTTTCTGCACAACTTTGCCAATACCTTTTTTTTTTCCCAAGTAATAGCCATCCTAACAGGTGTGAAGTGGTAACTCATTATAGTTTTGATTTGCATTTTATATAATGCTTTTTATATGTTGCTGGATTCAATTTGGTAGTATTTTATTGAGGAATTTTGCATCTATATTCATAATGACTTTTGTTTTTTTGAGACAGGGTCTCATTCTGTTGCCCAGGCGGGAGTGCAATGGCATGATCTTGGCTCACTGCAACCTCCGCCTCCCAGGTTGAAGCGATTCTTGTGCCTCAGCCTCCCAAGTAGCTGGGACTACAGGCATGCGCCACCACACCCAGCTAATTTTTGTATTTTTAGTAGAGACAGGGTTTCACCATGTTTGACGGGCTGCTCTTGAACTCCTGGCCTCAAGTGATCAGCCTGCCTTGGCCTCCGAAAATGCTGGGATTACAGGCATGAGCCGCTGGGCCTGGCCCATAATGACATATTGTTCTGTAGTTTTCTTTTCTTGTGATGTATTTGTCTGGTTGTTGGCCTCATAGAAGGAATTGGGAAGTGTTATTTCCTGTTCTATTTTTTTGAATGAGTTTGTGAAGAATTGGTGTTAATTCTTCTTTAGTTGTTTGGTAGAATTCATCATTGAATCTATTTGGTACTTGACTTGTGTGTGTATGTTGGGGGTGGGGAGATTTTTGATCACTAATAAAATCTTTTTACGTGTGATATGCTTATTCAAGTGTTTTTCGCTCCTTGAATCTGTTTTAGTAGCTTATGTCTTTCTAGGAATTTGTCTGTTTCATCAAGGTTATCTAATTTGTTGGCATATAATTGTTTACAGTATCCTTTTTGGAATTGTTTTTATTTCTGTGAGATCATTAATGATGTCTCTGTTTCCATTCCTAATTTTATTAAGTTGAAACTTCTTTCTTTCTTTTTTTTGTATCAGTTTAGCTAAAGATGTGTCCATTTTGTTAAGCTTTAAAAAAAATCCCAACTTTTGGTTTTGTTGATTTTTTTTTCTATTCTCTATTTCACTTATTTCTACTTTAATCTTTATTATTTTCTTCCATCTCCTTGTTTTCAGTTTAGTTAGCCCTTCTTTTTCTAGTCTGAAGGTGTACAGTTAGGCTATTAAGATTTTTCTTCCTTTTCTAATGTAGATGTTTATAGCTAGTGATTTCCCTCTAAGCACTGCTTTCATTGCATCCCATAATTTTTGGAATATTTTTGTTTCTATTTATTTAGTAACATTTTTTAGTTTTCCTTTTAGTTTACATTTATTTTTGGAACCACTGGTTACTTAGTAGTGTGTTTAATATACACTTTCCTGTGTGAATTCTCCAAATTTCTTTCTGTTATTGATTCCTAGTTTTATTTCACTGTGGCCAGAGAATATACTTCGTATGGTTTAAATATTTTAAAAGGTACTGAAGGGTGTTTTATGGTCTAACAGATGGTCTAAGGTGGAAAATGTTCCACATACCCTTGAAACAATGTGTATTCTTCTGTTGTTGAGTAGAATGTTCTATAGATGTTCAGTTAGGGCTAGTTGGTGTACAGTGTTCAAATCTTGTACTTCCTTGTTTGTCTGCTGCCTTGTTCTGTCTAGTATCAAGAATGGCATACTAGGAAAGGAAAACTGGAAAGTAAGGGTGCAGGAAGCTCTTCCATTTATTTCTTGGAAAACCATTTAAACTATCTTTAAACTGTGCATGTATATCTTGAAAAAAAACTTTAAAAATTATAATTTCGTATTTTAGTTAACAAAGTATTTTAACTGATACTACTGCCATCCTGAGAAGTAGGCAAAATGAGTATTACTCCTATTTTATAGGTAACACACATGCGTCTTAAATATTTGAGGACCTACTATAAAACAATCACTTTCACCTCTTTTAGATGATTATTGTGCTATTTACCTCCCAGTCTCTAAATAACTTGCTTGTCTTACTACTAGATATGTAATAGGAGCATGGACTGTGGAGTTAGATTGCCTAGATTTGATCTTTCTTGTCATTTACTAGTTTTATGTAACATTGGGCTATTTATCCTCTTTATGGTTCAATTTTCTCATTAAAAAAATGATGACAATAGTAGTTACCTCATGGGGTTGATACAAGAATTAAATGAATTTGGAAATTCCCTAGAACTTTGTCTAACTCACATGCCCTATGTAAGTATTTGTTAAATAAAATACACCTTTCATTTGTTTTTGTCTTTATTAACTTCCTGGAAAAAAAAAGAATGGCATACTAAAGCCTCTAATTATTATTATTGAATTGTCTATTTTTTCTTCAGTTCTGTCACTTTTTGTTTCATGTACTTTCGGGATCTGGTGTTAGCTGCGTATATATTTCTAAACATTTTCCAAAATGTTGAAATATATATATTTGTTCATTTCATGAATGAATAATGAATCTTGCTGATGGTTTAGTTCCTTTATCATTATAAAATATCCTTTTTTTCAAGTAATAATTTTTGTTTAAAGTTTGTTTTGTCTGAAATTAGTGTAGCCACTTCAGCTTTCCTTTACTTACTATTAGCATACTGTATTTTTCTTTTTTTTTTTATTCTCAACCTATTGTCTCTTGAATGTCAAATGTGTTTGGTAGACAGCTTATGACAGGATTATGCTTTTAAAATGTATTCTGCCAATCTGCCTTTTGACTGCTGGGTTTAGTCCATTTACATTTAATGCAATTATTGATAATGTATGATTTACATCTGGAATTTTGCCATTTGTTTTCTTTTTTTTTATTATACTTTAAGTTCCGGGATACATGTGCAGAACATGCAGGTTTGTTACATAGGTATACACATGCTTGGTGGTTTGCTGCACACATCAACCCGTCATCTACATTAGGTATTTCTCCTAATGCTTTCCCTCCCGTCGCCCCCTAGCCCCCAACAGGCCCTGGTGTGTGATGTTCCCCTCCCTGAGCCCATGCGTTCTCATTGTTCAACTCCCACTTACAAGTGAGAACATGCGGTGTTTGGTTTTCTGTTCTTGTGTTAGTTTGCTGAGAATGATGGTTTCCAGCTTCACCCACGTCCCTGCAAAGGACATGAACTCATCCTTTTTTATGGCTGCATAGTATTCCATGACATATATGTGCCACATTTCCTTTATCCAATCTATCATTGATGGGCATTTGGGTTGGTTTCAAGTCTTTGTTATTGTGAATAGTACTGCAATAAACATATGTGTGCGTGTGTCTTTATAGTAGAATTATTTATAATTCTTTGGGTATATACCCAGTAATGGGATTGCTGGGTCAAATGGTATTTCTGGTTCTAGATCCTTGAGGAACTGCCACACTGTCTTCCACAATGGTTGAATTAATTTATACTCCCACCAACAGTGTAAAAGCGTTCCTATTTCTCCACATCCTCTCCAGCATCTGTTTTCTGTCTTTTTAATGATTGCCATTCTAACTGGCATTGAGATGGTATCTCATTGTGGTTGTGATTTGCATTTCTCTAATGACCAGTGATGAGCTTTTTTTCATATGTTTGTTGGATGCATAAATGTCTTCTTTTGAGAAGTGTCTGTTCATATCCTTTGCCCACTTTTTGATGGGGTTGTTTGTTTTTTTTGTTGTAAATTTAAGTTCTTTGTAGACTCTGGATATTAGCCCTTTGTCAGATGGATAGATTGCAAAAATTTTCTCCCATTGCGTAGGTTGCCTGTTCACTCATCAGAGTGAACAGCCATTTGTTTTCTATACATCTTGTGTCTTTGTCTATTTCTCCATTTCCCCTTTCTTTGGAGTTAAATTGATATCTTGCAGTATAAAGTTTTAATTCCCTTCTTTCTTTTAATATTTTAAAAACTAAATGATTCAAATATTTATGTTTATACATATAATACATATTATAGATAAGTATAAATATATTTATCTATTTAAATTATTTTCTTAGTGGTTGTCCTGGAAATTACAAGTAACACCTTCACTTAAAACAATCTAGTTTATATTAGTAACAACTTAATTTCAATTGTATATAAAACTTTCTGGGTCAACTTCCAATGTAGTTCTCTTTCCTCACTGACCTTTTGTGCTATGATTGTCATAGAAATTACATCTTTTTCATTATAAATCCTTCAACACAGTTTTATAACTAGTGCCTTATGCAGTTGTCTTTGAAATCAGTGAGAGAAGAAAAGAGTTACGAACAATAATACACTTATGATATCTTTTATATTATCAAATATAGTTACTTTTACTGATGCTTTTTATTTTTTCACATGGACTTGAGTAACTACTATCTAGTGTCCTTTCATTTCAGCTAGAAAGTTTCCTTTTTGTGTTTCTTTTTTTTTTTTTTTTTTTGAGACAGAGTCTTGCTCTGTCACCCAGGCTGGAGTGCAGTGGCGCAATTTCAGCTCACTGCAAGTTCTGCCTCCTGGGTTCACCCTGGGTTCATGCCTTTCTCCTGCCTCAGCCTCCCAAGTAGCTGGGACTACAGGTGCCCGCCACCACACCGGCTAATTTTTTGTATTTTTAGTAGAGATGGGGTTTCACCATGTTAGCCAGGATGGTCTTGATCTCCTGACTTCTTGATCCACCCGCCTCGGCTTCCCAAAGTGCTGGGATTACAGGCGTGAGCCACCGCGTCCGGCCCCTCCTTTTTATTTCTTGCAGGGCGGGTCTGCCAGTAATGGATTGTCTCCATTTTTGTTTATCTGGGAATGTCTTAATTTTTTATTTGTTTTGATAGATAGTTTCGGAGAATATAGAATTCTTAGTCAAAAGTCTATTTCTTTAGCACGTTGAATAAATTGTCTCACTGCCTCCTGGCTTCATGATTTGTGATGAGACATCATCAGATGTGTGAATTTGTTAAACATTATTTTAAAAATATTCTTTCTTCCCCCTTTTCTCTCCTTCTGATATTTCCATTATGTGTATGCTGCTATGCTTGATGGTTTCCCACAGTTCTCTGAGGTTTTGTTCACTTTTCTTTATTATTTTTTCTTTTGGTTTCTAAGATTAGAGACTTGCAGTCAACCTAGGTTTAAGTTTTGGTGGCTCTTTCTTGTGTCATTTCAAATCAGCTGTTGTGTTCCTCCAGTGAATTGTTATTTCAATTAATTTTTTTAACTCCAAAATTTCCCTGTGGTTCTTTTTTGAAATAATTTCTATCTCTTAAATGATATTCTCTACTTGGTGGGACATTTTATCAAAATTCTCTTTAATTCTTTAGACATGGTTACTGCAATTTCTTTGATAATATAATAGTAGTTGATTGAAAGTCTTTCTCTAGTTTAGTGTCCGGGCATACTGAAGGAACATTTCTATTGCCTTCCCCCCAGCACTCCCACCACCACCATGTATGGGCCATAATTTTCTGTTTTGTTGCTTGTCTCATAATTTTTTGTATAAAACTGGATATTTAAAATAATACCATGTTACAACCCTGGAAATTGCATCTCCCCTTTGTACCAACCCCGTGTCAGTTGTTGTAGCTGTTTGTTGATGTTGTTATTGCTGTTGTTTGTTTGGTCGTATAGTGACTTTCCTGGACCAATTTTTTGAACTCTGTATTCTTTGTAGTGTGTAGTCTCTAAAATCTCTTTTATGTTAACTTACCAATCAGGTAATAATTCAACACTATTTCCTCAAATGTCTTAAACCAGTAAGTACACCAGTCTTTGCTAAGAATCTCTCAGAGTGTGTTGGAACATGTTGTCAGTCCTTAGCAAGCAAGTAGTTCACAACTCTGCCTTAACCTTCTCTTCTTGCTTGCACAGAGCCTTAAGATCTGCCAAAGGTAAGAGATCAGGGCCTTGTCAGGTCTTCCTTGGCACATGCACGTTGCCTTCTAGATTCCCAGAAATTTGTCAGAGCTTTTCAATGACCCCACGGACATCTCATTCCCCACTCTTCCTTTTGAATTTCGTGGTAGCTTCTTGTTACTATCCCCAACTTTTATCACTGCTTCATGCAACTGTAGTGTTAAATAACTACTGTTGAGTGTTTTTAAGACAATAGCCTAAGGTAGTTACACAGACCAAGCTCTGAGAAAGAAACTTTTCAGGGAGCTTACAGACTGGTCAAATACTGACAATTCTCTGAGTATGGAGTTTTTGGGGTGGTCCAAACCTGTTCTGTCCCCTCCAGGGATGCTAGGTTGTGGTTTTCACAGCTATGACATTTTTGAGGCTGTTGGCTTTCAAGGCTACTGGAGAACTAGAGAAGGCAGATGAGACCAGAGCAAGTTAAAACATCACAGGGCTCACTGTAATATTATAACTAAAATTCAACTGTTTTTCTTTAATAAATGCTCCTGGATTGTGGCAAGCCATCAATTTCCAGCATTCTTAAAAATAAAGATTATAGATCTTTATTCCGTAATTTTGGAAGTGCTTTCTCCTCCATGTTTCAAAATTGTTCAAAAAACACATTTTTCATTTATTTTTCTCATTGTGCATCTTTCTGGATGGTTGGTTCCCTCTGACTCATTTTACATCTCACCAATTGTCCTTTTAACTTTGTCTCATGTGCTATTAAAACTTTCCAATGACTTTTTATTTCAATGACCATGTTTCTTTGAATCAATATTGCCATAGATTGTGGCCTTTCAGCTGAAAGGAAGTAATAGTCAGAAAATAAATGCATGTTATATTTATGAAATTTGGTATTACATTCTTCAACAGGATAAGTTTTATTTGTACCATTTTCAAATCTGCTGGTCATTCTTTATAGTTTTCTGATTCCTATAGATACTTCCAAATTAGTCTTTTATTTTTTAGGCATAGCAAGTATGGAATTATATTTCTGTCAATTCCAATATATCATCTCTTTTCATGTCTATTCCTGCTGCCTGCTATTTCTGCTATTTTTGCTCATGCTGCTTTGTTGCCTGCTGTTTTCAGTGGTTTTGGGTTGTGATCCATGCATTTTCCCTCTAAAACTATTTGTGAAAGTTCTTTGATGCCTGGGATAAAGACGAATCCCTACAAAAACGATTTGTTTTTGCATTTGCTGGACTCTAGGCTATACTATAATCGGAGACAATTTTAAACTGAATTCTCAATTGGAATTTTTTTTTTTTTTACACAGTCCAGCAAATGTGATCATGATTTAGTCAGCCATGTGTTCACTTACTTCTGTTTATGGTTTTTCAAGTGTCTCTCCACTTCTCCCCTTTTCTGTTCAACTAAGATAACATTCGTTGTGGTCTGTGGTTGGGCCTATAGAGTGGGTTGGTGGGTTGATATTATTTTTTACATTTTTGAGGCTGAGGGTTTCTTTTTTTTTTTTTTTTTGCAGTCATGAGGCCAACATATATAACCTGATTTAATCAAAAAGAAACATCGGACAAATCCAAAGTGAGGGACACTCTACAAAACTATGGGCACACACTCTTCAGAATTGTGAAGGTCACAAAAGATAAAGAAAGATTAAGAAACTATCCCAGATTAAAGAGTAAGAAGATAAATAAATGCATTGTGTGATCTTTGATAGCATCCTGATCCAGGAAAAGGGGCACATAGGGACAGCTGACAAAATTTAAATACAGTTTATAGATGAATTAGTGGCATTTACTAGTGTTATTTTCTTGATTTTGATCATTTTACTCAATTATGTAAGATTAAACATTTGGAGAAGTTGGGTGAAGAGTGTACAGGAACTCTTCGTACTATTTTTGCTATTCATTTGTAAGTCTAAAATATTTCATCATGAAAACTTTAAAAATATATATTAATATATATATTCCTGTTTACAAGTCTTTCCAAAGGGCTTCTTTGCAGTCCCCGGAACTTGTCAGCATAATCCTCACCAGCTTCTGTAGCCAAAATCTTGGTGGCTTAAAAAAATAAAAATGTATTATTTCATTCATGTCATAGTCAGACATAGGTCAAATGACTCTCTTAGGTGTGTCCCCTCCAAGGCATCTGTCAAGAAGTTGTTAATATTTGGCAAAGGAAACTGAGCTCTTGAGGATGACTTTAAGGGCTGGGTGTGGAAGTGACATTCATAAGTTCTGTACTTATTCTATTGACTAAACTAGACATGTGTCTCCAACATAACTATAAGAAGCAATAGGAAATACAATCTTCCTGTAAGCCAAGAATAAAGAAACAGGATCTGTGAGCACAAAGCCAGTCTCTGTCTTACCTGTCTATGGTGGTCCCACAGCCCTCGAGCAGTGAAAACAAAATTACAAGTCCGCAGGGTTCAGCAAACACTCTCAGAGCAAAATTAGCTTCGGAGCTTTGTTTTCCTCTCTGGGTTTCTGCCTTCTCCTAGATTTAGGCCCAGTAATTGCTTGTCATCTCTTCTCTTCAAGGCCTTTAAAATGATACAACAACATTTAAATGTGTTCAGCATTTATGGTTGTTCTCAGCTGGAGTGATGGTCCAGAAATGCAGCCAGACTGAGTTCCAGAAATGAAAGTCACAAAAAAATTTTTCCGGCTGGTTTCAGTGGCTCACCCCTGTAATTCCAGCCCTTCGGGAGGCCGAGTTGAGAGGATCACGAGATCAAGAGATCGAGACTATCCTGGCCAACATGGTGAAACCCTGTCTCTACTAAAAATACAAAAATTAGCTGGGCGTGGTGGCGCACACCTGTAGTCCCAGCTACTTGGGAGGCTGAGGCAGGAGAATTGCTTGAACGCACTCCTCGCCCTTCTGTGTGTCCCCAAGCCTAATCTTTCCTGGTTGCAGTGAGCCGAGATCATGCCACTGTACTCCATCCTGGTGAAAGAGTGACACTCTGTCTCAAAAAAAAAAAAAAAAATTTTTTTTTTTTTTTACATTGCTTGGGCTTTGTAGGGCTATCACTATACATGTGATTCCCTGGAGCTTAACTCCCCTAAATTAACTATTTGTTTGGAGCCAGTAGGTATTAGATTCTTATTTTGCAAGTCTAAACAGCACATATATGCACTACATAACACTACCTAAGATAACACTACATAAGGTTTAAGTGATCTCACATCTAGGTTTCATACCATCAATTTCCAGAAAGGCCACTTTGTCTTTCTAGGTGAGAGGGGAATGTCTATAGCTTTACCCTTTATCTCTCTGGGGCAGAGATTATCTACTTCTCCATGAAGCTAGTCACGATTACTCATTCAAGCCTGCTTCTGCCTCTCCCACTCTTAGGCATTGCTTTGCTTCTCCAGTTTTTCTCTGACATTCTGTTTTTAAATTGGCTTTGTCTGCTTGGCTGTGGTCAGGGTCTCTGCATGTGCAGGATAGGTACTGGGGAAGTCTACCGGCTTGCTGAAAGTCAGGCACCTCACATCAGCTCTTAGTTTGAGAACCAACCTCTCGCCTCTCACTTGTTTTTCCAGGCTCTTGGAATCCGAGCTTGTGATGCCTGTTGACCAACTCTGATAACAGATTTTTTTTTCTTTTATTAATTTCATCCCTTGGATATATCTCTCTCCTTTCATGAAAGAATGCAAAAAAGGAACAACCAAACCTCAGCTTCTTTCCTAAACAATTCAGAAGCCACAGAAGCTGTGGCCTCCAGCCAAGGTCTCAAATGATCCTAAGCCATGTTATTTTTTTTCCATTGCTTAAAATGTTGGTGACATCTAGGTATGATGCCAGATTGCTTCTATCATAGTTTATCAAGACCATCTCTACCTACACAGATTTATGTCTGAAATAGGAAAGTAAGTTATTTAACACTTAATTGCTTTGTCTCAGTGACATTTTTTAATTTAGTAAAATAGACCTCCCTGCAAATAGTGAGCCTTATAAATGTCTCAAAGACATTTAATCCAAATAAAATTCTATTTTACTTGGCATAGATAATATAGAGGCAGAGCTTTTAAAAATAAATGTTTTGTACGCTTTGGCAATGAAAGTTTTATGAATCTATTGAATATCTAGTTCAACTAGAGAAACATTTTTAAGGCCCTGTCTTTAAACACAGATTTTTCTTTGAATGTAATTTGTTTGTATAAATTTCAGTGATTCAGGCCAGGATTGTCACTAAGAAGAAAGATTTTGGTATGCATTTTAACAGCATTAGTTAAAAATAAGGATTTATGAACCAGTATTGGCACTAAACTATTTTTTTATAATTAGCCCTTTTCTATAACTTTCACATATACAACATGTATTTTTCATTTAATATTTTAAAGTGGAGAGGCTATTTTTTCATGGTAGGAGGAAGTATGCCTTTTTGATCCAGATTGTCTGGTGTGACCTGATGCATTTTCCTCCCCCTCCAGCATGTAGACACCTTGGGGAAGGCTCAGGCATGGCGGGCTGCAGGTCCCGAGCCCTGCCCCGCGGGGAGGCAGCTAAGGCCCGGCGAGAAATCGAGCGCAGCGCCGGTGAGCCGGCACTGCTGGGGGACCCGTAGCACCCTCCGCAGCTGCTGGCCAGGGTGCTAAGCCCCTCACTGCCTAGGGGGCCGGCGGGGCCGGCCGGCCACTCCGAGGGCGGGGCCCGCCAAGCCCACGCCCACCCGGAACTCTAGCTGACCCGCAAGCGCAGCGCGCAGCCGCGGTTCCCAGCCGTGCCTCCCCTTCCACACCTCCCCGCAGGCTGAGGGAGCCGGCTCCGGCCTCGGCCATCCCAGGAAGGGGCTCCCACAGTGCAGCGGCGGGCTGAAGGGCTCCTCAAGCGCAGCCAGAGTGGGCGCCGAGGCCAAGGGGGCGCCGAGGCCGAGGAGGCGCCTAGAGCGAGCGAGGGCTGCCAGGGCTGCCAGCATGCTGTCACCTCTCACAACGATGCTGAGGACCAGTTTGAGCCATCATATGTCAGGTACTCAGAAGAGTGTGTGGTGTACAGTAAGCATTCCAGCAAATGTCAACCATCCCCACGTCTTTGTCACCATCCCCGTGAAGGTCTCTATGTCTCCTTTATTCTAAATGTTATCTCAGTCTGATTTGTTGAGTGTTTTTAATCAGAACTCAATGATATATCTTAGGTTTTATTTTCAACCCTGTACTTTTTTTTTTTTGTATTTATGACATGAGTTAACAGAACGCTTTAGTAAAAGTAACTTTATATTTCTGTCACAGTTTGTTGAAGTCAAGGATAAATTTTGAAAGCTTTTCGCTAGTTTCCGTTCTGATTTTCAGGATTGGATATATAACATGTTAAAAAAGTAACAGCCCTGCCTATCATAGGGAATAGGGAGAATGGTTTCAGTGCTAAGAGAGTAATATATAATAATGCTACCCATCTTCCATTCATTATGCCACGTTCTTTAAAAATGTTACCTCATTCAATCCTCATAGCAACCCTATAGGGCAGGTTCTATTGTTATTATCATTTATAAATGAATAAACTGAGTCAGAGAATGGTTCAACACATTTAATATTTGCCTAAGATGATACCACTATTAAGTGGTAGAACCACAGAAATTAAACCCAGGAAGTCTGGTTCTCAAATATGGACTCTTAAACATGAGTTTTGATGCAGGGGGAGAAGGATTTTATAATGGAGCAATGTGGTCTTCTCTGACCAAGGCGTTCTTTCTGTGGGCCTGCTTTTTTCTTATGACATTATAATTAGAGTGACCTAAATCAGGGGCAGACACCAAATGATACTGTTGTAGGAAAAAAACGGGCTGTTGTCACATGACTAGGAAAAATTAGGCTCGTGGACACACAGAAGGGCGAGGAGTGGAATTTATTGGGTGAAAGAAAAAAAAAAATCAGCAAAGCGAGAGGCGTTCCTGTTAACAGGCCTTCATCTCACAGATTGAATCCCAGGGACAGGAGAGGCCGGGATCCTCCCCGCTGCAAACAACGCGAACTTCCCGAGGTCCCGCCCTGTCCTCCCACTGTGCAGGCTGGTGGGAGATTCTTCCAGAACCCGTTTTTACTTGGCTGTCGCTATATTTTGTAAAACTTATAGTTTTACGGAGGACTTTATCCCCTTACTTTTATTTGTATGTCAAGTAATGTCTGTTTAATCTTTAATCTAGGTATTTCCAAATATTCACAAACTCCTTATGCAACTATAAATAAAAACTTATTAATGTAGCCAATTAAAATTTTGAAATATTTAAACATAGATTTTATTCTTAATATTTCTATAAGTCCAATAGAGTGAATTTTTTTCGTGTTGTAAAGACTCTTAAATATGTCCATAAATGTACCCATAGAAATTTTTTAAAAATAAACAAAATTGTAAATGCACATAAAACAACACAATGATTAATTTTTTTTCATTATACTTAACCAACACTGGTTTCTAAAGTATTGATAGGATGCCTCAAAAGCTAACCTTATCTTTTGACTCTTACAGAGGAAATTGGAACTTGCAAACTAAAGTTTTCTGCTTCACTCTCATTTATCCCCCATTTGAATGCTTTTGTCAGAGTGACAAAAGCATTTTAATACTTTTTTAGTTTTAAAGAAGACATCAAGAATTTTATTGGATTTATTTTATATTATAAATTATCTATCCACTTACCAGGGTGAACTTGTTTTGTACTTCCAGTGCCTTTTAGAGATGAACAATATTACTTGAGCCTAAGGATCCATTTAAGGGTAAATTCAGTTTACTATTATGTTATTAATGTACTATAATGCCAGGTAAAGAAGTAGTAATTATCCAAGTATTTGCATGTATAATTATGCTGGTGTTTCATGCTTAAAGCTTGTTTCCTTTTTTTCTCTCGCTTTTTGGTATTATTTTTTAAGTTTCACAAGAATATTATTATTTCCCTTGTGAAGGGAGGAAGTGAAAACGTTAGAACTGTGGAAGTTTCCACTCTGAAAGAGACAGTGTTCCTCTTCAGAGTTTATGTGGCTACATAAACCAGGGTTCTGCAGCTTGAGTCAGAATCAAATTCCCAATGCTCAGTATTACTGAAGACATTATTCAAGGTCTCCAGTGAGTCTGCTAATTAATCTGGGTGGTCTCTTAACCAACCAAACATGCTTACCTGAAAACTCCAAACATCCCTAATTACAAAAACTACCAGAAACCCCAAACGACTACTTGGTTTAAAAATAGATACAGATAAAGAGGTAGATGTTGAAATATATATATATATATAGATCAGTGTTTCCCAACCTTGGCACTACTGATATTTTGAATTAATTAATTCTTTGTTGTGGAAGATTGTCCTGTGTGTTGTAGAATTTAGCAGCATTCCCGGCCTCCACCTGTTAGATGCCAGTAGCATCCTTCCCCCAGTAATCATGGCCAAAGATGTCTCTGGACATTGCCAAACCTTGAGAACAACATCTCCTTGGTTGAAAATCACTGACACGCATGTCATAATTCAAATATATGCTGTGGTATGGAGAATCAGACCTAAGCAGAAACTTTTAAAAATGCTTCCCTGACCTTGATATTGCTGATGGAGAGGGAGGAGAGGGGTCCCCTTCTCAACACAAAGCTGAAGGCCTTGAGAGAGACCAAAATGGCACCAAGTGTAGTAGAAAGCAGAAAAGCAGACTGCGCTCAGATTTGCAGACTGGTTGTTCTCTGGTTGTTTGGGATGGATAGGGATTGCTAACTTTTAGAGAGAGGTTCCAGAGAACTGCATATATAAACCTTTTATGTTAAATGCTTACATCAGCAGCATGAGGTGAGTGTACTTTTGTGGAAACTTTATGGTAGTCTTTATCTAGCTTATAAATTGATTTCAATGTTGTTTGCAACTTAACATTTATGGAGAAAGTAGTTTTTCTACATTTGAAGGACGTGAGAACCAGCATCAGAGATACTCTTAAAAGGACATTTAGACAATTTCATTTTCTGAGATAGACAGTGATGTTATAAGCTAGAACTAAGGAGAAATAATTGGCAATATTTTTGTAATGAGGGAGACTTTTAGTAATTTGTTTCATTGTGTGAGAAACTTAATTTAACTTACCAAAACAAAGTAACACATAGTTCCCAATTGACTTCAGTTTTGCTTTATAGCTACAACCATGAAAAATTATTCCACATAACAAAGATATAAAAATTTCATACACTGTCTATTTTTTTCATATTTTATTCCCCATTTATCTTTTCTTCCCTTTCTAATCCTGTCTCTCCTCTCTGTTTACACTGTATTCTTCTCTTTTACCCTGCCTTGTACTTTCATTTTTTTCCTCTGTCTAGTCCCTTGCAGTTGGTTTTCTCTTCCCTTTATAGTTTATCAAACAGCCTGCAATGGTCTTACCAAGCTTCTACATAGAGGACAGAATTGGCACAATGTTTTTGTTCTGCAACCTGAAAATTTTTAATCTTCACATCATTTTATTTGCAGATCTATATAGAAAGGGTTTGTACTAGAGAATGATTTCATGCAGAATTAAACTTTATATGGTGGAGACTACTGATTATCCATAAAAGTCTGTTTTCCACTTATGCTATACTCATAGAATTGTGGCTAGATATAAGGCAAAAGCACACTGGGTTGATAAAAACTACATGGAGAGAGAATCTAACAAGATTAAAATTTAATTTATTTAGAAATGTATGTCTGATTATATTTTAATTTTACATATAGTAAAATTTACTATTTAGTGTACCGTTCTTTGAATTGTGAAACATGCATAGAGTCATAGGATCACCACCACCCAATCAAGATACATAACAGTTTCATCATGAAAAGAACATTTCTCAATATCCCTTTGGCATCAAATCACTCTCCAGTCCCAACCTCTGACAACCACTGATCTATCCTCTCTCCCTGTAGTTCTGCCTTTTCCAAAATATTGTATAATTGGAATCATACAGCATGTAGCCTATGGTTTTTTTCACCTAACATGATGTATTTGAGATTTATTTTTGCTTGGTATCCAGTTGAGTATTTTTAAAAATTGCTGAATCATATTCCTTTTTATGGATGGACCAGAGTTTGTTTATCATCCACAAGCTAAAGAGCATTTGTGCTGTTTCCAGTTTCTGGCAGTTATAAATTAAGGTGCTATAAACATCTATGTACAGGTTTTTGTGTGAATATAAATTTGTATTTGTCTTTGATAAATAACTGGGAATGGAATTGCTGAGTCATATAGTAATTAATGTGTAGCTATATGAGAAACTGTCAAACTGTTGTCTTAAGTAACTGTGCCATTTTGCATTTCCATCAGTCATGTATGAGAGTTTTAGTTGTTTTGCATCCTTACCAGCATCTGGTATTGTTAATGGCTTTTAGTAAATGAATAAGTAAATAAATGAATAAATAAAGCTATTCTAATAGGTGTTTAGTGATAACTTCCTGTAGTTTTAAATAATTATTCATAATGAATAATGATAATGTGCATTTGTTCATGTGCTTATTTTCCATTTGTATAATTATTTTGCTAAACTGTCTTAAAATCTTTTGCCTATTTTTTAAACTGTTTTTAATTGTCTTACTGCTGAGTTTTGAGACTTCTTTACTCTTTTTTTAACCTTTTTTTCTTATTATACTTTAAGTTCTGGGATACATGTGCAGAACATGCAGGTTTGTTACACAGGTATATACGTGCCATGGTGGTTTGCTGCACCCATCAACCTGTCATCTACATTAGGTATTTCTCCTAAAGCTATCCCTCCCCTAGCCCCCTCACCTCCCGACAGGCCCCGGTGTGTGATGTTCCCCTCCCTGTGTCCATGTGTTCTCATTGTGCAACTCCCACTTATGAGTGAGAACATGCGGTGTTTGGTTTTCTGCTCCTGTGTTAGTTTGCTGATAATGATGGTTGCCAGTTTCATCCATGTCCCTGCAAAAAACATGAACTCATCTTTTTTATGCTGCATAGTATTCCATGGTATGTATGTGCCACATTTTCTTTATCCAGTCTATCACTGATGGACATTTGGGTTGGTTCCAAGTCTTTGCTATTGTGAACAGTGCTGCAGTAAACATACGTGTGTGCATGTGTCTTTATAGTAGAATGATTTATAATCCTCTGGGTATATACCCAGAAATGCAATTGCCGGGTCAAATGGTATTTCTGGATCTAGATCCTTGAGGAATCGCCATGCTGTCTTCCACAATGGTTGAACTAATTTACACTCCCACCAACAGTGTAAAAGCGTTTCTATTTCTCCACATTCTCTTCAGCATCTGTTGTTTCCTGACTTTTTTATGTCACCATTAAAACTGGCGTGAGATGGTATCTCATTGTGGTTTTGATTTGCATTTCTCTAATGACCAGTGATGATGAGCTTTTTTTCATATGTTTGTTGGCCGCATAAATGTCTTCTTTTGAGAAGTGTCTGTTCATATCCTTTGCACACTTTTTGATGGGGTTGTTTGTTTTTTCTTGTAAGTTGTTTAAGTTCTTTGTAGATTCTGGATATTAGCCCTTTGTCAGATGGATAGATTGCAAAAATTTTCCCATTCTGTAGGTTGCCTGTTCACTCTGATGGTAGTTTTTTTGCTGTGCAGAAGCTCTTTAGTTTAATTAGATCCCATTTATTAATTTTAGCTTTTGTTGCCCATGCTTTTGGTGTTTTAGTCATGAAATCTTTGCCCATGCCTATGTCCTGAATGGTATTGCCTAGGTTTTCTTCTAGGGTTTTTATGGTTTTAGGTCTTATGTTTAAGTCTTTAATTCATCTTGAGTTAATTTTTGTATAAGGTGTAAGGAAGGCGTCTAGTTTCAGTTTTCTGCATAAGGCTAGCCAGCTTTCCCAACACCATTTATTAAATAGGGAATCCTTTCCCTATTGCTTGTTTTTGTCAGGTTTATCAAAGATCAGATGGTTGTAGATGTGTAGCATTATTTCTGAGGCCTCTGTTCTGTTCCATTGGTCTATATATCTGTTTTGGTAATAATACTATGCTGTTTTGGTTACTGTAGCCTTGTAGTATAGTTTGAAGTCAGGTAGCATGATGCCTCCAGCTTTGTTCCTTTTGCTTAGGGCTGTCTTGGCTATACGGGCTCTTTTTGGGTTCCATATGAAATTTAAAGTCGTTTTTTTCTAACTCTGTGAAGAAAGTCAATGGTAGCTTCATGGGGATAGCATTAAATCCATAAATTACTTTAGGCAGTATGGCCATTTTCACAGTATTGATTCTTCCTGTCCATGAGCATGGAATGTCTTTGCATTTGTTTGTGTCCTCTCTTATTTCCTTGAGCGGTGGTTTATAATTCTCCTTGAAGAGGTCTTTCACATCCCTTGTAAGTTGGATTCCTAAGTATTTATTTCTCTTTGAAGCAATTATGAGTGGGAGTTCACTCATGATATGGCTCTCTGTTTGTCTGTTATTGGTGTATAGGAATGCTTGTGATTTTTCCACATTGATTTTGTATCCTGAGACTTTGCTGAAGTTGCTTATCAGCTTAAGGAGATTTTGGGCTGAGATGATGGGGTTTTCTAGATATACAATCATGTCATCTGCAAATAGGGACAATTTGACTTCCTCTTTTCCTAATTGAATACCCTTTATTTCTTTCTCCTGCCTGATTGCCCTGGCCAGAACTTCCAACACTATGTTGAATAGGAGTGGTGAGAGAGGGCATCCTTGTCTTGTGCCAGTTTTCAAAGGGAATGCTTCCAGCTTTTGCCCATTCAGTATGATATTGGCTGTGGGTTTGTCATAAATAACTCTTATTATTTTGAGATATGTTCCATCAGTACCTAGTTTATTGAGAGTTTTTAGCGTGAAAGGCTGTTGAATTTTGTCAAAGGCCTTTTCTGCATCTATTGAGATAATCGTGGTTTTTGTCATTGGTTTTGTTTGTATGATGGATTACGTTTATTGATTTGTGTATGTTGAACGAGCCTTGCATCCCAGGGATGAAGCCAAATTGATTGTGGTGGATAAGCTTTTTGATGTGCTGCTGGATTCGGTTTTCCAGTATTTTACTGCGGGTTTTTGCATCCCTGTTCATCTGGGATATTGGCCTGAAATTTTCTTTTTTTGTTGTGTCTCTGCCAGATGTTGGTATTAGGATGATGCTGGCCTCATAAAATGAGTTTATGGAGGGGCTCTCTTTTTCTATTGTCTGGAATAGTTTCAGAAGGAATGGTACCAGCTCCTCTTTGTACCTCTGGTAGAATTCAGCTGTGAATCCATCTGGTCCTGGGCTTTTTTTCGTTGGCAGGCTGCCTCAATTTCAGAACTTGTTATTGGTCTTTTCAGGGATTCAACTTCTTCCTGGTTTAGTCTTGGGAGGGTGTATGTGTCCAGCAGTTTATCCATTTCTTCTAGATTTTCTAGTTTATTTGCATAGAGGTGTTTATAGTGTTCTCTGATGGTAGTTTGTATTTCTGTGGGATCAGTGGTGATATGCCCTTTATCAGTTTTTATGCATCTATTTGATTCTTCTCTCTTTTCTTCTTTATTAGTCTGGCTAGTGGTCTATCTATTTTGTTGATCTTTTCAAAAATCCAGCTCCTGGATTCATTGATTTTTTGAAGGGTTTTTCGTGTCTCTTATCTACTTCATTTCTGCTCTGATCTTAGTTATTTCTTGTCTTCTGCTAGCTTTCGAATGTGTTTGCTCTTGCTTCTCTAGTTCTTTTAACTGTGATGTTAGGGAGTCGATTTTAGATCTTTCCTGCTTCCCCCTGTGGGCATTTAGTGCTATCAATTTCCCCCTAAACACTGCTTTAGCCGTGTCCCAGAGATTCTGGTATGTTGTGTCTTTGTTCTCACTGGTTTCAAAGAACATCTTTATTTCTGCCTTCATTTCGTTATTTACCCAGTAGTCATTCAGGAGCAGGTTGTTCAGTTTCCATGTAGTTGTGTAGTTTTGAGTGAGTTTCTTAATCTTGAGTTCTAATTTGATTGCAGTGTGGTCTGAGAGGCTATTTGCTATGATTTCTGTTCTTCTGCATTTGCTGAGGAGTGTTTTACTTCAATTATGGGGTCAATTTTATAATTAGTGCAATGTGGTATTGAGAAGAATGTATATTCTGTTGATTTGGGGTGAAGAGTTCTGAAGATGTCTATTAGGTCTGCTTGGTCCAGAGCTAAGTTCAAGTCCTGAATATTTTCTCTCTTGTTGATCTGTCTAATATGGGCAGTGGGGTGTTAAGTTCTTTCACTGTTATTGTGTGGGAGTCTAAGTTTCTTTGCAGGTCTCTAAGAACTTGCTATAGGAATCTGGGTGCTCCTGTATTGGGTGCCTATATATTTAGGATAGTTAGCTCTTCTTGTTGAATTGATCCCTTTAGCATTAGGTGATGCCCTTCTTTGTCTGTTTTGATCTTTGTTGGTTTAAAGTCTGTTTTATCAGAGACTATTATTGCAACCCCCGCTTTTTTTTTCTTTCCATTTGCTCAGTAAATATTCCTTCATCTCTTTATTTTGAGCCTATGTGTGTCTTTGTATGTGAGATGGGTCTCCTGAATACAGCACACCAATGGGTCTTGACTCTATCCAATTTGCCAGTCTGTGTCTTTTAATTGGGGAATTTAGCCCATTTATATTTAAGGTTAATATTGTTATGAGTGAATTTGATCTTGTCATTATGATGCTAGCTGCTTATTTTGCCCTTTAGTTGATTCAGTTTCTTCATAGTGTCTATGGTCTTTACAATTTGGTATGTTTTTGTAGTGGCTGGTACCAGTTTTTCCTTTCCATATTTAGTGCTTCCTTCAGGAGCTCTTGTAAGACAGGCCTGATGGTGACAAAATCTCTCTGCATTTGCTTGTCTGTAAAGGATTTTATTTCTCCTTCACCTATGAAGCTTAGTTTGGCTGGATATGAAATTCTGGGTTGAAAATTCTTTTATTTAAAAATGTTGAATATTGGCGCCCACTCTTTTCTGGCTTCTAAGGTTTCTGCAGAGAGATCCACTGTTAGTCTGATGGGCTTCCCTTTGTGGGTAACCTGACCTTTCTCTCTGGCTGCCCTTAACATTTTTTTCTTCATTTCAACCTTGGTGAATCTGATAATTATGTGTCTTGGGGTGGCTCTTCTTGAGGCGTACCTTTGTGGTGTTCTTTGTATTTCCTGAATTTGAATGTTCGCCTGTCTTGCTAGGCTGGGCAAGTTTTCCTGGGTGATATCCTGAGGAGTACTTTCTAACTTGGTTCCATCCTGCCCGTCACTTTCAGGTACACCAATCAAAGGTAGGTTTGGTCTTTTCACATAGTCCCATATTTCTTGGAGGCTTTGTTCGTTCCTTTTCGTTCTTTTTTCTCTAATCTTGTCTTCATGCTTTATTTCATTAAGTTGATCTTCAATCTCTGGTATCCTTTCTTTTGCTTGATTGATTCAGCTATTGATATTTGTGTATGCTTCACAAAGTTCTGGTGCTGTGTTTTTCAGCTCCATCAGGTCATTTATATTCTTCCCTGAACTGGTTATTCTAGTTGGCAGTTCCTCTAGCCTTTTTTTCAAGATTCTTAGCTTCCTCGCATTGGGTTAGAACATGCTCCTTTAGCTTGAAGGAGTTTGTTGTTACCCACCTTCTGAAGCCTACTGCTGTCAGTTTGTCAAATTCATTCTCTGTCCAGCTTTGTTCTGTTCTCTTGCTGGCAAGGACTTGTGATCCTTTGGAGGAGAAGAGGTGTTCTGCTTTTTGGAATTTTCAGCCTTTTTGCACTGGTTTTTCCTCATCTTCTTGAATTTATCTACCTTTGGTCTTTGATGTTGGTGACCTTCAGATATGGTTTCTGTGTGGACATCCTTTTTGTTGATGTTGATGCTATTCCTTTCTGTTGGTTAGTTTTCCTTCTAACAGTCAGGCCCCTCAGCTGCAGGTCTGCTGGAGTTACTAGAGGTACACTCCAGACCCTGTTTGCCTGGGTATCACCAGCAGAGGCTGCAGAACAGCAATGATTGCTGCCTGTTCCTTCCTCTGGAAGCTTTGTCCCAGAGGGTCACCCACCAGATGCCAGCTGGGGCTCTCTAGTATGAGGTGTCTGTCAACCCCTGCTGGGAGATGTCTCCCAGTCAGGAGGCATGGGGGTCAGGGACCCACTTGAGGAAGCAATCTGTCCCTTAGCAGAGCTCGAGCACTGTGCTGGGAGACTCTTCAGAGCTGGGAGATAGGAATGTTTAAGTCTGCTGAAGCAGTGCCCACAGCCGCCCCTTCCCCCAGGTGCTCTGTCCTGGGGAGATGGTAGTTTTATCTATAGGCCCCTGACTGGGGCTGCTGCCTTACTTTCAGAGATACCCTGCCCAGAGAGGAGAAATCTAGAGAGGCAGTTTGGCTACAGTGGCTTTATGGAGCTTCAGTGGGCTCCACCCAGTTTGAACTTCTTGGTGGCTTTGTTTACGCTGTGAGGGGAAAACAACCTACTCAAGCATCAGTAATGGTGGACGCCCCTCCCCCCACCAAGCTCGAGTGTCCCAGGTCAACTTCAGACTGCTGTGCTTGCAGTGAGAATTTCAAGCCTGTGGATCTTAGCTTGCTGTGCTCTGTGGGCATGGGATCCACTGTGCTGGACCACTTGGCTCCCTGGCTTCAGCTCCCTTTCCAGGGGAGTGAGTGGTTTTGTCTAGCTGGCATTCCAGGCACCTCTGGGGTATGAAAAAAAAAACTCCTGCAGCTAGCTTGATGTCTGCCCAAACAGCCACCCAGTTTTGTGCTTGAAACCCAGGGCTCGGGGGGGCGTAGGCACCTGAGGGAATCTCCTGGTCTGCGGGTTGTGAAGATCATGGGAAAAGTGTAGTATCTGGGCCAGAATGCACCGTTCCTCATGGCACAGTCCCTCATGGCACAGTCCCTCATGGCTTCCCTTGGCTAGGGGAGGGAGTTGTCCAACCCTTTGTGCTTCCTGGATGAGGCAATGCCTCACCCTGCTTTGGCTTGCCCTCTGTGGGCTGCAACCACTGTCTAACCAGTCCTAATGAGATGAGCCGGGTACCTCAGTTGGAAATGCAGAAATCACCCACCTTCTGCATTGATCTCACTGGGAGCTGCAGACCGGAGCTGTTCCTATTTGGCTGTCTTGCCTGTGACCGTTCTTTACTCTTTATACAAGCCCTTTGTCAGTAATAAAATTTGTTGTAAACATTTTTTTCTCAGTTTGTGGCTTTCAGTTCATTTTGAAAGTGTTTTTCAGAGGCTGAAATAATTTAATTTTGCTGGTATTGATTTCATCAACTTTTTAAAAAAATGGCTTGTGCTTTTGATATCATATCCAAGGAATCTTTGCCTAACTCAAGGTCACAAAAATTTTCTCCTTTGTTTTCATCCTAAAGTTGTATGCTATTATATTTTACATTTAGGCTTATGATCCATTCGAGTTAACACCATTTGTTGAAATGACTATTTTTGCTCCATTAAACTTCCATTGTGTCTTTGTAAAAAAAATCATTGCCTATATTTTTGTGAATCTATTTATGGGTTCCCTATTCTGCATCATTATTATATTTGTCCTTTCACCAACACCACACAGTTTTCACTATGTAGCTTTATTTTTGGTCTTGAAATTATGTAATTATAATATGAATCCTCCAACTCTGTTCTTCTTTTTCAAGATTGTTTTGGCTATTCTAGGTCCTTTGCCTTTCCATACAAATTTTAGAATAAGTTTGCTAATATCTCTACAAAGTCCTGCTGGGATTTTGTTTAGAATTGCCTTAAATCTATAGATAAATTTTGAGACAAGTGGCACTCAACAATATTGATTAACACAATCTGTGGTCACATTATCTCTTCATTTGTTTTGGTCTCTTTGGCTTTTTTCATCAGTGTGTAATATTTTTGAGCATACTTATCTTGCACATATCTTGTTAAATGTGTACATATTTCATTTATTTGTATTTCTGATGCTATTTTAAATGGTGCTACCCGCCCCCCACCCAATTTTGGTTTCCACTTGTTTGTTGCTAGAATATAGAAATACAACTAATTTTTATATATTGACCTTGTATCTTGCAACCTTGCTAAATTCATTTATTAGTTTTAGGAGCGTCTTACTAGATTACTTTAGACTTTCTGTGTAGATGGTCATTTATCTGTAAATAGAGATAATTTTATTTGCTCCTGTCCAATCTGTAGGCCATTTATTCTTTTCTTGCTTTATTGCAGTGGCTAGGACTATCAATATGATATTAAATAGGAGAGGTGAAAACAGACATCCTTGCCTCATCAATGATCTTAAGGGAAAGGCTTACATCTTTAATTGTTAACTGTAATGTAGTATATAGGTTATTTTGTTTGTTTGCTTGTTTTTTGTTTCTTTGTAGCTGCCCATTATCAGGGGCAAGGCATTTATTCTTTTATCATTAAGTCTGATGTAGAATGTAGAGATTTTTTAGATGTCCTTGATTAGGCTAATGAAATTTATATACCTAGTCTATATCAGTGGCTATTAAATTTTATAACATGCTTTTTTGCATCTATTGAGATGATTATGTAATATTTTCTGTTGATATTGTAAACCATATTGATTGATATTTTATGTTGAATCAGCTTTGAATTACTGGGAAAATCCCACTTGGTCATGATATATTATCTTTTTAACATATTGCACATGCTGCAAGATTCTATCAGCTAATATTTTGTTGAAAATCTTTGTGTCCATATTCATGAATATTTTTCTATAGTTTTTATTTCTTGCTATATCTATGTCTGATTTGGGTATTGGGTTATGCTGATCTCATAAAATGAATTGAGGAATGTTTTCTTCTCTTCTATTTTCTGGAAAGACATTGTATAGAGTTTATATTATTTCTTTGAAAGTACACCAGAATTTTTCGGTCAAATACTCTGGGAATCGACTTTTCTTGTGGAAACGTTTGTATGTAAAAACTTAATATTTCTTTAATGGAGATATGATTATTTTGTCTATTTCTTTATCAAATTTATCAGCGAATCTTGGTAGTTTCTGTTATTCAAACAATTATTCTGTTTTATCTACATTTTTATATTTGTGGGCATTGAGTACTTGATAGTCTTTTATTAACTTTTCTTTTGGATGGCTTGTTTTTTTTTTTTTTTTTTTGAGATGGAGTCTTGGTCTGTCTCCCAGGCTGGAGTGCAGTGATGTGATCTCGGCTCACTGCAAGCTCCGCCTCCCGGGTTCACACCATTCTCCTGCCTCAGCCTCCCGATTTGCTGGGACTACAGGCGCCCACCACCACACCCATCTAATTTTTGTATATTTTAAGTAGAGGCAGGGTTTCGCCATGTTAGCCAGGATGGTCTCGATCTCCCGATCTCGTGATTTGCCCGCCTCTGCCTCCCAAAGTGATGGGATTACAGGCGTAAGCCACTGCGCCCGGCCTGATTTTTAACATGATGTATTTTATATCATTTTTGGCTTTTTGGCTATCTAGCATGTGTGTGCACCTGTGCGTGTGTTCTAAGGATTGCAATATACCTACTTAACTTTAACAGTCTTCTTTGAGTTAATATTTTGCCATTTCAAGGAAAGCGTAGAAATCTACCCTTTAACTTTTCCTTTTCTGTTACAGTTGTCACATGTTTTACATCTACATAAACTGAAAACCTGCATCAAGAAATGTTACAATTTTTCTTTTTGATGGCTATGTATAAAGAACTTAGGAAGAGAAAAACAATTTTTAAAATATTTACCCAGATATAGACCTACATATGTTGTTCTTCCTTCCTTCCTGAAGTTCCAGAGATCTCTCTGGTATCATTTTTCTTACGCTGGGAAAATGTCTTTTACCATTTGTTTTAGAGCAAGTCTACTGGCAACAAATTCTCTTAGGATCCCTTCATTTGAGAATATGTTTATTTTGTCATTATTCCTGAAGGATATTTTCACTGGACATAGAATTGCGAGTTGACAGTTATTTATTTATTTATTTATTTTTGGCACTTTGAAGATGTTGTCCCACAGTTTTCCGGCCTCCCTAGTTTCTGATGAGAAATCCACAGTCATTCACATTATTTCTCCCTTATATGTAAAGTGGCATTTTTAATGGCTGCTTTCATGGCTTTTCTTAACCCCTGATTTTTAGCAGTTTTATTCCCACATGTCTGGGTTTGGTTTTCCTTGGGTTTCCCTGTGTGGAGTGTGCCAAACTACTTAAATCTGTAGATTTATGCCTTTCCTCAAATCTGGGAAGTTTCAGTGTTATTTCTTCTGATACATTTCCCTTTACTAATTGTTTCTCCTCTTCCTCCGTGATGCTAATGGTACGAATATTAGACCATTTAATATTGTCTCACATGTTCCTAAAGCTCTCTTAATTTTATTTTTAATCTCTTTTTCACTTTGTTTTTCAGATTGAATAATCCCTTAACCAGTGGTCCCCAACCTTTTTGGCACCAGGGACCAGCTTCATGGAAGCCAATTTTTCCATGCAAGGGGTGGGTGGGGGATGATTCAAGGGCATTACATTTATTGTGCACTTTATTTCTATTATTACTATTTTTAATATATAATGAAATAATTATACAACTCACCATAATGTAAAATTAGTGGGAGCCCTGAGCTTGTTTTGCTGAAACTAGATGGTCTCATCTGGAGGTGCTAGGACACAGTGACACATCATCAGGCATTAGATTCTCATAAGGAATGTGAAGCCTAGATCCCTCACATGCTCAGTTCACAATAAGGTTTGCATTCCTATGAGAATCTAATGCCCTTGCTGGTCTGACAGGAGGCGGAGCTCAGGCGGTAATGCTCGCTCATCCTCAGCTCACCTCCTGTTGTGCAGCCTGGTTCCTAACAGGCCACCAGTCTGTGGCCCGGGGCTGGGGACTCCTGCCTTAACCTATCTTCTAATTGTGTCTTCCCTTTTCACCTCCATTCTGCTATTGAACCCATCCACTGATATTTTTATTCCCAATATTGTATTTTTCAATTGTAAGGTTTTGATATCATTTGTTTTTAGTTTCTATTTCTAGCTGAAAGCTTTTATCTTTTGATGCATTTTAAGAATTTCACCTTTGCCTCACAGGATAGTTATAATGGCTGCTCTAATGTATTTTTCTGATAATTCCAATATCTAAGTCATCTCAGGGTTGTCATCTCTTGATTGTCTTTGCCCTTGGTAATTGGGCACATTTTCATAGATTTTGATATTTTGAGTAATTTTAGATTGCATACTGAACATTTTGAATATTATGTCATGTTAAAATTTTCTGGAGTCCTGTTAAATTTTCTGGAGTCCTGTTAAAATTTTCTGGAGAAAGTTGATTATTCTGTTTTAAAAGACAATTCAGCTTTCTCTGGTTATAAGATGAAATAGACAAACTTCTTCCTAGTTCTCCCACCAATTACAGTTAAAAATCCTAAACATTATTTATGAAGCAAACACAGAAGACTTTTGAAGGTAGAGAGATGACAGGCGAGAGACCTGGGACTTGTAGAAACTTTAGCAGAGTTTCTTGTTTCTGTTTTGTTATTGTTGCTATTGATTTACATACCCTGGACTGGGCACTGGAGAAGGGGGCAGTCTGGAAATACCAATGGGCATAGGCCAAAAAATCCCAAAGAAAAGCAATTCTCTCTAGCTAAGGGACCATGAAAGTGGCCGTCTAGAAAGAATGAAATATTTTAGACACTAACTACCCTAATGCAATCATTACAACCCAGAGTAAACTGGCTACATCCCCTTCAGCAAAGGCTGAGTGAGGAAGCTGGACTTCCACCCTCATCTGCCTGTAACGGACCCCTTCCTTCCCCTGTGCTGTCAGTAGAGACCACAGCGCGAGCTTGGACTTCCATCCCCATCTAGCAGTAATGAAAAGGTTCCTCCTTTCTCCTCTCCCACACTGGCCTGGTGTCAGAAAAAAATTGTTTGACCAGAAGATTTAAGTAAGTCCTAGAGTCTCACAGCAACACCTGAAATGTCCGGAATACAATAAAAATCACTCATTATAAGAATCAGAAAAATCTTAACATGAATGAGAAAAGAAAATTAACCAATACCAACGTTGAGTTGATAGAGATGTTGGAACTATCCAAAAGGAAATTTAAAGCAGTCATCATAAAAACATTTCAATAAGCAATTACAAACATGCTTGAAACAAATGGAAAAAGTAGTGTTAAAGAAATACAAAATATAAATAAGGGCGTATTTTTCTGTCCCCTGTCAAGAAAAAGAGGGTTTCTTTTGGAGTTTTTATCTGTGCCTGCTGTGCACTGGGCAAACTTAGATCAAAGTGGGGTGATAAAAGAGGGGAAAAATTAGAAAATTCACTGCTATACTGGTTATTCTTAAAGTTTTGATGTCTCTTCCCACGCTGCCTCCTACTTTTAGAGCTCTCAGGTAGTTGCTCAGTTGCTTTTTGTACCTTGTCCAGAGTTGTAATCAGGTTATAGTAGACTTAATCCTTCCTGGCCAGCATGGAAACATGACAACATTTTGAAGCCAGGGTGGTTGCCTGCCCATCCTAGGTTTGAAGTAGCAGAAGATCTGTGGCAGATTAGCAGGGACAAATATTACTGATGGAGATTGAATGATAAAGCATTGACCTTTGAAGAGTTGGCAAAATGCATTGGGGAGAGAAAATGAGGAAGAAATAGCCAGAAATACTGGTTACAACAGACTGCTTTAGTGAACATTAAATAACTGATTGGGCTGGAGGAGAGGGGTGGGGGAAGCCAGACCCCTTGAAGTTGAAGCCAGTAAAAAAAAAAAAAAAAAAAGAAAAGAAAAAAGAAAAACCAGAAAGATGTGTCAACTTTGCACATTGCCAGGTTGCACCTTGTTATTAGTTGGGAGGAAGAAAAATTACTTTAGCCCAGGTGATCACTCTACCTAAAGGGTCTTGGCAAATTTGTCCCATTTTTATCCCAGACTGGATGAACTTAAATCCACTGATGCAGATGGGAAGTGGAAGAATGTGTTAGACCAGGGTTCTGGGTTTACTCTACCTGTTAAATAAAGCAAAGAAGATTGACTTGAATTCCACTGGGGGATCCAAGACTACATGTTATGTCTAAACAGAACAGCCTTGGGTTGATGCAATTATTGGATTCTGGTGAGCAATAAACCATAACATCTGCTATATAGTGGGAGGAAAATATCAGGAAACCAAAAAAGAGCCTTTTAGGGGCATAGCGATGTTGTCATGGTAAGTCCTAGGGTTATGGTGAAGCCACTGTTTAAAAAGTGAAAAAGAAACAAAACAACAACAAAAACCCAAGACACAAAACATGCATCTGAGTGCATAGTTGGAATAAGTGTCATTGTGAATGGAAGGCTTTGCTGTTGCTGGGACTTCTTCTACCCTTTGCCTGATTTTAATTGAGTATGTTAATTAGGAAATCTTAGAATTGTCCAAACTCTCCTCCATAGTGAATATTAAGCAATACCCAAATCCCAGAAGGATAACAAGAAATTTCCAGCTTTAATTTAAATATATAATAGAGTGGTTTAATCCTATAGTAAGAATGTAGATTGGTGTAGCCTCTATGGATAAACAGTATGGAGATTCCTAAAGAAATTAAAAGTAGAACAACCATATGACCCAGCAATCCCTCTTCTGGTTACATGCCCAAAAGAGATGAAATCACCAACTCATAAAGATATCTGCATTCTCATGTTTATTACAGCATTATTCACAATGCCCATGATAGGGAAACAGTGTAAGTGTCTGCTGATGAGCAAATGGATAAAGATAATCTGATATATATATATCTCAGATATATTTTAAGGCAGAACAGTATTGTATCTCATATATATATATCTCGTATACATATATCTTGTATATATATCTCATCTACATATATCTCTCATATATATCTCAACTACATATATCTCATATATATATCTCATATACATATATCTCATATATATATCTCATCTACATATATCTCATATATATCTCATCTACATATATCTCATATATATCTCATGTACATATATCTCATATATATCTCATACATATATCTCATATATATATCTCATCGACATATATGTCATATATATATCTCATCGACATATATCTCATATATATATCTCATCTACATATATCTCATATATATATCTCATATATATCGCATATATATCTCATCTACATATATATCATATATGTCTCATCTACATATATCTCATATATCTCATCTACATATATCTCATATATATCTCATCTACATATATCTCATATATATCTCATATATATCACATATATATATCTCATCTACATATATCTCATATATATCTCATCTACATATATCTCATATATATCTCATCTACATATCTCATATATATCTCATCTACATATATCTCATATATATCTCATCTACATATATCTCATATATATATCTCATCTACATATATCTCATATATATATCTCATCTACATATCTCATATATATCTCATCTACATATATCTCATATATATATCTCATCTACATATATCATATATATCTCATCTACATATATCATATATATATCTCATCTACATATATCATATACATCTCATCTACATATATCATACATATATCTCATCTACATATATCATATATATCTCATCTACATATAACATATATATATCTCATCTACATATATCTCATATATATCTCATCTACATATATCATATATATATCTCATCTACATATATCTCATATATATCTCATCTACATATATCTCATATATATATCTCATATACATATATCTCATATATATCTCATATACATATATCTCATATATATATCATCTATATATCTCATATATATCTCATCTACATATATCTCATATATATATCTCATATATATATGAGATACAATACTGTTCTGCCTTAAAAAAGGAGATCCTGCCATTTGTCACAACATGGACGGACCTGGAGGACATTATGCTAAGTGAGATAAGCCAGAAACAGAAAGAAATGTATTTAATGATCTCACTTACATATGGAATCTTTTAAAAAAATGTCAAATACATAGAGACAGAGAATAAAACAGTGGTTACTGGGGTGGGGGGATGTGAAGGAAATGGGGTGATGAAGGTCAAAGGATACAAAGTAGCAGATATGTAGGATGAACAAGTCTAGAGATCTAATGTACATGAGGACTGCAGTTAATGAAATTATATCGTATTCGGGATTTCATTAAGCACATTTTAGCTGCTCTTGCCACAAAAAGAAAGTGACCATGTGAGATGATAGATATATTAATCTGCTTCACTGCAGTAACTATTTTACTATTTAAATGTATCCAATAACATCATATTGTAAACCTCAAATATACACAATAGCATTTATTTTAAAAATAATAAAAATTAAAATTAAAATATAGTAGAATGATACTAATTTCCAACAGCTTGCTTTACAACCGTCCTCTCTTGCTTGTGGGAAGAAAAATGGGTGACTCCTGTAAAGTAACTTGTTTATTGTGGCTTAAACCAAGTAGCTCCATTGATAACCCCCATCATGTCAGACATGGGTGAACCTATTTAGGAAACCAATAGGGTAATATGACTGGGATGCTGTGAAAGTCGTGGTGTTTTTTTTTTTCTTTTCTGTCCTAGTCTTAGAAGAAATCAGGCAAAATGTCCCTTTTCAGGGGAATGATTGATATACACTCACCATTCTCTGCTACAAGTAGTTGAATTCTCCAGTATATTTTGACGAGTTGGTGAGGTAAGGTTTAGACTTAATCACAGTCAAATGCAAGTTGATATATGCATTAATGATAACAGGAAAGTTTCCCTGTCAGAGCGGGAAGCCTAGGAGGATCTGAGAACAGTACTGGCATCTATGAGTAGTTGAAGATGGCTAATCTGTGTGGTTAAAATACAGCTCAATCAGTTAAACACTTGAACGTGGCTTGGAGTGAAGGCCGCAAGAGACAGTCCACCGAAGGCAGAGAATAAATGAATGTGTTTGCTAGGCTCTGCTAATAAGAAGGAGACACAAAAATCTGTGGGGCATTTTGGGCTTGGGGGACACCACTCGCTGTTCCTGGGCATCTTGCTAGCTAAAATACATCGAGTGACAAGAAAGAAAAGTGTGAATTTGAAAGATATCCCAAAACAAAAACAGGCTTTGAAGACTTACAGAGAGCTGTAACCCAAAACAGCACTATTTGGGTTGGCCTACTGTACAAATTATTTTGGAGGTTTTTACTATCTAGATAGATATGTGCAGATTGTAGTCTCTTGCCAAAGTTGTTAACACTGTTCTCCTTGCACTAAGCAGTGACTGCTGGAAGAATATTGAATTTGAAGATACTTGATGTCAAGACAAGATATGGCCCCTTTGAGAGACAATTACTGCCCTTTTACTGGGCTTTAGTGGAGATTGTTCCCACCACTCAGGGATTTCAAATAATTCTGAGATCTAAAGTACCTTGATGTCATAGGTAATGTCAGATTCATTCTGATAAGGAAGGAGCAGCTCAACAGAGCTCAGTGTTAAAATAGAAATGATATATTTATAGGAACGCTGCACTTGCTATGGCCCTGAAGACATTGTATCCATAAATATATTGCTACTTTGCTCTTAGGACCAACAACAGGAGCCCCCAAAACTGCCAGCTCTTGGTGCTGAGTGGTTTTAATCATAGGTTTCTCTCCTTGTTAAAGTAAAGTGAGTTTCCTGGTTTACTGATGGAAGCCCTCAAATCAAGGATGCACTGCAGTCTGGATGTTTGCCCCCATTTGATCAGTAGGTCATAAAACCTTGGCTGAAGAAGCAGGGGTAACTTGAGCAACACTCAAAATTGAGGGCAGTATACCCATAGAACAGTAAGAGCTTGGACTTGCCAAGGCCTTGATGTATAGTCAGGCAACACATTCTCCCTCCCTCCTTCTCTGCCTCCCTCCCTCCCTTCTTCCTTCCTTCCTAGATTGTAATTATGAAATCCCTGTAGGAACTTCAAGGATGAATTAAAATGGCCTATGCATATGCCAACCAGAAAAGTGCAGTTGGTGGCTCAGAGGAGGACTGAGATGTAGAGGCTGTCTTGTCCAGCCTCTGGAAATAGCTACTTAGGTACATAAGCCGAGCAGCATTTCAAGTTATGAAATGTTGGATGGAAAAATGATATATTTATTTGCCTCTCATTGAAGCTGGTAATAAGGTGAATGTCAAGAACAAAAGAATCATCTAAAGATCTAAAGATGGCTTTAGGTAAGATTCCCTGAGTTTAGGAGCTGGCATTTAGCTAGGAAATGAATACCTAGGACCCTCACTAGTAGTCCCAGCTGGCTTCATATGGGTCCTCCTGGAGTAGACATGTAATCTGCTTTGGTCTCCTCTTACTTAGTCACCCAAGCAATGGCTAAGAATGTCATTTAAGGTATGCAGCACCAAGTTTGGTCCCTCAAACCACATTTCATTGGACTAAGGTATGCGTTTAGCTGCTGGCAATGTAAAAAACTGAACTAAAAAAATAGTAACGCAGGGACCGGTATCCCTGATCACACACAGTGTAACAGTTTGGATAAGAACTGGGATGAGCAATTAGAATACCTATTAATAAACCTAAGGGGTGATGAGGCATGAAAAGATTGCTGACTCACTTGGGTGAACATGTGTTTCATCCAAGTATATAGGCAGCAAAGGGGAGGAACACCTTTGGACAAGTTTTTGGAATGTGGCATTGGGAAAAAAAGGAATAGGGTTCGATGCCATCACAGCGATTCTGTATTCCTCCTTTCCCACAAAATTTTTTGGTTTTCCTGTATCCAAATGTCTTGGGTCTGGGTTGCCCTTGTGTGTGTGGAAGAGAGAGACAGTATTCAGGACATTTTTAAAATTACTCCAAATTTGACTCAGTGTATTCTTAGCACACAGTGAGCTGGATAGTGAGTTTCTGTCGTATGGCTAACTGAGGCCTGACCATATATGTACTTTATTGTTTAGTAATAGAAGTCCCATTATCCCTAACATTTTTTGTAAACACTACTCTTCTTTCTTGGACAGGGAGAAAAGAGGAACCTCTGGCAAGGCTATGCCTGCTACCTGCCTTATGATTGGGCAGAAACTCCCACCCATGGAAGCTGAAACTAGGTAATAAGTGGAAACAAGTGGAAAGTGTGGGAGATGGGAATGGGGTATTTAACTGGTAACAATGCTAGGAAAGGGAACCATCATTCTTTTCTTGAGACAATATCTCACAGCAGGAAAATAATATTTTTAGCTGTCTCAGATGTGGTGTGGAATCATGGCCAATGCTAGGCAAAGCCCCTAGATTTGTTTTTCCCTGAGGAAAAAGATTGTATTGAATCCATACTATGAGATTCACTCAAAGAATGCACTTGGGAAGTTTAGAGAAAATAGGTTAATTAGCATCCCTTGATGACTCTTGAATATGAGCAGGTCGCATTTGCCATTTAGGTTGTGTTTCGTTGGTTGTATTTATTGTATTTATTCTTTTGTAGTTTTTAGAGAAAATTTTCTTTGAACTGGAGGATACATTGTGATTTTGGCATCTGTAGCTGATACTCTGCATTGCCATGAACCAAGATGACAGCCTGTTAAGGCAACTGTGCATGATGAGAGCTGACTTGCGCATTGCTGCCTGCCTTGTAAGTCAGGGTCTACTTTGCTCATTTGACAATACCAGATGTGAATACAGACAGAGTGCTAGACAAGCTCATCTTGATAGGATTGGGCTTGTGCTCCAGATAGTGAATATTGGCTTGATATGCTTATCATATATCACAGATAATTCATCCCTGGGACTTCAAAAAGGATAATTATGGAAATGTTATGACTTACTCAGAACTGTATCTAAGAGTTGCATAGGCTCAAATAACACAATTCTTGAATTTCACCCACACCACAAATACACAGTGGCAACATTTGTTGTCCCTTAACCAGTACTGGCTGCAATGTGCTAAAAGGGGCTTGTGGGTCTTAGTAATTGGGCTTGGTATGTGGAGACAAGTGGAGATAACAGTCCTTTTGAAGCTTCACCATTGTGATAGACCTGTTAAGTCAGATAAGGACAACTAGAAGGACAGCCATGGGCTTGACAGTTGGTCTGGAAAGATGATAAAGAAACATGCAAATGGATATTGCCCATTACCAAACTGATTGAGAATTAGGCTTGCTAACATCTTTGGATGACATGAGCCTTGGCATATTGCTTACAATAGAATGTGATATACTTGCAGGGAAGTGCCAAGGTATAATGAAGCATCAGGCTGGAAGGATATATTTGGGGGTGGGGAACTATGGCAAGCCTAAACTATGGCGAGGTGTCACTAGTCACTAGATGCCTTTATATCAGTTTCATCACACTCACAGTGCCACAAATTAAAAAGGCATTTATATTCTGTGTGGTACAAATTGGTTGGCTTTTGACAAATTAAGGATCATGGTTTATTATTCAGAATGACAGGCCCTCACTCCAAACTTTCTGAATCAGAATCTGAATTTTAACCAGATTCCCCAGGTGAATCATATGCACATCAAAGTTTGAGAAACACTAAAATAGGCTTTATCTGTCCTTCTCATAATGCAGGATTGCCTCTATTTCTGTCAGTAGAGCTGAAGGAATAATTAGGGACTTTATCTGGTTTTGATATTGTCAAATATACTATATTGTATAAAAGAGATTTTCCAAAAGCCAATTGTCTTAGTCCATTTGCATTGTTATAAAAGAATACCTGAGACTGGGTGATTTATAAAGAAAAAAGATTTATTTGATTCATGGCTTACAGGCTGTACAAGAAGCATGGCACCAGCAGTTGATTCTTGTGAGGCTTGAGGCTGCTTCCACTCAAGGTGGAAGGTGAAAGGAAGCCAACTGTGTGGAGATCACATGGTGAGAGAGAGGAGTGACAGAGAGAGAGAGAGAGAGAGAGAAGAAGAAGAAGAAGGAGGAGGAGGCCATGCTCTTTTTTAACAATCAGTTCTCCAGACAATGAATATTGGCTGGAGAATATTACCCATATATATGTGGGCATATATGTATAATAATAGAATTATGTATATGTATAATCATATACATATTATATATAATATGTAATTATATACATATTATATATAATATGTAATTATATACATATTATATATAATATGTAATTATATACATATTATATATAATATGTAATTATATACATATATTATTATAGATAATGTATAATTATATACATATACTATTATACATCTATAATAGAAATCTATAACTGGAGGAATCTTCAAGATTATCAACTATAATTCTCTGATTTTAGAAGAGAGAAAATGTAGCACAGAAAGATTAGGTGGCTTTGTAATCCACCATGGGTAGAATTTGGTATAGTGTATATATTGACATTTAGAAAAAAAGGAATATATCATGCCAGAGGGAGTGGGCATTTAGTCTCCACTGGGTCTCATAAAACAGATGACCTTACAAAGTATACAGTGAATTTATTTGAACATGGTCCCCATAATAAAACACCCTAGGTCACTGTTATGATTTGAATATGTGTCTACTCTAAAGTTCATGTTGAAATTTAATCCCCAATGTGGCAGTATAAAGATGTGGAGCCTTTAAGAGGTGATCGGGTCATGAGGAATCTGCCCTGCTGAATGGGTTAATTCACTAACGGATTAATGGGTTACTGGCTTAATGGGTTATCATGGGAGTGGGACTGGTGGCTTTATAAGAAGAGGAAGAGAAACCTGAGCCAGCACGCTCACTCCCTCACCATGTGATACCCTGATCCACCTTGGGAAGAGTCTCCACCAACAAGAAGTCCCTCACCAAGGTGGCACCTTAACCTTAGACTTCTCAGCCCTTACAACTGTAAGAAATAAATTTATTTACTATATAAATTGCCCAGTTTCTGGTGTTCTGTTATAAGAAAATGGACTAGGACAGCAACTGAAACAAGATTCAATACAAATTTTCTTCTGGATATTTTTACTGATAGGAGAAAAGATATTTGGGTATGGAGAAGGAGGGAATTTCTTTGCTTTGTTGGGAAGATAGACTTCTTTTGATAATTTTTTCATGTTCCATGGGCACTTTGTATAACATAAAAAGCCTGATTTATGATATGCTAGCAGGAGTTATCGGTAAGTATAGTCACTGAATACAGCTTTATCTCCATTAACACAGAAAAGACTGGCTGGTGCTAGAAAGAATGGAGACAATATGCTTTGTGTGAACTGGGACTCTGTCTGAATTGTCATAGCTGTATCTTTACCCCTACAGTAGTGACTTGGCTTAAAATAGTGGCTTTTTATTTGTATGTGATTGGTGTCTACTCTCGAGTAGCTTAAAATAAAATTGAGATATCAAATCATGTAATTCCAATATGCTGGTAAGAAAACAAAATTAAAATTCAAACCATATTGCAATAGTTTTTGATGCACTGCTAAAAGAGGTTTATAAACAACTGGCATAAAATCACAAGGGGAGAGATGATCAGGACCTGGAATGTTGCAGGAAAAAACAAACATTCATGAAAAGAATGTGATATTGAAAATGGTTCAGATCTGAATAAGCAGAGAAAGTGGAACAGAATTTCAAGTGAAGGAACTTACATGCATGAAGTAAGTCCAAGAAAGCTGAGATGAAGTATAGAATGACTCAGATGCAGGCAACTGGGTGTATGAGGATATAAGGCTGAGAATAAGGGTTGTTGAGATTGTGGTTCATCGTGCCTGCTAGGCTATGGATTTTGACACGTATTTGTAGGCAACTGGTGGTTCTTGTTGAAGTGCAGGACGGCGTGATTAAAGGTGTCTTAGAAAGATAAATATGTCAGTGGTACACAAGAGGGATGAGTTAAAGAACTGCTGGGAAAGATAATGTTAGGAGATAAAAGAAAAACCAGAAGCAGAATTGGAATGGTAGCAAATGGACTAGGAAGGGAAGATTGTCTTCTAAAAACATAACAAAGAAAGAATTGGAAGAACTTAGCAGCACTGATCAGCTGGGAGACATTCACCAATGCTTTATTCTTTCTACCCATAACCTAGGGACCTAGGATTTTCTTAAGGTTAAGACAAATATTTATCATACATAAAATTAATCAATAATATATTCTTTTCCATGTAAAAAGGTCAACACACTTTCATTAAGTAATTTCTGAATGTATGTAGGAAGAATAATACCCTAAGCCAGCAGTCCCCAACCTTTTTAGGATGGATGGTTTCAGGGTGACATTGTTCTACCTCAGATATCAGGCATTGGATTCTCATAAGAAACACGCAACCTAGATCCCTTGCATGCGCAGTTCACAATAGGGCTCGTGCTCCTGTGAGAATCTAACGCAACAGCTCATCTGACAGGAGGCAGAGCTCAGGCAGTAATGCTCACTGCCTGGTGCTGACCTTCTGCTGTGCTGCCGGGTTGCTAACAGGCCATGCATGAACTGGTACTGGTCCACAACCTGGGGGTTGGGGAACCCTGAAGCCCTTTCAGTTCTGTTGCTTAGGGTTACTCCATAAGGAAGCTACCCATTTATAAAAAAGTTTTCTCAAGATATTTCTAGGTAGACCTTAAAAAAGAATAAAATGATGTAAGTTGTTTGACCTCTATATGCCTCAATTGCTCCTTTCAAAAATAGGGATAACAACAAATAGTACATCCTAGGGTTTCATGAGGATTGAATGAGTTTATACAGGTGAAGTGTCAACTTAGTGTCTCAGTAAGTGTTAGCTCTCTCTCCTCCTTCTCTTCTTCCTCTTGTCTTATTTTTAATGTATCTGAAATAGCCTTTTCTGAAGTACTAGAACAATTGCTGCATACTAAAATGGTTGTTTTCTCCTCAAACTATAGTTTGCTAAAAGTAGTTTTGAAATGATTAAATATCAGTACACAAAATTGTCCTTTGATATTCCAACCAGACTCTGACCTTGGATCACCTAAAAAAATGGACCATATGGAAGGAAATATATTCTTTCTTTATACACCATTGATCATGTCTTCTGCCACTCAGTACTCCCTTGCCTTCTATGACACCATACTCTGGATTTTCTTTCCCTCTTGGGCCAATCCTTTTCTAACTCTTTTACACACTTATTCTTTTCCATGGGTCCACCTTTATGTTGGGTATTTATAGCTCAATATTAGGTAGTCTTTCCGCCCTGTGTTTTCCTCCACTAACTCAACAATTTTATCGATGTCATTATCTACAGATGTGTCATTTCCAAATATATATCATACCCAAACCTCTTCTCTGAGTTCCAGGTACAAATACTTCCCTGCCTAGAAGATATATCTACCTGGATGCCTCAAAGGTACCTCAAATTCACATGTCCAAAACCAAACTCAAGTCCTGAGACCCAACTTGCTCCCCTTCTGGTGTTTGCTGTCTTTAAGAATAGCATCTTTTATTATTTTGCCAGAAATCTATGAATTACTCTCAACACCTACGTTTCCCTCATGTCTGTTTTCAAATTTGTCTTCAACTCCCATCAATTTTATTTCCTAAATGATTCTCTAATCCACCCTCTTTTCTTCATCTCTACTGCAAACATCTCAGACTCTAAATGATCTCCCTGAATATACTTTGGCTCTCTTCCTGCTTGTTTTTTTCTATTTAAAGTTTATATTTTTTGTTTTACAAAATGAATAAAAGCACATATTTTAAAAAGCCATGTAGTACTATGAGAACTACTAGGCTTTGAATAGTAAATAAATAGACAAATAAACAAACAAACAAACAAATAGTACTACCTGCCCCATCCCTAATTCCCTATTCCTTTTTAGCTGTTTTAGTTATTTCTTTATCCTATCCTTTTTAGCTGTTTTAGTTATTTCTTTAGGCCATTACTTCAAATTTTGAAATAATGTTCTTATGTTGCCTTTCCTAGATCTTTTTAAAAAATGTGATCTATTATATTGTTTCTAAGGAAGATAGAATTTTGTTGTCTTATACCCTCATATTAACCGACTCTCACCCAATATTATTATATCACATTTTTTGTTAAATTAGTATTTATTGTTTATGTTATTAAGATTATGGATTAAATATATTGAAATGTTTCTTTTCTTTTACAACTTTTTGTTTTATCTGGAGTTAATTATTGCTTTGCTTTTACATTGGCTTAGTTAGTACCTAGAAACCTAGCTAACACAGTGTTCATTCTAAACACACTCAAACTTACCAGGTGGTCTCTCAGCTTAATTTTTTCTTCTGGGAGAACTTCTTTCTCAGGGTCTCTATTCTTCTACTTCAAAAAAGATTGCTTGCTCTTTTTCCTCTGCTTTTCCTCGGCTTCTTTTTCAGCCCTCTCTGGTTTTAACTGAGCATTCTATATGACTCCATTTAATCTTTTCTCTTAGTTTCTCTTCCTGAAAACTTGGTGATGAAACAGGAGAGTTCCCTTATTCTCCTCACAGAACATGCAACAGGTGTATGGCTTGCTCCTTCGGTGACCCCGCTACTCAGACTCCTAGGGGGAGCATGCAGATGGGCAGATGCAGAGGCTGTGGGTAGCACTTTTGGTCTTTTGCCCCATGACAGCATCTAGGGATGGGTATCTGCGACTCCCAAAGCCCAAGTGGGCATGTGTTACAGTGTGCTTTTTCAGCTTTGCTGTCTGCAGACGGCTTGTGTTAATCAGCTCAATAGACCCTCTGCCTTATCAGTTATATGATATGAGATTGCAATATATATTTTTTGAGTTTTTTCAACTCTTATTTTCAACATATATTGTTAACTCTTCTAAGTCTAACTTCAAATAACACTATACATCTTCAAGTGTAGTACAGGTATCTTTGATAACAGAGCATTTCCAATTCCTCCCTCCTGATTCTTATGATATTGCTATCATTCACTTTGCTTATCTGTATGCTATGATCATTCTATATGTTGTTATTACTATCACTCTTAAAAATTATTTTTAGTTGAATTAAAAATAAGAAAAATAAAACATTTTATTATGCCGTAATTAATTTAATTTAATTTAATTTTTTTGAGACAGGCTCTTGCTCTGTCACCCAGGCTAGAGTTCAATGGCATGATGATGGCTCACTGCAGCCTTGACCTCCTGGGCTCAAGCAATTCTCCTGCCTTAGTCTCCTGAGTAGCTGGGACTACAGGCACATGCCATGAGGCCCAGCCAATTTTTAAAAACTTTTTTTAGTAGAGATGAGGACTTATTATGTTGCTCAGGCTTGTCTTGAACTCCTGAGCTCAAGCAATTCTCTCACATTGGCCTCCTAAAGTGCTGGGATTACAGGCATGAGCCACTGAACCTGGCTTGTACCTCAATGTATTCCTTCTCTAATGCTCTTTCTTTTTTTATGTAGCTTGGAGTTTCTCACCTGTATCGCTTCTTTCTTTCTGAAGAACTTTTTTCAATATTTTTTTCAGGGTCAATCTATTGGTGATGAATCAGTTCAGTTTTTGTTGAAGAAAGTATTTATTTATTTATTTATTTTAGTGTTAGAGTGAAATTTATTATTTTGACTACTGCTTCTCAGTTTAAGAGTCTGGATATGAAGTATGTTTTGATGAGTTTCTTGCAGGATAAAATGAAAGTTAGATATCCTAGCAAACATTATTTTCATTAACTCAGAACCAAATTGGATCCATTTATTACATAATTTAAAAAATTACTAATGGCTCTTGTTCTATATAATCATTCCACCTCTTTTTGAATTCTGTTTTCTTAGGAAACTTTATTATTACTTTCAAATGTGATAGCATTCATTACATTCTCAACCTTGAATTATAATCTCTTCCACATCTATGTTCAAATTTAGTTTCTCATTTGTATTACTATATCTTTGAATTTTCTCTCAGTTCGGATTTTTTCTCTCTGAAGGACTTTAAAAATATCTATTTCAGTGGTATTTTCATACAACAAGGTCTTTGATTTATGCATTAATTATTTTTATTTATTTATTTATTTTAATTTTATTATTATTATACTTTAAGTTTTAGGGTACATGTGCACAACATGCAGGTTTGTTACATATGTATACCTGTGCCATGTTGGTGTGCTGCACCCATTAACCCGTCATTTACATTAGGTATATCTCCTAATGCTATCCCTCCCCACTCCCCGCACCCCACAACAGGCCCCAGAGTGTGATGTTCCCCTTCCTGTGTCCATTTGTTCTCATTTTTCAATTCCCACCTATGAGTGAGAATATGCGGTGTTTGGTTTTTTTGTCCTTGCGATAGTTTGCTGAGAATGATGGTTTCCAGTTTCATCCATGTCCCTACAAAGGACATGAACTCATCATTTTTTATGGCTGCATAGTATTCCATGGTGTATATGTGCCACATTTTCTTAATCCAGTCTATCATTGTTGGACATTTGGGTTGGTTCCAAGTCTTTGCTATTGTGAATAGTGCCGCTATAAACATACGTGTGCATGTGTCTTTATAGCAGCACGATTTATAATCCTTTGGGTATATACCCAGTAATGGGATTGCTGGGTCAAATGGTATTTCTAGTTCTAGATCCCTGAGGAATTGCCAGACTGACTTCCACAATGGTTGAACTAGTTTACAGTCCCACCAACAGTGTAAAAGTGTTCCTATTTCTCCACATCCTCTCCAGCACCTGTTGTTTCCTGACTTTTTAATGATCGCCATTCTAACTGGTGTGAGATGGTATCTCATTGTGGTTTTGATTTGCATTTCTCTGATGGCCAGTGATGGTGAGCATTTTTTCATGTGTTTTTTGGCTGCATAAATGTCTTCTTTTGAGAAGTGTCTGTTCATATCCTTCGCCCACTTTTTGATGGGGTTGTTTGTTTTTTGCTTGTAAATTTGTTTGAGTTCATTGTAGATTCTGGATATTAGCCCTTTGTCAGATGAGTAGCTTGCAAAAATTTTCTCCCATTCTGTAGGTTGCCTGTTCACTCTGATGGTAGTTTCTTTTGCTGTGCAGAAGCTCTTTAGTTTAATTAGATCCCATTTGTCCATTTTGGCTTTTGTTGCCATTGCTTTTGGTGTTGTAGACATGAAGTCCTTGCCCATGCCTATGTCCTGAATGGTATTGCCTAGGTTTTCTTCTAGGGTTTTTATGGTTTTAGGTCTAACATGTAAGTCTTTAATCCATCTTGAATTAATTTTTGTCTAAGGTGTAAGGAAGGGATCCAGTTTCAGCTTTCTACATATGGCTAGCCAGTTTTCCCAGCACCATTTATTAAATAGGGAATCCTTTCCCCATTTCTTGTTTTTGTCAGGTTTGTCAAAGATCAGATAGTTGTAGATATGCGGCATTATTTCTGAGGGCTCTGTTCTGTTCCATTGATCTATATCTCTGTTTTGGTACCAGTACCATGCTGTTTTGGTTACTGTAGCCTTGTAGTATAGTTTGAAGTCAGGTAGCTTGATGCCTCCAGCTTTGTTCTTTTGGCTTAGAATTGACCTGGAGGTGCGGGCTCTTTTTTGGTTCCATATGAACTTTAAAGTAGTTTTTTTCCAATTCTGTGAAGAAAGTCATTGGTAGCTTGATGGGGATGGCATTGAATCTATAAATTACCTTGGGCAGTATGGCCATTTTCACAATATTGATTCTTCCTACCCATGAGCATGGAATGTTCTTCCATTTGTTTGTATCCTGTTTTATTTCATTGAGCAGTGGTTTGTAGTTCTCCTTGAAGAGGTCCTTCACATCTCTTGTAAGTTGGATTCCTAGGTATTTTATTCTCTTTGAAGCAATTGTGAATGGGAGTTCACTCATGATTTGGCTCTCTGTTTGTCTGTTATTGGTGTATAAGAATGCTTGTGATTTTTGTACATTGATTTTGTATCCTGAGACTTTGCTGAAGTTGCTTATCAGCTTGAGGAGATTTTGGGCTGAGACGATGGGGTTTTCTACATATACAATCATGTCATCTGCAAACAGGGACAATTTGACTTCCTCTTTTCCTAATTGAATACCCTTTATTTCCTTCTCCTGCCTAATTGCCCTGGCCAGAACTTCCAACACTATGTTGAATAGGAGTGGTGAGAGAGGGCATCCCTGTCTTGTGCCAGTTTTCAAGGGGAATTCTTCCAGTTTTTGCCCATTCAGTATGATATTGGCTGTGGGTTTGTCACAGATAGCTCTTATTATTTTGAGATACATCCTATCAGTACTTAATTTATTGAGAGTTTTTAGCATGAAGAGTTGTTGAATTTTGTCAAAGGCCTTTTCTGCATCTATTGAGATAATCATGTGGTTTTTGTCTTTGGTTCTATTTATATGCAAATCATTTATTGATTTGTGTATGTTGAACCAGCCTTGCATCCCAGGGATGAAGCCCACTTGATCATGGTGGATAAGCTTTTTGATGTGCTGCTGGATTCGGTTTGCCAGTATTTTATTGAGGATTTTTGCATCGATGTTCGTCAAGGATATTGGTCTAAAATTCTCTTTTTTGGTTGTGTCTTTGCCAGGCTTTGGTATCAGGATGATGCTGGCCTCATAAAATGAGTTAGGGAGGATTCCTTCTTTTTCTATTGATTGGAATAGTTTCAGAAGGAATGGTAACAGCTCCTCTTTGTACCTCTGGTAGAATTCAGCTGTGAATCCATCTGGTCCTGGACTTTTTTTGGTTGGTAAGCTATTGATTATTGCCTCAATTTCAGAGCCTGTTATTGGTGTATTCAGAGATTCAACTTCTTCCTGGTTTAGTCTTGGGAGGATGTATGTGTCGAGGAATTTATCCATTTCTTCTAGATTTTCTAGTTTATTTTCATAGAGGTGTTTGTAGTATTCTCTGATCGTAGTTTGCATTTCTGTGGGATCAGTGGTGATATCCCCTTTATCATTTTTTTTTGCGTCTATTTGATTCTTCTCTGTTTTCTTCTTTATTAGTCTTGCTAGTGGTCTATCAATTTTGTTGATCTTTTCAAAAAACCAGCTCCTGGATTCATTAATTTTTTGAAGGGTTTTTTGTGTCTCTATTTCCTTCAGTTCTGCTCGGATCTTAGTTATTTCTTGCCTTCTGCTAGCTTTTGAATGTGTTTGCTCTTGCTTTTCTAGTTCTTTTAAGTGTGATGTTAGGGTGTCAATTTTGGATCTTTCCTGCTTTCTCTTGTGGGCATTTAGTGCTATAAATTTACCTCTACACGCTGCTTTGAATGCGTCCCAGAGATTCTGGTATGTTGTGTCTTTGTTCTCGTTGGTTTCAAAGAACATCTGTATTTCTGCCTTCATTTCATTATGTACCCAGTAGTCATTCAGGAGCAGGTTGTTCAGTTTCCATGTAGTTGAGTGGTTTTGAGTGAGTTTCTTAATCCTGAGTTCTAGTTTGATTGCACTGTGGTCTGAGAGACAGTTTGTTATAATTTCTGTTCTTTTACATTTGCTGAGGGGTGCTTTACTTCCAACTGTGTGGTCAATTTTGGAGTAGGTGTGGTGTGGTGCTGAAAAGAATGTATATTCTGTTGATTTGGGGTCTATAATAGTCATAGGTCTACCTAATAGACCTATGTCTATTAGGTCTGCTTGGTGCAGAGCTGAGTTCAATTCCTGGGTATCCTTGTTAACTTTCTGTCTCGTTGATCTGTCTAATGTTGACAGTGGGGTGTTAAAGTCTCCTACTATTATTGTGTGGGAGTCTAAGTCTCTTTGTAGGTCACTAAGGACTTGCTTTATCAATCTGGGTGCTCCTGTATTGGGTGCATATATATTTAGGATAGTTAGCTCTTCTTGTTGAATTGATCCCTTTACCATTATGTAATGGCCTTCTTTGTCTCTTTTGATCTTTGCTGGTTTAAAGTCTGTTTTATCAGAGACTAGGATTGCAACCCCTGCCTTTTTTTGTTTTCCATTTGTTTGGTAGATCTTCCTCCATCCCTTTATTTTGAGCCTATGTGTGTCTCTGCACGTGACATGGGTTTCCTGAATACAGCACACTGATGGGTCTTGACTCTTTATCCAGTTTGCCAGTCTGTGTCTTTTAATTGGAGCATTTCGTCCATTTACATTTAAAGTTAATATTGTTATGTGTGAATTTGATCCTGTCATTATGATGTTAGCTGGTTGTTTAGCTCGTTAGTTGATGCAGTTTCTTCCTAGCTTTGATGGTCTTTACAATTTGGCACGTTTTTGCAGTGGCTGGTACTGGTTGTTCCTTTCCATGTTTAGTGCCTCCTTCAGGAGCTCTTTTAGGGCAGGCCTGGTGGTGACAGAATCTCTCAGCATTTACTTGTCTGTAAAATATTTTATTTCTCCTTCACTTATGCAGCTTAGTTTGGCTGGATATGAAATTCTGGGTTGAAAATTCTTCCCTTTAAGAATGTTAAATATTGGTCCCCCTCTCTTCTGGCTTGTAGAGTTTCTGCTGAGAGATCAGCTGTTAGTCTGATGGGCTTCCCTTTGTGGGTAACCCGACCTTTCTCTCCAGCTGCCTTTAACATTTTTTCCTTCATTTCAACTTTGGTGAATCTGACCAAATTCTTGATCTTGGAGTTTGCTCTTCTCGAGGAGTATCTTTGTGGCGGTCTCTGTATTTCCTGAATTTGAATGTTGGCCTCTCTTGCTAGATTGGGGAAGTTCTCCTGGATAATATCCTGCAGAGTGTTTTCCAACTTGGTTCCATTCTCCCCGTCACTTTCAGGTACACCAATCAGACATAGATTTGGTCTTTTTACATAGTCCCATATTTCTTGGAGGCTTTGTTCGTTTCTTTTTATTCTTTTTGCTCTAAACTTCTCTTCTCGCTTCATTTCATTCATTTCGTCTTCCATCACTGATACCCTTTCTTCCAGTTGATCACATCAGCTACTGAGGCTTCTGCATTCGTCACATAGCTCTCATGCCTTGGTTTTCAGCTCCATCAGGTCCTTTAAGGACCTCTCTGCATTCGTTATTCTAGTTATCCATTCGTCTAATTTTTTTCAAAGCTTTTAACTTCTTTGCCATTGGTTCGAATTTCCTCCTGTAGCTCGGAGTAGTTTGATCGTCTGAAGCCTTCTTCTCTCAACTCGTCAAAGTCATTCTCCATCCAGCTTTGTTCCGTTGCTGGTGAGGAGCTGCGTTCCTCAGTTGGAAATGCAGAAATCACCTGAAGAAAGTATTTATTTATCTTTCACTTTTGAAAGATAATCTCACTCAATTTAGAATCTTAGGTTGTGATTTTCCCCCTCACAGTTTAAGTATTTCCCTCCATTATCTGCTTACTTGTATGGTTTTTGATGAAAAGTCAGTTGTAATTCTTAACTTTTTCCTCCATGGGTAAGGTGTTTTTTTCCACTCTGGCTTCTTTCAAGACTTTTTTCTTTGTATTTGGTTTTATGTAGTTTGAATATGATATACCCATGTATTTTTTTTTTTGTGATTTATCATGCTTGATGTTCTCTGAGGTTCCTGAATTTGTGGTTTGGTGTCTGTCATTACTTTTGGAAAATTCTCAGCTGTTATCCCTTTGGATATTTCTTCTGTTCCTTTTTCTTTCTTTTTTTCCCCTGGTATTCCAATTACTTTTATGTTACACCCTTTGAAATTGTCCTGTGGTTCAGCTTGGCAAATTTTTATTGTCTTCAGGCTTACTGATTCTCTCCCCAGCCAGATCTAATCACTGATGAGCCCATCAAAGGCATTCTTCATTTCTGTTATAGTGGGTTTGATTTCTAGCATTTTTGTTTGATTCTTTCTTAGAGTTTCCATGCCTCTGCTTACATCAGCCATCTGTTCTTGCATGTTGTCTACTTCTTTATTAAAGCCTTTAACATCTTAATCATAGTGATTTTAAATTCTCTGTCCAATAATTCCAACATGTATGCCTTATGTTTTGTGTGGTGACTGGTTCTGATGCTTGTTTTGTCTCTTCAGAATTTTTTTCTTGCCTTGTAATTATTTGTTGAAAGGCAGATATGATGTATTGGGTAATACAAGCAAAGGTAAACAGGCCTTCAAGTGTGAACTTTTATGTTAATTTGGCTAAGATTTGGGCTGTGTTTAATGTTTGCTATAGCTGTGAGTATCAGTCTTCAAATTTCTCCAATGTTCTAGTTTTTGTTTCTCCTGTCTGGGCTTGTCTAAGTACTTCTCCTCAGAGAGAATCTGTGTCTTATATCTTTTTCAGCTGTAATCCGTTGATACTATATCAGAGCCATACTGGTGTGGTGATAAGGTGTGGGAGATGAGAAATGTTCTATAATCTTATTATTACATTTTAGTGTTTAGTGGCCCTGTGTCCTTGGACAATGAACTTTGCAAGTGTTTCTTAGCTTTATTTTCCCAGCTTAGGAGAGATAGAAAGCCTAGAGGGGATTGGAGTGGAAGAAATGCCCTTCCCTGAGATGAGATAATGATATGGTAAGGTTTTCTGCCCTGAAGAGTAGGGCTTTGTTGTAGATAATCTTCTGGGTATATTTCACAGTGGTTACTCTTCCCTACCCATGTAAAACCTTAAGATGATCTTTCTCAGTTTCTCTTCCTGAAAACCTGATGATGAAACAGGAGAGTTCCCTTATTCTCCTCACAGGACATGCAACAGGGGTGTGGCTTGCGCCTTCGGTGGCCCTGCTACTCAAACTCCTAGGGGGAGCATGCAGATGGGTAGGTGCAGAGGCTGTGTGGAGCACTTTTGGGCTTTGGCCCCATGGCAGCATCTAGGGATGGGTGTCTGCGACTCCCGAAGCCCAAGTGGGCATGTGTTACAGTGTGCTTTTTCAGCTTTGCTGTCTGCAGACAGCTTGTGTTAATCAGCTCAATAGACCCTCTGCCTTATTGCAAGGGCAGAGGGCCAGTGTGACAGCTTTCTGTATCCTGAGCTCTTACCCAGTGTGTTGGAAAAATCGGATCACATGTGGGCTGGAAGGATCAGTGCAAAGTTTTATTGAGTGGTGGGGGTGGCTTTCAGCAAGATGGATGGGGAGCTGGAAGAGGGGGATGGAATGGAAATGTGGTCTTCCTCAGGAGTTGGGCTGCCCAGCTGCCAGACTCTTCTCTAACCGCCCCCGGCCGAACTCCTCTTGGCATCCAGATGTCCCTGCTCTTCTTTCTTTCTCTGCCATGTCGTTCTGCCGTTGCTGGTCTGCCGGTCTGCTGGTGTCTGCTGGTGTGTTCTTCTGCTTCGCTCAACCTTCAGCTGCTTGCGTCTGTGCCTGCTAAGGCCTTAGGTTTATATGGGAACAGGATGGGGGGCATGGTAGGCCAGAGCAGTCTTGGAAAATGCAACATTTGGGCACGAAAACAGGAGTGCCTGTTCTCACTTAGGTCTGTGGGCACAGGCCTGAGGGTGGAGCCATCTCCAGGGACACTGTCCTTTTTTACCCAATACTTCCCTGGCCCCCATCCTGTGTGAGTGAGATTCTTGGAGGTAAAACTATAAAAAGTGTGGAGGCCCACCTGACTATGATCTCCAGGACTTCCTGATTGTGATCCCCAGGAGTTTCTCCCTTTCACTCTAGTCCACACTTAGCCTCCAGCAATTCCACTATGCCAATTCCAAATGACCACTGAAGCGTTCCTACCAGTTTATGGCTTCAACATCTTCTGCTCCAGATAAACATACCTCAACTCTGGCTCTGGATTTGTCCATTTCTCCATTTTGGAGGAGAGGGGAATTGCCTTGTAACTTTAGTTCTTTATTGAGCCCAAGTAAAGTTGTTGATTTTCAGCTTTCTTGCTTTAAATAAATCTAATCCCAACATAATTTCCAATCTTTTGCATGCATTTTCTTCTTTAAACTTCCATTATTTTCTGTTTCTTATTTTCTAAAATTTCAGTGTTATATACCTTTGGTGTAGGTTTAAAAAATTCATTTTATTGAGTCCTTAATGAACTCTTAAATTTTAGGATTCTTTTTAGTATGTCTTTGAAAATCTGCTTTTTGTTTCTTGTTGTTTGGATATTTATTTTTTCTTTGAGCCTATAATTTATTATCTTGTTTACCCTCTTTTATATTTTTGGCCTACTTTCTGGGATATTTCTTTAACTTTGTAATTCAACTTTTCTATGAATTCTGTTATATATTTTGTTACCATATTTTAAGTTTCAAAGGACTTTATTTTTAGTCATCTGAACATTCCTTTTGTTCTTGCTTCATTGGATTGTGTCTCAGTCCATGTGAGAATATTAATTATGGTTTTTATTGAAGATTTCTTATGTTTCCTGCATTATCATTTTTTCCTAGAGTTGATTTCTGTGTGTGATCATTTGCTTGTTTTGTCTCTACTTTCATGTTGGAGACTCTCTTCAAATGTCTAGGGATCCTTGACTCTCCCCTCATATTTAAGAAGGAGGCCTGAAAAAGAGGCCACGAAACTCGGTGTAGGCAGAGCTTATACACTAATGGGTCTCACTAGAGGGTGTTAGACAGGGATTTGGCCATTCGATTGGAGATCTCTTAAACATATCAGAATCTGTAGGTCTTCTCTTTTGTGCTGGTCAGTCTCTAGAGATTTAACCTCCCGTTTTAAGCCAGTTGGGGAATAAGATCTAGATGTTTCAACTGCTCCTTTTTAAAGATTTCCAACAAACCTCTTAGTTTGTTTCATTCATTACCTCCATCTCCAGAGGTCCTAGGTGCCTTCGTTTCTGAGCCTTTCAAGAACTCTCTAGTATAAATTAGCTTGATTCTTGTTGGCTTCTCTCTATGCTCCTCAATTTTCTGTGCACGTGGACACACACACACACACACACACACACACACACACACACACACACACACACACAGAGTTACTTGAAGGCCCAGACCTTTCTCTCTCCTGATAAGTCAGTTAACACTTGTTTAATTGCTTTCCTGCTTGTGAACTTTTTGACATCCTTTGTCTGCTTTTGTATTCCTTCGTTTTTTCTTGTTCTTCTGAATCTTTTTCACTTTTACTCCTTTACTCTTCTTTTAGTGAGGTCACAATAGGGAGTGGAGATAAATAAATGCATTTATTCAGATAAACTATATTTATAACCTTTCTCAATCTACAACCTTATTTACCTTGGTGTTGTAATTGGTTGTGAAACAGGCATCATTTTATGCTTTTGACTGGCCATTCCAAGCCATTCTGACAAGAAGAACTTGAGCAGAGACTGAAGATTGGCCTTTTAAAATTTTATCTCAAATCACTGACAATTCTGTTTAATCTGGACTCCTGCCTTTACATTTTTCTACTACACATTTATAGAGTTTTAAAAGTTGTTTAGTCCCTGAGGAAATCCTGTTTGTGTCCGCTAAGCATACTCAGATGCAGAAGTATAAAAGAATACCTAAGCTACTTACTATAAGTCATACAAACAAGATGGCTAAATATCAATTAAAATATTTTATTTAAAACATTAAAACTTGGGGGTTCATACTTTTCCTTAAACAGTGATGCCTTGGCAATAGACTGAATAAGTTTGAGGATCTCATTATAAAACCAAGCAACAATTATTTGTTGAAGTGCCTGAGTTGATACCTGGAGGAACATGAAGAAAATGTGAAATATTGTTCTTGCTCTTCTCCTAGACACTTAGCCATGCCCTGTGGAGTCCTAATTTGATCAAAAGCACAGGCTTTTCATTTGATACATAAAACTAAATCCCCTTCCTGCCTAGTTGGTGAGACATAGTTATATATGAAAAATACTAGCAATACAAGACAACACAACACAACTAAGTGTTTAATCATCAGTCAGAGCCAGCAAATACTATGACATCAGAACAGGAGGTCAAAGAGAGTAGAAGCAGATACCACAAATATTTATTGAGTTCTCATAAAGTCTGTGTTTTAGGTGTCCTGGGAACACATTATTGAATGAGAACTTTCTAGATAACTTGGCTTGGTCTTGAATAATGCACTGGATTTATACATGGGGAGAAAAAGAAAACAAAAACAAACACACATCACATGAGCGGATCACAACACTGTGACAGAACTGAGACCTGTGTGTGATATAGTTTGGCTCTGTGTCCCCACCCAAATCTTATCTTGAATTGTAATCTCCGTAACCCCCCTGTGTCCAGGGTGGGACCTGGTGAGAGGTGATTGGATCGTGGGGGCTGTTTCCCCCAGGCTGTTCTCATGATAGCGAGTTCTCACGAGATCTGATGGTTTTATAAGTGTTTGACAGTTCATCCTACACACACATTCTCCCTCTTGCCTGCCACCAAGTAAGACATGCCACTTTGCCTTCCACCAGGATTGTAAGTTTCCTGAGGCCTCCTCAGCCATGTGGAACTGTGAGTCAATTAAACCTCTTTCCTTTACAAATTACCCAGTCTCAGTGGTATTCTTTATAGTAATGTGAGAACGGACCAATGTAGTGTGACTTGGAAGGGTGAGAGCGATGACCTGATTAGATTTGGTGCTCATGTTAAGAAAAAGCAGGGAATAAGTTTGGATTGTTGGGTGGGCAGAAGCCCACCAAGGTAAGAGAATTCTTAGTTTGCAGAAGAAAGAAAAACAGCACATTGTGTCACACAGATCTTTTGATGTAAAGCATGACTTTAATGCATTCTTATGATATTATATAGGGAAACATTTACATAGCCCCTTCATAACTGTAATATGCCCTAGTTTTGTTTGTCAGTTTATTTCTTTGTTATTTACTCTACAAATAGTCCTTGAACTTGAGGAAGAAAAATGGGAATGGTTTGTGTTTTACTTAAATTATAAGATCAAAGATGGCAGATGATTTATCCAAAGCCCAGGCAAGTAGGAAAAGCTCCCCCTTCCCTTCCCCTTTTCCAGGATAGAAGAGAGTTGGCTGGTTACTTTGCAGGACTTAAGATGATCTTCATTTTAAAGAATCTGTATCAGCCTCCACTGTGGTAAGATGTGACTGGGATTTCAAGGTTTCCCCTGTCTCTACTGATTTACCTAAGTAGGACAGAGATTTCTGGGGCATGCCTGCCGGTGGAGGGCAGTAGGTCACTCAACTAAGAGCACAGTATTGTTGAGAAAATGACACTAAAGTGGTCATCTGGGATGCTACTTCGCTTTTGGTAAATAACTTTGCATCAACTTCTCAAGTTCCACCTCTCAGTGGAGACGGATGCTAGACAAAGGTACCAGACACCGCAGCCTGGTCGGCTGAACAAATGGAGTTATAGCCTTAGATTTTGTTTTCGTGATGACTAAGCTGACCAGGTTTCTTCTTTGTCCTTGCACACTTTATGCTTGACGAGATGCTTAAGCAAATAGAATAGGCGACCGCTAGGAGGTACCCGAGCTATGCGTCGGCCGCCGGGGCGAGCAGAAATGGCTAACAGCGACTCTCTCGGCTCGGTGGGTCAAGGCGGGTGGTGCTTTTCCAAGGTCGGGGTTGCGATAAGCTTATCGCTTATCACAAGCAAGAAGGGCAAGAAGGACGTCTAAGAACCAACGGTCCTTTAATCTAAAAGGCCGCGCGCCTCCAAGGCAATGTGACATCTTGAGGTCTAGTGTTTGGGCACCAGCTGCCTGCACATCTGGATGCAGCACTTCCTTTCAGGGAGGAGGCGAGGCGGAGGACCCCGGAGTGCACGCACCTCCTCGTGCGCGCGCTCGCTTGCGCCCGTGAACGTGTGTGTGTGTGTGTGTGTGTGTGTGTGTGTGTGTGTGTGTGCGGGCGCGCGCGCACACACACGGGCCGCGGCTCCGGGACCGGCTAATGGGGGTGGGGGCCCAGGAAGGAATAAATCTCCGCCAGCCTCCTCGCGCCTGGCTGCGGGTTAATATCCAACCAGCTAGAGAAAGACTAGGGTGACGGCAGCAGGGTGACAGCCTGGGCACACCGGCCGCTTGTCGAAGGATCAGGATATTAGCCAGTCTCCGCCACACTCAGGGACTGATATATTTCTATTGGCGGGGGGCTGTTGGTTTTTATTGTCTGCCGTTATCTCCAAAGAACAAGGGCACGAGTGAGGGGTGCGCGCTCTGGGCGAGTGTCGCGGCTCGGATCGGGTCGAAGGAGGCAATTTTGCGGGTGGGGGAGGGAGGGGGAGACCTTGATTTCCACCAATCCCCGGGCGTTTGTCTGCGAAGTCCGGGGCGCAGCGGAAGGCTGCGGCGCGCCGCTGAATTAACTGATGAGAGCGAGTTCTTTTCTTCTCCGGGAGGGGTGGGGAGCGAGGGTCCCGGCGGGCGAGGCGGAGGAGCCCGGGGCAGGATAGCGGTCCCGGGCCGCCGTGGAAATTTCCAAGGACTTGGTGCGGCGCAGAGAGCGCGTCTCGGGGCGGGGTGGGGGGGGGGGGGTTGCCTGGCGGCGCAGCAGCGCGGGAGGCGGCGAAGGGCGCAGGAGCATCGCTCGGAGGGGACAAGGGGACGCCACGGGCCACATGTTTAGGAGGGAGCCGAGCCTTCTCCCGGACCCTCGCCGAGGGCGACCGTGATGCTGCAGAACCGGCGGGAGCGACTCGCCGCCGCCGCTCTCTGCGCACTCGGAGACCCCAGCGCCCGCCTTCTGCAGGGGAAGCGACCATGGCCATAGATCGTGACTTCACCCCCAGCCACTTCCCCTAGAAAGAAATCCTTGGAAAAGTTGCATTTGAAAAAATCCTTGCGCTGACCTTTGGGGCCGACGGGGCCGAAGAAGCGTGCGTGCGTTTGCAAGTAAGAGAACCAAAGGTGTGTGTGCATGGGGGGCTGGCGGTGGGGGACCCTCCGCTGCCACTTCGCCTAGCTTTGTGCTGAGGCCCCGGCCCCCGCCCCTGGGACGCCGGGGCTGCGATGAGCCCCTGCGGGCGGGCCCGGCGACAAACGTCCAGAGGGGCCATGGCTGTACTGGCGTGGAAGTTCCCGCGGACCCGGCTGCCCATGGGAGCCAGTGCCCTCTGTGTCGTGGTCCTCTGTTGGCTCTACATCTTCCCCGTCTACCGGCTGCCCAACGAGAAAGAGATCGTGCAGGGGGTGCTGCAACAGGGCACGGCGTGGAGGAGGAACCAGACCGCGGCCAGAGCGTTCAGGTACTCCTGCCCTCGCGGCTCCTCCCCTCTAGCGTCCTTTCCTCCCCGAGTGCAGAGGACAGGGTCACCGGCGAGGACCGCCTTGCACCGTCTCGCAGAGGCATCCCTTTCATCCGCTCTTCCATGTCCTTTCCCTCCATTTGTGCCATTCCCAACCTGGAGACTTTAGTCAGGGTTCCTTCCCCACCCCTGATCCCCAGAGATGTGCAGACACCTGCTTTGCGCATGTAAAGACTCGACGCATTTCTTCCCAAAGCGGAGTTTTATTTAACAATTTACGGATAAACAAAACAGAGGGAAGGAGAACCCAGGATAACTTAGTCTCTTGCACTTAATAAGAATTTACCTCTTGGGCTCTGCAGACATTTGAAGCTGTAGGGAACAAGAAGCAGGTAAAAGGCATCTCCCCGAGGTGGAGTGCACAGTCGGTAACATAAGTCCCCAACGTCGGAGTGATGGGCAGTGGAAACATGGACGGATCCCGCAGCTTTGCGCAGTGTGCCCACAGCAAGTGCATAGTACTGACTGACGTCTACTAAGAGACGATACTGTGCAATTTTTGTGTTGAAATCTCGAACAGCTGTCTAGTATTATTATCTCATCTTGTTGACCACAAATTGATTCTTTAGAAGGATGAGTAACTTCCCCAAGGTCATTACTTTTGACCTGTGGGTGCTGGATTTTTCATCACTTAAAGCTCCAAAGCTCCCAGCTCTTTTTATTGGCTTAGGCTGTGGATGCCTCTGGAAGATGGGAGATGTACTTTAAGTAGGCACCTGAAGTCAGAAAACAAACAAAATGCCCAAGCCAGGTTGGAAATCAGAACTCTGAGGATCACTCAGAGGTTGTAGATCCGCTTCCTTTCTGGGAATTTTAGATTAAATGTCTAAAAATAAGTTACGGCAGCAGGGGTTGTGTAGTTAGATTGGAGGGAAGGCAGAGCTGCTTCCCCTTCCTCTCCACCTCCCCAGGCATGTTGAGGGAACACACGGGTGCTTCCACCACTGCGAGGTGCCCCTTTCACCTTTAGTCTCTGGGGCTGAAGATGCTGCTGTTGGCTTCTTCCTGTGATTGTAGTGGTCTGGGTGGTTGGAAATGATCTCCTCTGCTCTGTAGAGGATCTTTCTAATCAGTGCAAGGGCAGGTGAGTTCTAATGTAAACATTTTTCACTGCAGTTATTTACAAATATTCAGGAGCATCTATACATTTTTAAAAACTTTTTAAACATATGGTTTCCATCTCCTTCTCAGGCCTCCTCCTGGAAAGAGGATTAAAAAGATAACAGAGCCAATTTGTTTAGAGGAAGGCAACTGCATTCTCCTTGGAAGGGAGGACTTTCCTTCTCCCTTTTTAGAACTCTACCATCATTGAATTTAAAAATAACCTCACTCTTCCTAAAAGTATCTAAGGGTTAATTTTTTCTTTCCTTCACAGTATTGATTGTGGGACTCAAGAGCAGGCAAAAGGCATCACATCCAGCAATTATTTTCCCTAAAGACAGAAAGCACTTTCATTTCAAGTGATCTAAGGAAATGAGTTAAGAACTTCCCATTGGTTTGCAATGAAAGAGTCCATTTTTTTAATATAGGAGGAGGAATAATGAAGCCCTCTTAGAGGATAGATTTCTTGTTGGAGGATACAGTCAAGTGGAAAATGCTTCAAATTCTGAGACACACAGGCTGATAGTTTCTGAGACACATTTGTTCCTTGCTTTCTGTAGCCTGGAGTAATTTTCAGTGTGTTTGGCTGTTATCTGGTCTGGTCTCTATGTGCAGAGAATTACTTATTAAAATCCACACACTATGAAAACTACCTAAACACATATCCCTCAAAGTTAGTGGCTGTAAAACCATGTAAAAGGCACCATTGCTTATTGAAATAAGTTTGAGCTTCAGAGTAGAATTCTGAATTTCTACACTGAGTATGCTGTGACTAGATAAACAGCAGAGAATCTTTGGCAAGTTAGTATATTTTTTGAGTCCTGGCTTTCTTGTTTATCTACATTGCAGAGTTGTTAGAAGGTTTACATTTTTAATAAAAACTGATGCCAAGTATCTGGTACATTGTGTACCCAGAAAATGGTTGCCTTATAATTGTTATAAATTATATTTCTGGTATATGTTACAACTTAAATAAGGAAATCTGGGCAACCCATGAGAATTTGGAATGTTTCTCCTGCCAGATTTACAGGTAAACATTATTGGTCCCTACCCCTCTCCCCAGCCATGTACACTTAACGCTAATGAACAGGGACAAGACATTTTGAAAGGTAGGAGAAGTTTCATGGTTTGAGTTAATTATTTTTTACCTGCACATTTAATGTTCTTTAACATTTGGATTGTCAGTATATGGCAGTAGTGTTTATTTGTTAAATATTAGACCAGTCAGTCAGAAGCCATTATCATGTTAAGGAGACACAACTTTGACAAACAAGCATCTGTTTTTCTCCAGTCTGAAACATCTTCTGCATAAATACAGATATATGCACACAAATGCACAAGGTGCACTTATATGTTGAGATATAGGTGCATTTATTCACAAATCATGGAATGGTGTCATGTATGTATAAAAATATAGATGTGTATACATACATAAATACAAACATTTGCAATCAGTCAATTAAACAATATTTCATGAGTGACTACTCTACATCAGATATGTGTTAGGCCCTGGGGGATAGCAGTGAATAGGATGGATAGATTGCCTCCTCTAAGAGCTTTCCTCCTAGTAGAGGATGATTGACACACAAATAAATACGATGACTTAACATACGGTTAAATTCTGTGAAGAGAAAAGGGAGTGTTTCACTATGTTTATAAACACCAAAATTTAAGATTTTATTTTGCCCTCTGTGCTTCCATTTACTTTTGTAATTTTCTTCTTCTAGCTCAGTACTTGATATGTACTGAATTCTCAGAGAAGAACCTTGTCAAACTGCGAAGGAGATGGCAGGAAGAAAGTAAGAAAGCTGTAAGAGTTTTGAATAGAACAGGAAGTTTTCCTAATGTTTATGTGGTGATAGAAAGATAAAGGAATCAATAGATCCTATTATAGAAACTTTCTTAATTCTTGTTGCTTTTGATTAAGTGATACTGTGGGAAATGCCAAACCAAAGCAGTGTTTGTTTCTTCCATCAGATCCTCACCCATTTCATTTGCTCCTCAGAAATGAACCTGAATTCAGAATTTATGTGCAAGGCTTTATTCATGGCACCTGACATGGTAACAATAATAGTAACAATTAAGCTAACAAGTTATTAGGTGCTTATTATCTGCCTGACACTATGCTAGTATGTATTGTCTCATTTAATCCTCATAAGAATCTTGTATAAATTGATATATCATTATCCACATTTATGAAAATGAACATGCCCTGGTCTTCAAGGGAGTTGCTATAATCCCATGGAAAAGACAGATAATGTATATAATTAACTAACTGGAAATAGGGCCATCAAAGACAGGAAACATAGCAGAGTGAAAACCTTATGGATTTGGGAGCTGTCAGAACATGGTTGGAATTCTGGCTGTATCCCTTTCTAGTTGTGCAATCATTGGTAAGTCCAATCTCAGAGCTTCAGTTCCTCCATTTGTAAATTGGGGCTTGTAAGAATGTCTTACAAGTTTGTGGTGAAAATTACATGATAGCATATAGACAGCGCCTGGAATGATGCTTGCCACATAGCTCTGTTTAATACGTGATTGTTATAACAATAGAAACACCAGTGAAGTGCTGGGGATGTTCCCAGAACATGACATTTAATTCTACTGAAGGGAGGGAAATCGGGTTTCAGAGAGGAGGTGGTGTTTGGAGTAAGCCTCCAAGGATGGTAGGGTGGCATAGTGGTAAGAGGTGAGGATAGAAGTATATGCCAGGCAGAGAGAACAGCAAAGATCAAGGCGGAGAGATTTGGAAGTGCCTGATGTGTTTACTGTATGGAAAGTTATTAAGTCACCCATGGAGACCACCATAGAAAAGTGGGCTGGGTGGTAGGACGAAGCCAGGAGTCTTTGAATGTATTTAAGGTATGGCTCATTAGAAATGGACAAACATCAAGGATCTAATGGTACTGGCTGCATGTTAGCTATCAGCAGAGGTGGCACATCACTGTTACCAGTGGGTTTGGGAAGTAGAATAGAGGTTAATACAGTGAAGTGGTTGTTTTGAAAATTCTGTCGACTCATTGGGTGGTAACCGTTACTCTAAGCAGTCAAGTCCTTTCTTTTTCAAAATTTTGAACAAACGACTGTTTTCAGCAGTTCCACCTTTATGTGGCCTCTTTATTTCCCTATTTTTGAATCCAGGGATGTTAAAAGCTCAATTTCCATAATTGTCCTGGTGGCAGGAAAAGGGCATTGGGAGTGGAGGGGAGGAGCATAGGTGCAGCCATCTGTACAGGTAAAATATAAGTTTAGTGTTTGTAAGTTGGGGGTTTATGGAATTCACTTTGAAAAGGTAGTTTGGGAAAAAGAGGGTTTAATAAGTTTTGATGCTCAAGAAAATATGCTACAGTTATGTTGCAAATTTACAAATGTGGAAAAAAATCTCATCAGCAATAATCACAATAGCAAAAATCAATCACTAACCCTTACTGGATACGTAAAATATACCAGGCCTAGTTCTTAGCACTTATATATGTTTTTTTTTCCCCAAAGCAACCTTATAAAGTAGGTTTGTGTATGTTCCTTGTTTTATAGATGAGGATATGGAGGTTTAGACAGATCCATGAACAAAATGATGGAGTTTGATTTCCAACCTGGAGCTATTTAATTCTAAACCTCATGCTTGTTCCCTGCTCATTTGGGATAAATGAAGCAATGCTGTATACATCTCTCTCATGATTTGGCTCTGATTACTTCTCCAATGTCATCTTTCATCAGTTTTTCTTTTTATTCTTTGCTAATATTGGAATAATTAAAAATAGGCCAGGCTATATTGGTTTTGCTCGAGCCACCCACTCCACCTGGAATGACTTGACTTGAAGGCCACATCTTCCTGCCTTTTACCTGGCCAGTTCCTTCTCATCTCTTGACAGTGCATTATAGTGGGTAAGAGCAAAGGTTCTGAAGTCAGCTGTGTTCAAATTCTGATTCCATCACTTGCTGTGTTCTTGAGCAAATCAGCCTTCATTGCTCATTTCTCTATCCATAAAATGGGGCTTCTTATAGGACTGTTGTAAGAATTAGATTAGATAATGTGTTTAAAATGTTTAGAACTATTTCCAGTATATAATTAATGCTCAGTCCTTGTTAGTTCGCCTCAAGGTGGCTTCCCTTACTCCTTCTTCCCTTCCCAGGCTGTGCTTAGAACTCCTCCTCTCTGTTTTCTTTATACCATGCATGTATGATTGTAATCCTTTCAGTTATTCAAAATACCTACTACTCTGTGTCTACCACTATTACTGTAGGATAGGAGATGCTGGGTCTGTAGCTGTGAACTGAATAAAATTTTTGTTTTCTTGGAATTTATAGGATAATGATGAGAGACAGAAAATAAACAGAGAAATATACAAATAACTGGTAGCGACAGGTGCATTAGTGATGATGTATTAAAAATATGAGTGCACTTGCCTGCCTTCCCTGCTAAATTTTAAGTTTCTCACAGACAGGAACTGTGCCTCATTCTTAGTTGCATTCCCAGAGCCCAGCATGGTCCCTGGCACACTAAATTTTGCTTAGATATCATGTGAATGAATGTTTAGGAAGGTGTGGAACCAGATAGCCACCCAATTGGTCAACAAATATTTAATGAGACCTACTGTGTGTCCAGCACTCTGGCAGTGTAGCAGATCAGAGGAGTAAGCATCCTTTGTATTCTCAAAGAGCTCTTACTCTAGAGCAGAGGTTCTTAATTTCAACCCTCCTGACATTTTAGGCTGCATACTGCTTTGCTGTGGAGTGCTGTCCGGTACATTGTAGAATGTTCAGCAGCATCCCTGGCCTCTGTCCACTAAATGAGACAACCAAATATGTCTCCAGACTTGGCAAAATACCTCCTGGGGGGAAAATTGCCCCTGACTGAGAACCATTGATTTGCAGAAACAAAACCTGCCCTATCGACAGGATTTAAGAAACCTTGAAAGTATGCGTAATTAAGAACTAAATTTGGAAACTACAATATAAATGCTTTGACTGTTTAGAGAAAGGAGGTGTCTCTGTGGGCTCAAGTTGTTGGAGAAGGCCTCCTGGAAGAGGCCTGAATGAACTGTACTTGATAGACAGGTCTTGGTTAGGGAGGGTCAGGAGAGGGGAGGCGTTTTAGGATATTTATATAAGCAACCGTCTCTGTTGAAAGTAATATAACAGCTGTTTAAGATTTTCACTAATGTTCCCCTTAATCCCTGGTGAGAGGGGTCCATGCTCTGTGCCCTATACTTTAAGGGGCCACATCCTTCTTTTTCTCTGGTTTCACCCTTTCTCAGTGAGGCAGGGTGTTAATGGGATCTTTCTAGACTCTGGAATTTCCTGCCCAAATGACCCAACTCTACTTCTGCAGCCTGCCTGCCTGCGTGGGGCATTTTCCCCAATCTTCTTCCTGAGAGTGGCTTGCCCCCCTGGTATGTACAATCCTAGTCCACACATCAGAGGGGGCAAGGAACGGCTAAGGGACAGCTCTTTGAGGGAGACATTGTGGAAGGATCTTTGATTTGGTGCTGTGGGGCCCACATATGCAAGTGGTATAGGCTTGCCCTGTGTCCCCAGATTGCAGGACCAAACTTCCTGGAGTTTCAGGAGTCTAAATTTGAATTTGGCATTCCAGATTGTTATGCAGATTTGTTTGTCCAGGGAGGAGAATAGAACATGTTTTATCGGTTTGTTGGTTTGATGATAACTTCTCAATATTAGATACAGTTGTACTTTTGTTCTCTGCCTTGCAAATGGAGGTGGTTGGAGAGTTTTTGGTCTGTACTGTATAATCAATACTCGAGTGAAAAATTATAGTGGGTTTTTTGTAACTTGGGAGTCTATCAGTCTTCTTTGAGAGCAAAGTGTTTTAGGAAACTAGTTGGATCAATTGAATAATTATGTAAGTTAGTATAGAATGTGGTCAGTTAGTCTTTTGACAAAGTTGTGAGTCATCTTGGAAATAATGATACTATGTATCATTAATGCACTCTTCATGATGGATTTGATAGATTTCTGGTAAAATAATCTATTTTAGCTTCTCATTCTGACCTGGCTCTATCAGGAGCTGTGTGACCTTGGGCAAGTTACTTAACCTCTCTGTACCTTTGTTGCATCATCTGAAAAATGAGTATAATGTGCTAATCTACTTCATAGGTTTGTGATGATAATTAAATCAGATAAAGAATGTAGACTCCATAACCATCCTCACTTGGCTGGGTGGGATGATAGGAAGTTTGTTCCCACCTGGAAAATGTCTGGACTTTGGAGTCCCAGAGATAAGGATCTAATCCTGGTTCTGTCATTTATCAACTTTGTGACATTGAAAAATTTACTTGGTCTTGCTGAGCCTTAGCCGCAGGTGGCAATAGTTACCTTGAGAGGATTAGTTGCTGGATAAGTGCTAATTATTAGTCCATAATGAGGAGAAAATCCATGTCTTTGGACAAATTCTGTGCCTATTAATTGTACTTTCAGTAAAAGAATATCTGACAATGAAATGTGACCTTGTGACACACGCTCTTTTTTCACAGAGTTAGTGCTGAGGGTGCTGTACTATGGCCGGCAAAATTTTATGGAAGACAGCAGAGCCCAGCAATAAATCAACTGATTTCAATCATTCATTCAACCACATTTGCTGAATGTCTACCATGTACCAGTTAGGTGCTGGCAATACAGTGATGAATACAAGAACGTGGTCCCTGATTTGTTAATCTAATTAACAAATTTTATAATCTAATTAACAGCAGTTCTCCCATATCTGTGGTTTTGTTTTCCATGGCTTCAGTTGTCTATGGTTAATTTGGTCCAAAAATATTAAATGGAAATTCCAGAAATAAACAATTCATAAGTTTTAAATTGTGCTCTGTTTTGAGTAGCGTGATGAGATTTCACTTTGTCCCACTATGTCTTGCCTGGGATGCGAATCTTCCCTTTGTTCAGCGTCTCCACACTGTTGACACTTGCTGCCCATGAGTCACTTAATATCCATCTTGGTGGTGGGATCACCGTGCTTGTGTTCAAGGAACACCGATTTTATTTTACCAGTGGCCCCAAAATGCAAGACTGATGATGCAGGTATATTGTTATAATTGTTCTATTTTATTATTAGTTATTATTGTTCATCTCTTACTGTGCCTAATTTATAAATCAAATTTTATCATAGGCATGTATGTATAGGAAAAAATAGGAAAAAACGGTATATAGGGCTTGGTACCATCTGAAGTTTCAGACATCCACTGGGGGTCTTGGAATGTATCCTCCACAGATAAGAGGAGATTCCTAGTTTCATTCCTTAAATCAGTAAGAAACCAAGTAACATGGGGTTCCAAGGCTTACAGTTTGACTGTTTTGGATAATGATAATGAGTTTTGAAGGAATCGATTTTTATCCCTTTCTGTTGAACTGTCTTCTAGCTGTGGCATTGCATGAGAGGGAAGCAGCCAAGACCGTAAGAGCTGTGTCGCTCTAATTAGGTGCCAGGAGGAAGTGGAAATGAATTCAGAGCCACACATTCTCCATTTTTCAGATCTTAAACACAGAAGACACTATCAGAGATTTCCAGGTGACCACAATGAGAAAAGGGCCTTTCGTCCCACTACATCTTGCCTGGGATGCAAAATCTTTAGTTTGTTTCCATTATTGATAAAATAAACATATATAGTACATGATTTTATGTCCCCCATGTTCATTTAAACAATTTATAGTGTTTATTATTTGTCTGATTTTGGAAAGAATACATATTTACTATAGAAAACTTTTAAATGTAGTAAAAAAGAAGAAAAAGCCTGCTGAAATTCCCTCACTCGGAAGTACTTATTGTAAACAGTCTCTTTTGTGTATGTTTGTTTGTGTGTATTACTAAATTGTATGTATTTTGTATATTTAATTTTATATCCTCTTTTATTCACTCAAAATTATACCTTTAGAATTTTCTCATATAATTAAATAACTTTTAATTTATAAACTTGTGAAAAAATAGCTTTATAATTTTTTATTTTGGAAAAATAATTATTTATTGTCCAAGTATTACCATAAAAATACTTTAAAAAAAGATTATGCTGCTGACAAATTTATGTTAGACTTTTTTCTTTAATGATTTCTTCATATGTAGTTGTTGTATAGCTGAGCATAGGAAATTAAAAAGCCTCTTTAAAGATCTGTACTGTCTTGAGGTTGATATTTAAAGGATAAAAGCAACACTATTTTCATTTGTAAAAGTAATTGACATTTAACAAACATCGCTAATATTTTGGTTTATATTCTTCTGGATCATTCAATGCCAATGTGTGTATAAATGAAACAAAAATATAATGAATTCAACAGTACATTGCAAATATTTTTCTAGTAATAGTATATGCAGTCTACATCATCTCTTCTAATGGCTGTAAGATTTTCCATTGTTAGGATAGATACAAATGTATTTAATTAATATACTGTTATTGGATATTTATGTTGTAATTTCTCACTTTTATGAATAAAGATGTGGTGATCATCCTTTTGTATACATCTTAAACACTTACCTGCTTATAAATTTCTAGAATTAATCTTTTCACACTTTTTAGTTTGAAGCGCCAGTTCTTTTTTTAAAATCTTTTTAAAATTTTTGTTCCTTGAGTTTATTAACTTAAAACGAATGCTACTACAAGCATTTCTTCCATGCCACTAAACTTTAGCCCAGACATACATTTTAACGCTTGCATAATTTTCTGTCATATGAATATCATTAAATGTATTTAACCAATGATCTTTGTTGGAAATTTAGTTTATCTACTATTTTTATGATCATGAATAACACTGTCATTTGATGACTTTAAGTTGTCTTAATTCTATATTGGTTTTTTCTTTCTTTTTTTTTCAACTTGTATTTTAAGTTCAGGGGTACATGTGCAGTATATGCAGGTTTGTTTCACAGGTAAACATGTGCCGTAGTGGTTTACTCCACAGATCATCCCATTACCCAGGTATTAAGCCCAGCATTCGTTAGCTATCCTTCCTGATGCTCTTTCTTCCCTCACCCCAACCCTGACAGGTGTGTTGTTGTTCCCCACAATGTGTCCATGTGTTCTCATCGATCAGCTCTCACTTATAAGTGAGAACATACAGTGTTTGGTTTTCTGTTCCTGGGTTACTTTGCTGAGAATAATGGTTTCCGACTCCATCCATGTCCCTGCAAAGGACACCATCTCATTCCTTTTTATGGCTGCATAGTATTCCATGGTGTATACGTACCACATTTTCTTTATCCAGTCTGTCATTGATGGGCATTTAGGTTGATTCCATGACTTTGCTATTGTGAATAGTGCTGCAGTGAACATATGTGTGCCTATATCTTTATAATAGAATGATTTATATTTCTTTGGGTGTATACCCAGTAATGGGATTACTGGGTCAATTGGTATTTCTGCCTCTAGGTCTTTGAGGAATTGTCACACTGTCTTCCACAATGGTTGAACTAGTTTACACTCCCTCCATCAGTAAACACCAATTCTTATATCTGGCATCTTTGATTGTTCATAGAAAATCTTTGGCTTTGGCTAAGTGCAGATTTGGGGTGTTGCCTCTTTCAGTGTGCAAAGTGATTGCATAAATAGATATACTATGATTGTTAGATTAAATTATAAAATTTCCCTTAGGTGGATTTACAATAGGTCAGGCAATGAAAAAAGATCCCCATACAACTGGATATGTACAGTGGCAGGTAAACCCTTCATTTGGGATTGCAGAGACCCAGCTATGAGGAATTTATGTAGTGCAGTGGTACACGTGCTTTTATTTTTCATGGTTATCAGCTCCATTACAGTACAGCTGATAATTAGCATGGTGTTTTATCTCCATTTAAAAAGCAATAGCTTTCTTTCTTCTAGGACTTAAGCAATTAAATAAAACTGTGATTTAAAAAGGAAAATGAACTTTTACTTCATGATAAGGTAGAGATTTCAAGGAAAAAGAAAAGTGTCCTGGATAAAATAGAAATACTATGTTTCACAACTCTAATTTTAAGAGTCATTTTCCTATTTACTAAAATTAAACGTCTTCAGCATGAATCTGCAGCAGATCATACCCACCTGGTGAAGGGTGGAGGTGTCATAAAAAGGCACAAAAATTCCATGATGATATTTTGTTGGGTCAGTGTTTTGGTGGTGAAGTGTTGGTGACTGTGACATTGCTCGATATCATCTGTATTGTGTCCTTCTACTCCCTTGCACTTGTGTGAAATGGCTCCACATACTGTTGCTTTGGTGCTTTGGGGCTAGAAATGAAGTCTTGTTGATATATGTCTGTCTCAAGTCCCTGGTCACAGCCTTACTAAATGTCTAATGAGTATTGGATGAATAAAAACATCAGATTATCTGAAAGGCTGGTAGACAGCTGTCTGAATACCTTTTAGGGACAGTTTCATTTATTGTCTATTATTAAGACTCTAGGCTCTAAATATTCACTGCTAATTCATGTATTCACTCCTTCATTCCTTTATTCAACAAATATATATTCGATGCCTTCTATGTGCCAGGCACAATGCTAATTACTGAGAACAGAGCGATAGGCCAAGAGGACGCAGGCCTTCCCCCATACAGCAAACAAGCACGCAGCACACAATGGGAAAGGAGCAGCAACATTCTCCAGTCTCTCCACTTCTTTATATGGGAGGAAAAACAAACACAGGTTTGCCTTAGCTTTCAGAACTTAGCTGTGTCTGCCTGTATTTGATTCAGTCCATAAAGGGCCCAAATCTCCACTCTGGTCCATTCAGTGTGGTGCCTGAATCGTGATTGCGATGGCAGAGGTCTCCGTCTAGTTCAGTGGTATGATATCTTTGGACTCTTGCTAACCTATGCAACATGTGAACTGCTGGAGAGGAAAAGCACTTTAAAACCTTGCTGAAAGATACATGAGCCCATGGGGAAACACAAAGCTCAATTACTGGTAGAATCAAAGAGACAGAGGCAGGCTGGCTTGGAAGGGGATTGCTCACTTTGTAAGCAACTGTTCTCAACTCAACCTGCCACCCTGCAATAGCAAAGAAGAGGAAGTGGAGGGGCCGGCAGCAAGACTCTGGTGAGCTGAGTCAGTAGGCAGTGAGCTGAGTCTCAATTTGGGGTAAAAACACAGTCACTTTATTGTTTCCTAATAACTGCTCCAACTATGGCATGTGAAATCTACCTCCTGACCTCCACCCCGCACCCCAGTTAGCTGGCTCTAATGGGTCTCTGAACAACTTGGCCAGGTTTTATTAATTTTTTATTCACTTTGATTCTTGGGACAGTCTCACTCTGGTATTTAGCTCAGTTTTGTTTATTTTAAAGCACAATGAAAATTCTGGCGTCTACCACCTCCGCCTGCTCAGGCTCTAGAACCTCTAGGCGCTTGCGGCAGAAGGCAAGAAGAGCAATCGCTGAGGTGGAGCCCACTCCACCCTCCTCTAGGAGCTGCTGCTTCAGTTTGGGCAGGGAGGAGGGGAATATTCATAGTCCCTTTCTCTGTTGGGGGTGGCTGCTTCCGCGTGAACCCTGCTTGGCTGCCCAGCCTTCTAATGGCAAAGTGTTCTGGTTCTTTCACCTGGCGGGCAGCCCTCTTAGGTGGGGTCCTGATAAACACTCCATCCACAGGGAGATCCCCTATCCTTGCCACGCCAAAGGGCTCTTTCTCTCCCACCCCTCTCAGCCTCACCATCTATCTTTCCGTCTCCCTTTCCGCTTTCTCCATGGCTCAGGGACAGCCAGAGAAAACATCCAGGAGTGCAGTGCCTGGTGTGTCTAGTGCCTGGTGTGTCTGGTGCCTGGTGTGTCTGGTGTCTGGTTGATTCTGCAGACTCTTCCTTTTCTTTTCTTTCTCTTTCTCTTTCTTTCTTTCTTTCTTTCTTTCTTTCTTCTTTCTTTCTTTCTTTCTTTCTTTCTTTCTTTCTTTCTTTCTTTCTCTTTCTTTCTTTCTTTCTTTCTTTCTTTCTTCCTTTCTTTCCTTTCTTCTCTCTTTCCTTCTCCTTTCTTTCTTTCTCTTTCTTTCTTTCTTTCTTTTTTTCTTCTCTCTCTCTTTCTTTTCTTTTCTTTTTTTTAGGTCTTTCTCTGCACCCAGGCTGGAGTGCAGTGGTGCAATCATAGCTCACTGCAGCCCTGCTGGGCTCAAGGAAACCTCCTGACTCAGCCTCCCAAGTACCTGGGACTGTAGGCCCAGCAAATTTTTAATTTTTATCTTTGTAGAGAAGGGATCTCCCTATGTTGCCCGGGCTGGTCTCGAACTCCTGGGCTGAAGCGATCCTCCCGCCTCGGCCTCACAAAGTGCTGGGATTACAGGTGTAAGCCACCGCTCCCGGCTTCACTTCTTTACAGGTGATTTGTTTGGAGATTCCTCTACCCCTCTTCTGTGTTGGCAGGGAGGGAAAGCCCTTGTCTCCCCTCTCCGTGGGGGTGGAAAGGCTGTGGCCTCACCACAAAAGCATGCCACTCCCAAGGCAGCTCCTTCCCTAGTATAAATCAGCTGGGTGGTGCCAGGACTGGTCCTCTTAGAAAACCTGTGGAGTGGTAAACATAAAAGATGGGGTACTTAGCCTATTTTGGCCTCAGGGTGGGGCCTTGACTGTAATTCCCAGATAAGAGGGAAAAATCCTCACACTTTGTTATACTTATTCCCCGGATAAGTCTTTGAACCTTCATGAAGCTTAGTTATTGTACACCAGCTAAGTTCCTTTTCTTTCTTTAAATAGATGCATTATAGATGTACATAGCTTTGGGGTACATGTGATAATTTAATATATTCATATAATTTGTAAAGATCCAATCTGTTGTGTACTGTTTCTTAAAGGATCTCTGCAGGTCTATGTCATATGGAAATGCTCAACTGAGTCCATTCTGTTTCATCTTAAGCAAGAAATCAAGGTTTCCCATTACAAATGAGATGCCCAAGCCCCTCACCTCCTTTTTATGGGGCTTACCGTGAATGTCTTGAACTGTTTCTTCACCATTTAGAATCACTCTTCACTGCCTTTTTAAAAATTTCTTTTTCTTCTTGCTTAGGAAGCTCGTGGTCAGATCAACACACCTCCTAGCTAAGCAGACTCCAAATGGGGAATGATGAATGATGCCCCTCTGGCTAGGTACCCCCAACTTTGATTCTCTTTGGGCCTCCCTCTTCTTCAGGGGAGGGAAGAATCCCCATTCTCAATAGGTTTTTCTTGCTCCCAATTTTCCCTTCATGTTCGCCAAGGTGAAGGGCAATTATAGTGGGGGCGCTGGATTGCCAGTCAGACTCTTCCCCCAGCCCTGCTGAGGGCCATATGTCCAGGGGCTCTCCCAACTCATGCAGCATACTCAGAAGCTGCATCTCCAGCCTTGGACTGAAACTATAATTCTGGCATAAAATCCCACTGAGCATTCTGTTACAAAAGGAAAGAACCAATTAAGAAGCCAGAAGATTGCTCCTCGTGTATCAGGTGTCAAGGTTTATAACTTATAAGTAGTCCAAAAAATTCTCTTTGGACTTTTAAAACAGAGATGCAATATGGAAAATTAAGTTCAGATTTAATGAACATTTATTGAGTACCAACTGTATGCAAGCACAGTGCTAGATGCTTTAATGCAGATTTTATCAGTCAATTTAACCCTAGATCAGCTCCATTTTTGAGACAATAATGATAGTATTTTCAGTAATAGAGTTGCTATTTATTTTGTGTCTGCCATATGCCAGGCACTATTTTCAGCACTCTACACAGTCTTATCATTTAACATTCGCAAATGCAAAATGAAGAAGATATTATTATACTTATTTTACAAAGAAACAGGCTGTGAACAATTATTTACCTAAGGGCAGTTAGGCAGTCAGTAATGCCCAGAGCTAGCATTTAATGAATGCTTACTATGCATCAGCTCCTCTTTTAAGGATGTTTGTGGATGTTAAGATCATCATTTTCTTGATGGAGAAACTGAGCCACAAAGAGCTTAAGGACCTTGGTTAGGGTTACATAGTTAGAAAATGGTCTGTCTGGCTCTGGGACTCGCAAACTTCCTTACTGTGCTGAACCTTTGTGGTAAGATCCACATTTGCATTCAGGGCTTCAAGTCAAAGCCTGATAGTCCCTTATATTGCAGTGTCTTACTGCAAAGGAATGAATCGCAAATGATAAAATTTCATTTTGTATAGGTGAATTAACACTTTATTCTATTTTGATATTGTTAAAATCAAAGGCTGTTTGTATCACCCATTCCTCAAGAGCCGTACAAATAAAGCAGTGAGGAAGGAGGATGTCTCTTTTTTTCCTCTCTCTGCCTGACATCTCTGATTCATCCCAGTGGCTTAGCTTGAGAAGGAGGCAGGGAAAAGAGGGGGAAGGAGGATGTCTCTTTTTTTCCTTTTTCTGCCTAACATCTCTGATTCATCCCAGTGGCTTAGCTTTAGGATTCTTTGCTCTCTTAACTATCTAGCTCTCACAGCCCACTTGCTTAATTCCCCCTTTTATCTGTAAGAGGTGGAAGCCTAGAAAAGATGCCAGCCATACCATAGTAAGGGAGACTATGGCCTGTACAACTGAGAAACAGGAGTGGAGCAATGAATCGTGTGGAGACTTCTGCGCACCCAAAAAGGGAAGTGATTCTTTCATTTCTCTCCATTGCTGAAATCTCCATGGACTTTCCTTTCGGCTACAGTCACTGTCTCTGAAGTGGAATCTATGTGATAATGTTTTGAGTTATTGAGAGAGAATCCAATGTGTATTTTTTTTATTAAAATAATTCACTTGTTGCCTTATGCAAGTGTATTAATCAAACATAAAGGTCTTATCAGTTTCATTTCCTAGAGATAAATAATGTTAACATTTTGATGTCTATTCTTCCAGATGTTTTCCTATTTAGAGTATAATTCATTATTTAAACTGGGATACCTGAGATAAAATGCCATAATTATGCCGGGACAACAGGCACAAACTAAGACTATTTCCAACAAACTGAGATATATAATCTCCTTACTGTGTATGAATTTTTACAGCTGTGTCTACAGAAATATCTAGATACACTCAACATGTGTTATACATGGTGATGCACAACCTCTAAGATGGGTCCCAGTGATCCCCACTCCTGGTATTCATGCCCTTGTGTCATCTGTCTCCGAGTGGAGGCTGCGTTTAGTGACTCACTACTAGAATAGAATAGGATACTATGGAAGAGATGGCACGCCACTTCAGAGATTAGGTTATGAAAAGACCATGGCTTCCATTTTGAGTGCCCTCGTTCTCTCCCTATGGGATCACTCGCTCTGGGGGAAACCAGCTGCCATGCTATGAGGCCACTCAGGCAGTCTATGGAGAGACCCTTGTGCGAAAAAACTGCAGTTCTGGTTGATAGCCAGTGAGGAACTGAGGCCACCAACAACCACGTAAGTGAACTAGGAAGCGTATCCTTTAGCTTCCGATGACCGCAGCCCCAGCAGACAGCTTGACTACACTTCATGAGAGACCTTGAGCTAGAGCCCTCCAGCTGAGATACTCCTGGCTCTCATAAACTGTGTGAGAAAGTAAGTCTTGGCTGTTTTAAGCTGCTAAGTTTGTGGTAATTTGTTATATCATAATAGATAACCCATCCACATTTATTAAATAAAAAATCAAATCACGTAATAAATTGTTTTTAACAATATCCTCTTTCCCACCCACAACGTCTATCAGTAGATACCCCACTTAGTATGTGTAGGACAAAGCAATACTGTTTTATTTTTTAAAGTAGATAAAATGTAAAATGATTTTAGAGTTGACCATAATGTTTCTCCTTTTCTTTTTTTAAATAAAAAAAATGCCTTAAAAATCCTTGGAAACATGTTTTTTGCTCCTGCAATTATCTCCACAGAGTAGCTTCTTAAAGGAAAGATTTCTGGGTCATGAGACAGCACATTTAGATTTACACTGATATTTATGAATTGTGTTCCAATTGAAGTCATCTGTTTTGTGACCAAGAGTGTATGAGAAAGCCTGTTTTTTTTTCCCGATACTGAATGTTATCAACTTTAAACAATTTTGCCAATATATAGGTGAAAAATTATAATTGTATTGATGAGTGAGACTCAGCTCTCTTTTCCTGCGAGGGGCACATTCATGTGTCTTAGCCACTTTCTTCTTGGGTGGTTCATCTTTTCTTTTTTGATACTAAGTGTTCTTTATTTGTTAAGGGAATGTAGTAGACGTTTTTGTCACATCTGTTGCAAATATTTTTCTCAATTTGTCTTATGACTGCTTACGTTTATGTTTGAATTTTTTTTCCATAACGACTTTAAAAATTATCAGGCAATCAACCTCATCAGTTTTTTCTTTTATAGCTTTTGAGCCTTCGAGTCATGAATCGTGCAGCCCAAAACATTTTCATCTGGTATTTTTATGATTTAACTTTTTGCATGTAAATTTGAGATCTATCTGTGATTTGTTTTAGTATAGTGAGGTAGAGATCCAACTTTTTCCACAAGATGTTACTGAAACAAAAACAAAAACAAAAATTCACCTCTCCCCACTAATTTGTAATGCCAAGTCCATCCATTCTAGATAATCCAATATGTGTGGGTCTATTTCAGAAGTCCCACTTTTCTTCCATAGTTGTGTCTCACTTGTTCTTTTCTAAAGCCATACCATAGCTTTATAGTACATTTTAATATATGCTGGGCCAATCACTGTTTCTTTGTCAGAATTTTCTGTGCTATTGTGTCATATTTTTCTCTCAGATACAATTAAGATTGTTTTGCAAGTTCAAATGATTCTTGTTGAGATTTTTTATTTGAATTTCACTCATTTATATGTTATTATTAAGAACTGAAACTTCTTGTTTAAGAATATTTACTTGTATATTTAATTCTTATTTTATTTTCCTAAACAGAGTATTTAGTTTTTTTAGAATTCTATCTTTTTTAAATATTTAATTTAATTTTATTTTAAGTTCTGGGCTACATGTACAGGATGTGCAGGTTTGTTACACAGGTAAACGTGTGCCATAGTGGTTTGCTGTACCTATCAACCCATCATCTAAGTTTTAAGCCCCTCAGGCATTATCTGTTTATCCCGATGGACTTTTGACTCTAAGAACAATGATTTCACCATACAGCATTGCCTGTCTGTGAGGGGAATTTTTTTTTTTTTTTTTTTTACATTAAGGGGTTTGTGAATGTGAATTTATTTGCTTGCCCTAACTACTCTTATCTCTTCTGGATTGTTCAGAGGTGTTTAGTTCCCTCATTACTTCAAGGTTTGCTGCTGCATATTCTCCTCTTGCCCTTCACTATAGGTTCTCGGTTTGAAAGGAAACACAGCTCACTGTGAGATGCTTAAATCAAAAGAATCTGGTTTCTGGAAATGTCATTATTTTAGGAGGGAGCACGGGAGGTAGAGAAGGAAAATAGTTTAGATTCTTGTGGGGAAATGGAAAGCAAGAGGAAAAATAGATGTTCTGCTCAGAAAGGAAACTTCTCTAGGTTTTAAAAATCAGTACGTGTTAATTTTGCTATATTTTCTCTAGCAGTGGGATTACTGCATGAATCTTACTGGGAGAAAGAACGGTTGCTCTAAACCAAGTCCTCTGTCAGTGAAGCACAGGTCTGTGATGGGTGGTTGGGATGGGGATGAATAAGGAGTAGGAAAAATGACAGAAATAGACGCTTCTTATTTGCAAGTGATAGAATTTACAACTCTGTTTAGCACTTTTTTTTTTTAAATTCAACGAGTCATTATTGAGTTTCTACTATGAGGACAGCTTCAAGGGAGAATATAAAGAAAGTGTAAGGCATAGTCTCTGATCTCCAGGTAATTGTAACTAGTGGGTCAGACAATTAAATGCTGGTACTTGGTAGCAGAGAGGAGTGCTGAACTTAATCTTGAGGGTGAGTGGGATTTGAATTGGCAGAGAAACAGTCATGCATATTCTGAGCCTGAGAAAAATCTGAGAAATGGTTTTTGGTTGAGAGTTAGCTGAATGGTTGGTTTGAGCAGCATTATGTGAGTGGGAGAAATGAAAGAAAACCTTGGGCGGTTAGGATGAGCTTCAGTTGGAGTTTGAGAGTTATCGTCAGCTCTGGAGTATGTAAGTAACATGGTAACTGTGATTAGGAGCATGAATCTGGGAGAAGTACGCCTGGAGCCAGGGATGTGAGTTAAGAAACAGTCATGCCGAGAGCCCAGTCTAGAGTACAAACAATGGGAATGGCATAGAATGGGCAGATCTAACAGACACAACAGAAAATCCTCCAGAATAAGGAAATGATTTTGTAAAGTTTGTGGAAGAGAAGGAAGATACACAATTCAATACTGGACAGGTTTGACACTACTTGGGTCCTCTTGCTCTATATCATGGAATGTGGACCAGAACTGAGTTTTCTTCTGCTAATTGAGCCAGTTATTCCATTTTTTTCTTTAAATTTTTCTTTAAATTGTTAGATAGGATTCTTGTTGTGTTCCTGTAGGTTTTATCAGTTATGCACTGAATTGTCTTCAAGTGATCCTCCCAGTAGATGCTCTGGTGACTGAAAAGTTAAAGCTATCACCATGATGGCATACGTTGAGGAGGAGGTTAAACACTGTGTTAGGAGGCATACTGGCTGGCTTTCTTCTCTCTGGGTTAACATATTTTGGCCTTGTGGGATAATCATGTTTGAGAGTTCTTTGATGGCTAAAAACATACCGTGAAGGGTAGTACTAGTGAGCATGGAGGAAGGAGGGGGAGAGTGCAGGGTTTCATGTAGCCATGTTGTCAGTTTCTCTGTCCTGTCCCATTTTGCAGCAGCTGTTTGTACATGTGGTGGGATTAAGCTAGCAGGAGTCTGGATGGATGGGGAAAACAGCTTCCTTGACATCCTTAATTGCCTCCTTTATCCCTCCTCAGACAAAGCAACTCACGGTTTTAAGGACCACAAAATGCTTATTCCAAATGCACCCCTTACCCTACAACAAACCCAAACATAGACACACCTACATGGAACAAATGCAACCAAAATATTTTTTAAAGAGATAGACATTTTAAAGAATGAAAATTTCTACATTTGCATTATGAGCAAATACCAGGGCATAAGTTGAACATATCTGCTGGTGTCAGGTATCTGGACACTGATTGGTCAGTCCATATGGCCTGGGGCACCTTCCTGCTGGCAACACATGCTCATGGCTCCATAGACATTCCTGGCATGTTCCAGATATAGCAGTACCTGTGTGAAAGTTAAAATCATTAGCGTAAAAATTGGTAAATTGGCTTTATGCATAAATTCATCAATATGAGTGCAATTAAGTATACGTTCCAGTGATTCTTTTTTGTTGTTGAACATCGAGGGTATCCAGCTTAGTTGTCTAGATTCACTGAAATAGGTGACATTTGTGGACAAATGTTTATCCAGGCCCTTTGGCACAGGCTAGAATCCTCTTGCTTCTCATTTTGAGTGTATTTGGCCATTATCCCATTTTCTATGCCTCATGGTTTCTGTGTGGAGATAACTCCTCCAACATTTGTTCTGTTCCTTTCCTATTTCCTTCATTGGCAAAACTCAAGTGTGTTTATTTGGTAGCTTGACTGCGCTGAGCTTTCTTGCCCTTTTATCTTACCTGTTTTTACTGTTGTTGAAAAAAAATGAACTTAAATAATACTACTGCTGCTAATGCCTAAGTGGTTGAGAAATGTGACAGTTTCCATGCAAAGGGGTTTATATGTATGAGCTTTATTAGTTCTCTCTACTAATGTATGAGGGAGGTACTATTTAATTTCTATTGTGCAGTTGCGAAAACTAAGGCTTAGAGAGGCTATGGAACATACTCAAGGTCTCATATGTAGTAGGAGATAGGGCCAGAATTCACATTTGGTATGGCCTGCCTCCATGAGCTCGGACTCTACCAGCGCATTTATAGATGATTCATATTTAAACTGTAAATTTTACAGATATGTCTCAAATTTAAAAGTTATTCCAAAATTATGGCATAAAATATCAATGTAAATTATCATCTCTGTATACCAAAGGGTTAGACCAGTAATTCACAAGAAATGAAAGTTTTTTGCTAAGCTAACTAAAAGTTCTGATTAAAACTTTTAGAAGACTTCGGCATTGAAAAGAATATGGTATACTCAGTTTAGTAAAGTTTTGCTTGTGTCCATCGGGACCACTTTAATGCTTTTAGGAATTTAAATACCAAATTATTTTTACAAATTTATTGTTTTTTTTTTTTTTTCATTTCCGTGACGCCCCTACTTGGTTGCCACACCAAATACAAACAATCTGCTTTTGCTTAATCCAGCAATGACTAATTTATATTTACCAACAAGAGCAATAGCAATTGAAAATCGTAGCCAAGTCCCCATAACACTAATGATGCACTGAAAAAACATGTCTTTTCCGACAATTGTGGGAATTTCCAAACCGTGCATGTGTCTGTGCACAAAGGAAGCATTGTTCTGTTGCCAACTGCTGCTCAGCAGCCAGGCTTCTTTGGAGAATGTTGAATGAGAATCCTTGGTAAACTCTCACATGTGGCAGTTCTGGTGTTTGAATACTGAATTTTAATAACTCTTAAAATTAACTTAGTAGATTGCTACTAGGTGGTCCTCCATCACAAATAAAAATCAAAGTCTGGGGAAAGATGTGCCATTCATTTATTAGAACCTAAGAAGTGTCTTTTGGTTTTCTTCACTTCATGTCCTATTCTAGGACCCTGGTAGGCAGTATCCTGGCCAAAGGTGATCCAGGAGAAAGAGCCAGGAGGGGAGATTTTAACAGCTGGTTAGTTTATACGTTTATTTAGAGGAGAGGGAGGGTTTTATTAATGTTAACCCTCTACCTTTGGGGCAACACACTAGAATTTATGGGGAACATCATCAGCTCATCTCAGTTGTGGTTTATGTACCCACAAAGCCTGGTAGGTTGGGTGCTTATCAGCATCAACATTTTAGAAAGGAGCACCAGAGAAAAAGTGTAGGGGACTTGCCCACTGACTAATTCCTCAATTTTGACAGTCACCTTCATCCTTTTTGACTATGGGATGAAGCCTAAATTTCCTAGCCAGCCATTTAAAGTCCTTTGCAATGGAGGTCTTGCCTACTTTATGCAATTAATCTCCTACATAAACTATTATTGTTTATTTGCTTGCTGTGTGTACTCTGCTGATTGATCGTGCCAAGTACTGGTGATTCTGTTGATGCATCATGCACAGTTTCCCAAATTTAGGATTTAATGGGCTAGAGAATTGCCAAATAAATAAAAACATGAATAGTGTTGATGATTTTGTATTACAGCAATAAGGAAATTATAAAATACCACCATTTCATTGAAGCCTTTATATGTTAACATTTTAAAAAGTAGAAAGGACATCATCTCAGAATAAAGACCACTAATTAAAATAAACTATGAAAACCTCACACATTGCCTATATTTTCCTCATTTTGCCAGAGACAATTGAAGAAATAGCTGTGGACTGGCACTGGCCTGTGGTGTTTGGGAATGATGTTGCTTAGCCTTTTGCTTGTCTGAATAAATCCTTCTAGTCCTTCGATTCTCAGTTTACACCTTGACCTTAGAAATTCTTCTATCCCCCTCTACCTGCTGTCTTGCACCCCACCCACCCTTCCAATTATCTCTCTAGGTGGCAGTCTGTGTGTCCTCTTCCAAGTACTGATAAGATGTGCTGGGATAATTTGCTGCTGTCTCTTGCCACAAGACCATGAGATTCTTATGGACAGAAACTGCATCTTATTCACCTTCATTCCCAAAGTTTAGCACGTAGTCTTTGACACACACTCAGTGCATAATAAGTAGTAGGTGAATGAATGAATGAGTGATTACCTGGATGCCCTGCCTGTTCTTTGTGTTTTGCATGTCTTCTGTGACCTGCAGTTTTGAGCACATGGGATTTATTGAAACAAACACTAATATTCATTAAATTGAATTAACTTATGGGTTTTGACCTCATCAGTTCTTCTATTTTTCTTTGCTGAAGAAAACTAATTATGTTCTCCATTATCAGAGTGTCTGGGAACAGTCTGCAGCTGCTGTCTGAAACACTTACAGGGGCTATAATGCGTGTCTCAGCTCTTCTGTTCAGCTTGTGTTTTTCTTTAGTCAATTCATTTTGGGTTGCCATGTTGATTTATCATATTTTTATTTATTTTTATGGGAAAAGGAATGTACGATATTGTAAGACATGCTATCTAGTGAGTGTAGAGAAAAGTCAGCATTTTTTGTAGTCTGATTTTTCTAAATCCACCGAGGCGTATATGCTTTGCTTTTATGTTGTTATTGTTTCTTTTTTAAAAACCACACTTGTATTTGCCTTAAACATTTTTTGAAATCAAAACAACATATCCAGAAAGCATAGATGCAGCTTCTCTTAAGATTCAGTGGTGATCTGAGCTGTCTCATTTGGGGACATATGGTCTCTAGGCAATCGAGTTACTGTATTGAGCATTTTCCCAGCTCACAAGATGACTGTGACGAGTTATTGCACTGACTCTTGCTCAGTCACAGGGGGAACCTGCCACTTTGTCTTTAGCACAGACAGGCCCCTTATAGACACAAGGTTGTGCAGCCACTAGAGACCTGGGCTTCAGCTGGGCTTGGATCTATGCCTTGAAAGAAACAGATCTTCTTTTTGAAACTCTCTTGCCTTCCTTCTCCTAGTGTTTTATTCTTTTGTTAATGAAAATAACCCATATTCATAGAGTCAGAATAACAATTATTGATGGGCACTTCCTATGTACTAGGTACTTTATACACCTTATTTATAAGCCTTTCATTTGTAATCAGCTAATTTTGTCCTTATTTTATAAATGAGAAAACTGAAGACCAGAGAGTTGTATTTGACCGATGCCATAGAGCAGTAAGTGGTAGCATCAAAGCTGTGTAATCTCCAAGCCTCTGTTTTTTCCATCACATCAGTCTGGCTTCCTTCTTTTATAACCTGGATCATAGCTGTGTCATTTTGTGCAGCTGCTTAACTCTTGTAAAGATAAATAAAAGTACCTAATTCATAGGATTGTTTTGAGAATGAAATGAAGGTAATATATATGAAAGGACATGGCATAGCATCTGTGCATAGTAAGAACGAAATATATTTTTTAAATTTCTTCTTCTTTTTCCTGTAGGCCCTCCTTTCTTCACTGATCCAGACCTACCTTTCTACTGCCAACTAAAGAATGATGAGATTCAAAAATTTGGAAAGGAGAGCTTTATTTCTCATAAAGTGTTGCAGCCTGAAAGTGGCCATTCTTCTAGGTTTGGAAGCATAGCCTCCCACCAGAAGCCAGAAACAGATACTTTGAGAGAGGGGCAAAGGGATCAAGAATTTATACTGAGCAGAGTGGCCAAATCTACATATTCAATAAGCTACAGAAAGACTCATGAATATTAATGAAAGGAGAAACATGTACATGTACAATTGAGCTTCATGCCCCTTCTTGGGTCTCATGTGCAAAAAGCAGTGGTGTTAGCATGATCTGAGGGTGGAGTGTTTGGCCCTCTGATGTCAAAAGGTGAAGCAGAGGACACAAAGACCCTTACTGTGCATTCTCCATAGACTGGCCAAAACCACTCTGTAGTCGGTGGTGTCTCATCAGGCAAAAAGGAGGGGCAGCGTCAGATGGATGTTGGACATCAGTGGTGGAGTTCTTTGAAAGGGCCGGTTTCTCTTTAGTCTTTAGGGAAGAAAAGCTAATGGTAGTTAGCGAGGGAGGAGGTCTAGCAAGGTGTGTCCAACTTCCTATCCCTCGTCATGGCCAAGAACTTAGTTTTCAAGATTATCTTGGGGTCCCCTTCGCCAGGAGAGTGTCCATTCAGTTGCTTGGGGGGCTTAGGATTTCATTTTTAGTTTACAATACTTTAGACATCTCCTGATGGTCCATCGTAGGTCTGTTCTCTTTTGTATCTCTTTTAGAGATATTAGTTTTCTTGGGATGGATATAAGGAATGTGGCTGTGACTCAATCCTTCATTATGATTAGAATAATAAATGCTGAGGATCAAGGTGTAAGCCTTGGGACAATCATATTTAGGTGATGGGAGGAAAAAGTGCTGTTTTATCAGGGGAGAGAGAAAAAGCACTTAGAGAGGAGTTGATGATATGTAGGATGTGAGACTGCCGTGGATATCAGGGAAGGGAGACTTATAAGAAGGAGAAATTTGGTCAACTGTGTCAAATGCTTCAGCGATCAGGATGAGTAATGAGGAACGGCCATTTGATTTGATTTGATCATTCAGATATCTTTAAAGACCTTTAAGAGGGCAGTTTCAGTAGAGGTAATGGACTGGAGGAAAGTAATAAGGATGGTGAAGAAATAGAGGCGGTAATTATTTTGAGATATTTGGTTTGTCAAAATCAGAGAGATTTTATCATATCTTGAAGAGATGTCATATTTGAAAGAATTTTTCTTTAATTTAGTTGAGAAATAAGTATTTTTATGGGCAAAAATTAAAGATCTAGTTAAGAAGGAGATTTTGAAGATGTCAGAGAGCAGAGATAATTGATAGGTAAGTGTGTACCGATTTTGAAGAAAGGCTGAGAATCTAATGTCAAGATCACACTGAGAAAACTGTTAATAGTATTTTTCTTTGTATGGTTATGTTCTTTTTTAACTTTTAATTTCTTCTTTGTTATCTTTTATATCTTCTAGATTTTCTATAACAAGCATCTATAACTTTCAAATTTTTAATAGCTCTTAAAAGTTAAGCAGATTTAAAATGATAAAACATGTTCATGACACTAAGAAACTATAAAAACATATAAGATGAAAATTATAACTTCCCACATGCCCTAATATTTTATTTCCATTTCTTTAAAGCAACCACCATCAAAAATTTACTTGGTAATCTGGGTGTGGTGGCACATGCCTGTAGTCCCAGTTACTCAGGAGGCTGAGGCGGGAGTATCACTTGAGCCCAGGAATTTGAGACAAGCCTGGGCAACATATTGTGACCTCTCATCTCAAAATAAATTTTTTTTTCTTGGTAGCCCTTCAGTAATTTTTTATACACGTATGTTTTAAAATCAGAAAACTGTATTGAAAACTCATTAGTAAAGAAGTTAAGCTTGAAAAGGATAATACCACCTGGCTTATGATTTTCTGATCCCTCTTGAAAGACTAATAACATGAGAAGAGAAGAATGTAAATAGGCATAAACTTGTAAGAATGAAGATAGTGGAAGAGAAGAAAATAGCAGACAAAAGACATCAACAAAATATTAGGAGGTGAAAAACAGATGGCCTAGTGATATCTGATTAGGAGAGTACAGAAATCTACAACTTCAGTACTCACAACACGGGAAGCAGTAAAAGGAAGTCAGTTCTGTTGCAAATTCAGTGCTGATGTCACTAAAACCAGGAAGATGGGCTGGAAGTGTGTCTGCTCTCCCCCTACCCACAGGTGCAAGGAGTTGCCCTTTCCCATCTGTTAGAAGACTGGAGATGAAACAGAGAGGCACTGGACTTGGGACATTAGCTGAAGACAGGAAAGGTCGTATCCTGAAGAGAGAGACCTCAGACCATCTTATCACCCGGCTGGCAGAATGTTAGCAACTAGGCTTAAACCATACCAAGATATTGGAGGGTTTCTTTCTGGGGAGATTGACTAGGCCAAGAGAAAAGACTGCTGTTATGTGGAGACTGACATTTGTGAAATGGCTGAGTCCCCGTGGATCAACCTCTGATGAAGCCCAGCGCTTGGTAATTACCACCCAAGCATAAAGATCTTTCAGTCAGCTGTGTAGTGCCTCATTCTCAAATGTAAATGGACAGCTATGGATCAGTAAATATTTCTAGAAAGCCTCTCACATAAAAAAACAGAGACCAAACAAAGCATTAGAAAAAACACAGAAAACAGACAAGCAGGAGGCAGAAGAATACAGAACAAATGATATAGTTATGATCCTTCCAAAGAAAATATACTGCTTTCACAAAGGGTAGGAATCTGTGCAAATAGAACCCTTTGAAGCCAAGAAAGACTTTTTGTTCTTAAAAAATGTGATAGTAGAAATTAAAACATCAACAAATGGATTAGCAAAATAATGTTTAGGAAATCACTCCTGAAAGGACAGAAAGGAAAAAAAGTGATAAAAATGTGAGAAGTATGGATAATAGGAGTTCCAGGGAGAGAAATATAAAAGAGAGGGCAGAAGTTATTAAAGAAACAATAAAAGGCTGTTTCCAGAGCTGAAGGACCTGTTTTCTGGTTGCAAGGGAACACCAAGTGTCCAGCACAATGAATATAAAAAGACATATCCAAGGCATATTAGTGACATTTCAGAATCCTTAAGTTAACATCTTACAAACATTTAAAGAAGAAAAATCATTATAATAAAATGGTTACTTCTAAGAATGATGTCAGATTACTGAATAGAAACACTGAAAGTCAGAAAACAATGAATAATGGCTTCAAAATCTAAGGGAAATTATTTCTAAACATTCTGGAATTTTGTTACCCAGCCAAACTAGGAAGTGGTTTCAACATCCAAAGCCTCAAAAATTGTACTTTGCTTGTACCCTTTCTCAAGAAAGAAATAGATTGTAAGCTATTCCAAAATGAGGGCATACTAAAAAAAAGAAAGAAAGAATAAGGTGTGAACCCTGAATATGTGAGACAGGTCTCAGTTAACTTAGAAAGTTGATTTTGCCAAGATTGAGGACGTGCCCATGACACAGCCTCAGGAGGTCCTGACGACATGTGCCCAAGGTGGTCAGAGCACAGCTTGGTTTTATACATTTTAGGGAGACATAAGACATCAATCAACATATGTAAGATGTAAATTGGTTCCATCCAGAAAGGCAGGAGAACTCAAGCAGGGAAGGGGCTTCCAGGTCACAGGTAGGTGAAAGACAGTGAAAAAGATATGACCTAACTGATTCCATCTTGCTTCTAACCTCCAAGCTGTCTTTGTTCATTCCTGGACTTTCGGAGGAACTTAGTTTATAGTTTAGTTTTGAAACAAAGATGATGATAGTCCTTTCCCAAAACAAACCTTCTTACTGCCTGTGGACTAGACTGCCCAAAACCACAAGATTAGAAGTTATGGTAATTTTACTAAATAATTCAAGATGTAGCTATTTTCATTAAACCAATATTAATGTCTTATTTATTAAAAATTACCCAAGCAAAGATCATTCTGTTTTGGGCTGGGTTTATAGTTAGGTAACCCCAATGCCAAATTTTGACACCTTATAGAATTTGCCAGGGATAAGTATGAGATTGCTTGGTCAATAAATGCAAACAAAAATGTATGCTAGGCTGGGCATGGTGGCTCATGCCTGTAATCCCAGCACTTTGGGAGGCCGAGGCAGGTGGGTCACCTGAGGTCAGGAGTTCGAGGACAGCCTGACCAACATGGTGAAACCCTGTCTCTACTAAAAATACAAAAATTATCTGGGCATAGTAGTGGGCGCCTGTGATCCCAGCTACTTGGGAGGCTGAGGCAGGAGAATAGCTTGAAGCCGGGAAGTGGAGGTTACAGTGAGCTGAGAGCACGCCATTGCACTCCAGCCTGGGAGACAGAGCAAAACTCCATCTCAAAAAAAAAAAAAAAAAAAGTATGCTGGAAATTCTTAAGACAATTCTAATATTACCGTACCTGTAATTTTAAAGCTAGCTTATTTATTAAAGATTCTACTTAAGTCATGTACACTTGAAAAAGCATTTGACTAGTCTATCCTTTTTTCTGATAAAATGTTTGATTTAAGCACTTTTATTTTTCTTTAAGCCCATTCATTAGAGCTCTTTTATATATTTTTAGCAGTGAAACATTGTGTACACAGCACATAAATAAAGAGATATATTAGGCATACCGATAGAAGTACATTTATAGATTCCTAAGACCTCTTCTTTTGTGTTTTTCCTATCTTAGACTTGCAAACTCTTGATAATCTGTTTCATCACTCTGGCAGTTGTCAGCTAAATAGCCCTAAATCTGCATATTGAAGGAAACAACTCTTAGTGAAAAATCAGATAGCAAAATTTACATCTCAAGGTACTGAAAGAAAAAGTCTGGTAGAGCTGGAGAGAGATTAAAGATGGATGTCAAGCACAAAATTATACAAATCTACCATAGGACTGTAAGAGGAGACCAGTTTTATTTAGATAGGGACTACTTGTCTTTTAACTGGATCTGAGCTCTGGGCAGAGCCCACATTGAATCCTGGGTCTCCAAAAAAGGAGAATTATTATGAGGCTAGACCATGTGATGCTTTTACAGTGCACTTTAAAAAAGGTTTTTTTAAACAAAGACTTTTCTGAGTGTCTAAACTACACTCTCCCTAAAAACCTGAGAGTAGCCTCTGTTGCAATAATTATTTTAGTCAATAAATCAGATAACAAAATACAAAAGCAAATAGTTTAAGAGTTGAGATGAACTGGTCTGTTTATGCTCTTGGGATTCCATAAGGAAAAACCGGTTTCTCCCCCAAAGGGAGTCTGGCACTTTCTCTGTTTTCTTTAAGGCTGTTATAAACTATTTTAGGTTCCTCATTCAGCAGAGGGTGCAAGAGAAAGAAGAGACAGAAGAAGTAAATGAAGAAAACAGAATTCAGTCAACTGAGAAGAAAAAAACTTTTGCTCAAAAAAAAAAAAAAAAAAAAAGAAAAAGAAAAAGACAAGGTCCTAGGAGAAAAAAAATGCCAACATGAAGGCCTTTTAAATACAAACACATAGACACACATGCATACATTTTTGGATGTTAGCTTGTAATTAAGCTGACTTTTAACCACTGAGCTCCTTAAAAAAAATCTTTTTAAATCTTATGACCGTAGTTCAGCTGGAACAAATTGCTGTTATTTTAGAAGTACCAAGTATCAAACCAGAAAGGGCTTGATTTAGGAAACAAACCCAGGCTATTGTGGTGGAAAAAAAGATGGCAGAACCCTTAGCTATGGAACAGCAGCGTGAGACGACAGCCATTGCTCTTTTGGTTGGCCTGACTAGCAAAAAGGTGGCCTTGTTATGTAAATAAAGCCTTTTAAGTAGTCAAAAATGAAAGTCTTTTCTGTTTTTTGCTGTTCGTTTTTCTCCCTGTACCACACCACTTTTGTGTGTGTGTGTGTGTGTGTGTGTGTGTGTGTGTGTGTGTGGCAGGGTGGTGGTGGTGGTGGCGGGGCGGATTTAGCCACTTCAGAGGCCTTTTCCCATAATTTGGAACTTTCCTTCTAATTTGATTAAGTCGGATGGAGTTGATCAAACCCAATGGGAAAAAGACGGAAACAACCACAAAAACAGAAACAAACAACAAAAACAACAACAACAAAAAAAGTTAAGCAAAACAAACAAAAAACAGTTAAGCAAAACAAAACAAACAGTTAAGCAAAACAACTTATACAACTATTGAGCATTCTAATGATAAGGAGCAATTAAAACCAGCTGGTTGTTAATCTTAACTTTAGCCAAAAACAAACCCCGATTCAGTTACTTACCTAGGAATGGGTCTCAGGCTGAAGACTGCTCTCTACCATCCTAGAAGCAGGAAAAATCTCAAATTCATCTTCCCTGTTGGAAGAGAGTTCAGACATCATAAAATAGTTACCTCTGCCTTCCATTGCCAAGGAAGCAGGAAACCTGCTTTCCCTGTGTGGGAAGCAAGCCAAATTCCAAAAAAAAAAAGGAGTTGTATGGCAATATAAACTTTAGATCTTGACCTAATTTTGGGAGATCAGGGATTCTCTGGAGGGGGCTCTTTCAGGCTTCAGCAAATTGTCCTAATGGCCTGAGCCTTAAAGCTACCTCTAGCTGGTACCAAGCACCAACAGAAGATTTGGCAAAGGTCAGAGGCACCTCCACTTAGAATCTCTTTGTGGTTACCAAAATGTGAACCCTGAATATCTGAGACAGGTTTCATTTAATTCAGAAAGTTTATTTTGTCAAAGTTGAGCACGTGTGTCCATGACACAGCCTCAGGAATTCCTGACAACATGTGCCCAAGGTGGTTGGGGCACAGCTTGGTTTTATACACATTTTAGGGAGACATAAGACATCCATTGATATATGTAAGATGTACATTGGTTCCATCAAGAAAGGTGGGACAGCTCAAGCAGGGAGGGGGCTTCAGGTCACAGGTAGGTGAGAGACAAATGGTTGCACCCTTTTTGAGTTCTGATTAGCCTTTCCAAGGGTGTCAATCAGACATGCATTTATCTCAGTGAGGGGAGGGATGACTTTGAATAGAATGGGAGGCAGCTTTGCCCTAAGCAGTTCCCAGCTTGACTTTTCCCTTTAGCTTAGTAATTTTTAGGGCCCCAGGATTTATTTTCCTTTGACATTTTCCCCCTTTTCTTTTCTAAAATTTTTGGAGAAAACATTTTACAAGAAAATTAGCCTTTGGTCTCAGGTTTTATCTGATCTCTCATGTCTGGGATGGTTTATTCCTATATAGGTAGGTCCCGAGTTATTAGGAAAGCTCATTTTTAGCAGGTTGAGAAGTCTCATGCTCTATGAAGAGAAAATAGGGGAGGAAGGGAGAAAAACAATAACAAAAGAACAATCCTGGAAAATTGGTATAGGCCACATTACTCTGAAGTCCATACATCAGTAGGCAGGTATGAAAGTGGCTTATGTGTGTAAATAGGTTGCTGTTATTTTCTTCTGAAGTTTATTTAAGTTGTCTAAATTCAGTTAGCAGGGCTTTAAGAAAGCAAAGGTTAGTTTTTAGTGATTTCAAATTAGGAAAATTGGGGGGAAAAAGGAAAAGAAAGAAAAAAATCGAAAACATCATTTTTGGATACTTGCAGCCAGGAAAAATTAGAATTCAGTCTAAACTTAGAAAATAATAAAAATTGAAAAACCTTAGGCAAAACTGGAATCTAACATCAGATGTACTATAGTTTTTGAAACATAATTTTTCTGTCTCCAGTTTCCTATTTTTACTAAAGACAAATCATGGTAGGACTGATTTGCTTTATTATATTGCCCAGATTATTTGTATAAAGTACAGCAAGAATAATTATCTTTCACATAGGCTTTTTATATTGGCTTTGATGGAACTTTGTTCCATAAAAGGAATCTCAGATAAGATTTTTTTAAAGCTGAGCCCAGCCATGGATTTGTACCATCAAATACCTATGAGTTGGATGAATTACTCTCTTCTTGAGGTTCCAAGGTATTAAAAGGCTGGGGCTCCTGAGCCTGCCAGAAAGTGACATTCTTTACTTAACACAGGTCAGGAACCCTGTACAGGAACTGCATAGACAAGGTATGAGGCCAGCTTTCCCAAAAGGCTTTTATTGGCTTTCTAAGCCAACTTCGATTCCTTAAAGGAAAGCACACCATGCCAGTCAAAGCCGTGGTAAAATAATCAGTTTCTCCAACTGTGTCCTGTTACAAATGAAAACATATTCTTATTGAACTTATGCAAATAACTATATTGCCATAAGTTAAGAATATTCACAAATAGTTTCTGAATTCTGGAGAAATCAGGTGGAGAGAAATAAATATGCTCCAAATTTTATTTATAGGAGTATACTTAATTGTTAAAAGCTGTCAATAGCTCAAAAAAAAAGTTTCCTTTACTCTGAAAAACAAAACAAAGGATCAGCAACATTTTAAGCAAAAAGTCAAAAATATTACTCCAGTCTTCTATTAGTTTAGTCTGTGCAGTTAATACCTATTCTGCTTGATATTCATAAACATTTCAGCTCTCCATGGGTCCTGAAAGTTTTACCACTATTCTGATGTCACAATCTCCAGAGTTATCAGACACCTTCATTCAAGAGCACTTGTTAGAGTTTTACAGCTGATTATAAAACCACCTTCTAAGGAGGATCAAAACAAGACAATAATTGTCCATGGATGACAAAAAGTTTTAGGGCAGCCATAGTCAAAGACACAATTGACAAAGAAATTTATTACCTCTGTGGCACACAATAATTTATTATAACAATTATAATTATTACTGAAAATGTACACTAAGTCATATCAGAATGATAGGAGTGTCTCATAATTTTGGAACACATACCAATAACATATTTATACAAATACAACCCAAAGAAAACCAAACACCATTTCAGATTTGACGATGCTTCCTATATAATTTTTATACCAAATACGTCAAATATGTCAACTTTGGACTTTAGGAAGCCTAACATCTTAAAGGATTAATTAAGTCAGAAAAATACAAAATTTATAATTTGATTTTGAGAAGTTTGTCAAATATCAAAGGTTAAGACATTTGCTATCACAAAATTGGATCACAAGTCATTGTAAAATAAGTCATTCACTTAAACAAAATGATAACTCAAGGATTTCAACAAAAGGCAAAAACCTTCAGTCTTCGAGAGAGGAGACTTAGTTTTCCAAACAATAAGCCCTAATAAAAACAGCACGAAGCCAATGAAACTTGTTTTTCAAAATTTTATAAACAATCTATAAAATTGTAATCTTGACCATGAGATATAACTTCAATAAGCCTTTTATAACCTTTCTAAGTTTTATTAAAGAGTCAGTTAATGCTTCAAGAAAACCTTGCTAATCTGATACAGGGGCCCATATGTTGGTCTTGCATTAGTGTGCCTTTGACGTTAATGGTTAATTTACTGAGGAATTGAACTTATTTCATCTCTCAATATTGGCCTTACAATCTCACATACCCACCTCTTCTGCAATAGTCCCTGGACCTTGAGGAGTTGAATAGCTTTAATTTCTGGCCTTGTGTCTCAGGAATGCAGTTTATTTTGGATTGGCATTTTATAGTGGGCCTGGAGATGAGGCTTTAATTGCTTTCAGTTTTTAAGATTTAGCAGGACTTGGTGTCCTTTTTAGACCCAGGAGTCAAAGCCCTGTAACTCAATTTCACGAGGACTTTAAAAGCACATAAAGATACACAGATGTAATAACCTTAATTAAAAAATAATTCTTTTAAATCTTAGTTTTATTTCTAAGCAAACCAAAACTTAATAATAATGGCATAGGAATAATTTTGATAAAATGTAAAATCTGTTAGGCCTGTTACCAAAAGGCAAAAGAAAAGACTTTCTGTAGTGCACAGAATATATTATGTTGGAAGAAATCATTTCCTTCAGACCTTTAAGAAAACATTGTTAGCATCAGGCCACAACAAACAGAACTTGAGGGGAAAAACCTTATATGAGCTGAAAATGAGTTGAAGGAGAGTGTCAGTATTTTGTGGCTTTTAAAAGGGGAGAGAAAACTGAAAATGGCCAGATGCAATAAAAGTTGAACTTTGGGTTAAAAAAATTAAAATCTCCTATAATTTGTTAAGAGTAAGTCAATCCCTTAAGAAAATTTTATTGTTCTAATCAATTTTTTAGTGTATTAGTGTTCTTTTACATCAAACCCAATCTCTAGAAAGACCATTATAATTTCCCTTTAATTATAGACAACTTGATCATATAAAAATTTTTTTAATAAATCATCTTATTGGATTTATACTCTATACATTTTTTAATACAGCCTCTTATTGGACTTACACAGACTATTCATGACATGCTTGGACTTTCTGGTTTGTCCTGAACATCCCTCTTTCATAAACAACCAGACCTTTTATTCTAAGACTAAATTTACTATATAAGATTCCTTCTCATATAAAATGATTTCTCTTTAAGCTTTCTTACCAGAAAATACCTCTTTATTTCTATAACTTTCTTTACATCTGTCTTATTTCCTGGTTCTTTTTACCTTGTTTTATATACAACAGTTAAATAAGCTTTGAATTAGACAAAAATTGTTCACCTCTTTAAAAAGGACACTTTTTTTAGAAAGAATGTTTTCCTACAATATATTTTTATTGGAAAATACCCAAATAATGAAATATCTATTATTTAATCTAATATACCTTCAGATTCTAAATTATGACAAGTTTGTCTACAAGTATTTATCCCATTACATTTACCTCATTATCTTCTCAGCAAACTGAAAAAAAAACTCCATTTCGTTTCTCATTTTCCTTCCCTTTTGCCAGTTGTCGCTTCTTTATTCACTCCTTGTCAAATGATTCATTCCGTCTACATTTGTAATATCCTTTATTTTCTCAATGCTTCCAAGTTTAAAAAAAAATCTCTACTTTTGTTTTTGTTTCTAAGCCTATGCTTCTCCTTAACTGTTGCTTTCAAGTCTCTCAATACCTTTGCACTTTTCTATCAAGATGGCCAGTGATATTCACAAAACAATATTAAGTACAAATGCAGTGAACACAGCAACAAGTTGAGGGATAATGGGTGGATGAGGTGGCAGTGCCTGCCTGACTGTTTTCACAATATGTTGGTGTGGAGCTGAGTTGACCCACTGGAAGTAGAAAATAGCTTTGTTTATGTCTATGATCATTTATAGGGCTGATGTTTAAAAAGAATTACCTTTATGTGATATAAATAGCTTACTTCCTCATGATTTGACTTGATATAGAGAAAGAATATTGAGAGTAGGAAAAAACCATGCACAAACTCCACTCAACAACAATCAACACAGACTTCTGTGACCAAATGTGTGGGGATTTCTCCCTACCAATAAGAAAGCAATTGATTCTGTGGTGGACCCAGCTGGGTGTCTTCCAATTCAATTTCAACACTGTCTACCTAGAGATAGAGTCATATCCCACAGGATGAGGGTTTAGTCCCTGAGACTGCCCCCGACTTTAGATGCCAGTGACAAGCCCCAGGTTGTTTTACCAGTGCATCTGACTGACTGGCTATAAATTGGGGATTCCACAACCTCCTCCTTGGGTTCGATTAATTTGCTAGAGCAGTTCACAGAACTCAGGGAAACACATTTACTGTTTATTATACAGGATATTATGAAGGATGCAGATGAAGAGATGCATGCAGTGAGATATGGAGGAAGGGGTGCAGAATTTCCATGCCCTCATGAGGCACATCACCCTTCAGGAACCTCCAGGTGTTCAGCTATACAGAAGCTATTCAAATCCTGCCAATTTGGGTTTTTATGGAGGCTCCATTATGTAGGCATGATTGATTAAACCATTAGCCACTGGTGATCAACTTAAACTTCAGCCACCCTTTCCTCCCCACAGTTTGGGGAATGCAGCTTAAAGTTCTAATCCTGTAATCCCGCTTTGGCCTTTTAAATGATCAGCCCCCATCCTGAATCTACCTAGGGGTCTCTAGCCACCAGTCAACTCATTAGCATACAAAAAGACATCATTTTTGAGTTTCCGAGGATTTTAAGACTTGTATGCCAGGAAACGGGGTCAAAGAGCAAATTTATATTTCATAATTTCACAAATATAAAGATTCTAGCTCCCAGAATAAGATTCAGCTAGCATGTTCCTTAATGGAAAGTGGATGACAGTCAGTTAAAGGTTGTTGACAACCTGAAATGCTGATATTCTGTGCTGAGTAAAGAGAGACCCATATGTTTTAGACAAGCAGGTGGCACAGTTAATACTCTGTAAAGAAAGTTGGGAATCTTTGACTTGTGTTTACACGGAATTCCATTCTGTGAAAATGGTTCATAGCACAAAGCCAAAGTTTTTCTCAGAAAATAATTTTGAATCTTACCCACAGAAATACCAGAAGTGTATGCCATGAATCATGAAAGAGACAATTAGGATCTGGAAAAATTTCAGGACAGACGCTACTGTCCAGTCCTGTATCTAGTAGGCAGTGCAGCTGGGATGAGTCCATGGAGCTGACTCCAGGGTCTTACCCTCTGAAATATGTCACTTCCCTTATCATCTTAATGTTTGCTGGTTCAGTTCCCTGACTTAAAAAATCTGTATAATTCAGAAATTTATAATGCTGTTTCTGTATCTTTTTTCTCTTCCTTTAATTTGCTTTGCCTTTCACAAACTTCTCCCCATCTTTCACAGACATAATCTCAGATCTAGGTGTCATTACAACAAGAAAGAAAAAGTGTTTCTGAATGGAGTTCTTATATCTATTATATAATGTCTGGCCTCCCCAGTGCTATTCAGGAGCACCGTGGGCCATGATTGGATAAAGACATCCCCGCTGCATCCCACCCTGCTGTGTAAACACGTATATTCGAGAAATGGTTCAATTATAAGTCACTGCCTGCAGTTTGGAGCATCTGCTACTTGCGCACATGTCTAAAAGCCCAGTGGAGTATAGGTGTTCATGTGGTGACTGGTACTTGTGATCTGGACCGTATTTTCAGCTGTTCTTACGATGACTGCCCAACTACTGCCTCTCTCTGAGTGGATGGACCTGCCCACCCCTATGCTCCTGCTCAAGCCTCCAGAAGTGAATTCATTGCATCTCTCCAAACATATGTTTTAAACTTCAGACCACTGAAACACACTCTCCAGATGTGATAGATACCCACTTCCCTGTTTTTCTGTGATGCCATTAACAGACGAACAGAATTTTATTCATAAAGATACGAATTCATGTATAACAGAAATATTTTCTTGGGTGGGTTTTCTCATATCTGAGCATGGTGTTAAATGATTATGAGGGGAATCAAAATTGAAGAGTCTAATAGAGGGATACTTTGCTGTGGATAGGACAGAGACAAGAGTGAGAGAGGGTGGGCTTGACGGGGCTGGTTAGAGAAAATGTTAGAAATATGTCCAGGAGAGAAACAGGCATCCACTGGAAGATTTTGTGAAGTTTCTGTTGTGCAGTGGCCCCACACCCTCCATTGCAACTTCTAGTCAAATTCAAATGTCTTGCTGTGCTTTTGGAGTTGGATTTATTCTTGAGGATCTGTAAGGGAGGGCAGATTCTTCTCCTTTTCACTTAGAGTAAGTGCCGCATGCACCCAACCCTGTGTGAGCCTCTCCCCCAATACACCAGTCCGTCCCATGCTCACTTTATTCTAGATTCGCTGGTTTCCTTGATGGCCTTTCAGCATACCAGGCATGCTCCTCTTTAAGGCCTCTGCACTTGTTCTTTGATCTATCTGGAATGATTTTGAAGGACAGCAGATTATGCCCCCCAAAACAGACCACTATCACACGGGGATGACTTCAAGCTAAAGACACTTGAAGAACAGCAGATGTGAGAAGGACATTCTTATCTTCCCTTTTTCTTCCTGAAGGCAGGAGATTAAAAACTCCCAGGTGAAAGCTGCCCTCCATATGCTAGGAAGAAAGAAACATTCTTTGATGGGGAGTCATAGCCAAGAGAATTCTGTACAAGCAGACTTTGTTAAAATAAATCGTCTTCCTTTAGCCTTGCCATAGTTTAGTTACTTTTCCACAAATGGGTCTCTTTGTTCAGCCTTATACAAAATCAAGTAGGTTCTTTTTGTTGGTTGGTTCTGAAACAGGGTCTCACTTTGTTGCCCAGGCTGGAGTGCAGTAGTGTGATCATGGCTTACTGCAACCTTGAACTCCTGGGCTCAAGCAATCCTCCAAACAGCTTCCCAAGTAGCTGGAACCACAGGCATGCATCGCCACATCAGGCTAATTAAAAATTTTTTTTGTAGAAACAGGGTTTCACCATGTTGCCCAGGCTGGTCTCAAACTCCTGGGCTCAAGCTGTCTTCCCGCCTTGGCTTCCTAAAGTGCTGGGATTACAGGTGTGAACCACAGTGCCTGGCCTGCATGTAGGTTTTGCCATGTCTTTGAGTCCTACTTTTCTTATGAGGGCTCCCATATCCTGTAAAACTTACATTAAATAAATTTTAAAACTTTTCTCCTGTTAATCTATCATGTATCAATTTAATTCTCAGACCCAGCCAGGACCCTACGAGGAGACAGAGAGTTTTGACTCCACTATACTCTTCTTTCAGATATTCACATGGCTTTCTTCTTCACCTCCTTCAGGTCTTTACTCAAATATCACCCGGTGAGGACTGACTTAGCCACCCTGTTAAAAATTGCATCTTTCCCAATTCACCCAAGTAAATTATTTATTTTGTTTTCCTGATTTCTCCATTAGAATTAGAAGGCAAGGTGTCCCCCCTACCTCTGCCCCTGGTTTATTCACTGCCTTATCCTCAGTGCCTAGAACAGCACTAGGCACATAGAAGTTGCTCAGCAAATGTTTGTTGATTGACTGAATGAGTGAGGTCTGAATGGGTCCAGTCACTTCCAGCTACTAAAATAACAAATAAGTGGTTCTCAAAAGATAATACTAGAATCTTTCTAGCTGTATAGATCAGTAAGCCTGAGTAGGAAGACTGAAAATAAGTATTCATTGAAATCCTTCCTAGAAACATTGATATTCTTTAATCCACATAATTTTGTGTACTTGTTCAATAAATTATAAAACAAATATGTATTAGAAAAAACAAATCCTCCTTAAAATATTTATATTTCAAAAGTTCCTTCTTTCAATTTTCTCTGCCCTTACTAGAGAAACACAAATTACACATGGCACTAATCTGCCTTTCTTTGGAACACATTTCCTTTATCATGCAGTCATTTCAAATGTGAAAAATAAAATACTGCTAAATACAAGATTACTTTCTGGCTTAAGTAGTGGATAAGAGTTGTTTTTCTCTGTGTTTGTAGTTCTGGCAAATTATCCAGAAGATTAATCTTTGAAAAGACTTTTTATTATATCTGTAGAAAACATTATTTTGAAGCAATAATCTAATGAAAGTACTTCTCCTTCATACAATTTAAGAGATTTTGATAGAAAAATAAGATGAATACAAATCTCTGCTCTATATGGAGTGTGTATTTCGGCCTATTAGGTCAATGATGTTACCTACTGCAGGGAACCAATACAGTTGCCCCAATACCTGGGGCAAAGGTATTGTCTTTGCCCCAGAGGCAGTATTATCACCACTTGCCTCCATTCCCCCTCCATGAGCAAGACCCTGCTGCTTGATTCTCAAAACACAATATTAGAATCTTTCTAGCTACATAGACTAGTAGGTATAAACAGGGAGACTGAAAATAAACATTCACTGAAATTCTTCAGAGCAGCTTCTGCCACTTCTTGTTCTAGATCATATAGAAAATATGTCTGGGCCATCAGCCAGCAGTGACCCTTAAAAAAAAAAATACCTGCTTCAAAATTGATTATTTCAGACAGATTTCTTTAAGTCAGGGGAAAAAATTAGCATATGCTGGCCCAAACTCTACTTTCATGTGAAATCTGCCGCTTAGTTTTTAGAATAAGAAACTTCTCTGATTTCTATGTAGGCTACTAGGTTCTTCACTTAAAGAAAAGCCCCCTTTTGTTAGATGCTTAACTTTTCAGCTTCTACTCTTTATATGGTGAACGTACAACTTATTATTCAGAAAGGGACATGTTTGAGAATAGAAGGAGTAACTATTAAAAATTATGGCCAGAAAAAATTTATAAACTGATATTGTGTGAAGCAAACAAAGTTGTATTGTCTCTAACTATTAAGAAGGAGAATGAAATTACTTACTGAGGCTATATAATGTGCTAAGTGATTTATATCTTTTACCTCAATTTCAAAACCGTCCTCTAATAGAGGCTTGGGAACATTTTCAGTCATGAATCAGGCTCTGTGACATTAACCCAAGGAGTCAACAATATTGTAGTCTAAAAGAAATTTTAGGAACTCAGCTCAGGACACTTTACAATAAGGACTATTGATTTAGCTGTCTGCAGGAAATGCATTAGATACACATTTTGGCTGAAAGCCAAATGTTAAAATCAATAATTGACAAGTCAGATATCATTAGAATAGGAAGAACTTTGGGGAGACAAGATTAAATTTGAAACCTTACCAAACATTTTCAAAGTCAACATTTGGATGTTTGACAATATAGTGAAGGAAAAATAATTTCTCAGCACCATCCACTGGTGGATTATTCCTGTAGTCTCTGTGCTGCGTGTCTGCAGTCCTACAGACATGCCTACTTTAACCAGACTAACATTTAGCATACAGTGGCAGGAAATGGGATTCGCTGCTCAGCAAATACCCCAAATCCTGGATCTTCTACTACTGAAAATGTTTGTCAGTCTAAAGCAATTATTTTGACAAGTGTTTGTTTCTTAGTCTCGAAACAGACAACACAGAAGAAAACTATAAGGAATTGACTTCTTCAATTTGAATTTTGATTGTGGAAGCAAAATGCACATTGCAATTCTCTGCTTTCTCTAACACTGTCTTTTTTCTTCCTATTTGTTATTTATTCATTCATTCAGATTTATTCATTTATTTTAATTATGGCTTTTAGATTCAGAGGGTACATGTGCAGGTTTGGATATATTGTGCGATGCTGAGGTTTGGGGTACAAATGATTCAATTATTCAGGTAGTGAGCATAGTACCCAATAGGTCGTTTTTCAGTTCTTTTCTCCCATTCTTTCTCCCGCTGCTAGTGCTCCCCAATGTGTATTGTTCTCATCTTTATGTCCCTGTGTACCCAGTGTTTAGCTTCCACTTATAAGTGAGAACATGCAGTATTTGTTTTCTGTTCATCCATTAACTCACCTGGGATAATGGCCTCCAGCTGCATCCATGTTGCAAAGGACATGATTTCCTCCTTTTTATGGCTGCATAATATTCCATCCATATATATGCCACATTTTGTTTATCCAATCCACTGTTGATGAGCATCTAGGTTTTCAATAAATATTTATTAAGCACCTTTATAATGTCTCAGTCAGCATTTCAGGAAATGGGGATACAACAGTGAACAGAAGATAGAAGTCTCTGCCTTTATGGAGTTTATATTCTGGGTCTTAGGGATATAGACAATAAACAAGACTATAAATTAAATATATAGCATATAAATAGTTTTAAGTGCTAGAGAGAAGAATAAAGCAGGGAAGAGGGATATGAGGAATTCTCTATTGTGATTGGATCAAAGATGATTTCTCATGATATTATTTTTGGAGTATTTATTCCTCATGGAACTTTTTGAGGGCAGATTTAACATTTAACTTTCAGTTCTTCATAACAAGATGTGAAGAGTTCCAATTTAGCATTTTTTTTTCCTTGAAAATCTCATTGTCTAAATGGAATTAAATAACTGAAAATTAAATATAGTTCTTCAAAGTTATTTTGTCTAATGTTTTGAGTGTCAGTATGTAAAATAATTCTATGAAGACCTGACTTATTTAATCTCAACTCTGTTATTCTGCTTTATATTATTTAAAATTTTATAAATATTCGTTGGCAGAATAATTATGTGGTATTTTTCCTAAGGTTATATTCCAGACACGCTCTGACTTAATATTTCCTTTAACTGACAATTTACTCTCCTAGGTAGTAAATAATTCCTCATAATTTTTTTGTACATAAAACTAACAGCTTTCATAATAAATTTATTATTGCAGCATTTTCTTCTTGCAATATTAAATATTCACTTACACTTCACCTGACTGATAGAATTTCAACATAGAAAGCACATAAAGAGATTGTCACTGTTTACCCCTATATTGCGTATAAGAATTTTAGATTGCATACTTGGTTACAAACAGTAAACTCTGATGACACTCCCTGTTTGTGCTGCTCACATTGATACCCTGATTAGATATGAAGGGGACATGCAAGATCAAATGATCATTTGTCACATGCATGTTCAGGGATGCCAGCACTGGCATTGATTTGGATGTTTGTATATCTGACTATTTAACCTTCCAAAAGCTAAGTCTAAATAGCTACAGTGTAACAGTAGATTTTGGCCAGATACTGAAACTGAGGTAAATTCTTGCCCACCCCTCCTGTCTCAAATTCAGTCATCTCTTGGAAGGGACACAAAAGTATCAGTCATTGGAGTGGCAGCCTCCCAACCTTCTTCCTGCCTGGTGACCAAAGTGTTGAACATGGCATCTGAAAGCGTCATAACAAGGTTCACTCTGATCCTAGGCATAATTAATGGAGTGGTTGGATTTTCATCCTTCTTTGCCTGTTAAGTGTCCTCAGTATCTGTCTTCCTAGTCGGTAGGCACAGTCAACAGATGAGGGCTTCTTGGCTTAATTGATCTTATGAATTCCATTAGGAGGGATAAGAACCTGAGTGATGTTCTAGCCAGTGGCTCCCAGGCTTCGTAAGTATTTACCTTTATGTTGCGGTTATAGCGTCATTAGCTACAACTATTACTGAAGCTTGAATTCAAATAAAAAGCAATTAGATGTAATTCCAGTACTCAACTCACACGCAACTGAAACTTAATGATCTGGCAATTTGAACATGAATATGAAAAAGGAATTCCTTTAGCTTTTTTGATCCTCTTATTTTATTGTCTGCCACAAAAGAAAAGCAAATAATACACAGCATCAGCGCAAAGCATGAAAAAGGAGATAGGAGCCAAATTCGCTAAAAATTCTAAAAGCTGGTCTATAGCTGTGCTCCAGAATTACCTGAAGGTTAGACGGACGTGAAGTCCATTATTTAATCTGACAATTTCCTAGACATCAAAAACAACAGGCTGCAAATCTCAGATCAGGAAACCCTTCCTGCAACCCTGGATATGACTTAATGTCCTCCTTTTTCCAAACAACCACAGATGTCTGTGCACATCTCTGCTGTGACTTTGGTCACATCTCCCTGCATACACAGGAAGTCACTTGCTTGTTGGTGCCCCTTTTCTTGATTATGTTTTCAGAAGGAAGATCTGGTTTTAAATTCCATTTTATATCCCAAGAACCTAGCACAGCTTTAGGTAAGAACTCAGTAAAAATCACTACTACTACTTCTAATATGACTACTACTATTAGTACTGCAGCTGGTAGTACTATAGTACTAGTACTATTCCTGTTTTTGCTGCTGCTGCCATATCCAGTGTAGCTGGTGAGCTAATGAGGACCCCACTCAGGCACATGGGATATGCATACACATTTCCACATTGTGGTTTCTTTTTAGCCACCCTCCAGAGATGGTCATGGCAGAGGGAAGATGTGGAGATCTGGATGAAGGGAAAAGTTTAAGAGTTTATGACAGAAAAACCACTCATATTGCAAATAGTGGTATGATCGCTGTGAATTTGCTATACCTCTTGGATTTAAAAATATTTCTACACATGTGAAACTTTGTATTTTCTATGGCGTATTTGTTTTCCCCCACTAAAGGTATGAGTGCCCTAGCATGGTGATGCTGTAGGAGGAGATGTGAATGTGATTCAACATAATCTAATACATATTTTATCAATAATTAAGAAAACATTTGCTAAGCTAATGAACTTAAACAAGTCTCTGGGTCTCAGCGTCAGTTTCACTGTCCATAAATTCAGAATAATGTAACCTGTCTTCTTAGGCTATTTTGAGGATGCAAAGAGGAAACAAATATGAAAGCGATTTGCAAGTTGCCAGGTACTAGGCAACGTAAGGTGCTATATGGCTGTGACAAATTTTCCTTCTGAACCTCCTGTAGCACTTTGTACAGAATGGCAAGTTCAGCTTGGTTGGAGGCCAGAGCCATGGTCTTGTTGGAAATAAGTACCTGATGTGAGGTACAAAGACCTGGAAGCAAAGCCCTGCCCCACCGTTTCCCTAGTTACGTGACCTGAGATAAATTACTTGAGAAAAGAATATTAAAGTCATCCAGCTCATGGGTTACTGTGAGAATTCAGTAGAAAAATACCTATGAAGGCACCTGGTGTACTGCGGCAGTTGGCCAGTGTTTACACAGCATTTTTTTTAGGGCAGAGAAAGATACAAATGAATCAAAATGGTTCTGAGCAGGTAGCTCGCAAAGAGGAGAAAGCCTGGACTCTGCGGACCTGGCTTCCTGTTCTGCCCTGTGTGGCCTGAGCAAGTCCTGGAACCGCTCTAAGCCTGTTTCCTCAGATGAGAATTGGGAGGAATCATGATGATAATAATAATAATAACCATACCCTTAATTATCTCTTAGGGTTGCTCTGAGGACTAAAAAATATAAGATATCAGCAGACATGGGATAGGAACTAAAAATTTAGCCTATCCTCCCCCCAGATTTAGCATCGTGCTGGTGATAATGCTCCTTATTTTTAAAGATAGTCTTAAACCATGTCCAGGTGTTTTCTGTTGACTCAATAAGAGCCTAGGATGCACTTCTGACAAAATGTTTGCAGTCCAGTATAAAACTTTACCTTAGCCAGGCATGGTGGCACATGCCTGTTATCCCAACCATTTGAGAGGCTGAGGCAGGAGGATCGCTTGAGCCCAGGAGTTTGAGGTTGCAGTGACTGCATTCCAGCCTGGGCAATAGAGTGAGACCCTGTTTCAAAAAACAAGGACAACAACAACAAACAACAAAGAAAACCTTTACCATCTCTGGAAGCCACCTTTTGGGTGGCAAAACACCAATAAAAATGAATGAGGGTGGAGAAGAAGAGGAAAGAGAAGCAGCTAATGAGAAACGGAGGGCCAGCGTAGGAGCAAGAAGAGACACTCGGTCTACCAAGTTTGATAAGATGAAAGCTTTCTTCCCGAGCTCTTCTCCCCTTGTCTGCCTTGAGCCCTTCTCTTCTGTCCTTCTTTCCATTGAAACCTTCACGAAGGCAAAGCCAACGAAGATCTCAGAGAGTGCAAGGGGAGGCACAGTGTGGCAGGAAGAGCACCTCCCCCGCAGGCTGAGGAAGCTTGCCCACACCGCGGGGCTCCTGCAGCTGCAGCCTTACTGACTAGGCTGATTCCTGGCAACAATGAGGCTGGGACGGTGTGACAATAAGAAGGAGAACACCTACCACGTATTGAACTTTCAGTGTTTGCTCTACCAGTACGTTCTCAGTGAACTCTCAACGAAAGTCTCATAGGGCAGTTCTGCAGCCCCTTCTCTTTGCCCAGTCATGGAGTTAGTAAGCTGCAGAGGCAGGACTTGAAGTCAAGTCTCCCACTCCACCGTCCCCTTTCAGCTAAAGATGTCTGAGCAAGCGTTTCTGGGTGAGGTCATTCAGAAGTGGTTTATGCCAGCAATTTGTTTTATTCATCTTCCTAGAGGAGGAAGTGGTGAATAAGCTCTTTTACTCATGAGTAAGTGGAATTTATTTCTGACAGATTGTTAATTGGAGGGTCGTATAAAGATTTCCCCATAGAACAAACATGGCTTAGACTTGAGGGGCTAGCTGGGGAGTAGCCTGCAAGTCAGCCCAGAAGGGTGAGGTTACCCCAGTGATGCTGGTGCTTCAGACACTGAGGGAGCTGGGAGAAACTTCTGTCAAAGTCATAGAGCTCATCACGGTGTCAAACACTTCTGAGAGGCCAAAGTGAGAACCAAAAAGGCCCATGAGGTTTAGCAGTGAGAAGGTAGGTTGCTCTCCAGTGTCTGAGATCACATCATTCATTTCATTCTATTTCTACTCAAAAGATTTTCAAGGGATTGTTCTCTATCTTGTCACCAGTTTTGGGGAGTGCACTCTCTTTAGGGTCACTCTGTGTATTCCCTTGCCATACAGCTTGCTGGAAGTCTCTTTTCACTGAATTTAACCACCTGATTGTTAATGAAGATAGAGATGCACCTCTGCTGTAGCTGAATAGCTCAACAGTCTCCAAAGTTAGCTATCCAAGTCTTTTCTGGACCTGGATGTTTAAATCAATCAGTACATCTGCAACTGTAATGGTTATTTTTATCTTTTGACATATCTCACCTGAATCTGAACACAATCTAATGAATCTGATGTATTTTTCTTAAACTTTTTTTTTTTTTTTTTGCTGTGAAATAGTCTAGTCACGCATTTTGGTGGCTAGAAGAGTGAATTAATAGTAGTCTAATCACCCTGGAGATGCTATGCTTCTGTGAGCTGGCACTGAGGTAAGGTGGCACATCTCTGTGGGAATGACAAGTGAATGAATCTGCTCCTCATTTAACCTGCTGTTCTTTTCTCTCTCTCTGTTTTCTCTCCTAGGAAACAAATGGAAGACTGCTGCGACCCTGCCCATCTCTTTGCTATGACTAAAATGAATTCCCCTATGGGGAAGAGCATGTGGTATGACGGGGAGTTTTTATACTCATTCACCATTGACAATTCAACTTACTCTCTCTTCCCACAGGTTAGTATAGAGTTGGTTGCCTTCAGTATGGTTTCTTAAATTTCTTGCTGTCATAGAAAAGGGATAATTGAGTTTGCCTTACTCATCAGATTGACTTTTTGTTTTCTTTCTTCTCTCTTTAAATGTTTTTCTTTATATCTGTCATCTGTGTGTGTGAATAAATCACAGTGTTTTGATGCAAGGGTGGAAGCAGGATGTTACAGAGTTACAGTTTTCCTAGCCTTTCTGATTTGAGTCCTATGAGACTGAAGGAAGCAAGAAATGAATGATCAGGGACTTGTGGAATTCTAGTGTTCTGAGGTTGGCTGTGGAATGACCATGAGGATTTGTGTGATACTGGAATGTTTTCTTAGGACTGATGTTGCTCAGGGAGTGGGGACCATATGGTGAGAAGTTTGCTTCTTAGAGCTCTTGAATGTTAACCCTGTGGTTAGATTACCACTGTGAAATGGAGGAGTGGTGGATATGGAGAGGAATAATTCAACTTGACCACTTTTGAAGTGGTCTAAATCAAGCTTTGCTTACTTAATATTTATTCTTGGTTTTCTGGGCATTGAAATAAAATGTTTTTCTAATATACATGTAGGCAGCAAGAGGGGGGAAAAGGGAAATTTTATTTTAGGGAACCCTAGTTTTGGGGAGGGGAGATCTTAGGCAAAATTGCAATTAGGGAAAAATTCAGAAATGAATCATGGCCTCCCCAAGACATCTTTTAGCCACCCTTGGTTTGCTCAGATGATTGTACAGAAAGAGAATTTTTAAGCCTTAGAAAGTGGGACTGAATCTTTCATGTGTCTCTGTTAATAGCCCATGAGACTTTAAAGGAGGAATCCCACAAAGCTGAGGCACAGGTTCTACCAGATCCAAAGTCACACTCTCTATAAAACAGCCATGCTGACTAGCTCATCCTTAGATATTTTAGTCTAGTTTAATGGTCTTAAAATGCAGTGATAAGGTTTTTCTTTTAATTTTTGAAATAAGAAGTAGAAGCTTTAGTTTATTGCCAGCATCTACATGTTTTCTCTCTTCATCTGCCCTTGGGAGGCTTCCAGGTGTCAAAGGAAATAACTAAGAGCTATGATATATGGAACTGAATTTTGTCTCCATCTCTTACTAACTAAATTCCTTGGATGATTACCTAAGTCGTCTGAGATTTAGCTGTCTTGTCTCTATGATGGCTAGAGCAGCACTTGCCCTATTTACCTTACAGAGCTGTGGAAAAGATCAACTTAGATAATGCATGGAAATGTCCTTTTTTTTTTTTTTTTTTTGTTTTTGACAGAGTCTTACTTACTCTGTTGCCTGGGCTTGAGTGCAGTAGCATGATCTTGGGTCACTGCAACCTCCACCTTTCAGGTTCAAGCAGTTCTCCTGCCTCAGCCTCCTGAGTAGCTGGGATCACAGACATGTGCCACCATACCCAGCTGTTTTGTATTTTTAGTAGAGACCATGTTTCACCGTGCTGGCCAGGCTGGTCTCGAACTCCGGACCTCAAGTGATCTGCCCACCTCGGCCTCCCAAAGTGCTGGGATTACAGGCGTGAGCCACCGCGCCCGACTGTAAAACATAATAAATGTACTTTATAAATACAAAGCATTATATGTTTGGTATTAATGTGCTGATTCATACTTAGTATCTTGAGGCTGAGGCATGAAAAGCAGAATTGTATTGGTGAGGGTTTAGGCAAGGTACAGAAATCTCTTTAGGTACTTTTAGCAGAAAGATATTTCATATAGGGAATTTGGCATTTAAAAAAATCATTGGAAGAATGGAGAAATGGGAGCCAAAGGGTGGTTCCTAGAATTACTGAGTACAAGAACCTACTACTGTAACTGTGGTCTAGGGACTGGGAAGCCCCAACTTGGCATTGCTGTTAGTGTGGCCACAACTGCTTCTGTTAGAAATAGGGGAAAGAATATGAGTTCCAATTCTCCTCCTCATTTCAAATCTTCCTCAAATGCTTCTAATGGAGAAATGATTTGCATCCAGAACACTAGTTGCGAAGAAGTCCAGGAAAGGCAGTTTTTAACTGTCATGCTTCAGCAGGAAGCTGGAAAGAGAGTGGTACAGAGGTTAAGCAAGCCAATCCACAGGATATTCTATGTATGAAAACTGCTACAAACTAGTTGTGGCATGAGGAAGAGATAAGGAAGCAATCTCCTTTAACAGCTCCTCACATAGAAACATTTTAAATGAAATCCAAAGTAGCTTTTTTTTATAGATGAGGACTTTTAGTTTTACCAAATGAATTCTAACTTTGTATTAGAAAATAGATTTAAAAGGATGATTAAAGAAATATAAACTAGCCTCCTATATTATCTATCGGTTGCAGCAATAGGGTTATAAGAAACATTTACTTTGTAAAGTCTGTGCAAATGAATTCTGTGCCTCTTTGTGCCAGTTGCAAGACCAAGGAAACATCCTTGAATAATAAAGGAAGAATACTTTTTTCTTGGGAATCAGAAGTCATGACATCATTGTGTATGGGCACAGCCATTGCAAAAGGCAGAACCAATTCAATGAGTAGATTTTTTTTAATTGCATATGTATGTATTTTCCTGCTAAGAATCTGAAATGACTAATTAATTCATAGAAATCTTGGTAAACCAGTTTGCATCACTGGAAAAAATGGTATTTTCCCTCTGCTCTCATCCATTATTATTTCTTAGCAAAATGTTTCTAGTTTGTTATCAGCCAAAAAGGGTTGCCAGTTAATTGATACGCTTCATTTATGTTCCCAGTGGGAAGAAAATAGCGTGTGCAGGTGAGGTAGAAATGCAGGTGAGTGGGCCAGGCTCAGCGTTTTCAGCATGAACAAAGCTTCACTCCTTTCCCAGAGTTTCAGTGAAATAATGCTAAGTCACTCATTTCTAACTTCGATTCCATGTCTGTACCTTTACACTTGCCCCTTAAATACTCCGTATATGTTAGCCATCATTATCAATGTTATTCGTTTGCCTACTTTTGTTTTTTTGTCGTTGGTACAAAGATGCAGTGTAAGAAGGGAGATGCTCTGGTACATTAGGGAATGGCAACAGGTCCTATAATGGCTGGGGCAGTGTATCCTCAGGAGGTAACTATTGAAATGTCTGTGAATTGAGATGCCACATCAAACTCCTTTTAGTTAGTTAGTTCTATGCTATTTGAACCTTCCACAACTTTCTGTAACTTTCTGTTCAAATTTATTCAATTCTGCCACATAATGCGGTGTACATAACTTCATATCTCCATATGACAGTGTTCTGTGTTCTAAAAGTCCTTATCTGCTATCTCAGTACCATCTTGTGAGCTCTTGAGAACAAGAGGGTTTTCCCTTTTGTGCCCACTGCAGTGCTTCCCACTCAGTATAAATAGTCATTCCCAACCACTCATGTCTGTCAAGGGCGTTCCTGTCTGTGTCTCACTTGGGCTGGACCCCTGCAGTACCCTTGCTTGAACTATAGGAAACCAAGCAGGAAATTCAGAGGTAGCTGTTTCCAAAGGGCTCTATAAATGTATTTTGGTGAAATATTTGTTGAATATTATTAGGCATGAAGGGCAGAATTTTTAACCTTCACACAGGATTTTTAAAACATGCGATGTATGTGTGCGTGTTTGTATTTGGGGAGGACGGTGTGATGGTATCAGCCTTCCCACTTTGAGAATAGCTGCTCCCAATCCCCTGGGTTGGGACCAGCTCTTTCCTGCTTAGCCAGGAACTGCCCCTTTTAAGCCTGCATGGTCCAGTGTTTACAGGAATTATTGAATGAACCCTATTTTGACCTAAGATATCTTGCCAAGGAAGGACACAAATTTCCATGGAAATGAGTGAGGCAGTAGCAGGAATGTTAGAAACCACAACTGTGCTGATACAATCTGAAAAATATTTCCTTTTGGTATTATAAAAACACGGTTGGCTGTCCATTCTCTTACATTGTGATATAAATTACATTTCTCCTCAGCACGTTCACCCAGGGCCATATGTAAAGCATCACAAAACATCCTTAATGCACCCCACATAGACACTCATTTCCAGCTTCCTAGGTTGGCTGTAGGCTCCTGTCATGTTCCACTGAGCCTGGACCTGCAGCGTTCTTGGCCTGTGGGAAACCCAGCAGGATATTTTGGAGTAGTTTGTCAAAATAGCCTTGTTAAAATGAAAATACACATTTTTTTTCCTTCACAGTAGTGTGCTTAATAGAATTCTCTGAGCTCCCGGATATCCCTGAGTTTCACAGCAATTTTTTTTTCTTTTAATAAAATTTGGACTATACTACATAATCTACAGAATTTGGTAGTTTTTTCCACTTATTCATATTATTGTAATCATTTCCCGTGACATATATCTTTTTGGCTGGAAGGAAACTAAGGGGTCTAATGTCTGGTGGGGATGGATCTTTGCTGGACTTTTGTTAGGTTCTATTGTTAGGCTTCCATCTGGCTGCTTTATAACAGAAACCTGATGGGGGGCAGAACCAAATAATTGCTTATTTATCTCAAGCAATAAAGAATTAGAGGGTAGGTAGTTTAGGGCTCAGTGATGGCTACATAGTGTGCCATCAAGCTCCCAGACCCCTGTCTTCCTACTCAAACCTCCTTAGCTGATGGCCAAGGAACTTCGCAGTTTCGGTTCAGGATCCCAGCAAAAAGAAGGAGTAAACAGAAGAGGAAAGCTGGACAGATTCCTGCTCATGTATCATTAATCAGGAATGAGTCACATGGGCATGTCTAACTGCAAGAAAGCCTGGGAAGTTCAGTTTTCCAGCTTTAGGCAAATGCCTTGCGTTTGTCAACTATACGGGCTGCCTCAGTTTCTTCACATGTTATCTCGCTCAGCCCTTACAGCGACTCTGTGTGGCTGTTATTATTGCCTCCATTTCATGGATGAAGCTAAGACTGAGAGGGGTTAAATACCTTATTGAGGGTCCCAGAGCTGGTAGGTGGAAGGGCTGGGATGTGAAACCTGGCCTGTCTGATTTCAAAGGTATTAGTGTTTACTCTATGGTTTATTTCCTTAGAAGACATGGATTCTAGTGGATTAGTTCATTCTTATCACTCAGTCACCTTGAAACTGTTTTAAGGTTTTTCACTTCTAAGAATACCTTTATAAGAAATGGAGAAATTTCATTTTTTAAATTTATTTTTATTTTATTTTATTTTGAGACAGGGTCTTGCTCTGTTTGATAAACTAAAAATGCAGTGGCACGATCATGGCTCACTGCAAGCCTCCACCTTCTGGGCTCAAGTGATCCTCCCACCTCCACCTCCCAAGTAGCTGGGATTATAGGCGTGTGCTACCACACCCGGCTAATCTTTGTATTTTTTTTATTGTATTTTTTTTTTTTTTTTTGTAGAGACAAGGTTTTGTTATGTTGACCAGGCTGGTCTAGGAATGCTGGGCTCAACTAATCCACCCATCTTGGCCTCCTAAAATGCTGAAATTGCAGGCATGAACCACTACACCTGGCCAAGAAATTTCTTTTGCAGCTTTTTGGGAGAAAAAGTAGAGTGTAGCTATACAGGATATGGAATCCTATACAACACCATAGTTTCCCATACAATACTCTAGTCTCTTTTTGGCTTTGAGCTCCCCGGTATCCCCTGTTGAAAGGAGAAATAAGAGCATTTACATTATTTTGAGTTTTATAAAGGGGAAACCTTGCATTGCTTCTTTGTTATAGGAATCTAGAACATGGTTCCACTACTATTGAATAATTAAGGTAATTGGCCCTGCCATTCTTGGCCTAATGCTAACACTAGAGTACTGTTTAGGGTATGCAGTCTAAAAATCTGGATCCTAAGCCTGGCCTTTCTATGATGACGCTTATGATCCCAGACAAGTCATGGAACCATTCTCAGCATGAATTTTATAATTTGCACATTGGGACAAATAATACCTGGTCTTTATATTTCAGTATCATTATTATGAGTAACAAAGTTAAAATGAGATAATGGGTTTAAAAGTGCTTTGTAATGAATGCACCATAAAAACATATGATAATATTATTACTGTTATTTTCTCTCAAAGTGTTTACGGACTTTAGCATTGCCTTGGCATTTGGGTAATGCCAGGAACCCATGAAGCAAAACAAAAACTAAAACACCACTAAAAAAAGGGTGAAATCAATTTTACAGGACAGTGAAAAGAAATAAAGGTGTTGAAGCTGGGATTTCGGGAAACATAAAGTAGTAACAGAGAATGTTACAGTCTTTGTTTCATTATATTTGGATAATAATTACAGTAAAGTAAAAGAGCAAGGTGAAATAAATCATTAACTTCTAGTGAATTAAGATTGTGATCTGAACAATGAATTGATATCCACTGTTCTTCAAATTGCTGTGTAACTGAGAAGAGCAGGAAAATGGATCATCACTGGATGTCCAAATATCTGTTATCTTCATAGGGAAAGGAAAACAATCGATTAGAAGTGAGGTAGTGCAATGGAGTTGCTCAGAAGAATAGCTGATGGGAACTTTAAGATGTCTTGTTTTTCAAATTTAGAAATAATTGAAAATTAAGACCTTTCTTTAATGAAAATTTGCAGGTTGTCTATGGTTGAGAACAAAATGAAAAATAAAGGAATGCTCTATCTTGCCATGGTGTAGATCTTTCTAAATTACTTGACAATGTGTAAAATTTCATACAAAGACCGATTATGGCTCAGGATTCTAGCTTCCTGGGAATAATTGAAAAGAATTCATGACACCAATTACCACTGAGTCACATCTCATCCCGTAGGCCTGACGGGAGTGATAGCTTTTCTTAGGAGGTGTTACTGTTCCATATAACATTTTCTTCTTAGGTGTGGTGACATGACAGGGTGTTTCCCTGCAGGAGAACCTGGTATACCTTTAGTTTTTTTTCTTTGATTAGTTTCTTAATCTTGGTTGCTCTTACAAAGGTCCAAGTGTAGAAAGGAATTTGCCTCCGATTTTAATTTAGTTTTGAGCATTTGTTTGGATACTAGGAAGCCTCTGTTTCATTTCTATTAATATGCTCATTTGTACTTTTAAACTCTATTAGGAGTCGCTTAAATGCATAGACATATTTGATTAACTTATAGAGAGGTATCATTTCAACCCTGAATTTTCTCTGGCTTAATTAATTTGGTCAAATAATCAAGAGGTATGACTATGCACAGAGAACGTTTTCAGAGTGTTTGTCTATGTTCAGATCAATTCACTATCTTCCTTCTAATTCACTGTCTTCCTTCCATTGATGGCCAAACATTCTTAGATCACAGGTGAGCTAGCACAACATTTTTTAATCACTTATGGCCTGACTAGCTCTACCCTGTTATCTTCAGTGTTCAGAACTTCTGAGTAGATTGAAGAGACCGACCCTGAAGCTTGACTTGCCCAACACAATGGGGAAAGGGGTTGGCTAGGGATAGGATAGGGAGTGAACATAGCTTTGGGGGCTAAAAGGAAGTCCAGCCAGTAGCCAGAAAGGGGTATTGCAGTTCTTACTGTGGAACACTGTTGGCAATAACCAGAAGATAATAAGGAGTAACATGATGTGCTGCTAGTATGCAGAATGCAGAGATGAAAATGGGGTGGATGGAGCTATACCCAGAGATCCGTTTAAAACAATTGACTTCAAGTTCCCAGTCTCTACGCTGGAGGTTTTGACAACTGGCAGCTTCCAAGGGTACTGGTCAGAAGAAGCCAGAGCCTCTGACTTCTAGAGGTTTGGGAACTGATCATTTATCACAGCAGGAACACAAGTGAACCAGGTGAGCATCCTAGCACTGGGGCCAAAATTAGGGACTGTTTTTGTAAGCAAGGCTGAAGCACAGTTACTGGAACTTGGTATGGGCTGGGAGGCAGGGACCTGGAAGGGCAGCCTGGGGTTATGTTTTGAAATTAAGTCATAAACCAAGTTACTAGAGCCATACCTCAAAGCCAGGGCCAGAACACAAGTGTAACTTGGTAGTGATTCCCATAGCTTCAGGTGACCATGCCCAATCATTCCCCTAAAGGCCAAGATTGACCCACATTGCTCAGGGCTCAGTCTGAACCCCAGCTGTAGGTTCAGGTGTATATAGAGATTGAGAAGTAGGCTGGATAAATGAGTAGAATTTTTCAGACAAAAACATTTAGGTTCTTACTGTCTTCAATGTCTAGCTCTGTGGAGGCTGACAATACAGAGAGAGCAAAAACTAAGTGTAAGGAGAGGATTTGGGAAAATTGTTAGGTAATTAAGAAATTATATTAGCAGTTTGTCAGAAAAATAGGTAAGTGGATAAGTGTGGTGAGAAAATTTAGGATAGATGGGCATGGGTCAACATCTGCTGATTGTAAAGGAAACAAAAGTGCTTTTTGAGGGTAAGACAACATTTTATACTCTGAAAATTATTATGCATAGGTTTTTTTTCTTGCCAAGTTTTATTTTTCCTGTCTATTCAGACTCTATTCTTGAGATTTCAGAATTTTAACTCTTTGCTAAGAAAAAGAAAATAAGTGCTGAGAGAAATGCAATTGTAAATTAATTTGATAATCACTTCACCTGGGGTGTCTGCAGTTAATGAAGCACTGGCTAACAGCCCCATATACAATATGTATCATCTGATTATTTTGTTTACATTTTTCTGTTTCTAGAGTTCAATCCACTCTGATTTTATATACATCTTGGGTCTAATATACTATTCAGAGGATAGTATATTCACAAAGTATGGTTAGTTCTGTAGCCATAATTTATAAATTTCCTGATTGTCTTTTCTTGTTATACTCTTACATAGTCTTTGACTATGACACCCAAGGTCAGTAAGAACTGAAGTTGCTACAGTTTGTAGGTGCTTCCAGATGCCTGACATGGAGATTGTTTGAGGATATTTTAAAATCCAAAAAAGTTCAGTGATATTTCTGGACTCAAGAAAAAAACACAGTATTTCTACACAAACTATAAAATTTAATGTAAATCAAAAATCTACAAAATAACATCAAGGTTAGAATTAAATTTAAAGCAAGGATTTGATGCATAGAAGATTGCCTTACACATTGATTGGACTTGTCACCTAAATAAATATGCCCTGCTGCCAGCACAACTATGCTTTCCTGAAATTTTCATGATTCTATGTAAGTAAAATAAGTGTTCGACCACTCATTCATGAAGTACTTATTGAGCAACTACTGCTGTGTGGTAGGGACTGTGCTAGTTCCTGGGGAAATAATAGTGAGTAAAAATAGATCCGGTTCTGCACCTATTGGATACTGTCCTCAATGTTCCATAGGTTCCTTACCTTTTACATGCTCACAATTCTGTCCCTTTCTCCTGCTTCTTTTCTTCTATTCCTGATCTCAGGTAATGACACTATCGTCTACTCAGTCACTTGAGCTGGACACCAGGGTCTTATGTTTGAATTTCACTGTCCAAATCCAAGTTTATTTCATAAATATTTCCTGAATCAATCCCCTCTTTTCTTACCTCACTGCCACTGGGTTAAGTCAAGGTTTATCATCTGTTATCTATACTAATTCAAGAACTTTCAAAAAAGTTTCACAGACAGGCGCGGTGGCTCATGCCTGTAATCCCAGCACTTTAGGAGACTGAGGCAGGCAGATCATTTGAGGTCTGGAGTTTGAGACCAGCCTGGCCAACATGATGACACCCTGTCTCTACTAAAAATACAAAAATTAGCTGGGCGTAGTGGCAGGCACCTGTAATCCCTGCTATTCAGGAGGCTGGGGCAGGAGAATTGCTTGAACCCAGGAGGCAGAGGTTGCAGTGAGCCAAAATCACACCACTGCACTCCAGCCTGGGCAAGAGTGAGACTCCATCTCAAAAAAAAAAAAAAAAAAAAGTTCACTATTATGAATTTGCCTTTCTGTGACATCCTCCACCCTCTGCCAATTTTGTTGTTATAAAATGTAAACTGGTGTGTGTGACATCTCTTAACTCACTCTTCACTACTTGCCATGCAGATGAGCAAGTGGCTAAACGGCAGACTAAGTCAGCTGGAGCAGCATTCACAGAGAAAACTCATGAAGGACAAGGAGCAGCTAGTAGATATGCTGTTGCGTTTTATTATTAAAAATAAGGAAATTCTACCCTCTAAGAAAGGGAACCTGAAACTACACTGGGCTTTGTAGTTCTGTAATTAGGGATGCACCAACCATTCCCCTGGGGTGATTGAGAGACTGAGATATAACATACTTACTAAGATAGGGCAGAACCCTGGCTTTGGCCTCTTTTATCAACTTAGTGTTTGTAGGGAATGGAAAGCCAGTGTAGCTATGATGGGTGACTCAGGTACAAGTCTTGCAGATACAGTTGAATGACATAGATGGCCAGAAACGGTGGCCTTTTTTTTTTCCATTTTATTTTATTTTGTCATGTGTTCAACAGCATCTCTTTTTCTCTCTCTCTCCCCTCTTCCTGGCAGGTCACAGACATAAATTAAAAATAAAATCTACAAGAAAAATAATTTATAAAAGCACTCCCAGGCTCACACCTTCTATCCCTACTGCTCAGTTAGGAACACCCCAACTGAGAATCAGTGCTTTCCCCCCTCCACTTCACTCCTGCTTGTCTGGGGAAGACAGTACTCCAGAGTCGGGCAGGGGTGGGGGTGGCAGTGGCAAACAGTTAAAAATAAAGACACTGTGGTCCTGGAACCATCTGGCCACCTTGGCACTTCCATGACTGCCTCCCCCAGGCAGCCCTCCAGGAGCTTGTGCTAAGCTGGGGCTGTGGAGAAGCTGCCCATGGCTGAGAGCTTGCGTGTTTGGGGGGTGCTCTCAGCCCCTGTCACTTGCACTTCTCCATCTTCTAGAAAGAAACCCAAAAAAGAAAGCAGACGACAACCTCGGGACAGAGGAGAAAAATCCCGAGTGTTCACACAGTTAGTTACATGGGTCTTTATGGCAAAGAGGACGTTTAGCTGCTTTGAATATTAGGACATCTCCTTTTTACTCAATACAAGCATTCTACAAGTGAAACAGGGCACAAGCCCTAAAAAAATCAAAGTGCATGAAATTCTAAGAGGACTAGTTTTTTTGTTGTTGCTGGGTTGTGTAATGTTTTGTGTTTTCCCAGTGACAAGCCCAGTCCTTGGTAGGCAGAGGCCTGAGGGAAAGATCACTCCCCAGTGTTGTGCTGAATCCTGCCTGGAGGCTGCTGCGCTAGATCCTCCCTCCATATCATTCCCCTGACTCACAGCAGTACTGGAATAGGAAGGCTGCAGGCCCAGTTCCCGGAGCACTGCCAGCACCTCACCCCAGCTACAGAAGAGCTCAGGCAGTGGGTGAGGGATGGGGAACACAAATGGGATTTATTGCATCAGCTTATAGTTGCAGAAGAGCTAGTTTCTTCCTTGGCTTGCTGAGAGTAGTGGGAATCCAAGCCTTGCTACTGATCAGGATAGAGGGCCTTGGGCACTGAGCCCCATCTGGTTTCCATGCAGCTCTACAGGAGCCCACATCTTTTTCCTGTTGACAGGGGATCAATCTTGAGCAGGTTCATCCTTCCTGGTTACAACCTGTATGATAAAATTCAAATCCCTTAGAGTGTCACACAAGGTCTTCACGATATGAACTCTCTGAGAATGTCAGCTAATATAAGCTTACCAATTGCCATCCATCTGCTTCCTCCAGCTCCTCATTGCTTTTTTTTTTGACACGGAGTCTCACTCTGTCATCCAGGCTGGAGTGCAGTGGTGTGACCTCTGCTCACTGCAACCTCTGCCCCCGGGGCTCAAGTGATTCTCCTGCCTCAGCCTCCGAGTAGCTGGGACTATAGGTGTGCACCACCATGCCTGGCTAATTTTTGTATTTCTCATAGAGATGGGGTTTCACCATGTTGGCCAGGCTGGTCTTGAACTTCTGACCTCAAGTGATACACCCGCCCTTGGCCTCTCAAATTGTTGGGATTACAGGCGTGAGCCACCATGCCCAGCCCCAGCCCCTCATTACTTTTTACTTTTACTAAGTGACTTGCATTTCCCAGAACAATTCGTTTTTTCGTTTTGTCTTCACATTTGTACATGTTGTTCCTTCTGCCCAAAATGCCCTTCCTATCCTTATCTGATGAATTCTTGTTTATTTTTCAAGATCCAGCCAAAGCATCATTTCTGCAAACCTTCCCAGTTCCCTCTCCCAAGTCTCAACCACCTGGCAGTGTTGATTAAAAATCTATTTTCTCCCCCCCAAATTTGTATATATCTCTCTTAATACAACTGAATAACAATTATTGTATAACAATTCAATAACTGAATTGTCAACATTGTTATTGAATAACAGTTACTGGCTCACATGCTTTCTGCTGACCACACTGTGAGCCCTTTGAAGGCAGCACATAGACAGGGTCTGGCACATAACATAGCAGGTGGTAAATTAAAATGTGCTGAATGAATGATGAAATGGATGGTTGCTTTTCCCAAAACCTTTGCACCCACATGGCATCAAGTTACGTCAACCTAGGTCAATCCAGGCAACAGCGATGGAAGAAGGAAAGGTCCTGGATGCTCACGATAGAGCGTGGCGTGTGTGATGGTGTGTGGACAGTCACCCTCTAAGTGTGCAGGACTTCATCCTAATCTTGAAATAACAAGATCGTACATTTTAAAAGTCAAGCCACAATATTGGTTCTGGGCATGTAGTTATTTTGTTTTTATTTCTTTTCGCTATTCTTATTCTCTTTTAAGACATATATTATTCTTAAGAAATTGTTATTGGATGGAGCTGATGGACATTTTGATACTTGTGAAGATAATTTCTTTTTCTCACATCCACTTCTTATTTTCTCTCATTGTCTTTACCATCTCATTTCAAATGACAATGGCCTCTTGTCTAGAATTCTGCAAAAGTTATCTTCTGGGCTTTTTGTATCTAATCTGGCCTCTTCTCCAGTCCATTACCACGCTGTAGCTTGAGTTAGCTTTTTAAAATGCAAATCAGATCATGCAATCATTTTGCTTAAAACCCTTGATTGTCTTCCCATTGATTTTTAGGATAAAGATAAACCCCTTAAGGCTTGATCTCTTCCTGTGGCTCCAGCATCAATTTCCACAATGTTGCTTCTCATCCTCATACCTTGCTTTACTGGCCTTCTTTCATATCCTCACAAACACTGTGCTGTCTTCTTCTGTAGAGGTTTTCCACATGCTATCCATTTTCCTGGAAGACTGTTGCCTCCTCTTACCTAATTAACTTACATTGATCCCTTACATCTTGTTTGAGAACCATTTCCTGGGGAGGAGGGGGCTGGTCCCCAGAGCACCAGGTACCTTTCATTTGCAACTTCATATTCAATTCTATAAGTATTTGATTGAAGTTGCCTTCTCTTACCAGCTGGAAACCTCTCCAGGGATAGTGTTTAATTCTGGATGATAGGGAGTTATGTGTCTCAGTTTGTAGCATAGTGCTTGAGACATGGTAGAGATTCAATAAATTTTAGTGGAATGATGAATGAATGAATGAATGAGTTCAGCTGCTTAGTTTTGGTGGATACAATCACCAAGTGTATCCTGGTGTACCTAGAGCCTATGTTTTGGTATAAATATAAAGAGACTTGGAGTTCATTAATAGAGAGTGGAGGGGAAAATCCTCACATTGGAAGCAGTCAACATAATGATGAGGGATTTTTTTGCTCGTTAGCTCAGCTAGGTCTGGGTTCTTGTCTCATGACCAGGAAGAAGTAGGCACACAGAAATTTGAAGAGTGAGCAAGGCGGGGAGTTTCATTGAATGATGAAACAGCTTTTAGCAGGGGTGGTCCCCCTACCCAAAGGCAGTAAAGTTCTCAATATGGCTGAGCCTGGGGCTTTTTATGGGCTCAGAATAGGTAGCTTGTATTGATTGATTTGTGACTGTGCAAAAAGGTCAAAGCAAAGATGCCACTCAAAGGTGGACATGACAGTGTAGAAAGCCAATTAGGAAAGTGTGGGTATATGAAAAATAGGTGAACGGTGGGGATCAATCAGAGGAAAGTGTGCCAAACGGGCAGGTGGGGTCTCAATCCAGTCCGAGGATTTAACTTGTAGCTTGGCTTTCAGGCTTTAAACTGTCTGCAACTTGGAGGTGGGGTTTCGCCAGGACCTGCCCGTGTCTATCTAGGCATTTGTCTGCCTCCTGTCATTATCGGTAAGAAACCTCAGAATAACTGTCCCAGACTGAAGCCTTTAAGGCTAACTGTGAAGATAGTCAAACAGGGTGACCCCGAGCGCTTTTGTTACCATGTTACTCTTGTGTCATTAGATAATACAAGTCTCAGATGTTGCAATGAAATCAATCTTAAAGGACACCATAATGGAGAAATTGCTGCTGTTTTTGAAGATGTAAAAATCACAGTCAGAGATGTCAGCTCAGTCAGTCTCTGCCTTCTCCCCAACCAGAACTAAATGGCAGAGTGCAGTGACAGAGCAAAAAGCTGAACTGGTTCCGAGGTCTCTTCCCTGCCAGGAGCTGGCATCTCCAGACTGTCGGTTCTTGTGTTGGAGCCTTGGTGCTCTTCAGTCTTTTAGCCATCAAATATTCTTGTACCAATTTTCCCACAAAGCGAATGACTGGGATTTGTATTTTAAAACCACAGCTATTATAATACCAGTATCTTTGAAATTGACATACTGTCTCCCTGTTAGTTTTCAATTTATCTTGGCCCAGCTGCTGGAGGAAAATACTTTTCAGTCTTTGTAGCGCCGTGGAGCCAATATGTTTAGGAAACAAGCCAGTCAATATAGTTCCCAAACAACCTCTTGCCAGAGACAGTAATAATTTTTTAACCCCTTGAACTCTAAATAAGAAAATGGTTTCATCCAGATTATGAACACTAAACCTTGGTTGGTGTGGGCAGTTTGAACAATCATCCTTCGAGTTGAAAACTTTTTGACTGTCCTTGGAATTAGTAAAGGACATACATTAAGTAATCCCCTAGGACTGCTTTTTCAGCTTGTAATTACATTTCAAGGAAATGGCCCTGTAAAACAAGTAGCAAAGTGCTCTCTGCAATATTTGAAAGTAAGACCATAGCAGGTCAAAAATTATAAAGTAAATTATAGTCATTCACTTAAAACGTTCACTTAAGGCATTTTGTAATTTCATTGGTGACCTTTTATTGCATCATGAACAAATAGGGGCAAGAAAGGATTTAGAAGATAAAGATTTGGGCTTAGGAAAATAAGCATTCAGTGGTAAGGATTTATAAGATGTAAGATAGATTAAGTAAGGGCCAGGAAACCTTTGGGGAAAAAGGCAAAGTGTTATCATATGAATAAAAATAATGGTAATAAAATGTCATAGATTATGTCATGTCTTTAAAAAGAGGGTACCTGAAGGAAATTTAAATTTCATGTTTTAGGTTATGTCATACCATGGGGATCTTGATATGTAGAAATTTCCTTTCACTTTTGCAGATGGTTGAGAGATCTAAGAACAGTGGAGGGATGCAGAGAACAAGGAGACAGGAAAGGCTGATGTAGGACACAGAACATCAGAATGACTACTTGGAGCAGGGAAGCCACCAGAGCAATGTGATGATTGGCGCTCTCGTATTTTACAGCTATTAATAGGTCATATTGACTGAATGATTTCTAAGTTCCAGACCTGGCACTTTTTATAATTATCATTTTATTTAATTCTTTCAATAACTGTAGAGGTAATTTCTTACGTTTCCCTTCACCCCATTTTATAGATGAGGAAGCTGAGGCTAAGAAAGGTTCAGTACCCATCACAAAGTACATTGGAAGTGGCAGAATCCTCTGATGCTGTAATTGTGTAAATAACCATTTTATTCTCCATGACCTGGGCACTTAGAAGATGACTGAGGAGTGATTTAGATATGTTATGTATATTCATATAGAGTTTATATATGCTATCGTTCCATCTGTCTGTGAAGTTTTCCTCAATTAAGTTGTGCTTGAGAAGCATTGAGGATTAAATTGGCCAACTCTGAACTTTCTGTTGCCAGTGCTTCCTGTGGGCTTGGCATTCTGTTTAGTACACTTATAAGAAAGTCATTCCAGCCTTGAAAACATCCTTAATGCAGATGTTTTCTTACTGAGTCAGTTAATGGATATGTGAGCCAAAAGGTTCATCAAAGCCACTGCTGATGAAACAACCAAAGCTTCATTTTCTTGAGGCTCCTATTGGAAAGAAAAAGGAAATCTATGTGCCTGTGGGAACTGCAGACGTAAACTACCTACCTCATGTAAAAGGCTACCACGATTGCAAGTGACATGGTAGGTGCAAGTATGGCCAAATACATAGGAAAAAAGGCACAATGAACTTTTTAGTGTATTTCCATTTACTAATTATGAATCTGTGACCACCTGTACAAATAAAGCAATTAATGTCAACTGTTTACGACTCCTACAAAAGTTTCTTCTTTTAAAATTTCAATTTTCTTTTTGTTCCTATCTTTAAAATTTGTGTAAATTTATGGGGTACAAGTATAATTTTGTTCCATGGATATACTGCGTAGCAGTGAAGTCAGGGCTTTTAGTGTATCCATCACCAGAATCACATACAGCGTCCTCATTAAATAATTTCTCATTATCCAGCCCCCTTTCACCCCTTTACCTTTCTGAGTCTCCATTGTCTATCATTCCACACTCTAGGTTCACGTAAAAGTTTATTTGAAATAGATTTAGAGGAAAAATTATATTGAACATATTTTTGTTTTAATTCAGTATTTTAATTTTAAATTGGAAATAATTAGTAAGTTAATTTAAATAAATAAACTCAATTCCGCAAAATGTGACACTTTAAGGAAAGTGCGTAGGAAACATTAATGAAACTCAAATGTATTAGAGAAAACCTACCAAAGAGTAGGTTGGTTATATTTTCTCAATTTGATTCAATTTTGTGGCTACACTCTACAACTATAGTTTGTTGAAGACTAACTATGTGCTAGACTCTTTGCTAAATGTTTTGCATGCATTATCTGATAATCCCAACATATGATGCTGATATTATTGTCTCCATTTGACATGTAGAAATTGAGGCTGAGCCAAAAGTGTCCTGCCTGGGATTTCCCAGTTAGACACTGGTTCCATGCTGTGATTCCAAGTCAAGATTCAAACTGAGGCCTGTTGAAGCTAACATCTACAAATTTAACCCTTTAAACTGCCTTGCATTTCCTTTCAAATTAGGTAATATGCTACAAAATGATTACAACCTAATGAAGTCTCTCTCCTGATATGTCTGAAATACCTATAATAGTGTATAAGGAGATTCCCATTTTGTTTTCCTTGGAAACGGATGGAGACTTACTCAGTTGCTAATTTCTGTAATGTGGTCCAAATTGTTTAAACCTAACAATTCCATATTTAAGGATTTATCTTAAAGAATTAACTGTACAACTGCTCCAGGCTATATGTATCAGATAAGTAACAGCAGGAGGACCTCTATATGGAATGGGTTAGTGATGGTGAACTTGTTAAAAGAGGGTTCTGTCTCTTCAAGACTCCTTTTATGTGAGGTGTTTTACATACAATTAAGCAAACTTTATTGTCCATATAAAAGAAGAGAATACAGTGGGCTGATACTCCCGTTTCTCAGCTACCTTCTTAGCTCTGCCACAATTCAAAGATGTTTATAACAGTATTGTTTATCATAGTGAAAAAATGGGAATAACCTAAAATATTCAACATTAAGGGATTGGTTAAATTATGAATCACCTCTACAGTTAAATACCATGTTGATATTACAATCATGAAGGGAAGGTATCCATAATATCTTGTTAAATAAACATACACATTACAATAGTATTCATATGGGATCACCTGATCCCATTTTGGTTAGAAAACAAGCCATTTAGGATGGGAAGTCCACCCAACAGAGGGCTGAGAAATCACTGCAGGTAATATACAAATATTACTTAATGTTATTTTGAAAAGAAGCAAGGGAGACTTTTAGAAACTTTTGGACTTCTCTTTGTCAGTTAGAATCCTGAATTTTTCACTAACTGCCTTATAAAAAAAAAACAACCCTGTATTTCATTTAAATCTGGCACAGAGAAAAGAGTCTTTCCCAATCTTTGGCTAAAATTCCCTAAAGCATGTATTTTCCTACTGTGTCTTTTGGAATAATTTAAGATATGCACTCTTCTCTAACTGCCTACTCTTGGAATAAATTTATTTATTAAGTCTGCCAGGGCCCTGCCTGGGTCTATAGTAGGATATGCAAATTGGCTACCAGTTAAGATAAATCTGGCCTTCAAATTTTGGCTTTACTTTAAAAAAAAATCATTTGAACTATATGCCAACTTTTAAAAATGAGGAGCTTTTACATTAATACCTGGATTTTTAGTATCACTTGAAAAAAAATCAGAATATCTGGCAGTCCTGGCTCCCATGCCCATGAGTAGGGCATGAGCAGCTTCTTATCCTGCTGCTTTGGTGATATGGTTTTGGTTTGGCTGTGTCCCCACCCAGCTCCCATCTTGAATTGTAGTTCCCATAATCCCCACATGTAAGGGAGGGACCAGGTGGAATGTAATTTAATCATGGGGGTGGTTACCCTCATGCTGTTCTCATGATAGTGAGTGAGTTCTCACGATAGTGAGTGAGTTCTCACGAGATCTGATGGGTTTATAACGGGCTTCCCCCCCTCCCCTCAACTTCGCTCTGCACTTCTTCTCGCTGCTGCCACGTGAGAAAGGATGTGTTTGCTTCCCCTTCTGCCGTGATTGTTTCCTGAGGCCTCCCCCGCCATGCTGAACTGTGAGTCAGTTAAACCTCTTTCTTTATAAATTACCCACTCTCAGGTATGTCTTTATTAGTAGTGTGAAAACAGACTAATACATTTGGCCATGTGCCCTTTGTTTGCCACAGTCTCTAGCACTTCCTATTGCCTTCCTTCCACTCGTTTATGTTACCCGCTTGAATTGTGTAGGCATTTCATTTTGCACCTCTGGTGTGCTAGACTTTAAAATAATCTAAAAAGCTCGTCTGTGGATCATTTAGCAATTTCCTTAACCTTTCTGTCAGTGGTCTGAAAAAGGGAACAGGTTTGCTGCATTTGCTTAGATAGATTCTTGGCATTTCTCCAGAAAGTCTGGGGCTGGATTAAATCAATTAATTAATGAAAACATCTGTATACCTATGTGGTAGGCTCTGGAGACACTAAGAGTTACAAAGACATGGTTTATACCCTTGAGGGGCTTATTCGCTGTTGTGGAAGATGGGTGTACACAACAGTAGCTAGTCAAGTGTTACCCAGTGCTAAGGGCCTAGAATGTCTGCTTAGTGAGACGGACAGTAAGTGCAGTAGGTGTTTCTGTGGGAATGGGCAGGATGTGCATGCCAATCCTGGAAGATGACATAGGTCAGGGAAGGTTCTAGGGAAGGAAGACCTCAGGTCATATCTGAGAGTTGGCAGATCAGGTGGATCACAAACATCACTGTGCATGTGAATTGTATCGTGTAGGGCAACTTCAGATTCCTAAGCTCTACCCAGAGATCCTATTTCTAGAGGGCTGAAGTAGACCAAGAATATGCATCTTTAATATGAATTCCATGTGTCTCTGAAATATGTGAGTTACACTGTGAAAAAAGGGTAGACGATAAGCCAAGCAGGTCAGGAGAAATAAGTAAAGGTAGGAATGTGTGAAGGTAATTTACAGGCTGCAAAACTCAGTTGATTGGATGCTTGTATGCAGAGTCCTGAGAGATAATTAAGGCAGGAATACTGGGAAGAGAAGGATGCTCTGGAAATCACTTATTTTCCTTTTTATCAGTAAGAAAGGATGGCAGATACATTTTATTAAATTGGGGAAATAAAGCATCAGCAGCAGCCAGTTATTCCCAAAAGGAATATTCTCTGCTTGGCTTATTTATCTTTTAATGGAATAAAATAGTTATATATGAGACAATCAATCATGGACATGCTTTTTTTTAAATGAAAATAATAGTTAATTAGCAGGCAATTGATCCTGGTCCTGATAGTTCAGGTGCCTAGTCAGTTAAATTGGATTAACAGTTTAGCAGTCTGCTGCATTACTTACTAAGTAATTGCACACTATTTATAGTTGAAAACAAAATGGATGCCCTAATTGATACCACCTTTTAGTGTAGCAAATACTGAACTGAAGCTCACAGTTTCTGACCCAGCATCTCATACAGTGACTGGTATATGGTTAGTTGGCACTCAATAAATACTTGCCAAATGTTCTTAACTGAAACTTGCTTGGTATTTGTAGTTCTTCATTTCTGAAAAAATGGAGTTGGATTTTATTCATGGTTTTCTACACCATCAAATTCCTTGGGGTGTCTAAGTGTCACTTCCAGAAATAGAGAGACCAAGAAATTGGGGAAGGGTGCCCACTTTACCTCATCTTCTCTTTTGTGTATATGTGTGTGTGTGTGTGTGTGTGTGTGTGTGTGTATACTTTTGTGTATGTGTGTGGGTGTGAGTATGTGTACACACATTTTTTCAAGAGACAGGGTCTCACTCGGTCACCCAGGCTGCAATGCAGTGGCACAATCATAGCTCACTGCAGCCTTCAACTCCTAGGTTCAACAGATCCTCCCACCTCAGCCTCCCGAGTAGCTGGGACTACACGTCCATGCCATGATGCTAGGCTAATTAAAAAATATATATTTTTAGTAGAGACAGAGTTTTACTAGGCTGGTCTCAAACTCCTGGCCTCAAGCAATCCTCCTGCCATAGCCTTCTGAAGTTCTGGGATTATAGATGTGAGCCACCATGCCTGGCCTATATATATATATATTTTTTTTTTAAATAGGGGTTTTCTGGTATAACCTTGTCTGAGAAACAATAAAGGCTTCGATTTTGAAGCAAAGAAAATAACAGTAGCAACAGTAATAAGTTTGGAAGTCTCTGAAGTATTGAATAAATGATTTGTTTCAATTCCACGTGCATTTACCGGCCACTGTGCACAGCTTTAATACATAATCTCATGACTCATGGGGCATAAATGAATTCCGGTGTGCCTCTTGTCTGCTTGAGTTTTTTTTAGCATTCCTTGCACTTGTAGGGAATTTTATTGGACACTGTACCTGCAGACCCTTCATAGATCTTAAGGTTGAAAAATAATTTGGAAGGCAGGTAATAGAGTAGAGAAAGTAAGGAGAAGGGGTGAGGGCGAGCCATTGAAGCAGCTTTAACAGAGGTAGGGAGACAAGAAATTCAGGCTGTGTCTGAGGAAACACAGGTGCGTAAAATGGTGTGGAGGGAATATTGGGTGTATGCATAGATAACCAGCTGGTAGAAAAGAATGAACAGGAAGTTTAGGGTGTTGAGAGGTCCTGGGTGGGTGCTTCAATGAAGATCGGAAGTGTTTTTGTCTGTGGGCAAGGGAAAACATGGTACTTTTTTTTTTATTAGAAAAGTGATTTGCACTAGCTTTTGTTTTAGAAGAATTAGGATATGAGAGTGAAGGATTGATGATAGGCAAGAACTAGAGGCCAATTTACAGCATTAAACCATTTTAAACAATAGTTACAGTGAGAGTGGAAAGAGGAGAAGAACAGAAGAGCCTCTGCAGAGGGAGGTGTTACGTAGATATTAAGAGAGAGGTGAGCAAAAATGGCTCTGAGATTTCTAGGCTGTGTTGCTGAGAAAATGTTGATCTCTTAAAGATAAAAATAACAATTATTGATCATTTACCTTGTGCCAGACATAAGTCATTTAATTCTCACAACAACTGTAAGAAGTCAGTACAGTTGTTACAAGTGAGACAACTAAGGCCCTAAGGTTAAATAACTTGCCAATTGTCATAGGGGAACATTAACAGCAGGGACTGGATGCAGGCAGGCGGGCTACAAGGTGATGCTCATCAACATGAAGATGTGCTTTCTGTATTTGGAGAAAATGAATCTTTCAGTGGTATTTCCAATGAGGGGATTGCAAGTATGACGTCTAGCAATGGCATGAAGCTTAGTACTTCCTGCTGCTGCTTATTCCGTGTTTTGCTCCACTGCTAAGATGATTGGCCCTACCTTTGAAATGTTGGGCCTGCCCTTCGTATTTCCTTCCCTTTCCATCATGAAAAGAAAACAGTTTTGAGGACTTTTAAAATGTGGTCAACCTCTGCCCTGAAGTATAGACACAGTCTTTGTCACCTTATGGTTCAGAAACAACATCAGTAAAAAATTTCAATTCATTGGGACTTGACTATGAAATGTTTAATAAATCTGCTGCATGGGCACATGAACTGATGCCACATGAGTTGTATCCAGAATAACAGATCATATGTGAAACATACAAAACACTTTTTGGAATGCTTTTGTGTTATTTTTTATAATGGATTGAGTAAGAAATTTTAATAGGCAAATAGCATCCACTATATAAATATTCACATCATTCAATTTCCAAAGAAGCATCCTGTGTAGAAAGCATAACACTGAAGCTATCCTTTTAAAATCACAATTTTATTAATAGAATGGGGAATACAAATCTTAGCAGCTTTCTGGAAATTTGTTTTCATATAATTGAAGAACAGTTAAAAGTCCTTGAGTGGTAGGAAACTACAAATATTCTATAATTAACATGTACAAATATATATCTTAAGGGAAAATTATGTGTAACGTTTTTTAAAGGGTTTAATAATTAAGTACCTATAATGAGAAGTTTTTTTTCTCTGAAATAATTGAACTAATTACCAGATATTTTCATCATAAAATGCTTACGTATGCAAAGTAAGAAAACAACTGAAATTTTAATTTGGACTGCCAAGGGGCTAGTTAAATGACTGAAAAAGCCAATACGTGTTAGTTTACTTACTGGAAAGAACCAAAACTGCTTTTGATTTGGCTGCATCTTGTTATTATTTTGTTTGTTTAGCTGGGCACCATGCTCGCTAGGAATTCGCTTGTGGGAATTTGCCAGTCCTTAACTGAAGTAATAAAGTGACTGGGGTACAGGGATAAAGAGATGTTCATGTGAGGAGTATTGTTGGAGAGTTGGGGGCTTGATTGGTGCACTGGTTAGAATGTAATTAGGTCCTGGAGCAGGGCAGTGCAATTAAATATGTTAAGGAGGGCATAATTAGGTGGGAGGCTGAATGATGTAATTACATTCATAAGAGGGGGGCTATAATTAAATATGAGGCAGGGGTGTGTATTTAGATGCCTAAGTTGAGGATATAATTAACATATGGGCAAGAAATTAAATTATGTGTGTGGATGAAGCATAATTGTGTGTGGGAGTCCAGGAGGATACGTGGGTGAGGGTATATAGAAAGAAAAGGGTCGGAATGCAATTAGATGTGTGAGTTGAGTTCTTATGGTCAAAAACTTGAGATTTTCATTAAGAAGGGCAAACATATGTTTTGACATCATGACTGATAGCAGGTGGCATGTAGTGACAGCCTTTCAGACCACTCTGAAGGCTTGCAAAGCAAACTCTGTGCTTTTCCAATATGGTTTGAGACCTGCAGCTAACACTGCTATTGATTCTTCTTGATTGTGGCACTTGGTGCCACAATTCTAAATACTGAGTGTCTGGATAATTTTTCTAGCTTTAAAACACAATTACATGACAAGGAAGACCTGCTCCCCCTTCCTGTCAAAGAGAAAAGAGTTTGGCGGGGATTACTAGGGCAAATAAACACACAAACAAGAACAACAAAACCTTCTTGCCACCAACAACCAAAACACCAATTTTTCTTTATATTGCCAAGTGTGAAAGTAAGCATCACTCTTTTAGCTAAAAGAGTATCACATAAACATAAATGTGTAACAAAATCAACAAAACTTAGTTATGATAGCCTCATTATTTTAAATTTCTAAAACAATACGCTTTCATAAATAATTTTGGCATCCTCCCAACATATAAAAGCAACAAAGCAACAAATGTAGGCTGCAGATAAAAGAGGAACTAGGGAGTGGCAGAAGGGAGCCAGGAGAAGAATGATCACAAGCAAAGTAGGTGAAAAATTACTCAGCGCATCTCAGAAACTAAGCAGTGAAGTATGGTAAGAGTGATCATAATAATCTGATATATCCTATATTAAACTTAAAACACGGAGACTCCTGTTGTCGTCTTCAAAAGCTAGAGAACATTTCGAATATCTGTTCGTTGCTTAGATAATTGTTGAAATTAAACATATTTAATTGGCCAGTAGTCTGCTTAAATTGATTCAATCTAGCACTCAATTCTCATAAATACCAGAGCCTCAGAGCCTCCTCATATCTGTTCAGGCCTTAGGTCAGTTCTGACAGAACTCCACTATTGATAAGATTCCTGGTGAGCTGGTTGCTTCGGGGATTCTGAAGTTTTTAGATTCAAAAAGAATCCGAAAAGGATTCAAGAAATCTATATTTAAGGTTAGTTATTTTTTATAACGTGGAGGTAAGGACATTGCAGCCTGCCCGCAATCTCTTGTTCTGCCCTTTAGTGGTTTTAAAGAACTTCTTTTTAATTCTTAGATTTTGATTTCATACCAATGCATGATGCTGATTTTTAAAATTGTAGACATGCCTCAAAGGCAGCCTCTCACAAAGGCTCTTGTAACTTAATTTGTAATCAGAAGTGCTCTTAATAAAATGTTGTGCATTCCTGTGAAAATTACTGTTGCATCCAATTCTCTATCCACTAAGTGGTTTACATTTTCTTTTTCTCCATGCACTTCCTACTTTTTGCCCTGCCTCCCAGACCAGCTCAGACTCTGCAACAATGAATGATTTATGGTGGTTAACTCATGTGCTTCTAGAGGTCACACAATTATCATTCAAGACATCTAGTTATGTCTGTGGGTTGGAAGATGAGTAGGTGTAAAGTCTCCTTGTGCCAGTGGTGGAGGTCAGTGCCGGCTCTGCTGTTCAGGGTTGGGGGTGGAGTCCCAGCTGGCCAGCTCTTTGTTGCTTTGTGTGGATTGCACAAGGAGAGGAGGAAGAGGTGGGCTTCGGGCTTTGAAAGTGACTCTGGTAAATGATGCTTTGTTAACTTAATTATAAAAACCATTCTGAGATGCTCCAGTACTATTTACATAAGGCACAACAAACAGGGTTTAAATTCTTCAGACTTGAATAGCGTTTTTCCATAAGTCATTTTGTCAGCTAGGAATATGTTTGCAGCTGGCACTTAACAAGTCTTTTCACTCTCATGCATGCTATAAAACACCAAAGATCCTAATTTTTGTTTGTCTTTTTTTCACCTTCCTAATATTATCTAATAGACCAGAAATCTCAACTACTTTCATATGCTTAAAGCTATGGATCTCAGCTTAAATGTTAATTCCTCAGAGAAATTTTTCCTAACCTTATAGCACGCTGCATTTTGCTGTCATGTTTGTTAAATTCTGTTTTTCTATTTAGCGTGTAAGCTGCATGAGTGGGGTATATGTCTATTTTGTCCACCATCACATTTTCAGCATCCATAACAGCTCCTGGCCCATACTAGGTGCTCAATGAAAAGTTGATGAATGAACAGGGAAGTTAGGTATTAGGGCTGTTTGAGAAGAGGCACGAGTGAGGCAGACTGTGGAAAATGAGGATAAGGGGTATCTCAGAAGCAACACACTGGATGGGCTTACTGACCGGTTCATATTTAGAGTGATGGGGCTCACGGTTGTTCTTCAAATTTGGAGATTAATTTATATATTCATTACAATATAAGGAAATGCCATTTTAGGTCCGGAAACTGCTGAGAATGGATTAGATGCTCCAGGAAAATTTTGTGATTAAATAACTAATTATTGAACAATTTGTTGATCATCTCATCTGTACTTAGTCCAGATATGAGGTGTTGAAAAAAAAGATATGATACCTGCAATGATTTCTACACAAATATGTTATTAAAACTCATGGCTTGATAGAAGTTGTATTCATAAGTACACCCTTGGCTGGGCATGGTGGCTCACGCCTGTAATCCCAGCACTTTGGGAGGCCGAGGCAGGCAGATCACCTGAAGTCTGGCCAACATGGTGAAACCCCGTCTCTACTAAAAATACAAAAAAAAGACCCGAGCGTGGTGGCGGGCACCTGTAATCCCAGCTACACGGGAGGCTGAGGCAGGAGAATTGCTTGAACCCAGGAGGCTCAGGTTGCAGTGAGCCAAGATTGCGGCACTGCACTCCAGCCTGGGTGACAGAACAAGACTCTGTCTCAAAACAAACAAATACACCCTCAAAGGACCAATGACAAAAAATATTGATTTGTTCAAAATATATATAAATTAGCTTGGGTAACATGGTGAAACCTCGTGTCTACAAACAAAAAACAAAAATTAGCCAGGCATGGTGGTACATGCCTGTAGCCCCAGCTGTTCTGGTGGCTGAGGCAGGAGGATTGCTTGAGCCCAGGAGGTTGAAGCTGCTGTGAGCCGTGATTGGACCACTGCACTCCAGCCTGGGGGACAGAGTGAAACTGTGTCTCAAAAAAAAAAAAAAAAAAAACAACAACTATATAAATCTTTGAAATTGAAAATATCTCACACAAATATAGACTAAATACTACAGTGGTCTAGCAAAATACTAACTTTCCCCTAAGGAATGCAATTTTGTTAGTACATAATAATGAATTAATATAATATATTTATATGGGACTTCAGAGGTTACTGATAATGGTAAATGCCTCACCTTATTTTAACTCTCGTAATAGTCCTGGAAGATGGAACAAATGGTTTTTTATCATGCCTTGTTTCCAGTGAGGCACTGAGGGGTTGAAGGGCCTGACAAATCTGAATCCAGATGATTCATATAATATGGTCACTAATAAGATGGCCATTAACAGATGGAACAGTTACAGATAAAAAACTCTGGACAAAGATCCGTAGGATGGTTAGTGGCTGAGCAAGAATAGAAAATCTGTGAGGCTGGGCGCGGTGGCTCATGCCTTATCTCAACACTTTAAGACGCTGAGGCGAGCAGACTGCTTGAACCTGAGTTTGAGACCAGCCTGGGCAGCACGGCGAAATCTCGTCTCTACAAAAAATACAAAAAATAGCTGTGTGTGGTGGCATGCACCTATAGTTCCAGCTACTTGGGAAGCTGAGGCAGGAGGATTGCTTGGGCCTGGGAGATCAAGGCTGCAGTGAGCCGTGATGGCACCATTGTACTTCAGCATGGGTGACACAGAACTAGACCCTTTCTAAAAAAAAAAAAAGGAAGAAAAAAGAAAAAAACCCTTGAGCTCATTACTATAGTTAATCTGTCTAATCTATCCTTGCATTTAGAGTAGATTTTTTTAAGGTTAGCAAGAGTGTTATAGTATATTATATTCTCAAATCCAGTAGATTATTTTCTTGCATAGGTACAAGGAGACACATTTGAAAAGACAGTATGCAATGCCTCAATAAAAATATTCTCTGTTAAAATAGTAATATTCATGTGGCAATGGATGACCAAACTTCTTTCTATATAAGTATACTCATAAAGGAAAACATCTTGTTCATACATCATTCTGGAAAACATGGACCATTGCCAAACTGAGAAATTGAGGAGGTATTCTGTGAGTATTAATGAGAGTATTATCTCAATTACTTTAAAAAATCCATAGTATTTTTGGCCGGGCGCGGTGGCTCATGCCTGTAATCCCAGCACTTTGGGAGGCCGAGGCAGGCGGATCACAAGGTCAGGAGATCGAGACCATCCTGGCTAACATGGTGAAACCCCATCTCTACTAAAAATACAAAAAAATTAGCCGGGCATGGTAGCGGGTGCCTGTAGTCCCAGCTACTCGGGAGGCCGAGGCAGGAGAATGGCGTGAACCTGGGAGGCGGAGCTTGCAGTGATCCCAGATCGCGCCACTGCATTCTGGCCTGGGCGAGAGGGAGACTCTGTCTCAAAAAAAAAAAGAAAAAAAAATCCATAGTATTTTCTCAATTAAGTTTTTTTGTCTGTAAAGCTTTGGTGTGCTGTTATTGTTCATTGACGTATTATAAGTGCCCAGAGAGTGCACTCAGGCACTCAGGAAATATTTATTGAAATGAAATGAAATTGCTTGTCAATAAAAAGTCAAAATGGCTTTTTTTAAAAAAACCCCTGGACTTTTGTTTGAGGGCTTTGGGGGGTGGTATTTACTAGTGCATGGATATAATAGCTAAGTTTTCTGTTAATAAAAATTATTACTAATTGTTAAGGTAGTGTGTTAAATTACTGTTTTACCGTGTTCTACAGAAACCGTGAAATCTAGGCATTTCATGGCTTGAACAAGCCAGGGAGACTCTGCTAGAAGGAGGAAAGAAATGAAAAAGGGAAGGAAGATGAGTGGACTTCCATGCCAGTGGCTTGGTTAGATGCTTGACATCCACAAACTCATAGAATTTCATGAAAGCCTGTGTGAGGTTAGACCCCTTCCAGGACAGGAAGCAGAATACAGAGGGGTTTGACAGCCTACCTTCCAATTCCATAGTTCCACAGTTTGGAAGTTAGGAGGTAATGTTTATAACTAGGACTATGTTGCTGCTTCCAAGATCTGTTTGTTTTGCGGCCAGATTCCTGACAGAAAACCTGGAATTGCCAGCCTAATAGGCTCAAGCAAGAACCACTCTTTGACAACAATTAAAGGGATTTTTAGTTGGCTTTTATAGAGCAAACTAAATATTAGTTGAACATGAGTGAACCCAGATTTTTCAAATAAGCTATATGAAAAGAAATATGCAAATGTGCATGTATAACTTACTCAGATCAGGTTTTTGTTCTTATCGCTGAACTAAATCTACCTTTTTCAAGGTCACCAGTGACCTTCCTGTTGCTAAGTTCAGTGGCAATTTTCAGCTGTTGTCTTACTTAATCTATCAATAGCATTTGATGTAATTTTTTTCTTTTCTTCTTTAGACACTTTTTTTTTTTTAACTTGGACAATTCTTAGACCTCTTCTCTTTTCCATCTGCACTCATTCACCATCCAGTCTCCTGACTTTAAATACCCATGCTGATCACTCTCTATTTTCTATCTCCAGGAAAGACCAACTCCCTGACTGCATAGTCATGTATTCACTTCCCTACTTGATATTGCCACCTGGGTATCTAAAGGACATCATGCACTTGACATATTTAAGATTGAACTCCAAATCGTTCCCCAGAAACCTGCTCCTCCTGTAGTCTTCCATATGTTGGTAAATGGCAAGTCTATCTCTACAGTTGTTCAAGGCAGAACTCTTGGCATCATCGCTGATTTCTCTCTTTTTCTCTTGCCCTGTTTTCATTGTATCAGCAAATCCAGGCAGCTCTTTCTCCAGAATATATCCAGCTTCTGGCTACTTCTCACTACCCCAGTGATGGTGATAGGGGTAGTGAGAAGCAGCCAGATTCTGGACATATTCTGGAGTCACCAAAGTGACCAAGAGTCACCAAAATCTCTTATGAAAGACTCCTATCTGGTCTCTCTCTTTCTGCCCATGACATTCTACAGCCTGTTCTCATAGCAGTATAGTGATTGCTCCAAAATATGTCATAATGTCACTCCTTTGCACACCCAACATTGACTTGATTCTCATCTTAGAATAAAAACCTATGTCTTTACAATACCCTATAAGGCCCTGCAGAATGTATTTCCCAACCTCCCTAATAGTCTACTCTCTGATATCCTTCCTACTTCTCCCTCCCTCTTCTGCCTCGCTTCTTCATCTCCAGACACAACAGGCTCTTTGCTCCCCCTTTCCCATCCCAGGAATGTTTTCTCCTTAGGGTCTCTGCACCAGGGGTTCCCGCAGAGATCTGTGAGGCTCACTACCTCATCTCCTGCAGGAATTTGCTCACAAATTGAACTCCTCCCTGATCACCCTATTAAAATTGCAGTTCCTGGGGCCAGGTGCGGTGGCTCGCTCCTGTAATCCCAGCACTTTGGGAGGAAGAGGTAAGCTGATCACCTGAAGTCAGGAGTTTGAGATTAGCCTAGCCAACATGGTGAAACCCTATCTCTACTAAAAAAAAAAAAAAAAAAAAAAAAATTAGCTGGGCATGGTAACGTGTACCTGTAATCCTAGCTACTGAAGAGGCTGAGTCAGGAGAATCGCTTGAATCCCGGAGGTGGGAGTTGCAGTGAGCCGAGATCATGCCACTGTACTCCAGCCTGGGTGACTAAGCGAGACTGTCTCAAAAGAAAATAATAATAATAATAATTGCAGTTCCTCTCTGAAAGCATCTCCTAATCCTTTCATGGCAATGCTTTCTTTCTTTCCAAAGCTCGTGTCACCATCTGACCCACTGCTCATTTTACTCATTTATCTTTACTTATCATCTGTTTTCCACACTAGAATATAACCTCTGGGAACAGAAATTTTTACTTATGTCCTTGTCACCCAGGGCAGTGCCTGACGCATAGTAGGCACTTTGTAAATACTTGTGGAATAAACAAACAGCTACTTTGAATGTAAGTATTTAAATCTTCATCTGACAAATTATAGCTCTAACTGATGTTTTTCTAGTGTTGATTCCAAGCCCTCTGTTTCTTGCCCGTCTCTTCTCTCTGGATCTGTTCTGATGTTTGTTGGGCTGGTCTCTGGTGTAGTAATGCAGGAAATTCTTAACTCTCTGCTGGCAAATGCTTAGACATTACACTTTAAGTACTGTATTTTTATCAACAATATTTCCATAGCTCTGGCTGTTCCTTTGACAACTAGAAATCAAAGGAATAAAATCCTCTTCTTATGCTGCATTAAGTGGCCACCTCAGTTACCAATGAATACAGAAACTCCTGGAATTTTATTTCTGGTTTAACTACTTCCTGCCTATATGAGGCCCTTACAGTGTATATTCATATACTTATTGGATTTGTTCTTTTGGAATAACCCATATTATTTGCTTGAGATTCATGTAGGGTGGTTATTTTTGATGCCAGTTGTGTATATGAAAGGTCTTTCCCTAAAGAACTCCAGCTGCTCTGCGTCGTTTCAGCAAGCAGGAAATTCTGTACCTGGCAGTTCTTGCTGACCCAGCTAGAAGTGGCCGAATGACGCATTTCACTTTCAGGGGCTATTGCTGGGTTTTCATATTCATACTATAAATAGCACTTCAGGGAACACTCAGATACACTGAACATTTTCTTTACAGTCCAGTTCAGTGTTGGCAGAAAGAAAGTCACATGCTGTGTGGTTCTACACAAGTCACTTGCCCCTTAGTGGGTCCTAAGCTCTAGACAGACCCACCCAGAGTGTTCATTTGCTCATAAACACAGCATCACTCTCAGCAAATACTTCTGTGTCGTTGTTTACGCTGCTTTCTGTGCCTGGAGGAATCATACGTATTCTTTAAGGTTCATCCCAAGTGAGAAAGCTTTCCCCGAGTTGGCTCAGCAGAAATGCCTTCTTCCTCCTTGTGGATTGCCCCATAGCATTCAGTGTGCATCTCTTTGGCAGCAACTTCAGCATTATAATAGAGTTTGTTACCTAGGTATATGTTTTCACACTCTCATCATCCCTTTCTCTCCTCACATCCCAAATTGTGAACCCTCAGGCCTGTGACTTCTGTCCACATGTATCTCTCCCCAACAGTTAGCAAAGGAAATGTTCAGAAACATTTATCAAGTGAATGGCTGATTGTATGAATGAATGAGATTGCAATCACATAGGAGAATGGAGCTCATTTGTTTCCAGCTTAATGGCTTTAAAAATAATCCTGTGTTTACTTTGTATTTTTTTTTTAATTTTCCCTAGCAAACACCTTCTACTATGTGCATGGCCAATTGGAGAGGAAAAAAATAAATGTTGTTATATTTAAATGCACTTCAGGGAGGCTTTTTAAAAATTTTGCTTTTTAAATTTCAAGGCAACAGACTAGTTTGTTCCTTACAAACTTCTTGGCATCTTTCTTTTCACATGCTCTTTTTTGCTGGACTCAGTCTTCAGTCAAATTCCTCCAAAGGGTCTGCTGTAAACAATGATTTTGTGAGCGGTTGTGTGTTCTTTGCAGTGAAAACCCGCCTTGTTTTCTGTTGCTAGGCAACCCCATTCCAGCTGCCATTGAAGAAATGCGCGGTGGTGGGAAATGGTGGGATTCTGAAGAAGAGTGGCTGTGGCCGTCAAATAGATGAAGCAAATTTTGTCATGCGGTAAGAGAGAGCACCCACAGCGCGGCCTCTGCCTTCTCTCCTTTTCCCCACCCCTCCCATAAGCCCTGGGGCTTTTCAAAACTAGTCACTTGTGATGAATCAGTTGTAGCACGCTCCTTAGCTTCACTTCCAGCTCATAGACAAGCGAGTTTAGGAGAGGGGTAAGGGGAGCGAGGGAACATGCCCCGAGAAAGGACAAAGCCAAGAAGGCTCAGGCGGAACAGAGATACCCACTCTGCTGTGAATAAAGGGAGCAGGGGAAAGTGGAAAATCTCACATCTCATTTTAGATTGTACAGTCAGGTGATTTTGGCTTTTTAAATTGTTCTTTTCCTTAAGGACCACTCTCTATGAATAAATGCTTTAATGGATTCATTTTATTCTATACCTTATTCTTCTTAGTTTTTGATCAAATCATGTGTAAGTAGCAAGTGGGATCTGAAGACGGATTAAATCTTTGAGTGAGTGGGAAAACGGGAACAAAGGAGCAGGGGTAAATTTCAAACGAGGGGACGCTTGGTAAAGGGACTGAGCAGAGTGGTGATGTGCACGTCAGTTCCAGGAAAAACAGGAGGCCCCTGCGGGAGCATGAAAAGGAATTGCTGAGACATATTCAGCCAGGGACAGAGACTGCCAAATTGTAGGGGCAGCAGCCTGCACTGCTGGGTGATTCTGCCCAGACATGCTTACCAGCCACGTATAGAAGGAGAGACAGCAAGTGATTGGATAAGGACAGGTTTGGGATTATCTGGGTGAGAGGGAAGAAGGACAAAGAGTGACAACTTGGAGGGCTCTGGCTAGAGAGGGTGTAAAGTAACACACCTTGAAATCAGGGCTGGGCAGGAAGAGCGCTCTGAGATGAGTGAAGGAGAAAGGATGGGGTCAGATGATGGGGTCATTCAGAGCAGGGGTGAGGTAAGTTGTGGCTCCTGGCTATGAATGAAGGAGACGTGGAATAAGAAGAAGCTAAAGTCAAAGAATGGCTTTCTGGAGGGCAAGATTTCAGAGCTCAGGGTATCTCGGGGATGAGTGGACATGTTGTAGAAAAAGAAAACATTTGTTATGGAGCAAATAAAGGAGCCTTGAGGATAGACTCTGAGGGACCTTTCAGGTGGACCCTGAAGCCTCACTGAGGTGGAAATGACTATGAACCAAGTGCCAGCAGACTCTGTGGCCAGGAAGGGTGAAGACTGCAGCAACATCAAGGACAGAAAGCTGAGCGAGATTTTGTATTCCTGTTTATTTTTAAGTATAAACGAGTAACAGTCTAGGAGTGGAAAAAAGGTAGCCAAGAAGATGCTAAGTCACCTCTGAGCCCTGAGCTAAGTGGGAGAGGGAAGAGTAAAAACTTTATTTGAGAGAGTTTCAAGAGAAGCCATGTACTTGTGGGGGCTAAGTTCCCTCTCAGAGTTGGTCTCCTTGAAAGACATTTTTTTTTCTCACTTGGTGAAGCCTGCAGGAGAGTCTAGATCCTTCTATACCCACCTTTCCTTCATGCAGGTACCCTCAGCATAGTTTTTCCTCTGTATTGCAGTTTTTCTTTTCAACGTGAACAAACAACAGAAAAGTGGAAAAAGTACAAATGTAGTTCTTTTAGTTCCAGTCAATGCAACACCTGCTCATTGAGCACCCATGACATATGGGCCTTGAGCTGGCTCTGGGAATGGTGCGTTGAACAATTCTATAGTGGATTTATATCCTAGAGATGTGTTTGCTACCGTGGGGGAATTCAGACACACGGGAGCTTCTCAAGAGAAGTGGCGTGTGAGCTGAGTCTTCTCTTCGTTTCACCCTAAGCAGAGAAACAACCTTTCCCAAGAGTCCAAGGTGGGAAAGATAGCAAGTGCTGTTGCAGTGTCATGAACAGTGGGGAAAATGGCTTGAGATGGAGCCAGAGAGGTATTGAAGGCATTGGAGTGGAGAAAATCACCTAGAGAGCATGAATAGGTGAGAAGAGCAGGGAGTCCTGAACCACCTTCAGGCACCCTCTCCAGTACTTTGGCATTAGGTGAGGCTGAAGAGCCAGCAAAGAACACAGCGAGATAGGAGACAAGTCCTTGCTGTTGTTGACTAGGTCTGTGACCTACAGTGCATTATTTTACCCTTGCTGGGGCCCAGCTTTCTAATTTGTAGGAGGAAGCGGGAGTAGGCAATTCCTCAGGCCCTTCCCATTGTGGCAACTCTTACTCTATCTATGACTGTATGAATACCGTATCATTGTAACACCGTTTATGTAGTTTAGTTTAAATTTTCAAATTGCTCTTGAGTATTATTAGTTTTTGTGCTCTTCCCAAAAATTATGTAAGGAAGAAGGAATACGTAGTATTCAACTCACAGATTCAAAGAAGTGATTTCAAGTGGCCTTGATACACGTAGAAATGTAAATACACTTCGTGCAGTACAATAAGTGTATTTTTGTATTCATGAGTGTGTATGTGTGTGTGTCATCCATTTGTGAAGATGGACGTTTACTAATGTGTAGAAGACTAGGCTTAGGCACCATAGAATGTTATCTATTGTTTCCAGTGGGCCATATTTATCACAAGTAAACAAGACTTTTTTAGCCTTATATGCAATCTGGTGTTGATATAGTCAAGTTCAGAATTAATGAACGCTTCTGATTAGAGTGCCTGGCACAGTATTAAGCATAATGTTTCTAAAATATGGGGAGATGAGGGTTGAAAGAACTCAAAGAAGGTAGCACCATAACTAGAACTATGTATGCGTATGCCTTTGATTTAATTTCAAGAATAGTTCTGTTTTATGACACATTTTAATGTTTAAAAGCCTTATGTATGTTTTAAATTATAGGAGTAATAAAAGTTGATAAATTATTTCAAAATTATTTGACCATTTGCAGATCTATTAATAAATCATTGCTTAATATGCATTTTGGGGCATGCTTAATGTATCGAGATATTATATATTCAAAATTAAACATTTAATGAATAAACGTAGATTAGAAAGCATGTCGTATGTCTGGTCCTAGACTGTAGGGTGTGTAATGGACAGATACAGTGAGAGAGAACATCCAAAAATAGCACTGCCTGTACACAGTGATATACCAGATTACAGTTCAAAGTGTCTTCTAGGACTAGGATATAATAATTTCATAATTTTCTTTGCTTAAATGTTTTCAAACACATCTTCTAGTGCTGAAAATCAATTTCCCATTTCTCAAAGTAAACATTTGCTCTGTAGCCAAAAGCAGTACTTTAAAAAATAATATCATTGAATTCAATTTATTGGGAAGATTTGCCAGACAAAAGTTAACAGGGATTGCATCCTCAAAAGGAACTGGTTGGCTTGGGGACATGAATGAGGGAACATAATTTTGGTGCCTTTTGAATTATGCTCAAATGTATGTTTTGCCTGCTCACATATACAAAAAAATTAAAGTAATTTCATGATTTTTCTGCTTTAAGATTTCTTTCTCTCAAGCCCATTTCCCACTTACTTCCACATCCCAATTCAAAGAATATTCACTTCTCATTAATTCTCTGATCAGATCTCTTTTAGGATCATGAGCACAGTTGCTAAGACACTTTAGTCATTAATATTTGTTAATTGTGCCAACAGCGATAATGCAAACTTTGAAACATTTTACACCACAATTATGCCTTATTAAAACAATTTGACTGTATTAAATGTGCCTTTTGTGTACATCTTTGTAATTATCAATTTATGAGTTGAGGAACTAAAATTATTGGTGTGCTTTTCCTGAGAGAAGAGATACAGGAAAGTGTCACAGATATTTGCACTTAGAGAAAAAGTTTACCCAGAAGAACTTACACCAAAATGTATTGTCATTATTTTCTGGAAATACATCAAAATTCATATAAAATGTTATCTTCATGGTTTTAAGCATTCACCTCTGTTCTAGAAGATAATAAATACCTGCAAGTTTTTATTGGGCTATTACTCTGTGGCAGTAAATATGAAAAGACCCAGACACATGAGCCATGGAACACACAGGAAAACAAAGTATTTACTCATGAAAACCAGTTTGTTTAATAATGACAAAACATGTTGACAGTACTCTCCAGCAATACTCAGAATTTACAGTTTTAGCGTAACATAGCTGATTCTCACCTGCTTCCAAGGGCAATTAAGATCAAAGCTTCTTTAAGAGATAAGTATCCAAATTTTAGTCTGTGTTTTATCCTGGAAGTCATCTTCCTCTTTGCAAAGATCAATTAAATCACAAGACCACAATCAGTTACCACAGCCGGATGAGCCTGGCTGTTAATGCATAAACTCACTCCCTCATGAGAATCCTCAGGAAACCACATGGGATATGGGGCAACCACTTGACTGTGGATACTTCAAGAGTAGGTTCTCTGACTTGGGCTCCACCCCCAAGGCCCCCATAATGCCCACTGTGTTTGCTTTCAGTGGGCATTCAGCAAAAGCCACTGACTGGTTAACTGACCTGTTGGTAGCTACCAGAAAAACCAGTATCTTATCACCGAAGAGCAGATAAAAAGAAGATTCTAAATCAACTGAGACAAGTTTCTGCCTAGGATGCCTTGATGTGTTGATACTCACAGGGTAAATAAGAGACAAAATCAGAGAACTTGAGCTGATCAGCTGAGTGGGTGCCTGGATACTGAGGGTAATTTGTAGGGAAAATTTAGTAGTTGGGGAACTAGCAGAGACTGCAATATTTGTAAGATATCTTTACCTACAAGTAAATGATGCTTTGGTTTACTGAAGTAATAAAAAGTTACAGATGCCCTAATGTGGTAGGAATCAAGTTAGACATATGGTTGAAGAGGAGAAATGAGGACTCAGTAATAAAAGAAAGCATAATGGAAACTATAGGCGCATTTGGCATTTTCATAGATAATAAATACATATTTAATTATTTTTGTATGCTATTTCTGACCTGTGATATTTTTGAATATTTACTAAGTGTACACATCAAGGTTGGGGAATTTTTATATTACATACCTTTTTTAGTCCTTAACAACAATTCAAGAAAAGAGGAAAAATCATTATCCTCATTTTGTATAATGGAGAAACTGAAGTCAGGCAAATGAATTAACTTGCCTAATGTTCCACAGGCAGAAAGCCATGGGATTTGAATTCGCAGTGGTCATATTTCCCATTGTAAGCATTCATAAGACATGGTGGCCAAGGAGAGCAACTGGGGCAGGGTGGGGTTTTGGGAGTGGGAGTGGGGTGGCTGTTCCCATCACCAGGGAAACATCACCTGTACTCTTTCCTTTGGCTGAACTGGGATGGTGGATCACTGCATTTCTTTGGATGATGAGCCATTATACCTTCACCAGTAATCAGCCTACCCATTGGCCACACACACACAAGTCAGACATGCTGTGATTTAAGTGAATAGTACATGGCCCTGAATGCACTCTTATAATTTTGATTTTGGAAAAAGAAAAACACAAGAAAATATATTAATTCCTCCTTGTCTTTTGAGATTTATGGGTGTGCAGAGGTACTGTAGGTCCCATGTCCTCTAGTGTATCACACTGTCCTGAGCTTTAATTCAGGTCTAAGAATGTCTGTCCTACCCTCTCAAAAATATTTTGAATGGAATAAATACCTCCTAGTTACTGTCTCTTTCTTTTTGTAGATAATTTGCCCCTTTGGCTGACATTATCTTTCTTACTAAACAGGAGTAGTTTTTATGACAGCATTTGGAAGATGCTGATAGTTAATTATTCATCCAATGTCTATTAAAAGGGAGAGGTGGTAAAAAACAAAACAAAACAAAACAAAACAAAAAACAGTTACTGGCTGGGTGCAGTGGCTCACGCCTGTAATCCCAGTACTTTGGGAGGCCAAGGCGGGCAGATCACAAGGTCAGGAGATCGAGACCGTCCTGGATAACACGGTGAAACTCCGTCTCTACTAAAAATACAAAAAAAATTAGCCGGGTGTGGTGGCAGGTGCCTGTAGTCCCAGCTACTCGGGAGGCTGAGGCAGGAGAATGGCGTGAACCCGGCAGGTGGAGCTTGCAGTGAGCGGAGATCACACCACTGTACTCCAGCCTGGGCAACAGAGCGAGACTCCATCTCAAAAAAAAAAAAAAAACAAAAAACAAAACAGTTACTCGTGAATTCAGCTAGAATTAATAACATTTCTATTTGTATTATTCTAACTGATGATTTAAAACTATGCAAATTGTTCCAAAATGTTTGTTCTTGTTTCTCTAGATGCAATCTCCCTCCTTTGTCAAGTGAATACACTAAGGATGTTGGATCCAAAAGTCAGTTAGTGACAGCTAATCCCAGCATAATTCGGCAAAGGTAAGAGTTTATGACTTCTGTTTGTGACGAACGAAGATGAAGTCTTCTCAAGTACTTAGCATTTCAAAGGCAGTGAGCATAATTCAGTTTGGGAAATCAAGAGGAAAACCATCTGGACAGGCAGGAAGGATGAAGGGAATTGTAAATAAAGAAAACAGGATTATGGGAATCCAAACAATATTTTATGCTTCCTCTGGGATTCTGTTTCTTGCCTTTAGAGATGATAGAAATAACAAGAAGATCAATTGTTTTGCTCAAAGAACAGCACAATACTCTGTTTACTCATTACTGCTACTTTTCAATTTGTTGGCTTCAGTCCCAATTTATTGATTGGCAACTGTGAACTGAATTAATATCAAGAATAAAAACAAAGCAATGGCCAATCCATTACATTGCTTTGGCCAATTCATACATGCATTAAAATAGCAATATTGTCAGAATGGACAAGAATATGTGGTTATAGTATACTGTATTACATTACATTATATTATATTCAATCATATTTGGGAGAGCAGATGTAAAATTCTTGTTCTAGGATCAATTCCAGAAATCTTGAAATTGCCTGGAATCTTGGAAGCTGCTGTGGGAGCTGCGGGGGTGGGGGAGGGGGTCAGTCTCTAATTGATGAAGTGCATCAGCGAGCTATCAGCTGTTTCTCCAAGGACTGTTCATTGTAGAGAAGGAGTCCGTCTCCAAGGAAAGAGGAATCAAGCATTGCTTTAGGTCCTCCTGTGTCCCTGGCAATTAGGAGGGAAACATCCAGATGTTCTGGGCCCAGGCGCTTGTCATCTAAGTCCCGTCCAAGTGATCAGCATGTGTGTTCACTTATTCACAACGTGGCACTACTTGTTTTGGTTCATAAGTATTCCCATAAAATAGATATCTAGAAATGCAATCAGCTTTTAATTTTGGGAGATATTGTTAAATTACCCTCCCCAAATGTACCATTTATCTTCAATAATGGATAAGACTGCTTGTTACCCATATGTAAAACAATACTATTTGTGGAAAAAAAGGATACATTATATTCTACTTAATTTGCATTTTTCTGAATATAATAAGAGCTGAGTGGTATTGACTATTAGTATTTTTTCTTCTGCTCCTTTGTATTTTTTGCCTACTTTCGACTTGCTTTAAAAAATATTTTTCTATTGATTTATAGGAACTCTATATTATGGATATTAAGTCTTTGTATCAAATATTTTATTCTAGCCTGTCACATATATTTTAATTTATATTCTATTGCAATTTAAAATTTTTTATGCGATGAGACTTGTTAGTATTTTCCTTTATGGCTTCTTTTATAAAAACAATCTTTCTTTGGATGATCTTTCTTACTCTGATGCTCCTCCCTTCCCTGAAAAAAATATCCTGAATGTTTCTAATGCATTTATAGTATATATTTAGAAATGTAATCCATGTAAATGTATTTATTTTTGTTCTTATAAGAGTAATTTTATTATTTTTCAACACAAATGTATGTTCATTATAATAACTCAAACAGAAAAGTACAAAGAAGAAATAAGAGAACACTTACAAGAAATTTTTTTATTAAAACAATTTATTTTTAAATACCTGTAGATTCACAGAAAATTGCAAAAAACAATTTACAAGAAGGCTCTACATAATCTTTACCCAGTTTCCCCCAAAGGTGACATCTTTGACTATTATTTTGATTTAGGAATAAAATAACTTTTAAGAAGGAACACATGTTCCTTTGGAGGGAAATGAAACATTCAATATTGTATTGAGGACCAGAAGATTCTGTTTTTCTACCTGAATATGTGGAGTTGATGTAAGATTTAAAAAGGAATGTGAAAAAGAATGTTCAGAGCAAGATTTAGAACAAGCTGAGGGAGAGAGGGAGGGAAGGAAATGAGGGAGGGAGGGAAAGAGACGAGGGAGGGAGGGAAGGAGATGAGGGAGGGAGGGAGGGAGAGACTGTTTTGGGGGAAAAAATATAAATACAAATGGAGGAAGGACAGGGTCAAAAATTAAATTTTGAAGAGGAAAGTAGAACTGTTGGTTAAGACTTAAGCTCACTATGAAGAAAACACGCATGGACAAGCAAGAATCATTATTACTAACATTGGTAAGTATTTAGTTGACATTGCTGTGTGCCAGGTTCTGTGCCCTTTATAGGCAGTTCCTCACTTCATCCTTGAAACAATCCTAATAGACAGAAGCTATTTTAATTTATGCATTTGACAGAAGAAGAAACCTGTGATGTGGTGAATCTAGGAACCTGCTCATGCACACAGCTGCTAATAATCGCCTGGGACTTCACCAGGCCTCTCTTATTCCAAAGCCCGTGCTCTCAACCAGTGACCATCTCTGAGAGAAAAAAAAAACCCAAACTGCTTTTTCCTCTGTTCTCACACTACAACACAGAAGACTGTGACAAAGAACCAGGGTTGGGGGGTCTGGCTCTTTCCAGTGACCGGTCCCCGGCCCCCACCCTGAAGCTGCATAAGGCCTCAATCAACTCATTAACATGCAAAAAGATAGCACTGTGGAGTTTCTAAAGATTTTAGGCATTGTACGCTACGGAATGAGATCGAAGATCTCAAATATCTATTTCATAATATTGCACCATCACACCCTCTGATCTTTTTCCAAAATCCATGTGTCGCACAAGGAGACAATATAGTTTTCCCAGAATAATCAACATAGAAAACTTCTGCCACCAAGTGTGTTTGTGTTTTTCCCCCACACACCAAGCAAGCAATCAATTCTGCAGCAGACACCAGCGGGGTATCTCCAACTCAATTCCAACACTATCTACAGATAGTGTCAGATCCCACAGATTGAGGGCTCAGTCCCACAAGACTACCCCCCACCCCCACCAGTCACAAGTCTAGGCCTCCGGAGCTTCTGACTGACTGGCTTCAAGTTGGGGTTCCCCCAACTCTCTTTATGGGTTTGATTAATTTGCTAGGGCAGCTCACAGAACTCAAGGAAACGCTTATTTACGTTTACTGGTTTATTATGTTACAAAGGATTCAGATGAAGGAGTGTGTAGGATGAGGGATGGGGGAAGGGACATGGAGCTTCCATGCCCTCCCTGGGCACACCACCCCCCAGAAACCTCCACCTTCTTATCTGGAAGCTCTCCAAGCCCTGTCCTTTCAGGTTTTTATGGAGGCTTCATTAGCAGGCGTGATTGATGAAACCATTAACCACTGGTGATCAACTTAACCTGTAACCCTTTTCTCCTCCCCAGAGGTCAGGGAGTGGGGCTGAAGTCCCAGTCCTAGAATCCTGCCTTGATTCTTTGCAGTGACCAGCCCCCCACTCTGAAGCTGCATAGGGCTGCCAGCCGTCAGTCAACTCCTTAAGATGCAAAAAGGTATCACTGGGAGTTGCTAAAGATTTTAGGAGTTACGAAGTCGAAGATCAAATATATATTTCACAACATTACACTATCACACCTTCTGATCTTTCTCCATGATTCATGTGTTGCACAAGGAGACAGTAGCATTTTCACAGGTTATAAATAATTTTGTAAAAGTGAATGAAAGTTTCTTCATTTTAAAAAATGTATTCAATGTAACAAGGTTTCTGTTCAAATCAATATGTGTACACCAATTCCATTTTGTGACATAAGAAAAAATTACATTTACAATAGCATCAAATAATATGATACACTTAATTAAACAAGAAAGCAAGTCCTCTTTGGAAAAAATATGAAATTTTATTGAGAGACACTTTAGACAACCTGATTAGATGTACTATAATACCATGTGCATGATTGAAAGACTCAGTATTTAAAGGCACCAGGTCTACCCAAATCTATCTACAGATTCATTGAAATTCCAATAGAAATCCTAATGATGCATGCATGTGTATGTGTGTGTTAAACTTAAAAAGTTATGTAGAAATATGCCGAGAATAGCAAAGAAGCTCTTGAAGAAAAAATGATGGGCAGAGTTGCTCTATAAGATGTTAAGACTTATTAAAAAGCTATTATAATTAAGACAATGTGGCTCTGGTGCAAGGATAAACCAACTGAGCAGTGAAAGAGAATAGGCTACTCCCAAATATTTCCACATAGATATAAACCAGTATATATGACAGATGTCATATTTATATGAGTGATATAAATATGAAGAGCCGAGAATAGCAAAGAAGTATAAACTTTTCAAAATGATGTTGGGATAATTAGATTACACATGGGAAAAAAATAAATTAAACCTCTACCTCATAACTTATACCAAAAATTATTTTCAGGTGGTTAAGACCTAAAAATGAAGTTGCTGGGCCTGGTGGCTCACGCCTGTAATCTCAGCACTTTGGGAGGCCGAGGCTGGTGGACTGGCTGAGGAGTTGAGACCAGTCCGGACAACATGGCAAAACCTCGTCTCTACCAAAAAATACAAAAGTTAGCCAGGTATGGTGGCACGTGGCTGTAGTCCCAGCTACTTGGGAGGCTGAGGCAGGAGAATTGCTTGAGTACAGGAGGTCGAGGCTGCAGTGAGCCATGTTTGTGCCACTGAACCGAAGTCTGTCGAGTGAGACAGTAAAATAATAATAATTATTTAAAATAAAAAATAAAACCAACTAACAATATGGCTAGGGACAAAGATGTAGCAAGTAAAACTATAAGGAACAATAAGTAGTCACTTCTCAGGGTAGGAAGAGTATTGGTTCAGGTGTGGAATAATGGGACCTCTGGATTGCTAGAAGTGTTCTTTTTCTTGGCCAGGCTGGTGTAACATGGATATACACTTTATAATGATTGCTTAGGCTGCACATGTATGTTAGATGCACTCTTCAATAGATATACTTTACTAAAAACATAAGAAAAGAGTATGCTAAGTGATGGAGGACTATACAACTTATAGTTAATTTTAAAGGTTCTCAGTTTGCTTTTTTGACATAATTGAGTTCGAGACGTATACTAGAGTGTAAGTTCTATATAAAAAGGATCTCAGTGTCTTGAACATAAGGATTGATAAAAACATTTTTTTTTTTTGAGACAGAATTTCATTCTTGTTGCCCGGACTGGAGTACAGTGGTGCGATCTTGGCTCACTGCAACCTCTGCCTCCCGGTTCAAGAGATTCTCCTGCTTCAACCTCCCAAGTAGCTGGGATTACAGGCGTGTGCCACCACACCCGGGTGATTTTGTATTTTTTGTAGAGACGGGGTTTCACCATGTTGGCAAGGCTGGTCTTGAACTCCTGACCTCAGGTGATCCACCTGCCTCATCCTCCCAAAGTGCTGGCATTCCAGGTGTGAGCCACTGCACCCGGCCAATAAAAATATTTGAATAGAAATATAGTTAAAGCCTTATCAGCACCACTGTCAGTGTTGTGAAGCTCTGTGCTCAAATTGGAATACAATGTTTTAAGCCATCAATTATCAACTTTCCATTTTATAGAAGGGATCAAACAGGTAGCAAGTGCTGGAAACTTGGTTAAATACAGCTGAGACTGCATTCATAGCATCTTGTTCATGTGGCTAGCAGTATATGCAAACAGGGTGGTAAACAAAGTGCAAACACTTGTATATAGGGATTAAAATATAGATGATGCTATACTCTCATGGCACAGTAAAATGGAGGAAATAATATTGAAGTGAGGCAGTATGTATTTCTATATTAGAAGATTATCCTATTTATATTAGATATTTTATTCATATCTCGTAGTCTTCTCTCAAAGCTGTGCAAATCCAAGACATCAGTAGTTATCTTGTACTTTCATGTGATGAAAAATTAAACTTGTTGGGCAGAGATGTGCAGTGGAAATGCTAATTTTCATAGCTGTCTCCAAAACCTTGATTCTCCTAAAAATATTCTATCAGAAGTTATAAGCATTAAGAGTTTTCACTGTAAAATTCTGTTAGAAAATATCAGTAACAAGATAAAACAGGTTTTAGAAAAATTAAGCATACATATGTGAGAGGCACTCATAATTATAGTGAAAAAAAGAAAGTTAGAGAAGGCAATACTTATTACTCTATCTAAAAGAAATTCTCAGTAAGAAGGAGCTTTGCTACAGTAAGAAGGAGCTTTGCTACAGCCTTTGTTAGGATATCTTGTTTGGAGTGCATTCTTCTTGACAGTACCCAGAACAAAAAGATTAGTTAGGGTGCCTGAGACATAAGATTAGAAAGGGCTTTGCAGTCACATTCATCCTCTGATTGAATTTTTATGGGCAGAAGAGAGGTGGTTTTAATCTGGCAGCTGGATATTTAAACTCCTTACTATTATCCTTTTTCTTCCTTTGCTGGCCTTTGCAGGTGGAAGGCAGAGGATTCATACATATCATTACCCTTCATCAATGCACCATCTGTAGCCCTTGTTCTTAAAACATTTTGGTTCAAATACTCTTTATTTTATTTGTATGAATTTAAGGGATATAGTGCCATTTTGTTACATGGCTATATTGTGTAGTGGTGAAGTTAATGTTCAAATATCCTTTAAAAGATTTTTTAAATCCATCATTCCCTTGATTATTTTTAATTAACCTAATTTTTGTGGCATAGGTTAAATTGTTGCCAAGTACGGACTTTTCAGGGCATTATATACATATGCTTTAAATATATATATTGTCAGAATTTCAGAAGTGCAGATCTAGTTCTTCCAATGTTACATGTCCTCTTGGCAAAATCAGTCTCTTTGTCAAATTAATTTATTAACTTTTTGTCAGAAAAGATGGACGATGGACTACTGTAATTCAAATAAGTGTTACAGTATAACCCAATATAATGATTGGGTTTAATTATATTGGATTTAATATAAACCCACTTCTCAGGCTTAATTATTCAACATATACAGTATGGGGAACTGTCAAGAGTTTGTCCCCTGGATAAAATAAGACACAGCTCCTTTCTATTTCTTCTAAATACATTTTTGCTTTTGTTCAGGGGATATTCCCTCAGAAGGTATGTATTTTGGAAATGTTTCTTTGTTTGGTGGCTTAGTGGCTTTTATCCTTTGGGGCAATGAATCATTATAATATTTGGGATAATAGGAGGCATGACTTTCTTTTATGAAATAGAAAAAGAAAAATTATGGAAATAGAATTTGGAAAAGAGAGTTCTTTAGACTGTCAGATTGGTCTTGAGCAAATATATTTGAGAAAAATATACATATGGAGTTTGAAGGTCTGGAAGTTTATGGGGGGGAGGAGGAATAAAATGAGAGCCAACAAATATTTCTTGAAATCTACTCTGGGACATGACATTACAAAGTTGAATGAGATGGCCTCAAACCCTGAAGTTGCTCACAGAAGCAGACATGTCCATGGTTGTAGTGTCCATGGAAGGGATTTTATAAATTTGAGGGAATCCTTCTATATTAGTCCATTCCCACATTGCTTGCAGTGAGCAGAGATCGCGCCACTGCACTCCAGCCTGGGTGACAGAGTGAGACTCCATCTCAAAAAAAAAAAAAAAAAAAAAATACCGGAGTCTGGGTAATTCTTAAAGAAAAGAGGTTTAATTGGCTCCTGGTTCCGCAGACTTTACAGGAAGCATGATGTTGGCATCTGCCCAGCAACTGGGGAGGCCTCTGTATACTCACAATCATGGCAGAAGGCAAAGGGGGAGCAGGCATGTCACATGGCCCGAGCAGGAGCAGGAGCAAGAGACAGCGAGTGAGCTGCCACACTTAAACAGCCAGGTCTCATGATAAGTCACTTACTATTGCAAGGAAAGCACCAAGGGGATGGTACTAAGCCATTGATGAGAAATCGTCCCCATAATCCAATCACCTCCCATTAGGCCCCACCTCCAACATTGGGGATTACAATTCAATATGAGATTTGGGTGTGGACACAGATACAAAACATATTACCTTCTGAAATTATACAAAATGTTCTCTACAGAAAATAATAAAAACTTGGCTGGGCATGGTGGCATGTTCTGGTAGTCCCAGGTACTCGGGAGGCTGAGGTGAGAGGATTGCTTGAGCCCAGAAGGTTGCGTTAGGGTTAGGGTTAGGGTTAGGGTTAAGGTTAGCCATGATTGCAGTCTTGCCTGGGCAACAGAGCAAGACCCTGTCTCAAAAAAAAAAAAAAAAAAGAGTTGGCATGAACTAGGAAACAGAAATGTATTTAGAACAAATGTAGTAAAAATCATGGTGGAGTTAAACTTTTAAAATTTGTAAATGCATAACTTTTAATTCAATAAGGGGACTTGATATGAGACCTCAATATTTATTTTGAGGTATAACCTGAGAAATATCTTCCCATACAAGTAGAAGAGATTTTATCCAATGGTTAGTGCCTCTAAGTTTAATAAAGGGAATTGAGAATGTAGAGATAATCGCAGGGGGAACAATTGTTTATGTTATTAGTGTGCTTTTTAAATAATAACTTGAGCTTTGAGGAAAATAACTTGGGTCCAAGATTACAGCAATTTATCTTTAAAATTGTGTACAACTCAATGTACACAAACTATACATGCATGTTTCAAACTGTGTTCCTAAAACTTCCATATCTCTTTTGCTGTCTGACTTCTTTTTTTTTTTCCTCCAAACTCAGAGCAGCTTATCATTGTTTGTATCAAGGCTTCAAAGTCATTGATAGCTATTTATTCTAACATCTGTTCTGAAATAAGGGAATTAGAAGGCAGATAATAAAACTGAAACTAGAGATAGCAAGTAGGAGATAGAAAAGAAAAGCCCCTAAAAATATGGATACATGGAGTTGGTATCTGAGAGGCAATATTATATAGCAGTGAAGAACACAAGTTTTGATTAGAACGGATTTGTTTTCAAATTATAGTGCTAGTGCTAGTAAGTGTTTCTGCCTACTAGCTATGTAACCTTAGTTACTTAATGTACCATATGTCAATTGAGTATAAATATTATTTACCTTGGGGACTGTTGAGAGATATAAATGAGATAATGTAACTGCATCTAGTAGAAGCTATTCTGACTGATATCCAAATTAGCTACTCAAGAGGACTCTCCAGTTGCAATACATTTTGTTCTTGGATAAAACATATTATTTAATACATTATTGTACTCATCAGATTTAGAGAAATTTCCAAGAATATCTGCATGCCCACCTTCCCCACAAAAAAAACAAAAACAGAAAATGAGGGAACAAAAACCAGACCAAATGGTGTGAATTATAAAAGTCAGGTACCAAAACTTAGAAAAGAGACCAATCTCTGGACTCACCATGTTGAGGGTGTCCCATATTAAGTCCTGAGAAGGAGCCTATTGTGGTTCCAGGTCAGTAGCAGCCCCTGGCTTCCAACAGAAGCACACAAATTTCTTCTGGAAGAAAGCTCATAGAATTCTCACATACTATGTTCAAACAAATGATAGCTCATAAGCAAACACTCAAAATGCACACAAGCCATCAATAGTGTAAATTCTCAGAGACAAAAATCAAACAAAAAGTACCAGATGAATTTAATGCCTGAGAACTTATTGGAATTGTCAGATGCAGTAGATTACTAAATATGTAATCTTTATAGAAAATAAAAAGAATGAGAAGCCAATAAGAGAATATCCAAATTAAATAGGTAGACTTGAAAAAGACCTAAATTGAACTTTTAGAAATGAAAAATATAATTGTTGAAATGGAAAGACATCAAATTAGACATAACTGGAGAGAGAATTTGTGAACTGGAATACAGAGCAAATAATTTTCCAGATAATGAGGCTATAGAAAATACAAAGGCAAGACAAAGAAACATGGACGATAGAATGAGAAGGAGTATGTTAAAGTGGAATTGTGGAAGTATAAAATAGGGATAAGAACTCTTTTTCAGAATTCATGATTAATGTGATCCATAAGTAAAAAGTAATGTGATCCAAAACACAAAGTATCAAGCAGATCAATTAAAATTTTTAAAAATGCAAACAGACAATTTTAGTGAAACAGAGCTAAAGATAATAAGAAGCTTATAAAAGCAGACAGAAAGAAAAGACAGATCACCTGCAAAAGAATAATTATACTAAAAACGAACTTCCTCTAACAGTAAAAATGGATGTCAGGAAGCAGTGGAAGAGTATCTTCAAAGTGCTGAGAGAGAAACTATCAACATAGAAATGTATATTCTGCAATCTATTTCTTCAATAGTTGTTTCAATAGAAAATGTTTTCTGAAAAACAGACACAGATTTTTTACCTCCAAAGATCCTTCATTGAGAGAAAATCTGAAGAATATACCTCAGAAAAAGAGTATGTTACTCCAGAAAAAAAACCTGGGATGCAAATGAATTGCTAAACATATCAATAAATCTAAACAATTTTATCTGTATAAAACAATAATTATTATCATACATTATTTTTGCAGATGATTTGTGTGATCAAAACGAAAGACAACTAAAATACTGGAAAATGACATTGCATAAGTTAGGAGGGGGAGATTGAAGTGTTTTTAGCTCTTCTTTCAGTTTTTTACTTCTTAGTGACAGGTCATCCTTTGGTCTTAAGCAGCAACAGCAATAATTTTAGTATCTTTCACGTTTCTGTGGGTCAGGAATTCAGGAAGAACTAGGCTGAACAGATCTGTCTCATGATCTCTCACATGGTGGCTGGAGTTGAAATAGCAAAGGCTTGGAGCAGCCGGGGCTGGCCAAACATCTCCCTTCCTGTGTAGTCTCAGGGCTTTCTGTGTGGTTTCTCCTTGTGAATTAGTGTGGGCACCCTCACAGCATGATTGACTCCAGAAAGTTGGACTGTTTACATGGCAGCTGGCTTTCCCCAAAGCTAGTGTCCATAGAGAACAATTGGAATTGCGTGATGTTTTAATAGCCTTACATGGGAAGTGTGCTAGCATCACTTTCATCATACTCTATTGCTTGAAGCAATCACAAAGTCCCACCCAGGTACAAGAGAGAAGAGTTCTAGCACAGATCCACCTCTTGTTGGGGGGGGAGTTCTCAAGTCACATTATTAGAGTATGCATGGTAGGAGAGTTTTTGTGGCCATCTCTGGAAAATATAATCTGCCACAGTCTGCCCTTGGGTCACAACAATTTATATCCCTCACATATGCAAAATAAACTCATTGCCTTCCTGAAGACCCTCAAGATCTATTCCATTACAGCATCAATTTAAAATCCAGGATCTCCAAAAGGTTGAAAGAGGAACAGCAACAACAACAAAAACCAGAAAAGAATAAACTGAAAACAAAAATACAGCAGAGTGGGTCCAAAAAGCCAAAGTTGATACTTTGAAAAGTCTACCACAATTAACGAACCTTTAGTAAAGTTGATAAATAAATAATAATTATTTTAAAATAGACTTTTCATGATTTTTCTACAAATCCATACTAAAAAAACAAGAAAAAACTCTACTGTACACAAATATATTACATACATAATAAATGGATAATGAGAATAAAATGGTATCTCCAAACCTAAAAAAAAGCCAGTGATTTTGTAACTTATGATATATCCATATTGATGGTATACTATACAAAGATATTATGGATTAATATACATAAATGGTTTCAATAAATGGTGAAATGCTCATGTTCTAATATTAAGTGAAAAAAATAAATATATAAATGTGTAAATATATAAAATTATATATATAGTTATGTTCAGAGAAAATCTCTAAGGAAAAAAAATCAACATTTTCCAAAGTTGCAAAATTTTATAATGGGGAAAAAAATTATTTAAAAAGCAGACCTTGGCTGGGCACAGTGGCTCACACCTGCAATCCCAGCTCTTTGGGAGGTAGGAGGCTGAGGTGGGAGGACTGCTTGAGGCCAGGGGTTTGAGACCAGCCTGGGCCATATAGTGAGACCTTATCACTACAAATATAAAAAATAAAAAATTAGCCAGACATGGCGTCTATAGTGCTAGTTGCTTAGGAAGCTGACACAGGAGGATTACTTGAGCCTAGGCGTTCAAGGCTGCAGTGAGCTGTGATCATGCCACTGTACTCCAGCCTGGATGACAGAGTGAGGCCCCATCTCTTTAAAAAAAGGCCTTGTTATTTTATAATTTTTCCTAATGTTAACTTATTTTGACAATACCACAGCCCTGTGAGTTGGAGGGGCAAACAATATGAATAAAGCCCTGATTTTGTGTGTGGGTTCCTGCCCTTCCAGATTTAAGTGAGATTAACTTGAACTCCAAATTTTATGTACTTAATTCAGAGTCAGAACGTTCTCCACATCTTTCCGGTAACCTTGTCCTGAGAGCAGCTAAGGTGAGCATAGCACCAAGAACACAGGACCTGACACACAGGAGTTACTGCATAAATGTCCATTTATCTTCTTTCTTTCTTTCCCTCTGTGAAGCTCTAGTCTTCAGTGTTAATAGCAGATCAGATCAAACATTACTCTAAAAGCAAAATTAGCACATAATTAGTAAATAAATATTTGAATAGCCCAAGTTCTCATGGCACTTTCATGCAGGCCCACTGAGAGTGGGTTGCACCCAGTGGAGAAACATTAGGGGAGGACCCAGCAAGGGTACGAGGTGGAGAATCTTTACCCAGGATTTATATTGATATGCCGATATGCCACTGGGCCAACAATTTGTACCAGCTTTCTCCCATCCACCCCTCCTCAGCCCTCTTTTTAAAGTGTGCTTCAGTTAAATATATTTTCAAATCAGTAAAATGTCAGTGAGTTGCAATTTCAGTGAAAGAAAATGTGCGGAGGGGTTTCTGTCAGCTAATAGAACAGCATTGGCTGTGTGATGAAAGATGAGTTGTTCAACCACTCTCTGCATGGAATGTGGCAGAAAACATTTAAGTCAGCACCAGAATTTTGTTTTGAAGGTGTGCTGTCTGTATATGGAACTGTTTCTTGCTGAATTCTAGGGATCAGGGAGAAACTCAAGGGCCTGTGTTGTTTCGGGAGTGGAATCTGAGTAATAGGTGAGTGTGGAATTGTTGGGATAAGCAAAAGAGAGGGGTTGAGGAAGAAAGAAGGTCTAGAGAAGGGAGACGTGGTAAAGGAGCAGGAGAGAAATCTTTGGGAAACTTAGGCATGTTGGCTAGAAACAAACTGAAATGTCTAAAATCAATTGTAAGTTGTTTTTCAGAGAGTGCGTGTCCTGAAATTATTTCCCCTTAATTCTCTCTTAAGTTCTATGACTCTTCAGATTTCTAATGTAGCCATGCATTTTTGTCAGTTTTGTATGTGACATTAGCGTGTGTATGTGCACGTGTGTGTGTGTGTGTGTGTGTGGTGAAGGGAATGTGCTTCATTCATTTGGGATCAACATGGTTTGTTCTCCTGGGTAATGGCACTGAGGGGACAGAGAGGACCTGGAGAATATAACCCTCCTAGGGATGTTCAGATGCAAATCCTGGGAAACGCCACTTTAGCAGTTGACTGCATACCCCTTTTGGAACGTACAGACAACCTTTTGACTTACAAAGCTATTTCATTACAGCCAAGGCATTTGTGCCCCAGCTTAACTGTGGAAGGCAAACTTTAAGTGTAAAGTGTGAAACTGGCTAATTATCTTACCAATTCCATATATGCCAAGAGCCTCTTTGAGCAAGATGGTAGGGGTCCATCTGTGAACAATTCATTGCACAGAGTTGATTATGTATTCCGTGATTTCAGATTGTCCAGCTACTAATGAACTTTCTTCATTATCCTCATGAAAACGGATGACAGTAACATTTATTAGTATGTGAATATTTCTATTACTTTATTAAAATAAAAATGACTTTATTGCTAAATTTATATTTGTAATTCATTTTATTGGAGAATAGAAACCCTGTAGATTAAATAGAATATAGTCCCAATGATTACTAATTGTATTGCATTGGATTATATATTGTTTAAAACAATATTTTTATTTTAAAAAAGTTTTCTTTCCAACTGGAATTATAAAAACATATCTGTATAAGTTTCTGTTACTAAGTTGCTTTAATTTGTTTAATAGAATTTTAAAAATCAGAGCTTTAGTGTTATTGCATTTATAAATCATGATATGCATTTTTAACCGAAGTTTCCACTGTAGCTTTCATATCTGAATCTCTTTGGACACACACACCCTGCGCACACACACAATACATGCGCTCACACACGTGCACATACACACACTAATGAGACAAAGGAGAATCAGAATCACAATGCAAATTGTTGACAAGGTCAGAATATAAATTAGTGGGACAGATATCATATTTGATAAATATTATTGCAAATACAAATGAAGGGAAAGGCAGAAAAAGGAAGTGCTACCCACATGGTTAAATTACCATATTTTATTGATTGTGAGCTGCACAGTTTTTAATATTTTAACATCTGTGAAACAGCTGCTTCTTACAGCCTCTGTTGTCCAGTTGGAAGCTGAGGCATAGTTGGCACTGGGAGTACATAGTTGTCACCTTGCTCATAGCTGCTCCTATGCTGTCCTCCTAATTAAATTATGCACATTGTTGTACTGCACATGTTGAGTTTGATTGGCATTTAAAATATCTCCAAAAAGATTGAATATCTATTGTGTATAAAGATGGAAACAAAGCCTGGGATGTAAATTTGATTTGTAAGCAGATTACTTCAGAGAAATAATGGAAGCAATTTTATATTTTCTTGTAAAGCAACATAAAAAAAGAAGAAGAAAATAACCACCAGCGGATGATGGTTTATTTTAAGTAGTTACTAAGATGTGTGCAAAATGATTGTCTAGACAAGGCAGATGAAAGTAGGAAAAATTGTTATGTTCCTTAGAATGGATGAAAAATGCCAAAGCAAGAAGAGACTAGTACAGGACTATTCACAATACTATTATAGAAACACTGAGGCATGGTTTTATTGGCAGTGTTTTTTTCTTTATAGTTAGTAAATAATATCTTTTTTTTTTTTTGAGACAGAGTTTTGATCTGTCACTCAGGCTGGAGTGCAGTGGTGCGATCTCAGCTCACTGTAACCTCTGCCTCCTGGGTTCAAGTGATTCTCCTACCTCAGCCTCCCGAGTAGCTGGAATTACAGGCACCCACCACCACGCCCAGCTAACTTTTGCATTTTTAGTAGAGACAGGGTTTCACCATGTTGGCCAGACTGGTGTCGAACTCCTGACCTGAAGTGATCCGCCCACCTTGGCCTCTCAAAGTGTTGGGATTAAAGTCGTGAGCCACTGCACCCAGCCAAATAATATATTATATTTGATAAAATATAATTTGTTTTAAACAAAAAAATCTGCCAATTCCTCTGAAATACAAATGATTAGATAGAAAATAAAACAGGGAATATTTGGAGGAAGCATGGCACATAAAAGAAAATACTAAGCACTGCACAACCATGAGGCACATAGAACTGATACGCTGAGAGGTAAGTAATGCATGTATTAGCATTATCCTGATTTTTCAGTGAAAACTTTTGTGACAGACAAGTTAGGTGATTTGCTTCAATCAGCTATTAAGTGGCAGATTAGGCACTTGAACCTAGGTCTTTGGACCCTTTTTTTTTTGAGAAGTAGTTTGAGAGATACTGTGGAGGGGTTTATGGTTGGCATCGCAGCTTACCCGTGTTTTACTGCGAGAGAAGAGAAAACAAGAAAATTCCAAGAGGTCAATAATGAGTTTACCATTTAAAAGAGAAAAGGAGGATTTATTGACTTGAGATACTTGAGTGAAACTCCTGGGGAGACAAAAAAGGGTGATTTATGATTCTGTACTCTGTATTTCAAAGATTCTGACAGTAACAGAATACATGAAAGGTGAAAGAATGCATGCTCAGTAAATGTTAAAAAAAAAAATACACCACCACAGTACTCTACTCTTAAACTTGATTGATATTTTTGCTGGGATTTTATTTCTACTTTGGAAATCCTTTTAGCATTTCGAAGATGTTCCTCCAATGTTTCTTCCTAGATTCAGTGTTGCTTCTGAGAAAACTGATGTCATTGTGATTCCTGATCTTTTGTGTATGACCTGTACGTCTACTTACCCCTGCATTCTAATCTGGTCGTCTTCCTCGCCTCATATTTTGAAATTTCACAGTGATACGCCTAGTGATTGGCTTAATTTCATTCATTGTGCTGGCACGCAGTGGACCTTTTCAATCTGCAAGGTTATGTCCTTTCATTTTGGATATTTTTCTTGAGTTATTGCCTTAATTCTGCTTTGCCAATTGCAGTAGTCAGTTGTTAGTTCTCTTATTTGACCCACCGGGAACATGTGACACATTGATTTTTCTCTCCTTAAACCACTTACTTCACTTAGTTTCCAAGTCAATGCTGTTTAGATTCTCTTGCCATTTTATTTTTTATTTATTTTTATTTTTATTTTTTTGAGGCAGAGTCTCTGTCACCTGGCTGGAGTGCAGTGGCGAGATCTTGGCTCACTGCAACCTCCGCCTCCCGGGTTCAAACCATTCTCCTGCCTCAGCCTCCTGAGTAGCTGGGATTACAGGCATGCGCCACCATGTCCGGCCTATTTTATTCACTTTCTACAGGATTTTATCCAGTCTCAGGGCTTAAATACTATATGTATATCCTCTGATGACTCTTAAATTTGTACTCTGAGACCTATTCTTTTATCTCCAGACTCATATACCTAACTCCCAGCTTGGCTAATCTATTTGGATATGTAATATGAATATCAAACTTAAAATAACCAGTACAGAACTCCTAATTCCCCCTTTTCTGCAAACCTGTGTATTCTGTCATTTTCCCCATCTCAAAGAAATGGAAACTCCATTTTTCATTTGCTCAGCTCAAAAACCTTGAATTGGAGTCCCCCTTGGCTTATTTTATTAAATCCACTGCTAAATTACGGTGGCTCTACTTTCGTATTTTATGACCATTATTCACCTCCTCCACTGTCATGACCTTGGTCCATGTGTCTCCCGAATAATTGCAGTCATCTCCCAATAAGTTTTTATGCTTCCAGCCTCACCACTGTGCTGTTTAGTAACTTATTGCCTCTCAGCTGCAAAACCACTTTCATATACCCTGGTTTGTGTTGCTGAAACCATGATTTTACAAATCACGTTTCCCCCTTGCCAGCTAGTTTCTGACTGGGGGCACTAGAGGGACACTATGGGAGGCTGAAAGGGGAAAGAGATTTGTTCCTTCCTGCTGGTGTCCTGTGGGTCTCCTGTCTCCTTGTGGTTCCTATGAGAATAACCCTAGCAACCATTCTTTTCCATAGCAGTAGCTAAATTCAAGTGGCAGCATTTCTCAGCACTTTAAACTTAGTCAACACACATGTAAGAGATTCTTATTCTTGTCTTTTAAACTTTGACATTTGTAAAACCACAACAACCCAGTCTAAGAATAAAGCAATTCTTTGGGAGGCTGAGGCAGGCGGATCATGAGGTCAGGAGATCGAGACCATCCTGGCTAACACGGTGAAACCCCGTCTCTACTAAAAATACAAAAAATTAGCCGGGCGTGGTGGTGGGTGCCTGTAGTCCCAGCTACTCGGGGGGCTGAGGCAGGAGAATGGCGTGAACCCGGGAGGCGGAGCTTGCAGTGAGCCAAGATCGCACCACTGCACTCTAGCCTGGGTGACAGAGCAAGACTCCATCTCAAAAAAAAAATAATAAACAAAAATAAAAATAAAAATCTTATTGCATTAGCACAAAGTAGAAGAATTAGTTTATCCTTGGCCATCCCAAACTCTTATGCTTCTTTATTCTAGCCAGGCATTTTCTTCCCACATGGGCTGGTTTTTCTACTTTAAATTATCATTTCATCTTACAATTGTATCCTGTGGTACTCTTCACAGCTCAGAAAAAAAAAAGCTTATTCTAATTAATTTGATAAAATTATTAGTCTCTTACCTGTTTTGGAGTGAAGGTGTTAGTGATAGGGTGGTGATCGTGGAACAGTTGGAATGTCAAGTCAGCATTTCCAGCAGGACATGGGTCTTTGGAAAATCACGTGCAACATTGTTCATTTAATTCATTTGGAAATTCATTAAATTTTCCAAATACAAGTATTTAAATATATAATATTATATATGTATTATTATGTCTATTATATATTTATATATAATTAAGTATAATTATATCTATAAAGTATATAATTATATATTTAAATACTCATGCTCACTTATTTTCACAACTCAACTTACAAAACATCAAGCTCACCAACATATTTCTAGTTTTTTGGGATATGCAGAGATGTGATTCTTAGAAGAGGCCTCACTTTCCCTGGGAAGTGCATCAGAATTGGCAGAGGCAGTGGCCCAAGAGATCTTAATGTTTATTAAAGATAAATGTGGGTTAGAAACAACAGCCTGGGGACTGCTGCTTTCCATTACCCCCTCCCCAATTGTGGTATCCTTGCTCCCATTCCCAGTGATGTGGTGTTCCTTGGTTCCAAGAGCCCCGTCCCCCAGCAATGCCCTGTGATTCAGATCTTCTCAACTCAATGTCTAGTCTCTACTCTATTCAAGATGATAGTGAGTCATTTGATAAACATATCTTTGTTGAAATGTTAGTAGTTTATAAGGGGTAATGTTTTACTTCTCTCTGTGGTTTTACATTTTAACTGGAGCCACCCTGAGGAAACTAAATGCTTTAAAGAAATAGAATAATTCTTTAACTGGAGAAACTGCAGACACTTTGACTGTCTTGGGAGTGAGGGCTGGGCAGGGGATTTTAGACGGGGGATTGGAAAGGAATCCTTCATGTTCTTTACATCATTCCATTTATACAGCTAGTTATTCCTAGGGCTGACCTTGCTACCACAAGATTAATGATGGCTTTTGGAGAACTAATGGGAAACAGACTCTACTCTTTTGTATTACAGAGCCCCAGAGAGGGCAGGATTCAGAGTCTATAGCTGTGCTCTAAGACTAGAGGCTCTTAGAAGGTTGCCTTTTTCATGGTTTACATGTCATGGCAACAAATTCTGTGAAAAAAAGAGATTTCATTCCTCAAATATATGCTAGATCATAACATGTGCCTGATATCACTAAAACCCCAGAAGGCAAAGATTTCATAACCTTTAGATGGAAAGGTTTTCTGATTTTTGTGTAAGAGCATTATTTTGTAAGAGCTTGACACTATTTGTTTGAACAATTGTTAAATAAATATTTTGAAACAGAGATTTAAAGTCCTGGACGAATGAAACTAGTGGTTACCGGTACTTACATTACTTGATCTCTGCTGCACTTAACACATGTTTCTGCATTCTTGATATTCTTTCCACCCTATGTCCCAACACAGCTCTCTTTACTGTTTCTTGTTATCTTCCTTTGTTGGTTTTCCTTTCATCTGCTACCTTAATGTTGGTGTTCCCAAGTGTTGAACTACCACTAGTTCAGACCTGTCCCAGGCCTTGAATCTCTTCTGTGCTTCAGACAGCTATGTGTCTACTGGCCAACTCCACTTAGAAATCCCCAGGTACCTCATGTTTCATATGTCCTTAAAGTGAATAATTTTTCTCCCATCAAACCATCCTTGATCCTGTAGTTATCATCACAGTTATTGGCACCATCTTTCAAGCCATCATGGTGGATAACCTTGAAGTTATTCTTTTTTTTTTTTTTTTTTTTTTGAAACCCGGTCTTGCTCTGTTACTCAGGCTGGAGTGCAGTGGTGCCATCACAGCTGACTGCAGACTCGACCGCCTGGGCTCAAGCAATCCTCCCACTTTGGCCTCTCAAGTAGCTGGGACTACAGGTGCATGCCACCATGCCCAGTGAATTTTTTGATTTTTGTAGAGACAAGTTCTCCCTATGTTGCCCAGGCTGGTCTCAAATCCCTGGCCTGGAGTGATCCTCCCACCTCAGCCTCCCAAAGTTTTGGGATTACAGGCATGAGCCACCATGCTCAGCCATTGAAGTCATTCTTGTACATCCTCATTGTCATCATCCCTATCTATTAATCTACAAACACTGTTAATATCACTTTTACATTATCCATGAACTCTGTTGCTGTCTCAGTATTTCCACTGCCATTGTCTTTGTTCAGGCTGTTCTAATCCCTTGCTGAAAATAGTGTCCTAAGATCTTCCTTCAACACCCCTCCCCTGTTTTTTTACAGTATAGATTTGTCTTTAAAATCCAGAGTCAATATTCTTCACTGGCTCCCCATTACTTTTTTTTTTTTTTTTTTTGGAGATGGAGTCTTGCTCTGTCACCCAGGCTGGAGTGCAGTGGTGCGATCTCAGCTTACTGCGACCTCCGCCTCCCGGCTTCAAGTGATTCTCCTGCCTCATCCTCCTGAGTAGCTGGGATTACAAATGCCCACCACCATGCCCAGCTAATTTTTGTATTTTTAGATGAGACGGGGTTTCACCATGTTGGCCAGGCTGGTCTTGAACTCCTGACCTCATGATCCACCCGCCTTGGCCTCCCAAAGTGCCAGGATTACAGGCATGAGCCACCTTGCCCAGCCCCCACTAATTTTTAAATGGAATCTCGGGTCATCATCCCCACCACTGTCTCCTACTTTCTTCAGATGCCAGTATCACTTGTCACTCTCCAGGGACCACACTCACCAGTAGCTCTGCACACATGCAATGTCCTCTGCCTAGAGAGTCTTTCTTTGTATTGTCCCTTACAAGGATTAGCTCTCCAATGGCAATGACTCTGTCTCTTTTTATCTTTTTATTCTCAGTATCTAGCAGAGTGTTTAACACAGTGAGTCATTAGCAAGTATCTGGGTTAGTATGTGCCATTCTGGTGAAATGTTGTATTCCAACTTTTAAATTAAATTAGCATAAATAAACACATAGACAAAAAAATCTACAAGAGAACTGAAAAATAGGGATAAGAGAAAAATAAAATGCTAGAATCTGCAGGGAATTTCCACTAACTGCAGCAAGGAGAGGGTTGGGTTGAGAGTCATAATCTAAACTAAGCCTGCTGAACCAGAATAGCACAGAAATCTGGGAAGAAGATGGGAAAAGACTGTGACTCAATCCCACTCTATCCACTGGCAAAGAAACACAGAAAATCCCAAAGCTGTGTGAATTCTTTTCTTAGCTGGCTAGGGCCATGCCCTTTCTGCTCTTAATCAGTTCTTCTCTTTCCTCATCCACTTGACAACCATACTTCACAATACACAAAACTGCCATGGGTAGAGAGGGAAAAGTAGAGGCAGTATCACTTTGCAGGCTGAGCTGTGTAAAGACTTTAGGAAACCATTCAAGGAGGGAAGATGAGAAGAAGAGCCCTTAGAACAGTGCAGCTGGAGGTGCAATTTTTATCTCTATCACTAAAGGAAGAATTAAATTCTGCGTATGACTCCCTAACCATCATCAGACAACCTGTCAGTTGGAGTAGAAGATCTTCCCTCAGTTTAGCAAAAATTTTAGATGATTGTTTGCTAGACATGAGAAACCAGGCTCAGGACTTGGCACTGTGGCATTCTTTGTAAGTCTAGGTCTAAGAAAGAAAATGCACAAATACTCAAATGATTAGTGCCTGAAGATAAAAGGATACCATATATACCTTTTTGAAACAAATATGGTTCTGGAATAAGTTTCTTGCTTTATGTTTGTTTTTCTACTATTTAAGAGAAATAATAGAAAAAAAATTTGGTATAGAACACCTCAAAACATTTTTTTTGTGTGTTTTTGTTTTGTTTTGTTTTTTGAGATGGAGTCTTGCTCTGTCGCCCAGGCTGGAGTGCAATGGCACGATCTCGGCTAACTGCAACCTCCATCTCCGGGTTCAGCAATTCTCCTGCCTCAGCCTCCCGAGTAGCTGGGATTACAGGCGCCCACCACCATGCCTGGCTGATTTTTGTATTTTTAGTAGAGATGGGGTTTCACCGAGTTGGCCAGGCTGGTCTCGAACTGCTGACCTCGTGATCTGCCTGCCTCAGCCTTCCAATAGTGCTGGGATTACAGGTGTGAGCCACCGCGCCTGGCCTCAAAACATTTTGTAACACAGAAAATGTGACTTAAAGACTCAGAGGAAAGGTCAGGTGTGGTGGCTCACACCAGTAATCCCAGCACTTTGAGAGGCCGAGGCAGGTGGATCATAAGGTCAAGAGATCTAGACCATTCTGGCCAACATAGTGAAACCCCGTCTCTACTAAAAATACAAAAATTAGCCAGGTGTGGTGGTGGGTGCCTGTAATCCCAGCTACTTGGGAGGCCGAGACAGGAGAATCATTGAACCCGGGAGGCAGAGATTGCAGTGAGCCAAGATCATGCCACTGCACTCCAGCCTGGCAACAGAGCCAGACTCCATCTCAAAACAACAACAACAAACAAACAAACAAACAAAAAAGACTCAGAGGAAAAACACGCATATAAACATGCTTTCGCAGAGGAAATAGAAAAAATTTCAAAGCCTTAGCTTGGTGACTTAATAAGAATTGACCCATTAGGTGCACAGAGTGGTTAGGAGAACAAAGGATGAGCTGAAAGTTGAGATGAAAAGAGAGATGGCTGAGAGCAGGCAGAATTGCAAAGAAAGCAATAAAGTTCATGTTGGATGTTGCAAAGAGCAGAGTTACAGTGCAGAAAGTAAACCCCTTAATATTTCCATTTTAAGAATGTCGAGGAAAAAAACTCAGAGAGATGAATATAATGAGAAAAAAAAGATGAAGGAAAGGGAAAGGAGATTCATCCTAAAGATGACAAGTTTGCTGAAGAAGAATCAATAAAGAATTAAAAAAAGTAATCATCAGACCCAATAAGGAAAAAAAAAAAAGTTTTAACAGCCATAAGGCTTTCCAGAGCTGAAACAGGACTGGGTCCACAGGCAGAAGTACTTAGTTACATTCCAGGTAAAATTAATGCAAAAAGACCCACATTTAGACATATTGTGATGAATTTTTACACTTCAAAGATAAAGAGAAAAACTCTACAAGCATCCAATCAGAAAAATGTGATTTACCTACAATGGAGTAAGAGTCAAGGTAGCTTCAAACTTTTCCCTATCACTAAATTTCAGGACAGATGTCATGGTAAGTACCAAGATGTGAATGATTCTTTAAAAAGTCTAGCCAAGTTGTCATATATATAATACGAGGGCTGAGAAAGGTTATTTCTCGAATATTCTTCTTGAATTTTTTGAGTATAAAATATGTACTATATACATATGTATTATGAATATGCACTACAGCTGAGAGTCAAATATTCAAGAATAAGAAATTTGCAGTATAAGATACTGATAGTAATTCAAAAGCAATTAAAAGTATACAGATTGAAACGGTGTGCTGGTAAATATTCCAAAACCAGCTCTGGGGTGGGGAAGAAAGCCTTCATGTTTAGTGTTTGCTGATATACATGGTGTAAGTGCCGCCCCCACGGCCAATTCAAGCTGCCATTGTGATGTTAATGTGGAGTTGGGGAGTGATAAAAGGTAAATTGAGGTACACTAAAATTTTAAAAAGTTGATTTGAGCAAACAGTGGTTCTTGTTTCACAAAGCACCAAACCAAAGGTGGTTTCAGGCTTTGCAGAGGGAATGCAAGGAGAAGGCTTTTTATGGGGTGAACGCTGAAATAAAGCAAGAAAACATTTGATTGGTAACAGTTATAGAGTTGCCTTAATTGGTCTGTCCTGCGGAAAAGTGTTTAGTTATATAACCATAAGTTTGTACGTTGGTGGCTATTGAGCTTAAAAAGTTTCATTTTTCTTTAACATAGGTGTTTACAAGAAATATTAATAGCTCAAGTTTTGTTTCACTTATGTTTGCAAATCAAGCAAGGTTAAGGCCACTTATGAGCTCTGACTGGCTTTGTCTGCTCAGGAATTCCTCAGCCGTGGTCTCCATTTTAATTTACTTTAATAGGAGAAATGTGAGCAATTGGTCCTCACATGCCTACTAGGATCCAGCTACTAGTAGGATCCAGATCCTAATAATTAGGATCTGGACCTATTAGTTCACTCTTTGAGCACAAAATAACTTAAATCTTCATCAGAGGCCATATATCAAAATTAACTGTATAATCATTTTATTAGTTTCTTAGGGCTGCTACCACAAATTACCACAAACCACAAAAACAACAGAAATTTGTTTTCTCAGAATTTTGGAGGCTAGAATTTTGAAATCGAGGTGTCAGCAAGGTCAGGCTCTCTGTGAAGTTTCCAGGGCTCTAGAGGAGGGTCCTTCCTTACATCGTCCTAGCTTCTGGTGCTGTCTAACAATCTGTAGCTTTCCTGGCTGATAGACTCAGCACTCCATCTCTGCCTCTGTCCTCACACAGCATTCTTCCTATGTATGATCTATGTCACTGTTTTTTCTTTTTATAAGGCTGCCAGTCATTGGATCAGGGCTCACCCTAATGTGCTGTGGCCTCATTTTAACTTAACTATTATATCTACAAAGATCCTGTTTCTAAATAAAGTCACATTCTGAAGTTCTGAGTGGGTGTGAACTTTCTGGGGATCAGTACAAGGATTTGACCCAAGAGAAAGATTCACACATTAAATGTAAGAAACAGACTACAAAAATTAAAAGCATTAGTGTGAATACTTATTTGTCTTGAGGATAGAGTACTTTCTGCTGGCAGAAATCAAAGAAAAATGATTTATACATTTGACTCCAAAAATTTAAAATGTGTTCTTGTCAAAAACATAAAATCTAAAAACCGACAATTATTTGGGAAAAAATTGCATCAGAGATACCAAGATAAAGTATAAATAGGCCAGGCGCAGTGGCTCATGCTTATAATCCCAGCACTTTGAGAGGCCAAGGTGGGCAAAACCCTGTCTCTACTAAAAAATACAAAAATGAGCCAGGCCTGGTGGTGTGCATCTGTAATCCCAGCTACTCAGGAGGCTGAGGCAGGATAATCGCTTGAACCCAAGAGGAGGAAGTTGCAGTGACCAGAGATTGTGCCATTGCACTCCAGCCTGGGCGCAGAGTAAGACTCCATGTAAAAAAAAAAAAAGTATAAATATATTTTTATATATTTATAAAGATGATATGTAAACAGGTATGAAAAATATTGTAGTCTCAGGAGATAATTGGATGTAGAGGTAGAAAAGTCACAAAGGAGTAAATACAGTTGGCTTGTAAAATAAGTATTCAGTCATATTAATAAATATACTCACATTAGAGCTGGAAGCAAATTATCTATTTTTAACAACCAAAGTAGAAAAATAAAGAGAAATGATAACAATGCTGCTGTATATTCTCATGCACTGCTAGTGGGAGTATAAATTAGTACAACCTTTCTTTTAGGAAAACAAAAGAATTGACATGTATCAAGAATCTTGAAAATGTTCCGACCTTTTGAATTCATAATAACACTTCTAAAAAAGTCAGAAAGTAATAATCTAGCAATGTATAAAGGATAAAGATGTAGAAAGCAAAAGAAGATATAACAGAATTAAGTATTATTTTGCACAATTAGAAACATTCTATTGTTAAGGATATTGCAGGGAATATAATTCATTCTAACTAGCCTAAGCATAAATGGGTTTATTTAAAGGGATTTTACAGCTGTCGAGAGGGTGAAGAAATAGATTCTTGATTAAGGAAATGGAAAACAGCTCCAAAAGCCAAATGACAGAACGTCTCCAGCAATCAATAGACTGCAGAATCAGTCAGAATCAGAATCCCTGCCACGTTGAGAAGCCACAACTTCAGCTGCTCACTCCAGACTCATGCTGCTTGAATCAGAATCTGGCTTGAAAAATGGGCCCCTGTCTCCTCATTTAACCCAGTTCAGAAGTCAGGACTCACACAGGTACATGACATTGGCTGCGCCAGCATCACAGCTGGAATCCCGGCTATAAAGAAGTCTGAGAAAGGCAGTTCTTAGCTTTTCCACTTTGGACTACAGGAAGATACAGAAGGAGGTTGAAATGATTATTTTGTGATCCAGTCCATACATGCACCACACTCTAAACATTCAAATTATAAGAAATGTATTCAATGGCTTTAAATGACTCTGAAATACTTTTGATTAAACATTTTTTAAAAAGCATGAAATAGAAGCATATATAATGCATGATCTCATCTATGTAAAATATAGAGGACAAAACACCTGAGAAATATGTCAGTGCATTAAACACTTGCATGAAACTGTAGGAGTTGTTCTTTTTCTTAATTATACCTTTTCTGTTTCCTAAAATGAACATAAATTAATTTTATAATTCTCATTTCCCATCAAAACAAGCAAACACATGTTTGTTAAATAAATGAAGGAAGTATTGAGGACATGAATGAAAAGAAAATAAATATATCCATGGCTGTTTCTTTCGCTGTTTTAGGGTTTGAAGAGATCCCAAAAAGGCTTGTTAATTTCCCTCTAAATTTGGCTCTTTCACATCAGGCATGAGTTGTAGCTGCTGATGAAATACTAGAGGTAGCACAGGCTAGTCATTTAGACTGGAATTTAGGGGTATTTGTGTATTTATGTGTTTCTCTTGGGTAATATATAAATATATGTGTGTATATATAATATTTGGGTTAAAGTATATGACTATTTAGAATCTTACTTAATATTAAAATGTAAAGAAACTAATTTTATTTATCAATCATAAATAAATCAATGAGTACAGTGATTGCTTCCAAAGAAAACAAAAACCTAGAGATACAGTGTATATAAGTATATGTATATATGTATATGTGTATATATATATATATGGTCTTTTTCTAGTTAACTGTCAATAAGATTACTTACACTTCTTTCACATACAGTGCTACTTTTAATTAAAATATTATTGGTATTTTGAATGAATACTTTTTACTGCTTGTTAACTGTGATAAAAATAATAACTTCTTCAATGTCTTTTCTCTCACTTCTTTAAGTATTAGAGATTTTCTTTCTGGAAAATTAGAGATTTTCTAATGTAAATCCACTACCAAAATAAAAATACTCGAGTAGAGCAAAAAGTTACTGTCTACAGTTTTTCCCTCGTGAGGCAGCTTCTCTTGCTGAACATGTTTGGACCAAACTTTCCAACTTAGCATGTGATCTAGCACAACGATTCCCTTGGAGATTCTGAGGGATGATTTGACTGCCCTACCTCATTACAAGGAATTCCTTCAGTGTGATGTTAAAAGGTGTGGACTAATGTGTTAAAATTAACCCAATAATAAAACAAGTTAAATAAGTTAAGTTTGTTTACTTAAGTTTGTTAAATGTTAATAAACTTTTTTTTTGAAATTTATTCTTAATATAAATATATTTGGTTTCTTATCCTAATACATTGCAATTATAAGATGTACTATTAAGAAGATTCCAAAGTTCACTGTATTGTGCAGTTTTTTTAACTTTCTTTTCCATTTTTGAAAATGGGTGAAGAATGGTGGTATTAGCCATATTTTAGAGAGAGAGGAGAATGACTGCTGTATATACATGTAACATATGCAATTCGTTATTCAAAATACTTTTTAGGCTAGGCAGACAGTAACTGAGGACACTTAGAAATGGAAGAAATTACTATTTGCCCTACATCTAATATAGGTATAAGCAAGGAAAAGGTTTATTTTAAAAGCTAATCCACTAACACTTGAATCACAACGTGAAATGAAAATAGATGTTCTGTTTTCAACAACTGTAATATAATTAACTCTTAGGCTCTGCTTTTACTTAGCCTCTGAATCAACTGTTTTGCAGTCTACTGTGGTTTGTTTGGGGCTGTTTGCAGCACATGATTTAAAGAATTGGAGGTGAAATGAAATGAGTGTATAATTTAGTCTTTGAAATTGAAGAGAGCAAGTGAGACATTTCTTCTCACCTCCTCTTCTTTGTTATTTTCTACACTTTGCTATTTCTCTCTTCGTCTTTATTCATTGTGGCAGATAAATAATGGGATGAGTGATAGGAAGGAAAATGATTTTTGTTCTTTTTCTCTTTTTGCATCTCAACCTCTTTAATCATACAAGTTTTTGATTGCCTATTTTATCTTTGCTGTTGTTTTTGGTAATACCTCTTTATTTACCTCCTCTTCCTCTTGTCCTTTTGCTTCCCATTCTTCTGTTCTCTTTTTTCCCTTTCTTCTCCATCTGTCTCCACTCATCATTTTTTTTCTTTCCAGGTGATGATGTAAATTGGAAAGTTAGGGTAGTGGTATTGCTGGTGGGCAAGGTAGGTGTCTGAAATAACTGCATGCTTCTCCAAGGAGACTGGTGGCCTAGGAGGGAGCCATCTTGGTGCTAGGAGAGAATGAAAAATGGCTGAAGGGAATGCCCAGGGATGGACTTGAGATGCTACCTCCAGTTCTCCATAGCCTGCATGTGATATTTTGGGAATCATGACATTTCCACACTGCCAATATGTAGAAAAGCACTAAAAGTACTGATGGAGCAAAAAGGGCTGAAGGCAGAGAAAAGGCAGGCATGGATTACTGGGACAGCAGAGAAGGTTAGAGACTTGAGTTCTGGTTGTCAGCTTGGTGTCCAGAAAAACCAGACATACCAGCCATGCAGACACCACCAGTGCCAGGTCCCAAGGACAAGCTCAGATCAACTTCACCACATTGGAGACAGCATAAGGATCTACTATTTCCGTGAGGATCCTGGGAGGGAAAAATTAGCTCTGAAGGAGTTTTGCGTTTTAAATGAATGAAATATTTGCCCCCAACACTGTTTTTACTTTGAAAGACACTTAATTGCTTTTAATTGGCAAATTTAAGGGTTTTTCTTCCGCCGTCAGTGAGGATGGGAACATCAGAGTAAGATGAAGGCAATTGCAGGGGGAAAAAAGTTAGACTTTTGCACATGTGAGTTGTGTATAAATTTTCAATTCTGCTATTAGGGGTGTGTATATGAAAGACAAAAATCCGTATGTTAATTGAGGTCAACTCTGAATGGTAGAATTGTTAGGTGGTTATTGTTTTCCTTCTCTGTCTCTCTCTCTTATTCAATATGCATTTATTAAACACTGTCCCTCTGCCAAACATACTCCTTTGTGCTTATCTTTATTTCTAAATTTCTCTACAAATAATATATTTCTGTTTTACTTTTGTGAAGAGGAAGACATAATTGACTGTTATTTAAAAATAAATCTATCCTATTCACTCACTGTAGTATTTGAGTGCTCGTGTCTCATCATGTGAGTTGAAAACAAGGCCTTGGAGTTGACTGTTCTGTTCCTCAGTATATGTTTTTGAGGTTAGTTAAATATAAGTTCCAAGGTTTGCAGGAATCATTTTGCTGGGCTTATGTAGAGCTTAATTCCCATGCAAACCTTTTCATTCACTATTTTAGGCTATGTTGTGATTACATACAAACTAGAACTCTGTTTTGATCTTCAGAAGTGGAGGAAGTTTGTAGAGTGTTATGATACTCTGGTACTCAAGTGATCTTACTGAAAATGGATTAAAAAGGTTCATGTGAAAGTCAAATCTGGTAGTTGGTTCTTTTTTAAATATAATGATTCCTCTATGTGGGTCAAGTTTTTATCACACCATATACAATGGAAATTCATTGCAGATGGGTCATGCATACCCTGGCATGATGTCTTATAGCAGCCTCCTAACGTAGTCATTGCAAGGTGTAGATGGCAGGCACATACCAGTGAGAAATTTCCATTTGCTTTCCCAGAACTAGCAAATACACTCTCTAGCTGCTTTAAAGATCCTGTAAATGATTTGTTCATGATAATTTCATTTTAAAAAATCCTCCATAACAAGGTTCCCCAAATTAATTATCTTGTGGCTTGTGGTAGACAACAATCAACCTGCCGGGTCACCTAACCAAAGGCAAGGTGAGTGGAATATTAAGTCCTCTCTTGCTTCTTCAGATGTAGTCTGAGGCCTGGGAAATGGTTTCAAGTGCCCTCGCCTCCACCCTATCCTGGCTCTGAAGTGCAGCTGGTGCTCCCTTCCACTGCTGCATCCCAAGAGAAGGATCCCTGTCTTCACACCCTTCTCAGATTTTCAGTTTGAGTTTATGACACAAAGGGAAATTCCAAATTACTTCTTAACTTTTAAATTGAAGGATAATCAAAGAGATTATACAGATATCCTGTCTATGTAACTATAGAAATATAATAAAATTAAAACACAGTGTAATTTACATTTGTGGTATGTTACTGGCAAGAACTTTTAATAAAATAATAATTGAATAATGAAATTCATCATTAATTAAATAAATGTGATACCTATAATAAATATGTAATATATTAAAGCTTTCAATGCTAATGCAAATAGTTCTATCAGTTGTTTTAAATTAGAGTATAGAGAGGGCATAGCCAAGTTCTTTGTCATAAAATAAAGATGATACATTTTATAATATTTTGGTGGGATTCCATTCTCTTATAAAACTTTGCTTACATTTAGCTTGTTTCTTTTGGATTATAGAAAAGAGATTCTTTGGTATTCCCTTTCTGCTCTGACAAAGAACATGAAATTCACCATTTTCACTGATCCCTGCACTTATTATTCCTTGCTATTTCTTTTTTATTTTATTTTATTTTATTTATTTATTTTTTTGAGACCAAGTCTCACTCTGTTGCCCAGGCTAGAGTGCAGTGGCTCAATCTCAGCTCACTGCAACCTCCGCCTCCCAGGTTCAAGCAATTCTTTTGTCTCAGCCTCCCGAGTAGATTCTCCTGCCTTGGCCTCTTGAGTAGCTGGGATTATAGGCGCCTGCCACCAGGCCTGGCTACTTTTTGTATTTATTTATTTATTTATTTATTTTGAGTCTCGCTTTGTCACCCAGACTGGAGTGCAATGGCATGATCTCGGCCCACTGCAACCTCTGCCTCCCAGGTTCAAGCGATTCTTGTGTCTCAGCTTCGCGAGTAGCTGGGATTATGGGTGCCCGCCACCATGCCTGGCTAATTTTTGTATTTTTTATAGAGACGGGGTTTTGCCATGTTGGTCAGGCTGGTCTGGAACTCCTGACCTCAAGTGATCCTCCCATCTTGGCCTCCCAAAGTGCTGAGTTTACAGGCATGAGCCACTGTGCCTGGTCTATTTTATTTTTTTGAGAGAGTCTCACTCTGTTGCCCAGACTGGAGTGCTATGGCATAATCTCGGCCCACTGCAACCTCTGCCTCCCAGGTTCAAGCAATTCTTGTGTCTCAGCCTCCTGAGTAGCTGGGATTACAGGCACCCACCACCACACCTGGCTAATTTTTGTATTTTTTGTAGAGATGGGGTTTTGCCATGTTGGCCAGGCTGGTCTCGAACTCCTGGCCTCAAGTGATCTGCCCCCCTCAGACTCCCAAAGTCCTGGGATTACAGGCATGAATCACCGGGCCTATTTCTTGTTATTTCTAAGTGTTCACTGACAGTTTGGAATGTCAGTCACATGTTTAAATTTTATTTCACAAAACAATGAGACATGAGAAATGAACAGTTATTTACATTCATCTCATTATTCTGATAATGCCTATATAAACAAATGCACAGACATACCAAGGCTAGGAAGTGGTTTCCTATTAATTTATAACTTGTGTCCTTGGAGATAATGCTTATTTCTTTGGAAGGGTTCTTTTAAGATTCAAATTTTCATCACTTGCTTTTGCAAAGAGGAGAGTAATGATGATGATGATAATGATGATGTGGTGATGATGATGATGAAAGCTAGTAGTTGTAAGACTTATTATGTGCCAGGCACTATTCTAAGTGTGTTATACATATGAACTCATCTAGTCCTCACAACAGCCCTATGAAATACACGCTATTATTATTTTTTTCAAATGAGAAAATTGAGGCATAAAGCAATGAAGTAACCAGCTTAAGGTTGTGCAGTTTGCCTGTGGAAAAGGCGGGACATACAGGCTTCTCAAAATACCTTCTCTAAAATTTGAAACCACATTTGAGACCATCATCTATATTAGACACAGATATGAACATGAAAATCAATGGGTTTTCCAAGATACAGTCTATTTTTAAAATATAAGGTGTTGCTTTACGCCATCATCTCCATTTTTTTACTTAAATGGTGATAGTCTATAGATTAGAGTATACTTCACTTAATATTATGTCTCAAAATAAATTAATATCTGTTTTTAAAGTTTAGTATGGCCTTAATTTCATATAAAGAAACTTAAACAAATAAATTGCTCTTCTGAGAAGTTCAAAAGGGAGAGACCATAAGAGATGAACACCTATGGTCAAAACAACAGCAAGTACAATTTTATTTGTCCTGGAAAAAAAATGAGATTTTTCTAAAAGATTCCTGATATTAAAAATGGTTGTGTGATTTGTGGAAAGGTTGATGTTTCTCGGAAATTACCATATTCTGTTTACAAGAAAATGAACTAGTGCCTAATGAGAGATTTGTATTTAAGGGTGCTATTCAGTTCCTAATTACCCGTTTTCTGGCTTCAGGCAGGAAAATAGCTTGCATAAAAGCCAGTGATAGAAAATGTTGCATGACAAATGTGAAGGCAATCAAAGTATCTCTTATGTTATCTTGGTATTCCTTAAAAAAGAAATAGCATATTTTGCTTTTTGTATACCATATTTTGGTAAGAATTAAATGCACTTTGTGACAAAGATACAAAAATGCTTAGAAATTCACTCATTTCATTATGCATTTATTTGTTCAACAAATATTTATTAGATACTGCATTATGTCAGGCATAGCATTAGCCTTAGGGAACAGCAAGATAAAGGACATTAGTCTTTTCTGAAGGAATTCCATAAAGGAGATCTAAAAATTAAGATATAAAGACATGGCAAGATGACAAGTACCTTGATAAAAATAAAGTGATAAGAGAACACAAAGTTAGATACCTAATCCAGGCTCAGGGTCATGGAAAACTTTTTATAGTAGATACCATGAGTTGAGTTCTGAAAGATTAGTAGGAATTAGCAGGGCAAAGGGGGCATTCACTTTAGACAGAACAAGTAGCATGTGCAACAGTTTAGAGGCTTCAGCGAGCATGACCCTTTTGATGAACACCAAGTAATCGGGCAGGGCAAGGGTAGGGAGTGCTGACGAGCAGTGGCAAGAAAAGAGGCTGAAGGTGTAGGCAGGGATTATATCATGCTTAGACTTTATCTGAAGATGAGGAGAAGCCCTTGAAGAATGCCCCCTTGACAGGAAGTGACATGGTCAAATTGGACTTGGGACAATTACTTGGGGAGGATTGAGAATTATGCGTTAGAGACCGATCTGTTAAAATAAGAAGGAGGAGGCTTGAAGGTAACCTGAAATTAAACTGTGGTACTGAGGATATGCATTAGTTAGGGTTGGCCAACTGCCATGATAAACTACCCCAAACTTTCATGACGTAATACAGCAAAGCGTTCTTTCTCATCCAGACACAATTTGAGGGTGCACAGAAAAGGGGAATGGTTCTATTCTGCACTGTCATTTATGGACCCCAAATTATTCCATCTCTGGTTCCACCATTCCCTTAGGGCTATAGAGTCCTTGAGTAGATCCTGTTGTTGCTGAAAGGATTCTGTTGTTGCTGGCAGAGGAAACAACTGTGTTTGACCTGCATAATGGCCACTTTATGTGGCTCAGCCTGTAACACTGTAATAGATAGATGGAAAGGTAAACTTAAGAGATGCTATGAAAATGGAACTTAGTGACCAACTGGATGTAGAAGTTACAGAAAAGGGAAGAATATATGTTTTTAGTTTGGTTGAGTCACTGATGGATGGTTGTGCAATCTTTTCATGCAAGGAATGTGGTTGTCACAATAGATATTGGAGGAAAGTTGTGAGTTTGAGATGCTTCCCACAGATCTCCACAGGGCTGACTCCCTAACTTTCTTTGAACTTGTGTTAAAATGTCACCCTAAACAAAACAGCAACACTCTCACTCTGTCTTTTCTTATTATCCCACTTTATTCTCTTCATAGCTCTTCCCAAATATTGTTCATTTTTTGGTTTACTGGTTGTCTCTTCTTACTTGAATGAAAGCTCCATGACAGCAGAGACTTTGTTAGCATTGTTCATTGCTACATCCCTCAGTGCATAGAACAGCACCTGGTACATGATAGGTACTCAATAAATAATTGCTAGGAGTGTGAATGAATCCAAATGGAAATGGTCAGTGGAATGAGGCTTTCCAGAGAGTATGGGTGACACAAGAGAAGAAATCAGTCATTGAGAGAAGGAAACAGATTGGGAAGTACCTAGAGAAAGATGCACTTTTGAGCAAATTTTTGTTTGTTATGTTAGTTTTCAGTTGGGGGAGACTTGGAAAAGAGTCTATATGGAGGAAGGGGCCAATGATGTGGAGTAGGCAAAGAGAATGATGTGGACCAGGTCCTGCAGAAGGTGAGAAGGAACCCAGACTACCAGGGAATGAATTCACAGGACAGGAGGGCTATGTCTTCTACTCAGGGAAAAGCTACACAATATAATTCAGAGCATAGAATCAAGTGTCAGGCTGATCTGAGTTGGAAGCCAGAGTCTACTACATTCTTGCTATGAAATTTTGCTAGAATACTTAACTGCCCCGATCCTTAATTTTCTCAACAGCAGAAAAGGGATAATGCCTTCCTCATAGAGTTACTGCAAGGCTTAAATGACATGACATGCATTAAGCAAGAATCTTGTGATGGAATTTGTTGATTATTTCTGTAATTTAATTATAGATCTTTTGATTTTTATCTCAAATTATTACTAGTGTCATAAATAAACAAGAGGCCCTATCTATTATATGTTTTTTTTGTTTCATTTGCTCCAAAAGGATTTGGGATTTCATGTCCTTTGGAATTTTGAATAAGTTTTGAGGGTTAACATCAAACTTGTTGTCAACAAGCCAAATCCGGCCTGCAGAGTTATTTCACTTGGCTATAACATTATTTTTTTTCTTTTTAACTTGAAATCCTTAAATGGGACATGCAACAATCCATTTCCAGGTCTACTCCCTCTTGTCTTTTGCCTGGGCTCTTCATATATTTTCCTAATTTACTTGGCCTTTGTAGACAACCCATGATCTAGACTGATTTCTACTATGAAATCAATTTCATAGTAATTTCTACTATTGATTTCTACTATAAAATATCTCATACCTTTAATGACTCTCATATTGCAAAATCCCCACAGACCACTTTCTGTCTTTATTTTATTGATCTTGCCTCAACATTTGCCACTGTTGATAAACTTTTGAAACTCTTTTTTCCTCTGTTTTCTGTCACCTTCCTTTTTTGTCTACTCTTTGCTGCAGCTCTGTCTCCTTTGCCCACCATTTAAGTGCGATAATTTGTCAGTGTTTTTATTTTAGCTCACTGTTCTTCTTGTTGGCTCATGTCTGTGGCTCAACATGTTCAAATTTGGATAATAGTCTTTCTCTTCAAACCATTTTCTCCTATTGTGTTACATATCACAATGAAAGCAGTCGCCAGAAATCCAAGCCATTCAATCCCCCAAACTGAAACCACTTTCACATCTAGAAATAATAAATATTCAACAACTGGCACAGTGTAGACATTAAATAAGACTGGACAGTGCCCTGTACACCTCACTGTTGCTTCCCAGCTAAAGATCAGCCCTCCACACTCAGTTACCCAAGCCAGCTCCTACTGCCTCTGTGGTAACATCATTTTACCATGGACTATTCACATGCTAATGTGTTTTCATTTTCCTTGTAGGTAAAATCTCAACCTTGAGTGGAATAGATCCTTCCTTTTTTCTGTCCTGTGCATCAAGCTAGCTACACCTCTAGCTGCTCCCAAGGCTCTCAACTTTACCATATTAAATTGTTTGCATTTCCCCAGGTACTACCTGCTCTTACCACATGCCCTTGCCCATGCTGGTCTTTCAGCAAAGAGTGCTCTTCTCCTTCAACTCCGTTTGCATAGCTACTTTTTACTCATTCTTCAAAATTCATTTCAGATATATGCATATCTGAAAGGCCTGCCCTAACTTTCTTCTCTCTTAGCAACATCGCCAGTCTAGGTTTGGAACCCCCATGCTGCAAGTATTTTAAAAGCTTGCATTTGTAAGTCATATTTTATTATTGTTATAGCCCAACAAATTCTTCTTGCCTGCTGCACAGAAAAAGCAAATACATGGAAACATCAGGTATTATAGTAGAGAAAGAATTTAATCATTGTGTGGTGTGAAGCAAGTAGGATGGGAGATATTTCTCAAATTCACTTCCTTGAGAACTGAGAGGCTGGGGTTTTTAAGGATAATTTGGTGGGCAGGGGGCTAGGGAATGGGTGCGGCTGATTGGTTGGGAATGAAATCATAGGGATGTTGAAACTATCTTCATGTCCCGAGTCAGTTTCTGGCTGGCAGGGGTGGGTAACAGGACCTGTGGACCTGTCGAGTCAGTTCTTTGGTATGGGTCATGGATTCAGGTGGCATGAGTTGGTCTACCTGAATGCAAAAGTTTGAAAATGATCTCAAAGACCAGTCTTAGGTTTTACAATAGTGATGAATATACAGGAGCAATTGAGAAAGTTACAAATCTTGTGACTTCTGGTTATATGATTCCTGAGCAGTGAGCAGTTATGGAAAAGCAATCTAGGGAACAATGGCTGGTTAGTGTTTAACTATGCCTACCTCTTAGCAGAATTGAGGCCCCACTGTAGTCTTACAAAGATGGTGTCAGTCCCCAGGGATCAGTTTGGGAAAGGGACTATTATCATCCTTGCTTCAAAGTTAAACTGTAAGCTAAATTCTTCCTATAGTTAGCTTAACCTGTGCTCAGGCATGAGCAAGGGCAGTTAGCTTGCGAGGTGAAGAGCAAGATGGAGTCAGTTTATGTTAGATTTCTCTCACTGTTACAATTTTTTTTAAAGGCAGTTCATGTCTTATCTATCAATGGAATAGCTTGACCTAGAATGTTCATTGCAATCTGGCAAAGTACTTTCCTGTGGAAGAAACACACCCATAAAATGAGAAGGTATGGAGGAGGAAAGTATTGTAAATCAACATAAAATTAACATTCATTGACAGAAGGAAAGGAAGTAACAGCTGGGTAAACAAACAGCTGCTCAGAGACAGAAAAATGACAGTAAGCAGCCATGAACATGGAAAATGGTCCCCAAATATTAGAAAAGCAAGTAAATAATATGAGGAAATGAATTAACCCATTGGAAAATTGCTGAAGCATTTGAAGAAGAAGTAAATAAAGGAAGTGTTCAAATTAAAGTTATTATACAGAGAAAAAGTAGAACAAATATTGTGTGTAAAAGAAGTGGACTTTTAAAACGCAATATGGTCAGGAGATAAATTAACTTGAAAATTTATATGAGTTATTTTTTATAAATGTGTTTTATACTGCACAGACAACATTATAAGAATATTAAAAAAATCAAAAGAATAAAAGTACGCCATAATCCTCACTTATCATTGTGTTGAAAATAGTAAGTTAGGGCCGGGTGCAGTGGCTCATGCCTGTAATCCCAGTACTTTGGGAGGCCGAGGTGCGTGGATCACCTGTGGTCAGGAGTTCGAGATCAGCCTGGCCAACTTGGCGAAACCCTGTCTCTACTAAAAATACAAAATTAGCTGGGCATGGTGGCAGGCACCTGAAGTCCCAGCTACTCGGGAGGCTGATGCAGGAGAATCACTTGCACCCAGGAGGTGGAGGTTGCAGTGAACCTACATTGCACCACTGCACTCCAGTCTGGGCGACAGAGTGAGCGAGACGCCATCTCAAAAAAAAGAAAATAGTAAATTAGAAAATCACAACTGGTTTACTTTGCATTTATAGGATTACTAAAGACCCTAACCTTTTAAAAGGACATATTTAATAACACAAGTAACATACATATATTCACCTTCTAAAAAATTAAAAGCATTACAGATAAGGCTTTGACCTTGTGAAATACATATTTGATCTTCAACCTATTTCATCACATACAACCCCTAAAATCCTTAGAATGTCCACAAGGTGATGTATTTTGTATGCTAATGATTAGCCAATCGTTAGCATGCAATCATGGTTGACAGCCCCTAGGTAGCTTCAGGCTGGGAGCTGATCACAGGAAAGACCAAGGCATGATTAGAGGATTGAGACTTTTAGCCCCACCCCCCAGTCTCCAGGGAGGAGAGAGGGGCTGAAGGTTGAGGTGATCACCAGTGGCCAGCGGTTCAATCAATCATGGCTATGTAATGAAGCTTCCATAAAAACCTAACAGGACAGGGTTTGGAGAGCTTCTGGATAGCTGAACATGGGAAAGTTCCTGGAGGGTTGCAGATTCCTTCCTCCATACATTGCCCTATGCATCTCTCCCTCTGTATCCTTTGTAATATTAAAAGGAAAACTTTAGACAAATTAAATTTAACAGAGTTTAATTGAGCAAAGACTCATGAATCAGGCAGCCCCTAGAATCAGAAGTGGTTCAGAGAAACTCCAAGCTGCTGTGTTTTCTGAGAGAATTTATGGACAGAAAAAAGAAAATGACACGCAGAAAGTGGCACTGAGGTACAGAAACAGCACGATTGGTTACAGCTTGGTGTTTGTCTTACTTGAACACAGCTGGAACGGTTGGCCACCTTTGGCTGAAACTTGGTGATTGGTACAAGAGTAGGTTATGGTCTTTTTACACATCCTGTTAAGTTACAGTTCACTGTGTATAGAGAAATCTTTAGGCTGAACCTAAAATATGTGAAGAGGCAGCTTTAGACTAAACTTAATTTAACAGTAATCTTTATAATAAACCAGTAAATGTGAACGTTTGCCTGAGATTTGTGAGTTACTGTAGCAAATTAATCCAACATGAAGAAGGGATTGCAGGAACCTCAGCGTGCAGCCAGCTGGTCAGAAGTTCTGGAGGCCCAGACTTGCAACTGATGTCTAAGGGGTTGAAGGGTGTCTTGTGGGGTCTGACGCTATCTCTAGGTAGATAGTGTTGGAATTGAAGTGGAGGACCCCCAGCTGGTGTCTGCTGTAAAACTGATTGCTTGTTTGATGTGTGGGGGAAAAAACCCACATATAGGTCACAGAATTTTTCTGTGTTGATTAGTGTTGAGTGAGAGAACAGAAAAATCACTTTGAATTTGTTTTTTCTACACAGAGACCCTTACCACTACCTCCATACCACTGCTATCCCTGGAGGTAACCATTTTTTTTCAGCTTTATGTGTATCCTTTCAACATTTTCCCATGCACCACATATGTATATGTAACTATAGAAAATTTCTATCTTTATCTTTTATGATATGTATATATGATAATCCACTATACAAACTGCAGTCGTAATTCTGCAACTTCTTCATGTTTCTATATAACATTTGTCTTGGAAATATTTCCATTTCAATGTAAATTAGAGTTATGTCATTTAAAAAAATTGCCATGTATCATAATATGGATATAACATAATTTATTTGGCATTCTATTAGTGATGGCATTTAGGTGGTTTCTAATTTCCTGCATCCTCCAGCAGACATTCATGGATATTTACTTAATGCCACGTGCCAGGCACCCTTCCTGGTTTGGAGGATTTAATAGTAAACAAAATAATACTTCTTATGGGCATGTAAGAGGAGACAAATATAAATGAAGACATGTATATGTAATAAAATATTATGTTGTATGATAGAAGAAATACAACAGAGACAGTAAAGATGTATATTAAAATATATCTGAGGAAGAAAATATAAAAAGAATACAACAAAGATGTTGTAAAAAAACATACAGAAAGAAAACAAAGATGAGAGAGTAGGTGGCAGTAAAGGCTTCTATGAGGAGCTTTCATTTGAGCCAAGACCTAAAAGAAGTGATGGATGGTGCCCTACAAATATCAAAGGCACCAGCTGAGAACTGGAAATGCAGGGTCAATAGGTGTGCATATTTGAAATGCAAAATCACTTTCCAAGCTGTCAGTGGCAATTCATACTCCCATTTGAAGCATAAAAGTGTACTGTTTCTCACAGATTTCTTTGTTATTATCAATTTCCTTAATTTGCACCAGTCAGATGTGTGGAAGACTGTTAGTTTGCTATAGTTTTGTTATAACTTGAATGCGAGTGAGGTCGTGCTTATTTTAATATGCATATTGGCCCTTTGAATTTCCTCATCTCGGATTTGGCAGTTCTACATCGTTGTTCATTTACCCATTGTGATATTTGCATGTTTGTTATTAATTTTTATTGTTTGTGTTCTGGATACTACTGTTTTGTTATGTTGTGCTATTTGCTGTATTTGTTATTGATTTTTATCATTTGTATCCTTGATACTAATCCCTTGTCATGTATGTTGTAAATATTTTCATCCCAATCTGCTGCTTGTCTCTTTAAAAATATGTTTGTAGAAGACTTTCATTTTAAAGCAGTCATGTTTAACAATTTTTTATGGATTTTGCTAAGGAATTGCCTCATGTTTACATTGTCTTTTGTGTCCTAAAGGTCTTAAAGATATTTTCTCCTATTTTCTTTTAATTTTATGGTATATGATTATTCCATCTGGAGCTTAATTTTTGGGACAATGTGAGGTAGGAATTTATCTTATTTTCTATTACTGGCTAGCCAGTAGACCCAGTACAATGTATGGAATAGTAGATTTTTATGAATTGGTTTGAAATATTACTTTTGGCATAAAGGAAATCTCCAAAAATGCTTAGGTACATTTTTAGACTCATTCTCCTGTTTCATCATACATGGTTTATTCTTGTGTGAGTTCCATAGTGTTTTTATTACTATAGTTTTATAATCAGTTTTGACATTGGTAAGTTAAGTTTTCTCTGTTATTCTTTTGTCCAAAATTACTGTCAGTATACATACTAATTTATACCTCTCATATGATGTTTAGAATTACCTTATCAAATTTTACTTTAAAATAATGTTGGGATTTTTGTTGAGATTGCATTTGAACCTACAAATTTATCTGGGGAGGCATCTTTCAATATTCCTTATTGTCCACATAAAAATGTTGTATTTATTTTTAGGCTTATTTCAAAGTGTTTGGGGGCTTTGTTGCTATTAACAATGAAATTTTTGTTTTATTGTATTATTTTAATATATGATTCCTGCTGTATAGGGAAGCTAAGACTCTATTGGTTCCAATAAATATTTTTTTCAGTTGATTATTTTGTATATTCTAGATAGGTAATTATAACATCTTCAAATATTGACAGATTTCCACTTATATACATAATTGAAATATGTTTAAAAAATTTTTCTAATGCAGTGTGTGTGTATTTTTATGTTGTTGACTTCTCATTTTTTTACATTTTCGATCAGACAGTGTGACCCGTATGATGATAATTGTTTTATTATTGATTTTGCTTCTTTTTTTTTTTTTTTTTGTGAGACAGACACTGTCACCCAGGCTGGAGTGCAGTGGCACGATTTTGGCTCACTGCAACCTCCACCTCCTGGGTTCAAGCAATTCTTCTGCCTCAGCCTCCTGAGCTGAGATTACAGGCACCTGCCACCACACCCAGCTAATTTTTGTATTTTTAGTAGAGATGGGGTTTCGCTATATTGGCCAGGCTGGTCTCGAACTCCTGACCTCGTGATCTGTCCACATTGGCCTCCCAAAGTGCTGGGATTACAGGCGTGAGCCACCGCGCCTGGCTAGAAATTTTCTATTTTATGTGTTTTAAATAATATATTTTAAAATTGAAAACTCATTATGATTGTGGACTTGTGAATTTCTATCTGTAGTTTTTATTGGTTTATGCTATATATTTTTCAAAAGCTATCATGTTAGGTATTTAAAGTTTCTTGACTATTATTATTTTGGTAGTCTTGTGAACTTGGTCAATATAAATTGTTTTATCTTTTTTATAATTTTAAACATTAAATTTCTGTTTTTACCAAAATAATACACATACGTGGAAAAATTAACTTGTATGACAGAGCTCAAACTGAAAAGCAGCAATCTCCTGTCTCAGACCGCCCCCCACTCCCCCAAGTTATGTTCCAAGAAATCTATACCTTTCAACTTCCTCAGCTGATTTTTTTTGTCACATGTGAAAACAACATGCTTAATTACAGTTCTTAAAATTTCAACTTGTCTATTGATTTCTTATGGAAAAATATACTGAGTTCTCTTCATGTGCTCCTCACAGCACGGCTGTCTACCCTATACACTTATACTTTCTTGACCTCTCAGTCCAGACATATCGCAATCAAATCAATAGTCAGTGTCTACCTAAATGTAGTTCACATCTGAGATAAAAAGTTTATTACAGGAATTGATAGCCTGTCCACATGTAAATTTTCTCCCAGAGTGCATAAAGCCCTTCCATGCAGCAGTCGCGAATCCATCTCTGGAATCCTTTGAAAGTGCAGCTCTTCCATCCCTGCTGCACATTGGCCTATCTGGGACACTGTTTCTGTTGAGACATTCATCTGGAGCTGTATTTTTCTCTTACTTGAACCTGATTGATGGCTTTCTAGGCCTACTGTATAGCTATTTTTCTGGAGCTTTCCTTTACCCAAATCCATCATTTGTTATATTTTTTAAATTGCCAGCAGCACTTTCTTATTACCTAAATGCCTTTTCTTTTTATATCATCCTAGCCCAGATGTGGTAGCCATGAACATGAATAAACAAACTAATTATAGATGTTTAAGAGGTTTCCTCTGCCCCTTGAATGATTTTGGTTTCCTCTGAGTCCCTCTGCTCTGACTCTTATGTTGGACACTATCCATCAGTGTCTTCTGAGCTTGGCTGTGTGTTCTTGTTTGGTGACTGGAAGCTCTGTGCAGAGACTGCACCTGTCAACAGGTGGGTTTTACTCTGGGTTGAGATGGTGGCAACGTTGCTTTCTCTTGGGCAGTTCCCAAATGTTACTGCTTGTAGGTCTTCTCCTTGGGCTACTCAGTGTCAGTATTCCACTTGGGAACTACAAGCCTGACTGCTGATATTGTATGAGTCGAGAATTCCATTTCCCTGGGCTGAGCCAGCTTTCTGGACACCTACCCACTCTTCCTACCTGGAAACTGACGCGTCCTTCCACATACACGGTGATAATTGATCGGTGCAGGATTTTAGGGTTCAGCCCACCTGGGTGTCTCTGCTACCCCATAATCTGAACAATAACCTTGCTGATTGCTGTTAGACACCACTTTCCCTAGTATCTCCTGCCTCCAGGTATAGGGCATTGCTACTGCTGCCTTTCAGAGGAATGCTCAACAAGTTCCTTCATGCTCTGGTTTCCTTTGGTAAACTGTCTGTTTTTTTGAGGTAACCTAGATTCAGGATCCACTGAGGTTTGCTTTCTTTTTTATTTTCAGAATGGAGATAGATTTTTAAAAACTTATTTTCTCCTATTTCTAGAGATTTGTCATAGGAGGTGAGAGCTTTATTCACCCTTTATTGTGTTCCTTTCTATTCTATTAATATTCCTTTTTGTATTCAATTTGCGTCTTGTAACTGTAACTGAATGCTTTAACATTTTTAATTGAAATTCTTTCAAGATTAATTGTCCATTTTCATATCAATGTATCCATATATTCAGACTCTACAATTTATCGATACCAATTTATGTTTGTTATATTTGCTGTAAATATTTCTCAGAGTAATTCCCTTTTTACTTTAGTTATCTTATTCTTCATGGTAATGAAATTTTACAACATGACATAATCAATTTTGTTAATATTTTCCTGTGTTGAAATATATTTTGCAAATGTCTGATAAGTTCATGATTTTTTTTTTAGTTTTTGTAACATAGATTTTATTTATTTATTTATTGAGATGGTTGCCCAGGCTGGTCTCGAACTCCTGGCCTCAAGTGATCCTCCCACCTCAGCTGCCTAAAGTGCTAGGATTGTAGACTTGAGTCACTGTGCCAGCTAGATTTTAAATATCTATCTTACTTATCTTAAAATTATTTGGTAATTGTCTCGTGAAGTATGAATCTGTTCCCTCTCAGATTTCCAAATTGTTAGCTAACTATCTCAATATTGTTTATTAAGTAATTTAAAAAATCTTATTGGTTTTGTCCCCATTATCATGTATTCAATTCCTTTATAAAATGTGCTATACTTTTGTCCTTTCCACTCTGTTTTTGTTTTTCCTTTTATGCTCATATTGATTATAAATTAATCATTTCTATTTTAATAATTCATGGGCTGATCTTCATTTTTATTTTTAATTCATAGGCTGGTCTGATTTCTTTTTTATTTTTAAAAATTACTGTTTAGTAGTTTTTTATTCATATAGTACACAAATATTCTGAGCTACGTTATAAAAATTAAAGGATGAATAGAACTTGTCCTTTGTTTTCAAGGAGTACATAGTCTTAGAGAGTATGAGCAATTATTATTCAGGAATTCAAAGAAGACTTTTGAAAGCTTAAGTTGGAAGGAAGGAATAAGCCTAATAAAGGAAAGCTTAAGTTGAGTTTTGATTTATAGGCACAACTTCACCAGGGCAATGACTAGATCAGCAAAAATGAATATATGCAATAAAAATTGTGGACAGGTACACACACAGGGATGGCTGGAGCATAGGGTGAGGACATGAGGAGTAGCTGAGTATGAGGCTGGAGAGACAAACTGGAGCACCACTCTTTTCTAATTCCAGCTTAATTTTGTAATAATGTAATAAAATTCAATACCAACCCCATTAAACTCTTGATCAGGGTAATATTAAACATATTCAGTATACCATAACAATTATTGAATTGAATCTAATTCTTAAATAATAATGTCATTTGTCACAGAATGGGAGAGGTAAAAATAATAACTGTCAATAAAATTAGGACTATAGTAAATTCAAGCTGTGTGTTCCTTTTCAAAGTGAAAACACAGAAAGGGAAAACTACTCCCTTCAAGACTAATCAGTTGGCTTTAAGACAGGAAACACAAAATCAATCATCTTGACTTTATTGAAGCAGTGTGTAATTCTCTGCTAGTATGTAGTCCACAGAGACAGGGATCAGTTCCATCAGCCAGCAGGGCCCTGTGAAATGGGAGCCATTCTGTACAGGAATAAGGAGGAATGGAAGGAAGCAAGGAAAGCAATAGAGGTATCCTAACTGCTCTAGAAGGTTGATGGTGAAATGACAGAATGAGAATGTAGCACTGGGAACGGTATGAGCATATTAAGAAGAGTTTTTTAGTTCTAACCTGCTTGTTGTAATCATTTCACAATGTATGTGCATATCAAAACACCACATTACATACCTTAAATATACACGATTTTTATTTGTAAAATATACCTTAGTAGCGTTGAAGGGGAAAGTTCTAACCGTATTTAGAAGACAGAGGAAATAATTCAGTTGAGATGGAGAGGTTGATTTTTTTTTTGAAGAGGAGAGATCCACTTTGGAACATGAGTTCTTTAGGATATGTGAAACAGCTTGTCTCAAGATACAGAGGGGAAGATGGAGCACTTCTTAGAATGGCAGCAAGGATGTGATTAGAAGATGTAAAGAAAAAGGTGGTGAGAGATGGATGCAGAAAGCCAGACAGCTTACACTGATGCTTTGATCTTCTAAATAAGTATGTCCCACCTGTGTCAGATTACCCAGGAGTACTAGGTAAAAATTCAGCCCCTGGATCACTCTCATCAGAACCCAGGAAGCTGTGATATTAGTGAACTCTCTGGGTTATTCTAACTAAAGTGTGAGAACCAATGGCTCAAATGGAGTAGCAGGTTATCTACACAGTGTGTCTATATGATTGGGAAAGCATTAGTGCCACCCATATTAGAAGATATGGGTGGGCGATGGAAGAAAGGAATTGCTAAGCAGAGCCCATTTGGAAGTTGGGAAGCAGGAATTTGTATTGGAGAGGCTGGCCCAGCTCCAGATATGGTTGAATGTGCTTCCATGGCTTCTTCTAAGTTAAAGTGAATCTACCTAAAGACCCTGTTATTACTTCTGTATCAGGACCCAGGGAAAAATTGATAAAGCAGGCTACTGGATCAAGAAAGCAGGCTACTGGATCAAGGACATGAAGACAACTTGAGAGATTTCCCTTCCTTCTGGCCTTGAGAAACATACCTTTCTGGGCAGGCAGAGTCAATAATGCTGATTGCTACATACAATCCTGTGGATTTGTGTATTCAGAACTTTAATTTCACATAATTATGATGAGCCTGCCAACATGTCAGGCCAGACTTTCCTCTGCTAGTTGTGGCTCAGTTTATTCTTTGATGCTGCTGCTCCACCTGCATATAACCCAAGATGGGCAGCTCCCATGGTGAAAGGAATTAAAAGTTGCAAGGCCCTAATCTAGGTCATTGCTTTTCTCTCTCTCTACCCTTCTCTCTCCCTCTCTTTCTCTCTCTCTCTTTTTTTTAACTTGAGTGTATTAGCAGCCTCTTACCTGGTCTCCAGGCTACCAGCCTCTTCCTTCCAAGGTAATCTTCTATTCTATTAGAGTACCTTTTTTTTACACAGACTGACAGTTGCCATAAGTGCTGTAAGCAGTCACTGCTGTGAAGATTTCCTGTCACCACAGAGTGATGTTCTAACAAACAAAACAGATATAAGACGTTTTTCGAAGAATGCCTTGTCTTCAGCCACTGCTGCCGCCATTAGCACCTCCTACATTCTAGGGACAGGGAATCCTTGTCATTGCCTCAGTATATTGCGTACTCTTGCCTGTAACCAAAGTATCCCTTCGAGTTTAGTTGCTGTTCTTTCTGTTGTTTCCCTATAAGAAGTGTATTTAAATGTTATTCCCACTCTGTAGCTTTCTTGGACCACACTCCCTCTTTCCAGGCAGAATTATTTTTTTCATCTGTATTCCATAGTACTTTATACAAGTATCAACATTGTATTTAGAACATTCTATTGTACTTATTTGTATCTTTGTTTCTACAACTGCACTAGAATTTCATGTAATCCAAACTGAAAGAACATAGGAAAGTAGAGTTCTTTGGAGCAAGCAATATGGGCAACTCCCTGCATCATTTTGTAATAGTAACAAGCTTTCCTTTTTCCATGTAATATTATAGTTGTAGCATTGATGAATCTGAATATTTATAGAATCATAGAATTTCAGTGGGGAGAGGTATCTTAGAAGTGATTCCTTTGATTTGCAGATGAAGAAACCAGTCTTGTGGTTATGTTAGACCACCTAAGTACCTTTCATCAAAATCCCAGCCAACAACCTTCAGGAATTTATGAGAATTAAACCGTTTTCCATTTCAGGCAAAAACGTTCTGGGAGAGAACAAATGTATAATGCATTTTAGTTTAGAGGGAGCCCCATTAACAAATGTTAACTGCGTTTTAAGAAGTTGGGGTCAGGGAAAAAGTCAGGCTATTTGATGAGAGATAATTGATAAGTTCAAGGAGGATTTTAAATACAAATAAAGTGTTTTTCATGTGTTTCATTGAGATGATTTGAGGTATCAGGGCCACCAGAAGACAACAGAGTGGGTTTTGGTGAGTTTCTTTTTCTCTAGGTTTAATTGAACAGTTTTTTTTTTCTTCAATAGGTTTCAGAACCTTCTGTGGTCCAGAAAGACATTTGTGGACAACATGAAAATTTATAACCACAGTTACATCTACATGCCTGCCTTTTCTATGAAGACAGGAACAGAGCCATCTTTGAGGGTTTATTATACACTGTCAGATGTTGGTGCCAATCAAACAGTGCTGTTTGCCAACCCCAACTTTCTGCGTAGCATTGGAAAGTTCTGGAAAAGTAGAGGAATCCATGCCAAGCGCCTGTCCACAGGACTTTTTCTGGTGAGCGCAGCTCTGGGTCTCTGTGAAGAGGTGGCCATCTATGGCTTCTGGCCCTTCTCTGTGAATATGCATGAGCAGCCCATCAGCCACCACTACTATGACAACGTCTTACCCTTTTCTGGCTTCCATGCCATGCCCGAGGAATTTCTCCAACTCTGGTATCTTCATAAAATCGGTGCACTGAGAATGCAGCTGGACCCATGTGAAGATACCTCACTCCAGCCCACTTCCTAGGAACAATGGAAGAAGAAAGGACTGAACCAGGGTATTTTTGTTAGGTTTTCTATGTGACTCCAAGAGGGAATGGTCAAGTTGTTTCATGAGTTTGCATGGGCCCTTGGAAAAACAGGAAAGGAGCAATGAAGATCCAAGCAAAACTTTACTTTCAGCGTTGGCTTGGAGGACAAATAAGAAATGAAACATCCTATGAAATACTTTATAGCACATGGCAGATTTGCAACTAGTAAAATGCTGGTGAAATGCTGTTGGTAAAGCACATGGTTCAAATCTAGAAGATGCAGTTCAAAAACAAGACAGACTCGAGTTGTTAGGGCTGAGGAACCAATCAAGGTAGAACAAAGAAAATGTTGGGGTAAAAGTGTTGCTGATTGTCAACACAAACTGGCTTAATAATATTAATAAGAACCTGTCTTATTAAGACTGGCTTTAGAACCGTAGGTTTTTTTAAAAAATTATTATTTATTTTTGCCCTCTTTGGGGAAGTGGGTGGGTAGATTTAAAAAATCCCTTCCTGAGTAATAAAGATACAAAATGTTACTGCTGATAATTGTGATTTGTTGAGCCACGTCTATATTAACTATAGCTCCCCTCTATTTTTAAAATTTTACATAAGAATTGCTTCTTCCTCTTTTGTCAAGTCCACAGAGACAATGTGAAGCATTATTGAATTTAGACTGTGTTGCTTCATAGTCTGGATAACAGGAGCCACTTTCCTTCCTCAGAATTTAGGACATAAACCCAATTTTAGGTCTGCATTATGTAAGCCTGTTTGCATTGTCATTTTTATTTTAGTGCAAAAGACTACCAATATGAGTGAATTATTTGTTTGTAAATTGGCATAATTGTCTTCATAATTTAATGTTCAGAAATGCAGTAAAGCACGTTGATGAAAAGCTTAGTCTCTGTGGAAGACAGACCAGAAGACAAATCCCTTTTCTATCTACTGTGGCATATTCACTGCAAGGTAAAGGACATGTATGCATACATGCAAGAATGAATTGAGCGAAACTTTGAATATGTTTCCTCTTTTGAGCTATTGTTATTTAGTAGTTACCTAAAAAAGAATACATTTTTACTAGTATACCATTAAAAATGTAAAAGGCTTAACATGTATGCATACATGTAGACACACATACACACACACAAAGTTAAACAAAGCTCATTACTGTGCAACTATGAAAGCTGAACTCATATGACCTGGTATGGCAAAAATTTGTAACCAGTGTTGGAGAATCACAAATGTGTTATGCACTATCCATTACATGTTGATATAAGACAACCGAGCTCACTGGTTGCCGCACATAATACCCATAGCAGCACAAGATGCAAGTCTTACCCCCAAATGCTTACCCGGAATGAGCAGAATTGTCTTACTCATCCTGATTTTACCCAAAATCTCATGAATGGGCTTGCTGTTGAGCGTGGTCACACAAGGTATAGTTTGTACAAGTAAAGAAATGTGAATTAGTAGCTATTTATTTCCTTAGTAGCAGGTAGGACTACTTAGCTTGTTACAACAGCTTTGATACACAGTAAGAAAACTCTACTGACAGATTACAAGCAGCCAAATGTGTTTACATTTCAGAGAAGGGTAAGGGAAGCCTCTCGTTGTCTTCATACTTTGGAATGTCTTAAGCTAAAATGTGACACTAGAGTTCAATTTCTTTTTTATTTTAAATGTCACTAAATTGTAGGTAAACTGTACCAAAAAGTTCTAGTTTAATTTTAACAGTAAAAACTCAGCATACCATGTTACCACGTAAACAATAATGGCTGGTATTTTCTGTGGGTTAATTTAACATGACATAAACATAGGAAAGCCCTTGGCAAAATTCTACATCATTGAAGTAGACCATTTCTAAATGCAATTAAATAGTGAGGTTATTATAAAAATTAGAATTTAAAATATGACTTGTTGATAGTGCAGATTATAATGTTACTTAGAAAGTTAAGAATTCGAGAGTAATGATGCTATTGGAGAACTGGTTTGCTATACGGCAGCAAAAACATAATGAGAATGTACCATGAAGAAATTGTGTTAAATATTCACTTTGAGTGAAACTTTAAATATGTTTCCTCTTTTGAGCTACTGTTATTTAGCAGTTACCTAAAAAAGAATACATTTTTACTAGTCTACCATTAAAAATATAAAAGGCTTAACAAAAACGCATATAAAAGTTAATAAAATGTTACTCAGATTAGTACTTTAATTGTTAAAATGTAATTAATGAGCTCCATAGAGCCCATACATCACAGTTCCATTGAAAATATCATCTGGACTAGAATCTCTTAAACCCAGGAAGTGGAGGTTGCAGTGAGCCAAGATGGTGCCACTGCACTCCAGCCTGGGTGACAGGGCAAGACCCTGTCTCAAAAAAAAAAAAAAGAAAAGAAAAAGAAAGAAAATATTATGTGGAAATTTTTCATCTTTTTATGATGCCTGGGATAGATTTATGCAGTAGATTTATATATAATGTTTAGTTTACAAACTTGTGAAACTATTTCATGTGGGTTCTGAAAGGCAAAACAGAAATGGCCAGTGCTGGTGATGTTTGATTAGACCAGCTCTTCTCAGCTGGGGTGATTCATTATCCCTCTCTGGTGACATTTGGCAATGTCTGGAGACCAGAGACATTTTTTATTTTCATGACTCAAGGGTGCTAATAGCATGTACTTAGTAGAGGTTAGGGATCCTGCTAAAGATCTTACAATGCACAAGTCAGCCTCTCACAGCAAAATAATTATCCAGGCTGAGATGTCAGTAGTATCAAGGTTGACATCTCAGACCTGGATTAGACCTGGATTAGACCAAAATGAAATTTTGATTGTTCCACCTTGTCTTCACTTAAAGATAGATATACATGCTCACAGCATTCAAAATATGACTACAATTTAATGAAAATATTTTCTTATGGTAGATTACAACTCACTAGATACACCATACATATGCCTTTTGGACATAATTGGTTAGATAGGAGTGTGTGTGTGTGTGTGTGTGTGTGTGTGTGTGTGTGTGTGTGTGTAGCATGAAGTTAGGCATCTCTATCCTTAACTGTGCTATGTGTTCCTAAGTAAGGACCTCGCTAGAATCATCCTGTAGAGTGCTCTGGAATACTCTATTATTAAGATCTTCAATTCTAAGCTCCCATTATCTTTCTTTGTTTATCTGAAATTAAGACCTTCAGAATTAGGCCTGGTACTTTTCCAGATTTGATCAGTTACATTTTGATATAACTGACTCTTAAAATTCAGCTTAGAAGACATTCAATAAGAAAATCTTTAATCACTTTTGGTGATGCACCTGCCAAGAGGGGGCATCACTTTGTACCATCAGACTAATTAAAAAAATTGTTGTGTAGTCATAAAAATTAGGCTGATCCATAGGGGCAAAAGGAAGGGTGAAGAGACTAAAAACTAGTACCCTGATAGAATTTTAGTTTTTATTAGCCTCGATTTGAGAACTGCATTGATTCCAAAGATCATGAAGGTAGGTGAAGGATTAAGTCATTCCATAATTAAGAAAAGTAATGTTTATATGAAAGATTTTTATATGGACAATGACTCACAGACACATATGCTTTGTATAGAGGATTTTGCCAAAAGTTTATACAAAATTGCACATCTAAACTGCATAATTCTCATACAAGAAGTTAAGGAAGTGCTCACTGGATTTTGCTTCTGTATAGTTCACTTTTATCTGTCTTCACAAGGGTAGGAAGTAAATGATCTCAAATGGCACATGTTCAGACAATACTGTGTTTGGCTTTGTGATGTCTCATGTCTTTCTCTTGGCTAAAAAAAATTGTTTAGGCTATATATAACTTGTACCTGAAGCAATCTGGACAACATGGCTTAAAATGGAAAATAACTGAAAAAATCCTGGGATTTTAAATTTGCCAAAAATACCCTTGGATTAGTCAAAGGCTTTACAAGAGTGTTATAGATGATCCAAAATGGAAACAATATTGATAACATTTCTTTTCGTCAGCAGCTACATATTCCAGTTTTATAACTTTATTATATACATTTTTTGATTATTAATAGAAAGTCAGCCATCCAGAGTTTTAACTTCTGTGGTTGAAATATTGACTTTGTGAAATTTTTCACTGACAAATACTTGTTAGGAGGGACCTAAGGGGGAGGGGAATGTTACCAGTCCACTGAAAACTTTAGGAAATGTTCATTGTGTTGTGTAAATACTTTCCCACCAGCACCAGGTAATATATTCTCTATGTTTGTAGAATTCCAAAGATCAAAAGCTGTAAGGACGTTTATGTGAACTTGACGCAAACTTGTGGAGGAATAAGGACTGAGAGTAATGTTGTGCTTTTTCTTTATCTTCCCGTCGTATAGGTCGACTCTCAGGTTATATGACTTTTATTGGGCACACGTCAGGGGTGGAAGTGGTAGAAGTGGGTTAACAATTTCAAGGCCTGGCAACCTAGGTCAAAACCTCTAATAAAGTCAGCAGTAAACATAACTAGCAACTTCATTCCACTATGTGCTAGGAGGAGGGTGAGGCAAGTTGAAAGGAGATGACCCTATCCCCACACTCTCAGGATGTAAAAGGGCAGAGTGCTCTCTACCCTTAACCTTGGCTTTTTAGCACCGTCAGTCTCTGTCCTCTCCCAGGAGAGCTGCCTTGGCTCCAGAGTTGAGCTAGTAGCATTGTGACTAGAGAGGTAGTGTGGAAATTCGCTGAGGACCTCAAAATTTTACACTGCCTTAAACTGTTTTGTTTTTGCTTAAACTCGTGCTGTCTAAATGTGGGTGTTTTGTGGCAGAGTCTGATCACCCCGACCTAGTTATAGCCCTGCCAGTGATTCTAAAGTGGAACTTTTCCCCCTCATTCATATGGATAGTCTGAGTCCTTGAAGCTAGGGAGATATCAAATATTCTACCAGTTCCTACATAGCTTCTTTAAAAGTCCTAGAGACTAACTCACAGGAAGTCTGAAGCCCAGAGCGTCTGTTTATAAACTCCTAAATATGAGGCCACAATATTTAGGTTGAGCACTAGAAAATTTCTATTTTGCAAGTGGAAGGAGACTTGAATCTATAATTGCTGTAGCTTTTTTTCCCTTCTATCATAAGAAAATGGATACCATCTGCTTTACCCTCAGCCCAGACTTGTCTTTTGAATTTTTTACATACATCTTAGGGGTGAGAGATTGAAACAAGTGCATGAATGAAAAGCTTATTGAAACATAACACAGCCCCTGCTCACCATTTCAGTAAGGGAAAATACATGTTTCTGTTTCCCTCTAATTTGTTTTCTCTGGTGCCAACATTTCTGATTTCTTCTGTCTCTAATACATAAGGAATAAATACCATATTTTAAATTGACTTACATGCCTGCGAGCATTTGCCAGATAATCAAAGCCTATGACTCTAACTTTTTAAAGCACAGAAGAGGAATTATATTTTATGGTCACTCCTCTGTGTTTCTATTGATCTCTATATTGTGCTAAAATTCTTTCAGGTAATTTTTTTCTTGTTGAAGCTGTGGGATATAATCAATGATGCCAAGCTGTCTGAGAATTTTATAGAATAATATCCAAATATATTGATCCTGCCTCTTTCTGCTTCTATGTAATTAAACTTTCTTTTGATGTTTATTTTTAAAATGTATGCTTCACACAACACCAATAAACATCTAAGAGATGTGATATAATCCAAGGCAAAGAAAAGTAAGAATCAGTTAATGTCTATTTTATCTGCACAGCATTACGAACAGAAAATTGTAATAAAAAAAGGTTTAACCAAACTGAAAAAAAGAGAGACAAAATCTTGGTTTTAATTTGAAAAGATGATTGGGAGTGATCTCAGAAGAGAGTTCAGCAGGAAGCAAGGAAGAGGCTGTTGACCTTGAGTGCAGCCTCAAGAATGGAACCTTTTTGAAATATTTTAAAGGAAATATCTTGTCATCCAGCTGTTATGGTTAATAATGAATAGTTTTCTCTGGGTGAAGCTTATCCATTGCACACCTGATGTGCTGGCCCCTGCGATTTCCCCAAATGTTGGAATGTTGCCTGCATAATTTGTGGTAATGGGGGACTGTGTTCCTGCTTTTACCTGGTTACAAAAAACAAAACAAAACAAAACAAAACAACAAACAGAAAAAAAAAGAGAGAAAAGATGCTAGAGGAAGCAGTGTGACAGACAGATCATGAGATGCTGACGGAGAGAACAGAGTGGTACCTGTTTACCCACTTGGACCATGACAGTATCAAGGCTCCACCCCTTGCTGTCCCTTCCCAAGAGGTGCTCTCCTGGGAGTTTGATCACAGTGAAACAACACTCCCGTTTTCTTTTTCCTTTCTTTCTTTCTTTCTTTTTTTTTTTTTTTTTTTTTTTTGTTGAGACAGAGTTTTTTGCTCTTGTTGCCCAGGCTGGAGTGCAATGGCGTGATCTCGGCTCACCGCAACCTCCGCCTCCCAGGTTCAAGCGATTCTCGTGCCTCAGCCTCTGGAGTAGCTGGGATTACAGGCATGCGCCACCACACCCGGCTAATTTTGTACTTTTAGTAGAGATGGGGTTTCTCCATATTGGTCAGGCTGGTCCCGAACTCCTGACCTCAGGTGATCTGCCCGCCTCAGCCTCCCAAAGTGCTGGGATTACAGGCATAAGCCACCGAGCCCAGCCCCACACTCCTGTTTTCATAGCCCTTTTTTGTCTGTACTTTGGTACATATTCCCCAAATAAGATTATTATTTACATCTGTCATGATGAGGCAGTGATAGCAGCAAGTGTCACTTTGACCCTCACCCTTGGAAAGTGGGCTATGCATAGCTAGAGTTAGAACAGGAGGTTCTAATCCTGCTTCCACAATTACTTCAGTAACAGGCTTTTGTATCCATGATTACTTAAGCTGACTTAGATGCATTTTCTACCCTGTATTCTAGTGTACACAACACAAACACACATAAGCCCTTTACCTGTGGAGAAGAGGGAGATGGTTGATTCAGTGGGAGTGGGGAGTGGCAGAGGGTGCCTTAACTTTTTCTGGCTTGACCCCTACTTCCTTATGTGTTTCCTTCATATACCTCTGTCACTTTAGAGATGTAATCATGTCTGTTCCAAGTTGTATCGTTATTATCAAGAAGTCCTATAAATGTAGCAAATGTGACTATTTTATAGAAATGCACAATAGTTTATAGGCCTTGGAGAAGTCTGATAATAGTATGTAAATATCCTTCATTGAAGTCATAGAACCTTCTAGTAGGAAGCTCCATAGGTGATAACTGCAAGAGGATTAATGTTTGTTTCTCCAGTAAACACCGGAAGCAAGGAATCAATCTGTCACTGTTTATCATTCAGTCTTGAGCACCGTTGGGTGTTGATAGGTTACTATAGACACTCCCCTTATAATTAATATACAGGACTCACAATTTAGGATGTCTGATGGCCACTAGGGTACATCATAGAGACACTAGAGAGAAGAGAACAAATATAGCTCCATCAAAAAGCCTGCTTAATCTTTAACAAGTCTGAAATATTACTAAAATTCCAGTTACCGTGCAGCATAGTCAGTCTAAAAAGCACTGGGGAAAAAGGTGTCTTTTTGGTCTCTTTAATTCTATTATGGCACATTTTAATATTATTCCACATGTGTGCAAACTATTTCTCAAGAGCAAAGTTTGAGGCTGGAGTTAAGAAAATAGAAAAATTAAAACATTATTTTTTCTCATATAATATAATCTGACTACTAGTTCATGGATATAATAATTCTGGGAAAAATTTTAGATTAAACTATAAAATTGAAATCACCTTTGAAGAGTATATGGAATTGCTTCTTTCTATTAAAGCCAACCTACATTGGCAAAAAGTGTGGAGAAAATCAGTGTGCTCAATTCTTTTTGTAGAGTTTCATCTAAAATGTTGCAGGTAAAAAAGAAAACTTTAATTGGTACTTTCTACGGTGTGATTAGAAAAATTAGTATCTATCTCTGTTGGTTCTGCTGACTTGCTTCTTTCCACCGAATCTAAATGCAATGTCATAGGAGGAGGTTTGCTGTAAAAACATGTCTTTTTCTTTGGTGTATTCATTGTAATTATGGCTGGCAGTGAGAAGGTTCGGTAAGTCTCAATTTCTCTACCTCCTTTACTTGGAGAAAATTTGTAAATGTACCCTGTGAATAAAATGATTTTTTATAGCTTGTGAAGTCTTTTCATTTTCCAGAATTAAATGGGTGACGCTCTTTCATCTTCTATTCCTGCTTTGTTTTGTATCCATATCAGCTACACTGATATTTTTTTCTTACAGATGAAAAGTCATGAGACTTAGTGAGGAAATCATTTTAGAAATCCTGAATTATAATTGCTAGAATATAAGAACACTATTGGTACTTCTTATGTGGATGAAAGGACTATCTATAGGGCAAACTAGAAAGAAAACTGAGCATTTATTTAATATGATTAATGTAGATAAGCCTAGTTTTTCCAGTGATAAAACTTCTCCTTTTCGTCAATATCAGTATGTGTGTCCAAGAGATACTTTAATACATTCCTAACAAGATGCAATACATTTAGATTCCCCTTCTGCACATATGGGTGACTTTCAAAACCCAAGTGTGCCTTTTAGTCTGAATTATTTAGACAATTGCTTCAAACTCCCATTCCCCTTGGGCGCTGTTGGCCCAGTTCTGCCAAACTCTTCCTCAGAGGGAGTGACATCAGGAAAAGTGACCTTGATTCATCCTTTGTTATACATTTCTCCTCAGAAATTGATCAAGGTACTCTGTACAGATCTCCTTATTAATTCTCTGACTTCATTCTCACACGACATAGCTTTTTGGGCTACAGCTATTTTAAGAAAGGACATTCTATTACCTAATGGAAAATCTACATGGTGTTTAGCTGAATCACTTGGAAACAAATGCAATACTCTAGTATAAATGTGGGTTACCCTAACCTATTCTCAGACGATATAAGGAAAACAGACTTAACTTGTTTTCACCAACTATCATTAAGTCCCCAAATCTAGATTTGACAGAGTCCTGCTCTTCTACTTTGTTTCAATTTGAGCATTCAAAAACAGATATTAAGACTTCAAAGGCATTAATTACTGAAGAATTCCCCCTAAACCTAAAAGGAGGATAATTATAAATCATAGACTATATTTTTACTTGAAAACTTATTATTTTGGATATACGGTTAGATTCCTGATGATATGAACAATTATAGATGTAGGAGGATTGACTTCATTTATAATTTATATTATTCCATTTTATGAGCTTTTAGAAGTATATGAAAACAAGTTCTTTGTTTCATTTATATACATAGAGTAAAAGTTATTTCTTTCCTTCTCAATAGTCATGAATTCTGGGCCAGAATTAAAAAGTCAGCCTCAATACTTGGGAACTTTTTCATGGTAAACAGTGCAATCAAATGTTAGGTTAAAAGGCAATCAAGAATTTGTGAGTCTCAAGATAGATGCCAATTGAGATTCCAACCTTTGCATATGGAGGCAAGGGAGACAGTAGGAATAAGGTACAAGTGTTCATTGGGTGGGACCACTATAATCCATTTCCTACCAGGCAGATTACTGATCTCTACAAAGAGAATGCTTTTCTACCAAGGGTTTAACATTAGCCTTTGCTATTGTTGGTTGGGCACTTGGCAGTGGTGGAAGCCAGATTATCATTAGTCTTTGATATTAATTCCATGCATAACCTCCATGCCTGTTACCAAAACCACTTTGTATAGAAGTCCATTGAGAAAGTAGTGGAGTAATTGAGAAAAGAGACCAGCTGTTACCCACTCAACACATTGTTTAGTCTGGGCCTCTTATAAAGGTTATGACTGCAGTAGTGAGGTTAATTTCTGGAGTGGTTATCAATGTGTTCTATCCTGGAGCACATAACAATTTATTCTAACTGAACTAGACATGTATTCCAGATTTGCCTTTCCTGTCCTCAATGCTTCTGCCAGCATGGCTATCTATGAACTTACAGAGTGACTCATTTACCGTATTGACATCATGTACAACATATAATATCCTTTTGACCAAGGGACACACACTTTATGGCTAAAGAAATGTAGCAAGGAACTAATTCTCATGGAACTAGCTTGTATTAGTATTACTCTTTACCATACCATATAGAACATACATTATCAACAGGAGAGATACTGCCCCCTAAAGAGGAAAAAATTGGTTTTAGGGAGTGTGATCTGAGAGACCAAGTTAGACCAAGTTAGATGCCTTTTTATCAATCAGGACAGGCCTAAAGATTAAGGAAACAAAGTTAACCTATGGGTGGAGGATTCAGGGTCTGGCTGGCATGACACGTTTCTAAATTCCTACAAGAAAAACCACACTCTCACCAACCTCCTTAACAATAAGAGCTTTCAGGCAAGTTGTCCTAACTCTGATTTACAACCCAGACCACTGCAACTCTGATTGGACAGGGGATCAGCCTTATCAACATTCTCTTCTGATAAACTACTGAAGACCTTAGGCCAGTTTCAGCAGCTTATAAAGGCTACACACAAACTCTTTGCATCCTATACTTCAACTTCTGATGTAAAGAGCCAAATTCCACCTCATTTTAATGCTAAAACTCAGCCCAAAAGTGAACATGGCTGTATGTTATGTGGATGTTTGCCCATTGGGCATGCACTCTGCTCCCCTCATAGATATGTATAGCTTTCCCTTCAAACCTGCTGAATATTTATGACTGTACAAACCTTGCCAGGCATATAACCCAACCTGTCTTTCCCCTCTACAAAAACAGAGCACCTTTGGTCTATGCTGGAGACATTCTTTTCCTGGCTTGAAAACCAATTATTGCTAATAAAACTCTCCTTTCTACTATCTAGCCATCCGGGTATCTTTTGAATGACAGAGGTAAAAAAGAAAATTAGATACTATAGTGGTTAGGAAAAAATATCTTAAACGTTTATTTAGGGGATAATTAGAAAAAGTTTGAGGAACACTGATCTAGAAGTGTCTGCCTTACACAAAGTTGGCATGGCCTAATAAAGACTCATTTTGAGGACCATCTGAGAGACAATGTTGGGAGTATGGGGTACCATCTTATAGGATGTGGTATATGTTTTGCACAGTGACTAGTTTCTCCCATTATATGTTTGGGCTGTATTAAGAATATCTGGATCTGGGAACCAAGGGATGGAAGTAGAAGTTGCTCCACAAGTTGTGATGCATTGTGCTTTTGTCAGTTTTTAAATCAGAATATTATCTAATTATCTTGTGATTTTTCTTTAAATCACCTGTCACTTAGTATATTTTAAATTTCCAAATATATGGAAGATTTCCTAGTATCTTTTTGTTATCTCTTTGTCATTTAATTCTGGCACGACCAGAGAATATACTATGTGTGATTTTATTTTCTAAAATTTATTAAGAATTATTTTATGGCGCAGGTTCCATGAGTACTTTAAAGGAACATCCATTCTGCAGTTGTTGGCAATAGTGTACTGAAAGCATTTATTAGGTCAAGTAGAGATGATCCTTGAACAATGTAAAGGTTAGGGGTGCCGACCCCAATGCATTTGAAAATCTGCATGTATCTTTTGATTCCCCCAAAATTTAACTACTGATAGCCTACTGTTGACCAGAGACCTTACCAACAACATAAACAGTTGATTAACAAATATTTTGCATGATATATATATAAATAATATGCTGTATTCTTACAATAAAGTAAGCTAGAGAATAGGAAATGTTATTAAGAAAATTATAAAAAAGAGAAAACATATTTACTATTCATTAAGTGGATTGTCATAAAGGTCTTCCTCCTCATCACCTTAATGTTGGGTAGAATGAGGAGGACAAGGAAAAGGAAGGATTAATCTTGCTGTTTCCAGGTTGCAAAGATGGAAGAAAATCCTCATATAAGTGGATCTGTGCTGTTCAAACTTTTGTTGTTCAAGGGTCAACTGTACACTCTTACTGATATATTTTATCTATTCTATCAACTATAGAAAAAATGTATATTAAAGTCTCTAAGTATGATGTGCCAATTTCTCCTTTTAGTTCCATACATTTTAGCTTTATTGAATTTACTTTGAAATTTATTATAAGTTTCATTCATTGAGGAGTCTGACTTCCAGACCAAAGTCCTATCTGTAATTCTTCCTGTCTGACCACAGGCAATCATAAGGCTTTGTCTGGCAGGCCTAATGGAGAGAAGCTGCTCTCCTGTATTATTTTGTTCTTGAATCGCTATAAAGAAATATCTGAGGCTGGGTCATTTATTAAGAAAAGAAGTTTAATTGGCTCGTCGTTCTGCAAACTGTACAAGCAGGGCACCAACATCTGCTTGGCTTCTGGTGAAGGCCTCAGGAAGCTTATAATCATGTTGAAAGGCAAAGCACAAAGCAGGAGCAAGCCCATCACATGGCAAGAGTGGGAGCAGGGTGGGAGGTACCACACACTTTTAAACAACCAGATGTGGTGTGAACTTGGAGTGAGAACTCACTTATTACCAAGGGGACAGTGCTAAATAATTCATGTGAGTTTTGCCCCCATCAAACAATCACCACCCACCAGGCCCCACCTCCAAAATTGGGAGTTACATTTCAACATGAGATCTGGAGGTGACAAACATCCAAACCATATCACCTCCTCACACCTTGGTGCATAGCCAATTATCAGTTTTCTAGAATGAGTTGCAGTCAAGGACTTAGGACTCTTAGGAGAGCCATGTTCATATGCATATTGGCATTCCTAACCCAGCACCTTCATGTAGAGGCCTTTTTATCAGGGGCCTTTGTGGAGACACTTTTCCACTTTGACTCAGTATCTCTCCACTGCTAGAAGACCTGCCCTCTCTTCTTCCCCCTGGCCCATAGGTCCATAAAGAGAGAAAGAGCCTTTTGTTTAGGATTCCTTGGCATTGAGACAATTCTCCCATCGACACTGCATTCAGTTAACTCTCGGCCAGTAGCGTTCCATGGGGAAAAACTACACCCTAGGAAACTGGTGCCTCCTCCTTGCAGTGTCATAGTAAGTAAATAAAGGCTTGATTGTTGCTTTCAGTTGGCTTATTGTCCTAATTGACCAACACCTGATTGCTTGAAATACACATTGAAGACTGTGATATTTTCTTTATGAAGTGACCCTTTTATTCTTAACTTTTATAACAATATAAGTATTACAATATGAATAAGTATCAAAATAATTACATAAATTTTTCTTTTTTCTTTTTTTGTAATACCCTGTTTTGAAATCTACATCGACATTAATGAAAACTTACAAAATTTTTTACGGTTGATATTTACCTGGTATATCTTTTTCTATCCTTTTACTTTCAGCTTATTGTAGTTATTATATCTTTGCAATGTGCCTCTCGTAAACAACATACTTAGGTCTCATTTTGCTTTTTTATCTATTTCAACAATCTTTGCCCTTTAACTGAGGCATTTATCACTATTATATTTAATGCAGTTGTTGATATCGATGGGTTTAAGTCTATCATCTTATTATAGTCATGTGTCACTTAACGGTGGGATACATTCTGAGAAATGAGTTATGTGATTTCATCATTGTGCAAGCATCATAGCGTGTACTTATGCAAACCTAGATGCTATAGCTGACTACACACCTGTGCTATAATGGTATAGCCGATTGCTCCTTGGCTACAAACCTACGCAGAATGATACTGTATTAAATACTGTAGGCAATGGGAAGATAATGGTAAGTATTTGTGTATCTACACATAGAAAAGATACAGTAAATATATGGTATAAAAGGTTAAAAAATGGTATATCTATATAGGGCATTTACCATGTGAAACTTACAGGACCAGAAGTTGCTCTGGGTGCATCAATAAGTGAATGTGAAGGCCTAGGACATTACTGTCCACTGCTGTAGACTTTACAAACAATGTACACTTAGGCTGTACTAAATTTACAATTTTATGGGACCAATGTCATATATGCAGTTCATCATTGATAGAAATATTGTTGTATGGTGCAGAACTTTGTTTTTTATTGGTTTTCTCTGTTCTTTTTGCCTTTCATGCTGCTTTCTTGCCTTTTTTAGATTAATCATTTTTTTACTATACTTTTATCTGTTGCTCTAGGGATTATAATATGCATCTTCAATCACAGTATAACTTGAATTAATATTATACTACTTCACAAATAAGAAGGTTATATTAGTATGACACATTACTCTGTCTCCCGATCCTTTTTCCTATTGCCATGTGTATTACTACTGTATATTTGATTAATTCCATAATACAACATTGTTGTTTTTTGTTTTAAAAACATAGATGCCTTTCAAAGAAATTAGAATATGAAAATACACTTTTGTTTATATACCCCTTTATGTACAGATCTATTGCTTTTAATCCTTTCTGTAGAAATGATACCATTTCTCAACAGCCTAAGAATTTCCTTTAGCTTTTCTTGTAGTGCTAGTAACAAGTTCTCTCTGCTTTCATTCTTTTCCTTTTTTTTTTTTTTTTTTTTTTTTTTTTTTTTTTTTTTGAGACAGGGTTTCCCTATGTTGTCTAGGCTGGTCTCAAACTCCTGGGTGCAAGTGATCCTCCCACCTTAGCCTCCCATATTGCATGGATTACAGGCATGAGCTCCCACACCTGGCCTCTCTCAGCTTTTATTTACCTGAAAATGTCTATAGTTCACTTTCATTTTTGAAGTATATTTTTATTGGCTATAGAATTCTAGCTTGACAGATTTTCTTTCAGCTTTTTAAATGTATCATCCCATTGTTTTCCAGTTTACCATGTTTCTGAAGATTTTGCTAGAATTATCACCATTGAATTACAGGTGATGTTTGCTTTTCCTTTCACCCTCTAACTTCTTTTAAGGATTTTTCCCCCCAGCAGACTAGAGCCCCTGCTTTATTGAAGTAAATACAAAATAGTTAAAGCATGGTCTTTTTCAGATGAACTCACTGTAGCCACCAATAATGTCATTTTGTCTCTTTCTCTTTTCTTTGGGTAGAAGGGAAAGAGTTCTGAAATGCTCAATGAGCCAACTAATGCTGCTGATGTATTCAATTAGATTTGAAGTAAGGACAAAACACCAGAAACATAAAACCTATGATTCTTTGCAAATTCATAGAGATTCAAAGGAAAAGAAACACCGCCATTTGCTTTTGAACAAAACCAAGGGTTATTTCAGAGATGATCTGATCAAAACCTTCTACATTACAGATGAGTCAATTTCAAATCACAGAGGCACAAGTGACTTCTGAAGTACAGTAGCCAGATTCATATTTTAAAAAGAAAACGTTTAGTTTTGCAGATGAAAAATGTGTGCATAGATAATTTAATAAAAGAAAATTTATAAATCATTAGAGGAAATTGCTTTACTATTATTATTCCTAGTTTATTAATAATTTTTTTGTAGTACTGAACTATACAGATTGAGGCCCTGTATTTTAGGGTGCTTTTTTTCATTTAGGTTTCAGCACTTTGATAAAGATTTAACAATAGCGTCCGCAGTTCCAGGTATCACTAGAATGTGCAAAACCATGTAATTCCTTTGTGTGTGTGGGTGGGCGGGGGGAGGTGATACCCTATTTTTTAGAGCCGTTTTAGGTTCACAAAAAAATTGAGGAGAAAGTACAGAGATTTCCCAAATACTCTCTGTCCCCACACATGCAGACCTTCCCCCATTATCAACATCTCCCACCAGAGTTGTACATTTGTTACAAGTAGTGAGCCTACATTGACTAAGTTATCACCCAACATCCATAGTTTACATTATGGTTCACTCTTAGTGTTGTAAAATTCTTTGGGTTTGGACAAATGTATAAGGACATGTTTCCACCATTGTCATTACCCTTTATCATATGTTACTCTGTATCATAAAGAGTAGGTTCACTGCCCTATACGATTTTTGTGTTCTGTCTATTCTTTCCTCCCTCCCACCTACTCTCTGGCAACCACTGATCTTGTTACTATCTCAGTAGTTTTGACTTCTCCAGAATGTCATATAGTGAATCATAGTGTATATCCTTTTCAGACTGGCTTTCGTCACTCAGCAATATGCATTTAAGGTTTCCTCCGTGTCTTTTAATGGCTTGATCACTCATTTCTTTTTAGTACTTAATAGTATTCTATTGTCTGAATATACCACAGTTTATTTATTCATTTACCTACTGAAGGACATCTTCGTTGCTTCTAAGTTTTGGTAATGAATTAATAATAAACACTTAAATATAAATAAAGCTGGTATAAACATCTGAGTTCAGGTTTTTGTGTAGACATAAGTTTTCAACTATTTTGGATAAATATCAAGGAGCACAATGACTATATTGTATGGTAAGAGTATATTTAATTTTGTAAGAAACTGGAAAATTGTATTCCAAAGTGGCTGTTATATTTTATAGTCATTTCCACCAGCACTGAATGAAAGCTCCTGTTGCTCCACATCCTCACCAGCATTAATGTTAGTGCTTTAGATTTTGGCCATTCTATAAGTGTGTAGTGATATCTCATTGTTATTTTAATTTGCACTTCTCTGATGAAAAATGACGTGGAGCATCTTTTCACGTGCTGCTTGTCATCTGTATATTCTATTTGGTGAAATGTCTGTTAAGGTCTTTGGTCCATTTTTTAACTGGGTTATTGGTGTTATTGTTGAGTTTTAAGATTTTGTACATTTTGAATAACACTCCTTTATTGGGTATGTCTTTTTGCAATTATTTTCTCTCAAGCTCTTTCAAGTTTCCTATGGGGGAAGCTTAACTCATTGATTTTAGATCTTTCTTCTTTCCTTTTCCTTTCCATTTCTTTTTTTTTTTTTTTAAGACAGGGTTTCCCTTTGTCACCCCGTTTGGAGGACAGTGGCGCAGTCTTCACTCACTGCAACCTCCGCCTCCCAAGCTCAAGTGATCCTCCCACCTCAGCCTCCCAAGCAGCTGGGAGTACAGGTTTGCGCCACTATGCCGGGCTAATTTTTGTATTTTTTGTAGAGTTGGAGTTTCGCCTTGTTGCTCAGGATGGTCTCGAACTCCTGAGCTCAAGCAATCTGCTCACCTTGGTCTCCCAAAGTGCTAGGATTACAAGTGTGAGCCACTGCACCTGGCCCTTCTCTTCTAATGTATGCATTCAATGCTATAAATATCCTTCTAAGCACTACTTTTACTTCATCCCATAAATTTTGATACATTGTGTTTTCATTTCCATTTAGCTTAAAATATTTTTGAATTTCCCCTTGCAATTTCTTCTTTGACCCATGTGTTATTTAAAAGTATGCACCTAACAATATAGCATCAAAATAAGTGAGGCAAAAATGAGTAGAGCAGTCCAGACATTTTAATCTGCAAGTATTTGGGGGATTTCTCAGCTAGCTTTCTATTATTGATTTCTAGTTTAATTCCATTGTGGTCTGAGAGAAGACATTGTATAATTTCTGTGCTTTTAAAATTTGTTAAGGTATGATTTATGGCCCAAAATGTGGTATATCTTGGTGAATCTTCCATAGGAACTTGAGAGAATGTGTATTCTGCTGTTAGATGAAGCAATCTATAAATACCTATATATCCAGGTGATTGATTGTGTTGAGTTCAACTGTGTCCTTACTTGATTTCTGCCTGCTAGATCTGCCATTTCTGATACAGGAATATTGAAATCTTTAACTAAAATAATAGATTCATCTATTTATCCTTGCTGTTTGATTAGCTTTTAAAAAATTATTTATTTATCTCTTTAGAGACAGGGTCTTGCTCTGTCACCCAAGCTGGAGTGCAGTAGTACAGTCATAGTTCACTGCAGCCTCTATCTCTTGGGCTCCAGTGATCCTCCTGCCTCAACCTCCTGAGTAGCTGGTACTACAGGCACACACTACCATGCCCAACTAATTAAAAAAAACTTTTTTGTATAGATGGCATCTTATGTTTGCCCAGCCTGGCCTCAAACTCCTGACCCCAAGTGACCCTTCCACCTTGGTCTCCCAAAGTGCTAGGATTAGGGGCGTGAGCCACAATATCTGGACTGCTCTATTAATTTTTGCCTCACTTATTTTGATGCCATATTGTTAGGTGCATACACATTAAAGATTACCATGTCTTCTTGAATAATTGACCTATTTTTTCATTATGTAATGCCCTTCTTTATCCATGATAACTTTCCTTGCACTGAACTCTGCCTTGTCTGAAATTAATATAGTTATTCCTGCTTTCTTTTGATTAGTGTTAGGACAATAAATCTTTCTCCACCCATTTACTTTTATCTATATGTCTTTAAAGTAAATTTCTTATAGACAACATACAATTGGGTTTTATTTTTGATCCTTTCTTACATTCTCTGTATTTTAATTGGTGTATCGACATTCAAAGAGATTACTGATATGGGTCAGATTAATATCTACCACATTTTTTAGTGTTTTCCATTGTTGTCCCTGTTCTTTGTTCCTATTTTTGTCTTCCATTATTTTTCTGCCTTTTATGGCTTTGATTGAACATTTCACATTATTCCATTTTCTCTTTTCTTCTTAGTATATCAGTTGTATTTTTTAATTTTTTTAATGGTTGCTCTAGAGTTTGCAATATACAGTTACAACTAATTCAACTCCACTTTCAAATAAAACTATACTTACTTCACAAATAGTGCCTTATAGTAAAATATTCCTAATTCCTTCCTCACATCACTTGTATTATTTCTGCCATTTATTTCACATATACATAGCGTATATATGCAAATAATAAAATACATTGTTGCTATCATAATTTTGAACAAACTTTTCTTTATTAGGTCAATTAAGAATAGGAAACAAAATAATTTTTATTTTGCTTTCATCTATTTCTTCTTTGATGTTTTTCCTTTCTTTATGTAGGTCTGAGTTTCTGACGGATATGGTTGGCTGCACACCCACCCAAATCTCGTCTTGAATTGTAGTTCCCATAATCCCCACATACCATGGGAGGGACCTGGCGGGAGGTAATTGAATCATGAGGGCAGTTACCTCCATGCTGTTCTCGTGATCGTGAGTTCTCATGAGATCTGATGGTTTTATAAAGGGCTTTTCCCTCTTTACTGGGCACTTCGTCCTGCCTCAATGTGAAGAAGGTGCCTCGTTCTCCTTGCCTTCTTCCGTGATTGTAAGTTTCCCGAGGCCTCCCCAGCCCTGAGGAACCATGGGTCAATTGAACCTCTTTGCTTTATAGAGGACAGTCTTGGGTATTTCTTCATAGCAGAGTGCGAATGGACTAACACACTGACCTATATAACCCTTATCTCTGAATAGCTTATTTTAATTTTTAATTACGAAATAGGTCTACTAGCAACAAATACCCTCAATTTTTATTTGTCTGGGAAAGTCTTTATTTCTTCTTAACTTTTGAGGAATGATTTTCTAGAAAACAGAGTTCCAGATTGGTGGGTTGTTTTCCTCATGACATTTCAAATATTTCATTTCACTTTCCTTGCTTGCATAGTTTGTGAGAAAACAGATGTAATTGCTTCTCTATAGATAAGGATTTTTTTCTCTCCGGCTTTTTTTCAAATTTTTTTTATCCTTGATTTTCTGCAGTTTGAATATTATATGTCTAGATATAGTTTTTTTTTCTGGCATTTATTCTGCTTATTGGTTTATGAGTTTCCTGAGTCTGTAGTTCGTTATTAGACATTCATTTGGGGGAAATTTTCAGTCATTATTGTTTTAAATATTTCTCTGTCCCTTTCTCTCCTTTCTACTTCTGATATTTCCATTATGTATTATATATATGTTACAACTTTTGTAGTAATCCCACAGTTCTTGGATATTCTATTCTGTTTCTTCCCCCAGTCTCTTTTCTGTTTGCTTTTTCAGTTTTGGAGGTTTCCACTGACATATCCTCAAGCTCAGAGATTCTTTCCTCAGCCGTGTCCTGTGTACTTATAAGCACGTCAAAGACATTCTGCATTTCTATTGCACTGTTTTGATACCTAGCACTTCTTTTTGATTCTTTCTTAGTATTTTCATATCTCTGCCTTCATGGCCCATTTATTATTGTGCACTGTCTGCTTTATCCATTATTCATGTCTACTTTAGCATATTAGTTATCGTTGTTTTAAATTCCTGGTCTGATAATCTCAACATCTCTGCCATATCTGAATCTGGTTCTGAGGCTTGCTTTGTCTCCTCAATCTGTGTTTTTTGCCTCTAGCACATCTTGTAATTTTTTTCTTAATAGCCAGACTGAGCAAATTATTTTATTCAGTCTAATGTAAATTAGTATATTATTTTCTTGATAATGTACTGAGTAAAAGGAACTTCTGTAAATAATCCTTTATTCGTGTGGTTGTAAGGTGGTAGGGGAGGGGAATATCTTATAGTTCTATGGTTAGGTCTCAGTCCTCAGAAAGCCTGTGCCTCTGGACTGTCACAAATGCTTCCCATTTTTTCTCCCTAAAAGCAACAACAACAACAAAAGCAACTGGAACAGAATTGGTTAAGTGGGTTGGAGTTAGGCATTTCTCTTCTCCCATGTGGAAGACTACAGCTGCCTAGAGTTAAGATTTCTCTTCCCCCAGGTCATTAAGGCTCAGATAAAACCCCCGTAGGTTAGGCTCTGGTTAGTTTCTCCTGAGGGCAGACCTTGTTAAGAAGAATGAAGTGCTCTGGCCTATTTCAAAATAGTTCCTTTTTCCCTTTCCTTGCCAGAAGTACATGGGGATTTTTCTCTGATAGTCACTGTGAGGACCCAGTTGATTTCCTGGAGGTAAAACTCATGAAAGTGTTGGGGGCTTTCCTATGACTGGGTCTCCCTGAAGTTTTTAACTCTCAGAATTCTCCACACTGAGCTCCCCACAATTCATTCATTACCATTTAAAGAGCTGTTGAATGTTCACTTTGTTTAGATTTTTACCTGTTGTTAGAACAGAGTGGTGATTTCCAAGTTTCTTATGAGCCAGACTAAAAACCATTCTTCTCTGTGTTTTTCAGGTCTAACTTAACTAACCTTTTCATATCAAAATGGTTGGTGGTGTTGGTTTGGTAGAGAAGGAGATGTCAGGTCAAGGCAATCACTGTTGCATCTGAGATTTTCCCAGACTCCAGTCAGCCCTTTCTGCTCCAAGTACCAATAGCTTGATTGGCTTATGATTGTTATTATTATTGTGTAACAGACAAGCTACCCAAGATGTGTGTGAAAGATGAATATTATATTTTACTTAAAACTAAATTGGGTTTCTAATAAATTTTTAACAACTTTATTTAGGGATAGTTTATATACCATACAATTTACATTATAAATATACAGTTTGATTATTTTTAGTAAAATTTATAGTTGTTCAACCATTACTAGAGTTCAGTTTTGTAACACTTCTGCCCGCCCCCCCCAAAGTTTTCTACTTACAGTTTGGAGTCAATCCCTGCTCCCAGCTCTGATCCCAGACAACCATGGATCTTCTTTTGGTCTCTACATCTTTGTCTTTTCTGGAAACTTCATATACGTGGAATAAGACAATATGCATTATATACGTAGTCATCTGTGTCTGGCTTCTTCACTTAGCGTAATGTTTTCAAGGTTCATCTATGTTGCATATATCAGTGGTTTGTTCCTTTTGATTGCAGAATAATATTCCATTGTATGCATTTACCACATTTTGTTCATCCACTCATTGGTTGATATACATTTGGATTTGTTTTCAGTCCCTGGCTGTTTTGAATAATGCTGCTTCAAACATTTGTGTACAGATTGCTGGTTCTCATGGTAAAATTTTCATCTTAAGAAACTTCTAAACTGTTTTCCAAAGTAGCGGTACCATTTTACACCAGCCAACATCAATCTATGATTGTTTTGGTTTCCTCACGTACTCAACAACGCTTGTTATTGGTGGTCTTTTTAAAAATAACTACTCTTGGAGATTGTGTGATGATATCATTTGTAGTTTTAACTTTCATTTCCCTAATGACTAATGATGTTGAGCAAGTATTTATAAAAACAAACAAATGAAAACAAAGAAAAAAACCTCTAATAAAGCTAGTTGTATATCTGCTTTGTTGAAGTATTAAAATCTTTTACATTGAACATTTGGGGGAAATGGTTGTAAGATTATAAAAAAATATAATCTGTATACAAGTCCTTTTTCAGATATAACATTTGCATTTTTTGTCTGTAAATTATTTATTCTTTTTCTTAATTGTGTCTCAAGATCAGAGGTCTTTCTTTTTTAAAAATGTCATTTTTAATTTTTGTGGGTACATAGGTGTATATATTTATGGGGTACACAAGACATTTTGATACAGGCATGCAATATGAAGTAATCACATCATGGGCAAATGGAGTATCCATCCCCTCAAGCATTTATCCCTTGAGTTACAAACAATCCAATTACACTCTTTTAGTTATTTTATTTTATTTTTTTATTTTTTTTTAAATTTTATTATTATTATACTTTAAGATTTAGGGTACATGTGCACAATGTGCAGGTTTGTTACATATGTATACATGTGCCATGTTGGTGGGCTGCACCCATTAACTCATCATTTAGCATTAGGTATATCTCCTAATGCTATCCCTCCCCCCTCCCCCCACCCCACAACAGTCCCCAGAGTGTGATGTTCCCCTTCCTGTGTCCATGTGTTCTCATTGTTCAATTCCCACCTATGAGTGAGAACATGTGGTGTTTGGTTTTTTGTCCTTGTGATAGTTTGCTGAGAATGATGGTTTCCAGTTTCATCCATGTCGCTACCAAGGACATGAACTCATCATTTTTTATGGCTGCATAGTATTCCATGGTGTATATGTGCCACATTTTCTTAATTCAGTCTATCATTGTTGGACATTTGGGTTGGTTCCAAGTCTTTGCTATTGTGAATAGTGCCGCAATAAACATACGTGTGCATGTGTCTTTATAGCAGCATGATTTATAATCCTTTGGGTATATATCCAGTAATGGGATTGCTGGGTCAAATGGTATTTCTAGTTCTAGATCCCTGAGGAATTGCCACACTGACTTCCACAATGGTTGAACTAGTTTACAGTCCCACCAACAGTGTAAAAGTGTTCCTATTTCTCCACATCTTCTCCAGCACCTGTTGTTTCCTGACTTTTTAATGATCGCCATTCTAACTGGTGTGAGATGGTATCTCATTGTGGTTTTGGATTTGTATTTCTCTGGTGGCCAGTGATGATGAGCATTTCTTCATGTGTTTTTTGGCTGCATAAATGTCTTCTTTTGAGAAGTGTCTGTTCATATCCTTCGCCCACTTTTTGATGGGGTTGTTTGTTTTTTTCTTGTAAATTTGTTTGAGTTCATTGTAGATTCTGGATATTAGCCCTTTGTCAGATGAGTAGGTTGCGAAAATTTTCTCCCATTTTGTAGGTTGCCTGTTCACTCTGATGGTAGTTTCTTTTGCTGTGCAGAAGCTCTTTAGTTTAATTAGATCCCATTTGTCAATTTTGTCTTTTGTTGCCATTGCTTTTGGTGTTTTAGACATGAAGTCCTTGCCCATGCCTATGTCCTGAATGGTATTGCCTAGGTTTTCTTCTAGGGTTTTTATGGTTTTAGGTCTAACATGTAAGTCTTTAATCCATCTTGAATTAATTTTTGTATAAGGTGTAAGGAAGGGATCCAGTTTCAGCTTTCTACATATGGCTTGCCAGTTTTCCCAGCACCATTTATTAAATAGGGAATCCTTTCCCCATTGCTTGTTTTTCTCAGGTTTGTCAAAGATCAGATGGTTGTAGACATGCGGCATTATTTCTGAGTTATTTTAAAATGTACAATTAAGTTGTTGTTGACTATAGTCACCCTGTTGTGCTATCAAATAGTAGATCTTATTCATTTTTTTCTAACCATTTTTTTTATGCCCATTAACCATGCCACCCTTCTTCCCAGGGATTTTCGTTTTGATGAAGACCATTTTGTATTTTTGCATAAAGAGAGTGCCTTTGGTGTCTTCTGCAAATAAAGACACATTTCTGTCTTTTCAATATACATGCATTTAGCTTTTTATTCTTGGTTTAATAAACTAGGTAAAACTGCAAACACAATGTTGAATACAAATCCTGAAAATGGACATATTTGCCTCACTCCTGATATTAGGTGAAGTTTCATCTTTCAAGATTAATAGGATACTAACTGAAGTTTTTTAAAGAGATGCCCTTTATCAGAATGAGGAATTTGATTTCTCTTCCTATTTTCTTGAGATTTATTATTATTAATGATTCTTTACTACTTACAAATGTATTTTTGTATATCTATTGAGATGATTGTTCTTGTTTTCTTTATTCTATCACTGTGGTGTATTAAATTAATCAGTTAATATGTTAAGCCAATCTTGCATTTCTGTGATAAACTCCATGTTCTCATGGTGTATAAAGATTTTGTGTGTTTCAGGATTTGGTTTGCTAATATTTTAATAAGGATTTTGTGTGCTTATGAGGTGTATTGGTCTATATTTTTCTTTTCTTGTGATGTCTTTCTCTGGCTTTGGCATCAGGTTAAAACTGACTCTAGAAAATAAATTGGGGAGTGTTTCTCTTCTTTCTGTAAGTTTGCATGGGATTTGTGTTATTTCTTCATTAAATTGTTGATAGAATCATAGTAAAACCAGCTAGGGATTGGCTTTCCTTTATGGGAAGAATTTTAATTGCTAGTTCAAATATCTTCCCTGTATATAGATCTATTTTGAATTCCCATAAGTCAGTATTACTAATTTTTGTAGTTTGTCTAATTTCTTGGCATAAAATTATTAATAATATTGTTATTTTGTTTGTTTGTTTTTTGAGATGGAGTCTTCTTCTGTCATCTAGGCTGGAGTGCAGTGGTGTGATCTTGGCCTTCCAGATTCAAGGGATTCTCATACCTCAGCCTCCCAAGTAGCTGGAACTACAGGCATGCGTCACCATATTGGCTAATTTTTACTTTTAAAAATTTTTTTAGTAGAGATAGGGTTTCACCATGTTGGCCTGGCTGGTCTCGAACTCCTGCCCTCAAGTGATCCACTTGCCTCAGCCTCCCAAAGTACTGGGATTACCAGTATGAGCCGCCGTGCCTGGCCATTATTATTTTAATTTCTCTAAGATCTGCAATGATGTCTCCTATTTTATTTCTGAATTGTAGTTTGTGTCTTTCTACTTTATTCACAGTAATTCTCACTAAAGATTTATCAGTTGTTTTGCTTTTGCAAAAAAACAAAACAAACCCAAAAACACCAACTTTTGGTGTCGTCGTACATTTTCTTTTTTTGTTTTTCATGTCATTGATTTCTGCTATGAGCTTTATTATTTCTTTTCTTCTACTTCCTTTCAGTTTGCTTTGCTCCTGGAGAGGTAACGATAATGTATTATAGGAGTTTAAAGAATGATTACTCCCCATTCTTGAATCAGGAAATTCTTTGAGGATAATGAGCCTTGAAGAGTAGATTATGATGGAGTGAGAAAGATAAGAGGTAGTAGGGAAGACCTTCCCAGAAGAGGGAATAAGACAAGCAAAGGCAAGCAAGTACAGAGCGTATGGGAAACAACGAATTGATCACTTTGTTAACTAGAGACCAAATACATCAGCAAGCACAATTAATTTAAATATACTCAAGTCTCCAATTGAAAGACAAATGTTCTACCTTTATGATGGATTTGTCAAATTGGACTTTTGTCTAATTTTGTTTAATATATTTTAAAGTTATGCTATTAGGTACAGTTTTAAGACTTTCATCTTTCTGGTTATTGAATAGGTTAGATTTATCTCAGAATAGAAGGAGGCTTCAACATTAGAGAACATATTAACATAGTTAGCCATATTAACCAGGTTAAAAAAATCTTATGTTCATATCAATAGATAAGGAAGGTCATGAGAAAAAAATTAAGTTATTTTCGATTTAAAAAAATCTTAGATAACTTTCCTAACTTTATAATAATATGTACCTGAAAAATGTATAGTAGACATCATTCTTAGCAGTGAAACATTAGAATATACCTTTAAAAATAAAGGATAAGAGGGCTGGTCGCGGTGGCTCATGCCTGTAATCCCAGCACTTTGGGAGGTCAAGGCGGGTGGACCTTGAGGTCAGGAGATCGAGACCATCCTGGCTAACACGGTGAAACCCAGTCTCTACTAAATATACAAAAAATTAGCCGGGCGTGGTGGCGGGCGCCTGTAGTCTCAGCTACTTGGGAGGCTGAGGCAGGAGAATGGCGTGAACCCGGGAGGCGTAGCTTTCAGTGAGCCGAGATCGTGCCACTGCACTCCAGCTTGGGCGACAGAGCAAAACTCCGTCAAGAAAGAAAGAAAGAAAGAATGAGAGAGAGAGAGAGAGAGGAAGGAAGGAAGGAAGGAAGGAAGGAAGGAAGGAAGGAAGGAAGGAAGGAAGGAAGGGAGGGAGTAGGATATCTTATCATTCAACATTTTCTCTGGGCGCCTAGAAGACACATACCCAAAAATAGAAAGAAATAAAAACATGAAGATTTGAAAGAAAAAACACAACTCTTCTTTTTAAAAGATAGAAAAACCAAAATTATCTATAATTTCTCCTATCAAAATTTGAAAAGTTTGTAATATTAATGCACAAATTTGATAAGGTTACCAAATACAAGATCAGCATATAAAAGTAAATTTCATTTTTACGGCGCTAGTAATAAACAGCTAGAAAATGCAATTTGAATAATGAAACTATTTACTATGGCAGCAATAATAATGAAATGCTAAGACCTAATAAACACAACAAAAAATGTACATGTCTCTTAGGGAATAATTATGAAATTTATTGAAAGACAATGAAAAAGACCTGAATTAATTGAGAAATGTACTATATTCATAGACAGAAAGACTCAATATTATAAAGATGTCTTTGCTGCTAAAATTGATCTAGACCCATAGAATTTGTTGTAAAATTTAATTTATAATTTATATAGAAAAGCAAGGATTTATAATTGCCAAGACGCTCCACATTGATATAGATTTTGGTAAGCATTTTCTTTAACTGTTAAGATACATGGAACATGAAATGAATTGAAAACCAAACTTTTGTATGTGTTGCATGAAGCTCTTAGGTATCAATTCCAAATGACTTTCAGCCAGTCTATCATTAGTTCATCCATCCAATTATTTTGAAATTTATAGGCACTGGCATACTTGGAGCTCTCATTCTTAGATTTCATGCTGTGCCTTAAAATGAAATATGTGAAAATAATTTTTGATCTTCAGTAATTATGCATATTATCAGCAATATACTGATTTTTATAGCTTGTGGTCACGATCTTGGTCTTCTTAATAACTTTAACATTGTCCATATGACTTTGAGGAATGTTTCCACCTTGGCTTTCACTAGGATGTCTAATTTACCATTTTCATGTTTTCCCTGAATGAATCATGTATCACTAAAGTAATCAGCTTCTATTCTAAATTATCAGGCAGATGCTCACAAATTGACATTTTATTGATAGTCTTGCATAACGAATGAATAGTTCACATCAGTATCTCATTCTTTTGAAGTTTAATCTATTTGGAGGTACCATTGCAAATTTTTCTGCCTTTAGTTGGATTGCATGGCACACAATAAGCAATATTTTTGCATGAATCTCAGCAATAAAATATAATCCAGCTTTATTCATTTCTGAGTATCTTTCCTTCTTAGGTCTTATAGAAAGCTTGGTTGTTGTGTTGCAGCATAATCTGGAAATGTAGTCATTCTTCCAAAAAATAGTCAACTTACAATAATCAATTTACATCTCACTACATAATTTTCCTGCCATTTTACACATACTATAGCTTTGTGTCTTAATGCCCAATTACGACTCATTCTATAGACTACATGTATGTGTATATGTAATTGTTGGTTCATCATATCTTTTTAAAGATATTTAACTGGCAGTTAAATTAAACAAAAATGACACAAACAATGCCCATTAGTCAACTAATGTGAGATTGAGAAGTGCTGTAACAGAGTTTGTATATGTATAGGAAATGACGGTTATGTCATCAGACTGCATACCTAACAGTAATAGTGACAGCATCAATTGTAAGATACAGTTTGATCTCAGAAATGTTAAAATGTGAAAAAAGTGTATCTTAGAATCAACAAATACTTTTATCTTCCATCATTGGGATGAAAGAAAAGGCATATTGGAAGGAGGATGAAGCACAAGTCAGGGATGCAGTCATGGAGAATGGAAGTGTTATAACATTCTAAAACTGGCCCTTCCCCTCAGAAGAATAAATTAGGCTGATAAGAAAACAAAGGAATCTTGAATTAAAGGAGTGAATCAGAGATCATTCCCTTGGCAATTTGTTCAAATTCCAGTTAATTCAGGCTCCTCTAGACAGATGTTTCTGTACACTAGGGGGCTGTAACACACAACATGTTAAAAAAAATATTGATAGCTTGTTTTGTTTGTTTTTAAATTTTGTTTCCTCAACAAACATTTATTGAACATGAATTGTTAGGCTGAACATTGTAAGGAATATTAAATGACTACATTCTGTACTCAGCCTATAAGAGATTTATAATTTGGTAAGGGAGACAAAGCATGGATAAAAGTTAAAATAAAGTGAGGCATAAAACTGGACCAAAGAATTACAAAAATTCAAAAGAGTAGTGAATCTTTGTCTAGATAAGCTTGTCCAACCCACAGCCCATGGGATGCAGGCAGCCAAGGATGGCTTTGAATGTGGCCCAACACAAATTCATAAACTTTCTCAAAACATTATGAGATTTATTTTGTGTGTGTGTGTGTGTGTTTTTGTTTGTTTGTTTTTAGCTTATCAGCTATCTCTAGTGTTAGTGTATTTTACTTGTGGCCCAAGACAATTCTTCTTCTTCCAGTGTGGCCCAGGGAAGCCAAAAGATTGGACACCCCTGGCCTAGGTCATCAGTTGACATTCGTTTGAGTTGGAAAAAATTTAACCGTATCCTTAATGACTGACCAGACTGTGTATTTCAGGGGATCCTCCTGACCACAGTTTGTGGGCAGCGTAAGAACAGAAGCAGCTGCCTCTTGCAAATATCCTTGAGGGGCAGCTGGGTAATACCAGGGCACATGCTTATTCCACATCTTAGTCACTATGTTCCTCCTCTTGTCCTCCTCTCCTTCCTTCCTGTTTTCCGACTTCCCTCCTTTGGCTTCTTCCTTGGGGTACTACAGACCATAATCACCTGGCAGTGACTGTAAATATAGTCGTAATCTTTCAGGTGGCATTCTGGACTAAAGAAGTTGCTCACCCCAGCTCCCAGGTAAATTCTGGGACATCTTTTTTCCTCAAAAGTTACTGTGGCCACAAACACCGTTTGCTGATATAATGGTTTGTGCATTTTCAAATGTTGCCAGGATTGCAAGAGAATGTTTATAGCCCTTTGAATTAGGGAGGCAAAATGGCAGAGCAGGTGCAGGAGCAGAGCTGTGGCCCTCCTTCCTTTACCATCACGCACACACCCTCTTGCCCACTTTCTAACCAGGCTATACAAGTGAAGTTATAAATCCATTATGAATTCTTTACAAGAACCAAGGTCTACACTGTTCAGGAGCCCATGGCAAAAAAATACCCTGCTTTCTCACTTTGGCTTTCCGTCGTATGTTTGGTAGTTGAGAAAGATCTATTTAAATATTTGTTTCATTTATTTTTTAAATGTTTAATTTAAAAGAACTATCAGGCTGGGTGTAGAGGCTCACACCTGTAATCCCAGCACTTTGGGAGGCCAAGACGGGAAGATCACTTGAGCGTAGGAGTTCAAGTCCAGCCTGAGCAACATGGTGAAATCCCGTCTCTACGAAAAATACAAAAATTAGCTGGGCATGATGGCACACACCTGTAGTCCTAGCTACCGGAAAGGCTGAGGTGGGAGGAGCACTTGAACCTGTGAGGCCGAGGTTGCAGTGAGCTGTGATTTTGCTGCTGCATTCCATTCTGAGTAACAGAGTGAAACTATGTCAAAAAAAAAAAAAAAACCATCAATTTTAAAAGTTGCAAATATAGTACACCCATATAATCTTTACTCATTACAATCATTAATGTTTTTGCTATATTTGCTTTTTAAAATCTAATTATTATTCTTATTCTTGTTGCTGAAAATTAGAAAGTAAGTTGCAGATACCATAATCCTTTACTTCCAAACTATTTCAATGTATATACCCTAACAAGGACATTTTCCTAGATAACAAAAGTATAATAATAAGGTAAGAAATTTGATGCTGATATAATATTGTCTAATATACAGTTCCTATTCAGATTTTACCAATTTTCTCATTAATGTCCTTTTTGGTGATTTTTTTTTCCCATTCCAGGATCGGATCTAGAATCACACATTGAATCATTGTCATGTTTCTTTAGTCTCCTTTCATCTGGAACTATTCTTCTATCTTTCATCATCTTTAACATTGATTTTTATTTATTATTATTATTATTTTTTGAGACAGAGTCTCGCTCTGTCGCCCAGGCTGGAGAGCAGTGGCACGATCTTGGCTCACTGCAAGCTCCGCCTCCTGGGTTCACGCCATTCTCCTGCCTCAGCCTCCCAAGTAGCTGGGACTACAGGCGCCCACCACCACGCCCGGCTAATTTTTTTGTATTTTTAGTAGAGAAGGGGTTTCACCGTGTTAGCCAGGATGGTCTCGATCTCCTGACCTCGTGATCCGCCTGCCTTGGCTTCTCAAAGTGCTGGGATTACCGGCGTGCGCCACTGCTCCCGGCCCCAGCATTGATTTTTTTAGAAATTCAAGCCAATTACATGTCTCTGAATTTGGGTTTGTCTGATGTCTTCACATGATTTCTTTCCATTAATACATTTTTGGCAGGAATTTAGCATATTTTGAGACTATTACATTAGGAGGTCAGAGATTCCCCTTGTTAGGGGTTAAACCATTTTTTTTAAATTCCCCAAGCAATGTAAGAGTACTGATTTCCCCACAGCCTCACCAACAGAGTGTGTTGTCAAGTTTTGCATTAACTGCCAATATGATTGATGAATAATATGATATATTGATGCAGTTTTTAAGAAATAAACTTCATCGAAGTAGAATTAGAAAGCAATAAAATGGATCCATTTTAAGCACACAATGTGATGAATTTCAACAACACTTATAAGATACAGACTATGTTCATCACTTTAAAAAGTTTCTCATTGGCTGGGCGCGGTGGCTCACGCTTGTAATCCCAGCACTTTGGGAGGCCGAGGCTGGCGGATCAGGAGGTCAGGAGATCAAGACCATCCTGGCTAACAAGGTGAAACCCCGTCTCCACTAAAAATACAAAAAATTAGCCGGGCGTGGTGGCGGGCACCTGTAGTCCCAGCTACTTAGAGAGGCTGAGGCAGGAGAATGGCGCGAACCCGGGAGGTGGAGCTTGCAGTGAGCTGAGATCGCACCACTGCACTCCATCCTGGGTGACAGAGCGAGACTTCGTTTAAAAAAAAAAAAAAAAAAAAAAAAGTTTATCATTTTGTTTCAGTTAAATCCCCCCAAATTCTTGCCCCAGAAAAACACTGATCTGCTTTCTGACACTATTGATTATATTTGTGGAGGCTAGAATTTCATATAAATGGAATCATAAGGCGCTATAGTTTTTCTTTTTCCTATTTTATTTATTTATTTATTTATTTGAGATGGAGTCTCGCTCTGTCACCTAGGAGTCACCTAGGCTGGAGTGCAGTGCTGTGATCTCGGTTCACTGTAACCTCTGTCTCCCGGGTTCAAGTGATTCTCCCTCCTCAGCCTCCTGAGTAGCTGGGGTTATAGGCGTGCGCCACCATACCCAGCTAATTTTTGTATTTTTAGTAGAGACAAGATTTCACCATGTTGGCCAGGCTGGTCTTGAACTCCTGACCTCAAGTGATCCATCTGCCTCAGCCTCCCAAAGTGCTGGGATTACAGGCGTGAGCCATTGCGCCCGGCCGATGCTATAGTTTAGATGTTTGTCTCCTCAAACCTCATGTTAAAGTCTGATTCCAGTGTTGGTGGTGGGGCCTAATATGAGGTGTTAGGTCATGCTCTATGGCTGAACTACTCCATCCTATTCATATCCCTCATGAATACACTAATGCCTGCAAGAGTGAGTTCTCACTCTTACTAGTTCCTGAGAGATCTGGTTGTTAAAAAAAAAAAACAGCCTGGCACCTGCCTCTCCTCTGTCTTGCTTCCTCTCTCACCATGTGATCTTTAACACACCAGCTCTCCTTCACCTTCTGCCATGTGTGGAAGCAGCTTGAGGCACTCAGACTGCAGAACCACAAGACCAATAATCCTCCTTTCTTTATAAATTACCCAGCCTCAGGTATTCCTTTATAGCAACACAAACAAGCTAAGACATAAGGCATGTACACATTGTGTCTGCCCTGGCTTCTGTTTCTCTGCATAACACTTTTGCAACCCACCCACGTTGCTGCATATACCAGCAAATTATTTTTCTTATTACTGAGTAGTATCCCATTGTGTGACTATGCCACAATTTATTTATCCATTGTCTTTTTTATGGTGTTTTGTTTCCAATTCGTGGCTGTTATAAATAATTTATGAGCATTTATGAACAAGTCTTTGTGTTGACTTATGATTTTATTTCTTTTAGGTAAATATGTAGGAATGAGGTTATCAGGTCATATTGTAGGTGTCTATCTAACTTGATAAGAACTTTCCAAACTGCTTTCCATAGAGGTTGTACCATTTTACATTCCTGCCAGCAATGTTTGAGAGTTCCAATTTCTTTGCATTCTCACCAACAGCTGGTATGATTATTTTTAATTTAGAATTAGTGGGTGTGTAATGGTATCCCATTGTGGTTTAAATTGCATGTTTATGTTAACTAATGATTTTGAGCATCTTTTTATGTGCTATTTGTATATCTTGTATTGTGAAGTCTCTTTTCAAATGTTTTGCCTGTTTATTATTTGGTTGTTTGTCTATTACTGAGTTTAACAAATACTTAGATGTACAGATTGCAAATATTTTCTCCGTTTGTGCCTGTCTTTTCATTGTCTTAAGTATATTTTGAAGAGAAGTTTTAATTTTGACAAAATGAAACCTATCATTTTTCTTCTTTTATGGTGTGCATTTTGTGTGATATCTAAGAAAACATGCCATAAGCGTGGGTTGATTTTCTCATGTTTTCTTCTAGAATATTTATAGTTTTATCACAATGTAGACATATATCAAAACATCACATTGTGCCCCATAAACATATATAATTTTTATTTGTCAATTAAAAACAAGAACAAAGAATAATAGAATAAAAATTAAAAAATTAATTACATTGAGATTAAAAAAATATGTGTGTATGTTTATAGTATATATGTATGTATATAGTTTTAGCTTTACATTTTAGGTCTGTGATCTATTTTGAGCATCTCAAATCTTGTGTCACTCTAGCTTCATGAAAATCTCTTTTTATCCCCCCACCACTTTGTTTCTCAAGAAAATTTTTCTCTCAGGGGACAAGCCTGATTTTTTTCACCCTGGCAGTGCCCAGAATCAGCAAATGCCTTTATGAATAGTTGCAGATCTTCTACTTCCTTCTGAAGGATTTTCCTTCTTTGAAATTTTTCTCCAAGTCATTGTTGCTTTCACCCCTCTCTGATGCTCTTAAATATATGACTGATGTAATTTACCTGGATTTTCTGTTTATTTGTTTGGTGTCCCTGACCTGTTGTGAACTACTTTATCCTGTTAGAAGTGGGTCACCTTTTCTGACTGCTTTTAATATTTTTTAAAAATTTGTCTCTAATTTTTAACAGCGTGCCTGTGTGTAGTTTTCTTTGTATTTATCTTGCTTGTCGCTGTAGCCCTTCTTAAATTGGAAGCTTGATGTCATTCATAAACTTTGAAAAATTATTGCCTATTAGCTTTTCAAAATGCTCTGCCCATCTTTTCTAACCTTTTCTCCTGAGATTTGAATTTTACATACTTTAGATCTTTTCACTGTATGGCATATATCTCTTATGTTCTTGCCTGTGTATTTCCATCCTTTGGTTTCTGTGATTTAGTTTGTATAATTTCTTCTGCCCTTTCTCCCAGTTTATTAATTCTTTCTTTAGCTCTGTGTGATTTGACTTTAAATGTATTCACTGAGGTCTGAATTCCATTTAAAAAATTTTAAGCTCTAAAATTTCTCTTTTTTTTTTTTTCTTTTGGCAGAGTTTCGCTTTTGTTGCCCAGGCTGGAGTGCAATGGTGCAATCTCGGCTCATTGCAACCTCTGCCTCCTGGGTTCAAGAAATTCTACCTCAGCCTCCCAAGTAGCTGGGTTTACAGGCGCGCGCCACCACGCCTGACTAATTTTTTGTTTTTAGTAGAGACGGGGTTTCCCCATGTTCATCAGGCTGGTCTCGAAGTCCTGACCTCAGGTGATCCACCTGCCTCAGCCTCCCAAAGTGCTGTGATTACAGGCGTGAGCCACCACACCTGGCCTGGTTTTTTATATAAATTATATTCAATTTTTGTTGAAATTCTTCATTCTTTCATTTATTTTCTTGAATATATTGTCATACTTATTTAAATTATGTGTCTGGCAACTTTAATGTTTAGATCACCTATATATCTGATTCTTTTGTCTGCTTTTTCTCTGGCGTTTGACTCAAAATTTTTAATATGTCAATTTTGGATTGAGTGCAGGAAATTGCATATTAAAAACCTTCAAGATAACTGGGTGCTCTTAATTATTGTATCTTCCTTCCTGAATAATTTATTTTGCTTTGACAGAAGGTTAGGATAGAGGTGGGTCACCTTAAATTTTTTAAAGACTTAGTTGATATAAAGACTTCAGTCTCTGTGAGTATATTCTACTTCCAGGTCACCCTTATTTCTATGTCAGGGATCTTTACCAAAAGCCCCTCCTCCTTGAAGAGTCCTAACCTGCCATTTTTGTTCTTTAACTCTCCTGAGACTGCAGAAGTTCTGCCTAATTTTTAGGTTTTCAGCTATGCTTTTTGCTTTTGAAATTACCAAGTAAATTGAAGTAAAATTTCAACTCAAATGCTCTGTTCATCTCTTATTCTCTCTTCTTCTAGACTTTCACCTTTAAAATTCTCACCATTTCTTATGTCTTCAAATGGATTTTTTAAAAATTTGTCTATTTTTTATTGTTTTCAATAGGGAAGTTGGTCTAAGTCAACCTAGTCATCAATACTAGGGATGAAAACTATGAGTATCATATTTAATTTCCATGTGTATCATTCAGTACTTGCTAATCATCTTCCCACATCATGCTAAGCCAAAAGAGTGGCTTTTACAGTATTGTAGGGAACTGGGTGGAGAGGCAGGTTGGGTGAATGAGAATTTTCCCCAAGCTGTCCTCTGTCACATCTGTGGCCTCAGAACAATCATCTGTAGTGGTAATTGCAAAGTGTATTGCAGGGCATACACGCGGCTGGTGAGGGAAAATTGGACTGCCCATGAGATGATGTATCTGGTAGACTTTGGAGGTAGGTGAGCTGAATTAGTCATGACTGCTTGGGATCATGCCATGGAAACCCTCAGAAACTATCAAAAGGAGGTTATTTGTATCCTCAGTTTAGGTGGCCTGAATATACAGACTATATTTAAAATGGAATTCCTCTAATTTAAATAAAATACACTCTTCATTCTGAATTTTCTTATTCATCTTGTTACTGTGTCAATTCACTAAGCCTTCAAAGGATGGCAGAAGTATAATATCTGTGGAAATCTCAAGAGGTCATTTTTATGAGTTCTAACTTTATTATCAAATAATATTTTATAAACCTTCTGTGATAGGATTTTGTATCTTCCAAAGACATTATTCTCCATTGTAGAGTAATCTTCTTTTTCATTTAGAAAACTGTATACTGGGATCAGTGGTTAGGTCTTAAGAAGAAAGGAACTGAGCTAAAAGTTTAATTCTACCCCTGTAAATTGTTCACTGGAACCTTTCCAATTCATTCGGAACAATCAAGTATTGTAAGGGTTATGGGTGGAGGGAAGAGGAAAGAAATTGCTCTTATTGATTAAATTTTCTTTTCTTTCTGAGTTCTTGATTTGTCAGATTCCTCTGAGTTCTTGTTTGCACCAACCTTTGAGTTCTTGTTTGCACCAATGATTTTATCCGATAGTTGATCCCAAATCGTCTTAGCTTTTCATAGGTCACCCTTCCAAGGTTCATGAGAAAAAAGTGAAAGTTTGCATCTTTGGTACTTCAATTAACACTGACTTCACTTGGTATTAGTGCTACTTTTAGCAACTGTATTAGTGTATCCTCACACTGCTTATAAAGAAATACCAAAGACTGGGTAATTTATAAAGGGAAGAGGTGTAATTGACTCACAGTTCAGCATGGCTTGGGAGGCCTCAGGAAACTTACAATCATGGCAGAAGGGGAAGCAAACACATTCTTTTTTACACAGCGGCAGCAAGGAGAAGTGCCTGGCAAAAGGGAGAAAAGCCCTTTATAAAACCATCAGATCTCCTGAGAACTCACTTATTATTACCAGAACAGAAGCAGGGGAATAACCACCCCCATGATTCAATTACCTTCCACCAGGCCTCTCCCACAACATGTAGGAATAATGGGAATAACAATTCAAGATGATATTTGGGTGGGGACAGAGCCAAACCATATCATTTCATCCCTGTCCCCTCCCAAATCGCATGTGCTCACATTTCAAAACACGACGATGCCTTTCCAGCAGTCCCCCAAGGTCTTAACTCATTACAGCATTAACCTGAAAGTCCAAGTCCAAAGTATCATAAATTGACACTCAATATTAACCATTGGCCAGATGTGGTGGGTCACACCTATAATCCCAGCACTTTGGGAGGCCGAGGCAGGAGGATCACTTGAGGTCAGGAATTCGAGACCAGCCTGGCCAATATGGCAAAACCCCAGCTCTACTAAAAATACAAAAATTAGCTGGGTGTGTTGGTGGGCACCTGTGATCCTAGCTACTTGGGACGCTGAGACAGGAGAATAGCTTTAACCCAGGAGGCAGAGGCTGCAGTGAGCTGAGATCGCACCACTGCACTCCGGCCTGGGCGTCAGAGTGAGACTTTGTCTCAAAAAAAGAAAAAAAAATTAACCATCACAGCAACCTTTCAGAATTCATATGTACCTGTGAGCATGGTGTATAAACTGAGCTGAATCAATAAACAAGACCTACTTGATGGAAAAACCCTAATAACTCCTCCCATAACAATCTCTACAGTACACCTATTTATTCATCGCTAAGCTCCTTGGTAACTATGGACCAAAACCTGTGTGAAACTTAAAAGAAGAAAAGCAATTAATCTTCTGAACTACAGAAAAACACCCACAATCCAGGTATAAGATAGTTCCCCAATCTGAGCCTCATCTGCATAAAGTGTGTCGGAATCAGCAGCTAAATGAGGAAATAAAGCCCTGATATTTAAAGTCGGTAATGCTTTGGTTCATTTGCCTTTTGATGTAGTATATTTTTATGGCTGAGAGGAAGTAACACACTGAAAAGGACAGAGGAGAGGAGGAGGAAGTGGCAGGCAGTGAGGGCGGAGAAAATAAGGGCAGAGCCACTGAGAAGAAAAACATTAAAAAGCAATAACTTTAGCAAGAAAGACACCAAAATGATTACATGATATCTCCAATAGATTTTACATTAATAAAAAAACTACTGATCGCATTTCTAATGAAAAAGACTTCGAACAGTTGATAAAAAATGATTTATCAGATAATTTCAGTAATAATTTTCAAGACCCACTTTATAGTGAACACATGACACACATCACATGGAGTGTTACGGTCATCTTCTGATTGTTGGGCTTTAATTATGTAAATATTTTCTTCAATCATTTAATTGCTTCATTCAGGTATAATTGGTATGCAACAAACTACATATTTAAAGTGTGCAGCTGACATATGTACACACTTGTGAAGCCATCACCACAATCAACATATTGAGCAGATCAATCACACCCAAAAGATTTCTCATGCCTCATGCCCCTTTGTGTCCCTGCCTCCTGCCTCTGCCCACTTCCTTCCTACCCTGAGGAACCAGTGATCTGCATTCTTTTATTACAGACAAGTTTGCAGTTTTTGGATTTTTGTTTTGTTTTTGACAGTGTTTCGCTCTGTCACCCAGGCTGGAGTGCAGTGGCACGATCTTGGCTTACTGCAGCCTTCACCTCCTGGGTTCAAGTGATTCTCCTGCCTCAGCCTCCTGAGTAGCTGGGATTACAGGCACCTACCACCAAACCTAGCTAATTTTTGTATTTTTAATGGAGACAGGGTTAGGCCATCTTGGCCAGGCTGGTCTCAAACTCCTGACTTCAAGTGATCTGCCTGCCTCAGCATCCCAAAGTGCTGGGATTACAGGCATGAGCCACCATGCCTGGCAGTTTTCAGATTTTTATATCAATAAAATCACGCTACATGTACCCTTTTTCTGGCTTCTCTTAACCCAGCAAAATTATTTTGAGATGCATCCATGTAGAGCACATATCAACTGTTTCTTTCTTGTTATTGGTGAATATGATATATATCATACATTGTTTTTTCATTCACTTGCTGATGCACCTTTTTGTTTGTTGCTATTGCAAATCAAATTGCTGTGAGCATTTATGTACAGGTCTTTTTGTGGAGGTTTGTTCTTAATTCTGTTAGGTAAATACCTAAGAGTAGAATGGCTAAATCATGCGGCAGAAATATGTTTAACATCTCAAGAAATTCTCAAACTGTTTTACGAAGTAGGGAGTTCTAGTTCTTCCACATTCTCACCAAAACTTGGTGTGGTCAGTCTTTCTAATTTTAGCTCTTTTTATTTCATACAACAAGACATGCTTAAGATTCTAGAGGATCACCCTTTGAATACAGAAAATAAAGACCAGCCCCTCATCAGAGAAGCTTTCCATGACCACCCAAATTAAAGTAGCATCCCCCAATTATTCCATACTGTATCACCCTCGTTTTGTTTTTTGTATTGTACTTATTGCTACTTGATATTTTCTTGTTAATTTGTCAATTAAAAATAATTCTCATCCTGTGAGCTAAAATTCTCTCCATAAAAACATACACATTTCAATCTCATTCAGGGTATATTTCCCTTAGCCAGAATAATATCTGGCCCATTTTAAGTGCTGAATAAAATGCTGAAAGAGTATTTTCCAGCTCTGGCCTGACAGCGTTGCTCCAATGGAAAGAATTTCAAATGAAAAATCAACTTGTCTTAAAAAGTGGAAGACAGTGTGGTGATTCCTCAAGGATCTAGAACTAGAAATACTATTTGACCCAGCAATCCTATTCCCAGGTATATACCCAAAGGATTGTAAATCATGCTGCTATAAAGACACATGCACACGTATGTTTATTGCAGCACTATTCACAATAGCAAAGACTTGGAACCAACCCAAATGTCCAACAATGATAGACTGAATTAAGAAAATGTGGCACATATACACCATGGAATACTATACAGCCATAAAAAAGGATGAGTTCATGTCCTTTGTAGGGACATGGATGAAGCTGGAAACCATCATTCTCAGCAAACTATCACAAGGACAAAAAACCAAACATCGCATGTTCTCACTCATAGGTGGGAAGTGAACAATGAGAACACTCCGGACACAGGAAGGGGAACATCACACACCGGGGCCTGTTGTGGGGTGGGGGGAGGGGGGAGGGATAGCATTAGGAGATATACCTAATGTAAATGACGAGTTAATGGGTGCAGCACATCAACATGGCACATGTATACATATGTAACAAACCTGCACGTTGTGCACATGTACCCTAGAACTTAAAGTATAATAAATATATATATATAAAGAAAAAAATAGCACCACAATGAAGCTCCAAGCTCACTGACATCTACACTCCATCTCTACTTATGACTTCTTTGTTCATGTCACCAGTGATTTCATTCTACCAGTTGTGATTCCTGTTGCTTAACATTTCCTGTTCTGGAATCTGTTTTATCCTGACCTCAAAGTCATCATCATACCTATCTCTGGTGCCAAAGCAATGGGAGAAAGAAAAATAACTTCCTTCCTGAGTTTATTATTTCTGTAAGCAATCACTCCACTTTTTTTGATGGTTGTTGTTGTTTGTTTGTTTTATATACCCTCCATCCTGCTGCCGCATCCCAGACTTTCTTTCTTCATAGTCCTACACCTGAAAATACCTTTCATTTCCTTGGCTACCTAGTCAGTTCAAGCCAAGATTTTTGCCTATCCTGACTGAGTTGCCTGCTTCCAAGTTCCCCTTTTGCTTTCATTCGCTTTACACACAGCATCTAGATAACATTCCCAAAGTAAATTCTCACCTTTTATTCTATCAAAAAAAAGCCTGAATGACGTTCTAGGCAAAGGTTGCAAATGAGCCACCTATGGTTCTAATTTCGATGGAATATATGTTTTGTTTGTTTGGGTTTCTCAGTTTTAAAACAAAATTTTTACCCATTTGTTAAATAGTTAAGGGATTTTATATATAAATCTGATTTCTCATAAAAACTAAAAGATCTGCAAACAGTGACCTAGGCTTTCATGAGACAGTAAACAGCTGAGTATTGTCTGCTCCCTATAAACAAAGTAAATACTCCCCAGTTTGCCAGAGTCCCCAACACTCCCTGTTATCTCCCTGCTGGAGCCAAGCATAAGTTGTTATTTATGTTACTCTTGTGCTGTTGTTTTTCTTAGAGTGGAGAAATATTTCTCTAACCTTGTCTGTTTTTCAAACATAAGAAAATGAAAACCTGAGAAGGCTACATATTTGCTTATGGGAATGCAGACCATTTCTAACTATATAATATGGAAAAACTTGTATATGTCTTCATCATACATTTAGCACTATTTACTCTCTTCCATTTCCTACCCAGCCTCTGTGGAGAAGAGAATTTGTGACCCCATGTGATTATACCCCAGAATGGGAGCAGATCCCTCACTCAGACATTCAGCACTTTCCACCGCAGAGGCCCAGGTGGACTTTTTAACCTCACTACTGCTGCACCTATTCTATCTTCAACCAAGATTGTTGTGGCTGAAACTTCTTATGCACTGTCCTGCAGGCCTAAAATCTTTTTCCTATAGCCCCACTCTTTTCAGACTTCACAGCCCACCCACACTTTTTCTGTGAAAAGCCTTTCTATCTTCAAATTGGCCCTTGTCAAAGGCGACTGTCCCTAGTAATCGTTACTGATCTGTCTGCCAGATGTGGCTTCCTTCCTCTCAGCTTCCGTAGCTTTGTTCTTCTACTGCACTTATGGGGCCTATATTCTGCTTTAAGTTTTAATATCCCACTAGGTATTATGTCTAGGGTTCTGGAAAGCTCCAAAGACGCAAATAATATTTTTAGAACTGGAAGAGAATAAAAAAAGCTTAGGACAATAAACAGCAGATATAAACATCTGACATTTAAAGATTTATTACTCAGGACATTTTACTTATACATGCATACACACACATTCTTGCACAAACACTTCTAGGAAGAATATCACAGTGATTTGGAGAATGGGTTTTCAGGTTAGTCATATGTACCAATAGCAGTGATATTCTAGCTAAATTTATTCTGGGGTGAAGTACTTAATCCCACTGAATCTGTTATCACTAAAAAACTACAGGTTTAATATTTCTTTCATAGTGTTGTTAAAAAGATTAAATGAACATAAAACAGTTATCACAATGCTCGGCGTGATATAATAAGCACATTATAAATGGTACCTGTTGTGACAATGGTAATAATTTTAAAATAATTAATGTACTTTCCTCTTGTGACTTTTCAGGTGTAAAAACTTTACCCCAGTACTACTAGAGATGGGGAAAGGAAATTAGCAGTGTTACAAAAGAAAAATAATGAAAATATTATTTTTCATATTTGACATTGAAAGTAGAATTTATGCATCAAGACAATAGCCTAGGCCAGGCATGGTGGCTCATGCCTGTAATCTCAGTACTTTGGGAGACTGAGACGGGTAGATCGCTTGAGGTCAGGAGTTCAAGACCAGCCTGGCCAACATGGTGAAACCCTGTCTCTACTAAAAATACAAAAGTTAGCCATTGTGCACTTATAGTCCCAGCTACTCGGGTGGCTGAGGCATGAAAATCGCTTAAACCTGGGAAGCAAAGGTTGCAGTGAGCTGAGATCGCACTGCTGCACTCCAGCCTGGGCAATGAAGTGAGACTCTATCTCTAGAAAAAAAAAAAAAAAAAAGACAATAGCCTGGTAAAACAGATTATCATTTTGAGAGAAGATTTTAAAATTTCCTTAATATTCTCCCCAACTCTTATTTTTTAGCATATCAAGATAAGCATATTTAGCCTCATAACTAGATTCTTGAGGTTAGAGTTTTCCATAAGGAGTCCCAGACAGCAAGATTCAAGTAGAGAGCCTGCACTTTTCTGGCCGCCAAGGGTTACAGGGAGGAGAGAGAGGGAGGGAGAGAACCACACAGGCGTTGCTCTTGCTAGTTGTCCGCTAGCACACACCTCTATCACCCACACTGATGCTCTTTCTCTCATTCCAACACTGCTATTGGCTCAGTCACCACACCCAGGAGGATACGGAACCCTTTCTCAGAAAAGAAGGAAGCACTCCTGTGAATACGATGCTGGAAGGGGTTTTCCTGCCCATACAATTAGAGCTATCTTGGCTTTTTTTTTGCAGGATCACCCAGGGTTGCATCTAAACACATTTCTTGCTCATGATCAACCAGTCATCCCTTCATTCCTCTTCTATATCCAGGCGTGTTTGCTCCAAAAGTTTATCTAGCCCTCATCTGTCCTCTTCCTTTTAATTTAAAATGAAAACAATTTCACTTCTTGAGAAGATGGACAATATATGCTCCCTGTAAAAAACTGCAAACAATATATGAAGAAGAAATAAACTGATTCTTGAAATCCACTTATCCTGTGATAACCACCGTTAATATGTAGTGACTCTCCTTTTATATATCTCATCATGCAAATAGACAAATATTATGTGTATATATTTTCACATAGTTTATATCATATGCTTGCTGTTCTTGTCAGAAACAATCTTCTAGTTCTTTAAAAAATTACGTCTTTCCTCATATGCATTTTCATAAGACTATAATATCTATGTATTGTAAATTTTCATATCTTTCTACTGCTCACATCATTATATATACACAAATACAAAGGAAAGAAGGAAGATAAGTAGGAAGGAAAGTTACCTGGTAAACATTCAGATGAGCTCCCAAATGATAGCCAGCATGAACTCCTTGCTATGTAGGTGAGCCATCTGCATGACCAGGTCAGCCTTCAGGGGACTTCAGTCCCAGCTACCATGAAAGACTCCAGATGAGAATTGCCCTGGTGAGCCTAGTAACACCATAAAGCCATGAGAGATAATAAACTGTTGTTCCAAGGCACCACATTTGGGGGTGGTTTGTTACATAGCAAATAGATAATGGAACAGAAATTGGTACCTGTATGTGAGGTGTTTTTGTAACAAACAGCTAAAACATGTAATATTGACTTTGGGATTGAACAGTTGAGTGGAACCTTAGCAGTTGGGAAAAATGTTGGCAAACTCTTGAAGAACAGTAAGGAAGTTATTATTTGTTGCTGGATGGAAAAGGCTGGGAGTTATATATAGCAGAACAATTAGCAACACTATCTCCTGAGTTCCTGTGGAATACAAAAAGGGTACTTAACAAACACTTGGCTTTGCAAAGAAAATATCCAGGCAGAATGTTGAAAGTGCTGACTGGCGTCTTCTAGTGTCTATGATGAAATAGAAGAAAGGTTAAAATAAAGATGAAACTGCCCAGTTTTTATTAAAATTTATTGGAAAATAGGATCCATGCCAGTCTTTCTAGCTAGCAAAATCTTCTCAAAGTAAGAAATTGGCTCAGAGCAAAGATTATACCCATGGCACTACCAGCAACACATAGTTTCAGGGTACAGATTAAATAAAAAACATGGCCCTTGTAGATATCTCAGAAAAGTTAAAATTAATGTCCTCATAGACCTCTGAGGTAGACAAGAAAGCATTTAGCAATCTTAAGGGCGTATCACTCAGTCCTAATCTGCTGGGCAAAAAGTTTCTGAGAACCTTGGCATCATCTCAAAGCACCTGATGCTCATTCCAAAGGAGAATGTGGCCTATCCTGAAGATATTCATGTGTGTGGATTTGTCTCATGGAAATAGCACCAGTAATATTCATTGGGAACCTTAAAGAGCACTGTGTTGGAGAAACATACAAACACACATACAACCCACCTACTTGGACTTAAAGGAACACGGGCAATTCAAAAGGAAAAGAGCTCACAGAGGCCCCAACCGTCTTCGGGCCTGAATAAATCTATGAAATCAGCTCAGCTGTTAACAGTGCTATCTCTTATGGAAAGGAAAGATGTCCTGGAGTGCAGAATCAAGAGCTCAAAAGACAGAGCCTAGAACCACAGAGAATTGGCATGGTGCAGTGGCTCACGCCTGTAATCCCAGCACCCTGGGAGGCTGAGGCTGGTGGATCAACTGAGGTCAGAATTTCTAGACCAGCCTGGCCAACATGGTGAAACACTGTCTCTACTGAAAATACAAAAAATTAGCTGGGCGTGGTGGAGTGTGCCAGAAATCCCAGTTATTTGGGAGGCTGAGACAAGAGAATCACTTGAACCCAGGAGGCAGAGGTTGCAGTGAGCTGAGATTACGCCATTGCACTCCAGCCTGGGTTACAGATCAAGACTCTGTCTCAAAAAAAAATCCCACAGAGAATTACCTGTAGGGTGGAGAATGGACTCAGCACTATTTCTACAGTCCACCGACAGTGATGTGCCTCCTGATCTTCCCCCTTTTTAAGTGGAAGTGTTTCATACAGTTCTCTCATCCCTGTCTCACCATTGTACTTGGGTGTGTAAGGGCAGATAACTTGTCTCTTGAATTCACAAGTCTTCAGATTGAGAGGGATCATACTCCAAGAGTGCATTCAAGGTGCTTCAGCAAAGAACTGGCCCCAAGGAGCCCCATTCATACCTGGACCTGCTTTAGGTGAAATCACAGACTTACAACCTGACCCTCGTGACTTAATACAGTGAGACTTTCGGGGTTTGAGAAGGCTGTGAGAGCAATTTGCTGGTAGAATGAAAATAAATCATTAGAAGTAAAAGGAAGACTTCAAGACCTAGTTTCCCATGATGACCCCAGTGAACTACACTTCCCTTTATTCATGCCTTTGTGTAGTTCCTGCACACACTGAATCTGGACTAGCCCTGTATAACCAATAACATATGACTGATGTGATGCTGTGTGACTCCCTGGGCTAGGTCATAAGAAGCCTTGAAGTTTCTGCTTAAGTCTCCTGGCATATTTACCCTTGGAACATTCCCTTTCAAAATCCAGCTGCCATACTGTAAAAAGCCCAAACCACATGGAAAAGCTACATATAAGGACCCAGCTAAACTCACAGTCAGCAGCCATAATCAACTGTAAGCTACATGAGTGAGCCATCTTCTATGTCACGTCCAATCAAATTTTCAGATGAATATGGTACTTACTGCCACCTGCCACCAGCTGCTTGAGAGATCTGAAGCAAGAGCTACTCAGCTAAAGTACCCATAGAACAGTGAAAGATAACACATTGTTGTATTTAAGTCACTAAACTTTATGGTGGTTAGTAGCAATAGAAAAACAGGATACTGCCAAATACTTTTCCAAAATATTGTAGCCAATTTACACTCCTGTCAGTAAAGTATGACAATATCATATGTTGGTAAGGATTTGAATCAACTAGAATTCTTATATTTTGTTGGTGAGAGATTCTGGTGGATGTATAGTGTTAGATGGTTGATTTTTTTTAATATGACAGATTTATTTTATATATCACATACTATGCAATTCAATCATTTAAATAGAATATTCAATGGTTTTTAGCATATATTTACAGAGTTATGAAAGAATCAGCACAATCAATTTTGGAACATTTAATCACCTTGAACACAAGAAACTCCATACCCATTAGCAGTTACTGTGAATTTTCCTTCAACTCCTCGGACAGTAGGCAACCACTACCCTGCTTTCTGGCTTCATAGGTTTGCATATTCTGGACATTTAATATAAATTGAATCTTAAAATATGTGGTTTTTTGTGACTAGCTTCTTTCACTTAGCATAATGTTGTCAATGTTTGTCCATGTTGAAATATCTACCGGTAATTCATTCCTTTTTATTGCTGAATAAGTTTCCATTTTATGGTGTGGTAGACAGAATAATAGCTCCCCAAAAGATGTCAATATACTAATTCTCAGAACCTGTGAATATGTTACCTTATATAGCAAAAGAGGCTTTGAAGATCTGATTAAGTTAATAGTCTAGAGATGGGGAGACTATCCTAAAGTGTCTGGGTGGGCTCAGTGTAATCACAGGGGCTTTATAAGAGGGACACAAGACAGTCAAAGTTAAGGAGAAGGTGATGTGACTACAGAAACAGAGAGGAAAAAGAGGCTATGTCTTGCAGAACCATGAAACAATGAATGAGGGAAGCCTTTAGAAGCTGAAGAAGTCAAGAAAATAATTCCCAGAATGAACCTCCAAAAGGAACATAGCCCTGCAAACACTCATTTTAAAATCTCTGACTTCTAGGATTATAATATAGTAAACTAGCATTGCTTTAAGCCATCAAATTGTGGTAATTTTTTACAGAAGCAATAGGAAATTAAGACATATTGATGTGCCACATCATATATGTGTGTGTGTGTGTGTATGTATATATGTGTGTATATATACACACACATGTGCTCCAGTTAATGGATATTTAAGTTGTTTCTACTTTTTTACTATTATGAATAATGCTTCTGTGAACATTTGTGTGTAATTTTTTGTGTAAACCTGTGTTTTCATTTCTCTTGGGCATCGGGCTAGGAGAAAGATTGCTGCATCAGATGGTAACTATGTTTAACCTTTTGTGGAAATACCAGAGTGTTTTCCAAAGCAATTCTGCCATTTTATATTCCCACCAGCAGTGTCTGAGGGTTCAACTTTCTCCACAACTTGTCATCATTTTTTATCTGTCTTGTTATTACAGCCATCCTAGTGATGTGAAAGCTCTCTGATTGTGGTTTTGATTTGCATTTCACTGCTGGTTAACGTTGCTGAGCCACTTTTCATGTGCTTATTGGTCATTTGGATATCTTCTTTGGAGAAATGTCTGTTCAGATACTTTGAACAGTTTTCTAATTGGATTTTGTTTTATTACTGAATTATAAGTGTTTCCTACATATTCTGGGCACAAGTTCCTTATCAGGTATATAATTTGCTAATATTTTCTCCCATTCCACGGGTTGTATTTTCACTCTCTTGATGGTACCTTGAAGGAGAAAAGTTTTAATTTTAATGAGGTCCAATATATCTTTCTTTCTTTCTTTTTTGTTCATGTGCCTTTGGTATCAGATCTGAGACAAGGTTGTCTAGTCCAAGGCTGTGAAGATTTCCTTAGATGTTTTCTCAAAAAATTTTACAGTTTTAGCTCTTATATTTAGGACTACAGTGCATTTTAGTTAATTTTTAGATACAGCTTGAGGAAGAGATCTAACTTTATCCTTTTATATGTGGATACTCACTCATCCCAACAATATTTATTAAAAACACTATTCTTTTGCCCTCGAATAGTCTTGAGATCCTTATAAAGAATCAATTGACCATTAACATGAGGGTTTATTTCTAGATTCTATATGTCTATCCTTATACCAGTACCATACTGTCTTGATGATTTTGCTTTATTGTGTGTCTTGAAATCCAGAAGTGTGCGTCCTGCATCTCTTTTCCTTTTCAAGAATCATCTGGCTATTTTAGGTCACTTGTATTTCCATATGAATTACAGGATCAACTTCTCAATTTCTTTACAGAAATCAGCTGGAAATTTAATACAGATTTCATGGAATCTCTGCATCAATTTGGAGAGTATTGCCATTTAAAAAGATTAGTTCTTCCAAATCATGAACATATGGAATGTGTTCCCACTGTTTTAGATCTTCTTTAGTTTTTTTCAACAATATGTTATAGTATTCAGGATGTAAACTTTGTTAAATTTATTCTGAAATAATTTATTCTTTTCATGCTATTATAAGTAGAATTTTCTCAATTTCATTTTTGAGTTATTCTTTGCTAATGTATAGAAACAGAATTGTTTTCATATATTGATCTTTTTCATGCAACTTGCTGGATTAGTTTATTAGTTCTACTACATTTTAGTGGATTCTTCAAGATTTTCTACATACAAGATTGTGTCATCTGTATATATAAATAGTTTTACTTCTTCCTTTTCAATATAGATAGCTTTTTACCCCCCATTTTCTTACCCAATTACTCTGGCAAGAAACTCAGTACAAAATTGAATAGAAGTGATGAGAGCAGATATTCTTGTTCTGTTGCTGTCTTACTGGAAAAGCATTAAGTCTTTTATCATTATCTATGATGTCAGCTGTTGGTTTTTTGTAGATGACCTTTATTAGTTCTGTTCTATTCTTGGTTTATTGAATGTTTCTGTCTTGAAGGGCTGTTTAAATTTTCAAGTTTATTTCTGTATCTATTGCAATGATTATTTGATTTTTGTCATTACTTTTTAGTAGTGTATTACATTAGTTTATTTTCAGTTAAAATTGTTTTGTCATGGTACATAATCCTTTGTATATGTTGCTGGATTTAGTTTTAGCATTCCACTGAACATTTGTGCCAAAGATATTAGTATGTAGTTTTCTTGTAACCTTTGTCTGGCTTTAGTATCACCCTGATACCAAGGCCAGAATAAAACTTTGATTATGTTGAGGAGTGTTCTCCCCTCTTCTATTCTTTAGAAGAGTTTGTGAAGAATTGTTAACTCTTCTTTCAATGTTTGGTAGAGTTTACCACTGAAGCCATTTGGACCTGGACTTTTACTTGTGAAATAATTTTGATTACAAATTAATCTATTAACTTTTTAAAGTTTGTTCAGTTTTTCTATTACTTCTTAAGTCGGTTTTGATGATTTGTATCTTCCCAGGGTTAATTCATTTCATCTAAGTTGTCTAATTTGTTTTAATATAATTGTTCACAGTATTCACCTATAATCTTTTTAATTTTTTTTTATTATTATACTTTAAGTTCTGGGGTACATGTGCAGAATGTGCAGGTTTGTTACATAGGTATACACGTACCATGGTGGTTTGCTGCACTCAGCAACCCATCATCAACATTAGGTATTTCTCCTAATCCTATCCCTCCACTAGCCCCTCATCTCCCCAACAGGCCCAGGTATGTGATGTTTCCCTCCCTGTGTCCATGTGTTCTCATTGTTCAACTCCCACTTATGAGTGAGAACATACGGTGTTTAGTTTTCTGTTCTTGTGTTAGTTTGCTGAGAATGATGGTTTCCAGCTTCATCCATGTCCCTGCAAAGGACGAGAACTCATCCTTTTTTATGGCTGCATAGTATTCCATGGTGTATATTGGACACATTTTCTTTATCCAGTCTAACATTGATGGGCATTTGGGTTGGTTCCAAGTCTTTGCTATTGTGTACAGTACCACAATAAACAAACGTGTTTATGTGTCTTTATAGTAGAATGATTTAGAATCCTTTGGGTATATACCAAGTAATGGGATTGCTGGGTCAAATGGTATTTCTGGTTCGAGATCCTTGAGGAATCGCCACACTGTCTTCCACAATGGTTGAACTAATTTACACTCCCACGAACAGTGTAAAAGCATTCCTGTTTCTCCACGTCCTCTCCAGCATCTGTTGTTTCCTGATTTTTTAATGATAGTCGTTCTAACTGGTGTGAGATGGTATCTCATTGTGGTTTTGATTTCATTTCTCTAATGACCAGTGATGATGAGCTTTTTTTCATGTTTGTTAGCTGCATAAATGTCTTTTTTAGAGAAGTGTCTCTTGATATCCTTTGCCTGGTTTTTGATGGGGTTGTTTTTTTCTTGTAAATTTGTTTAAGTTCTTTGTAGATTCTGGCTATTAGCCCTTTGTCAGATGGATAGATTGCAAAATTTTTCTCCCATTCTGTAGGTTGCCTGTTCACTCTAATGATAATTTCTTTTGCTTTATAGAATTTTGTTAGTTTAATTAGATACCATTTGTCAATTTCAGCTTTTGTTGCCATTGCTTTTGGTGTTTTAGTCATGAAGTCTTAGTGCATGCCTATGTCCTGAATGGTATTGCCTAGGTTTTCTTCTAGGGTCTTTATGGTTTTAGGTCTTATGTTTAAGTCTTTAATTCATCTTGAGTTAATTTTTGTATAAGGTGTAAGGAAGGGGTCCAGTTTCAGTTTTCTGCATATGGCTAGCCAGTTTTCCCAGCACCATTTATTAAATAGGGAATCCTTTTCCCCATTGCTTGTTTTTGTCAGGTTTGTCAAAGATCAGATGGTTGTAGATGTGTGGTGTTATTTCTGAGGCCTCTGTTCTCTTCCATTGGTCTAGATATCTGCTTTTGTACCAATACCATGCTGTTTTTGTTACTGTGGCTTTGTAGTATAGTTTGAAGTCAAGTAGCGTGATGCCTCCTGCTTTGTTCTTTTTACTTAGTATTGTCTTGGCTATGTGGGCTCTTTTTTGGTTCCATATAAAATTTAAAGTAGTTTTTTTCTAATTCTGTGGAAGAAAGTCAATGGTAGCTTGATGGGGATAGCACTGACTCTATAAATTACTTCAGGCAGTATGGCCATTTTCACAATATTGATTTTTCCTATCCATGAGCATGGAATGTTTTTGCATTTCTTTGTGTCTTCTCTTATTTCCTTGAGCAGTGGGTTGTAGTTCTCCTTGAAGAGGTCTTTCATACCCTTTGTAAATTGTATTCCTAAGTATTTAATTATCTTTGTAGTAATTCTGAATGAGAGTTCACTCACAATTTGGCTGTTTGTCTGTTATTGGTGTATAGGAATGCTTGTGATTTTTGCACATTGATTTTGTATTCTGAGACTTTGCTGAAGTTGCTTATCAGCTTAAGGAGATTTTGGGCTGAGACAATGGGGTTTTCTAAATATACAATCATGTCATCTGCAAACAGGGGCAATTTGAATACCCTTTATTTGAATACCCTTTGAATACCCTTTATTTGTTTCTCTTGCCTGATTGCCCTGGCCAGAACTTCCAATACTATGTTGAATAGGAGTGGTGAGAGAGGGCATCTTGTGCCAGTTGTCAAAAGGAATGTTTCCAGCTTTTGCCTATTCAGTATGGTATTGGCTGTGGGTTTGTCATAAATAGCTTTTATTATTTTGAGATATATTCCATCAATATCGAGTTTATTGAGAGTTTTTAGCATGAAGCAGTGTTGAATTTTATCTAAGGCTTTTTCTGCATCTATTGAGATAATCATGTGGTTTTCGTCATGGGTTCTGTTTATGTGATGGATTACATTTTTAAATTTGCATCTGCTGAACCACCCTTGCATCCCAGGGATGAAACAGACTTGGTCATGGTGGAGAAACATTTTGATGTGCTGCTAGATTCAGTTTGCCAGTATTTTATTGAGGATTTTTGCATCAATGTTCATCAGGGATATTGACCTGAAATTTTCTTTTTTTGTTGTGTCTCTGCCAGGTTTTGGTATCAGGATGATGCTGGCCTCATAAAATGAGTAAGTAAGGAAGGAGTCCTTCTTTTTCTATTGTTTGGAATAGTTTCAGAAGAAATGGTACCAGCTCCTTTTTGTACCTCTGGTAGAATTCGGCTGTGAATCTGTCTGGTTCTGGACTTTTTTTGGTTGGTAGGCCATTAATTATGGCCTCAATTTCAGAATTATTTATTGGTCTATTCAGGGATTCAAATTATTCCTTGTTTAGACTTGGGAGGGTGTATGTGTCCAGGAATTTATCCATTTCTTCTAGATTTTCTAGTTCATTTGCATAGAGGTGTTTATAATATTCTCTGACGGTAGTTTGTATTTCTGTGGGATCAGTGATGACATGCCCTTTATCATTTTTTATTGTGTCTATTTGATTCTTCTCTCTTTTCTTCTTTATTAGTCTGGCTAGCAGTCTATCTGTTTTGTTGACCTTTTCAAAAAAACAGCTGCTGGATCATTGATTTTTTGAAGAGTTTTTGGTGTTTCTATCTCCTTCAGTTCTGCTCTGCTCTTAGTTATTTGTTGACTTCTGCTAGCTTTTGAATTCGTTTGCTCTTGCTTCTCTAGTTCTTTTATTTGTGAAGCTAGAGTGTCAATTTTAGATCTTTCCTGCTTTCTCTTCTGGGCATTTAGTGCTATAAATTTCCCTCTACACACTGCTTTAATGTGTCCCGGAGATTCTGGTACACAGTGTCTTTGTTCCCCTTGGTTTCAAAGAACTTCTTTATTTCTGCCTTCATTTCGTTATTTACCCAGTAGTCATTCAGGACCAGGTTGTTCAGTTTCCATGTAGTCCTTCATTTCGTTATTTACCCAGTAGTCATTCAAGAACAGGTTGTTCAGTTTCCATGTAGTTGTGCTGTTTCTTAATCCTGAGTTCTAATTTGATTACACTGTGGTAAGAGAGACTGTTATGATTTCTGTTCTTTTGCATTTGCTGAGAAGTGTTTTACTTCCAATTACGTGGTCAATTTTAGAATAAGTGTGATGTGGTGCTGAGAAGAATGTATAGTCTGTTGATTTGTGGTGGAGAGTTCTGTAGATGTCTATTAGGTTCACTTGGTTCAGAGCTGAGTTCAAGTCCTGAATATCTTTGTTAATATTCTGTCTCGTTGATATTTCTAATATTGACAGTGGGGTGTTAAAGCCTCCCACTATTATTGTGTGGGAGTCTAAGTCTCTTTGTAGGTTTCTAAGAACTTGCTTTATGAATCTGGGTGCTCCTCTATTGGGTGCATACATATTTAGGATAGATAGCTCTTCTTGTTGCATTGATCCCTTTACCATTATGTAATGCCCTACTTTGTTTCTTTTGATCTTTGTTGGTTTAAAGTCTGTTTTATCAGAAACTAGGATTGCAACCCCTGCTTTCTTTTTTTTCTTTCCATTTGCTTGGTAGATCTTCCTCCATCCCTTTATTTTGAGCCTATGTGTGTCTTTGCACATGAGATGGGTCTCCTGAATACAGAACACCGATGGGTCTTAACTCCTTATCAAATTTGCCACTCTGTGTCTTTTAATTGGGTCATTTAGCCCATTTACATTTAAGGTTAATATCATTATGTGTGAATCTGATCCTGTCATTATGATGCTAGCCGTTTATTTTGTCCGTTAGTTGATGTAGCTTCTTCATAGTGTCGATGGTCTTATAATTTGGTATGTTTTTGCAGTGGCTGGTACCAGTTGTTCCTTTCCATGTTTAGTGCTTCCTTCAGGAGTTCTTGTAAGGCAGGCCTGATGGTGACAAAATCTCTCAACATTTGCTTGTCTGTAAAGGATTTTATTTCTCCTTCGCTTATGAAGCTTAGTTTGGATGGATATGAAATTCTGGTTTGAAAATTCTTTTCTTTAAGAATGTTGAATATTGGCCCCCACTCTCTTCTGGCTTGTAGGGTTTCTGCAGAGAGGTATGCTGTTTGTCTGATGGGCTTCCCTTTGTGGGTAACCTGACTTTTCTCTCTGGCTGCCCTTAACATTTTTTCATTCATTTCAACCTTGGTGAATCTGACTAATATGTGTCTTGGGGTTGCTCTTCTCAAGGAGTATCTTTGTGGTTTTCTCTGTATTTTCTGAATTTGCATGCTGGCCTGTCTTGCTAGGTTGGGGAAATTCTCCTGGATAATATCCTGAAGAGTGTTTTCCAACTTGGTTTTATTCTCCCCATCACTTTCAGGTACACCACTCAAACGTCGGTTTGGTCCATTCACATAGTCCCATATTTCTTGGAGTCTTTGTTCGTTCCTTTTTATTCTTTTTTTCTCTAATCTTGTCTTCTCACTTTATTTCATTAAGTTCTGCAATCTCTGATATCCTTTCTTCCACTTGTTCAATTCGGGTATTGATACTTGTGTATGGTTAACAAAGTTCTCGTGCTGTGTTTTTCAGCTCCCTCAGGTCATTTATGTTCTTCTCTAAACTGGTTATTCTAGTTACCAATTTCTCTGGCCTTTTTTCAAGGTTCTTAGCTTCCTTGCATTGCGTTAGAATATGCTCTTTTAGCTCAGAGGAGGTTGTTATTACCCAGCTTCTGAAGGCTACTTCTGTCAATTTGTCAAAACTCATTCCCTGTCCAGTTTCATTCTCTTGCTGGTGAGGAGTTGTGATCCTTTGGAGGAGAAGAGGCATTCTGGTTTTGGGAATTTTCAGCCTTTTTGCACTAGCTTCTCCCCATCTTCATGGATTTATCTACCTTTGGTTTTTGATGTTGGTGACTTTCAGATGGGGTTTCTGAGTATACATCCTTCTTGTTGATGTTGATGTTGATGTTGATGTTGATGCTATTCCTTTCTGTTTGTTAGTTTTCCTTCTAACACTCAAGCCCTTTTGCTGCAGATCTGCTGGAGTTTGCTGGAGGTGCACTCCAGACCCTGTTTGCTGGGGTATCACCCGTGAAGGCTAAAAAAACAGCAAAGATTGCTACCTATTCCTTCCTCTGGAAGCTTCGTCCCAGAGGGGTATCCACCAGATGCCAGCCAGAGCTCTCCTGTATGAGGTGTCTGTTGGCCCCTACTTGGAGGAGGTGTCTCCCAGTCTGGAGACATGGGGGTCAGGGACCCACTTGAGGAGGCAGTCTGACCCATAGCAGAGCTTGAATGCTGTGCTGGGAAATCCGCTGCACAGAGTCGGCAGGCAGGGACATTTAACTCTGCTGAAGCTGTGCCCACAGCCTCCCCTTCCCCCAGGTGGTCTGTCCCAGGGAGATGGGAGTTTTATCTATAAGCCCTTGGCTAGGGCTGCTGCCTTTTTTTCAGAGATGCCCTGCCCAGAGAGGAGGAATCTAGACAGGCACTCTGGCTGCAGTGGCTTTGATGATCTGTGGAGGGCTCCGCCCTGTTGGAACTTCCCCACAGCTTTGTTTACACTGTGAGGGGAAAACCGCCTACTCAAGCCTCAGTAATGGCAGACGCCCCTTCCCCAACCAAGCTCGAGTGTCCCAGGTTGACTTTAGACTGCTGTGCTGGCAGAGAGAATTTCAAGCCAGTGGATCTTAGCTTGCTGGGCTCTGTAGGGGTGGGATCCACTGAGCCCCACCACTTGGCTTCCTGGCTTTAGTCCCCTTTCCAGGGGAATGAACAGTTCTGTCTCACTGGTGTTCCAGGCACCACTGGGATATGAGAAAACTCCTGCAGCTAGCTCGGTGTCTGCAGAAATGCCTGCCCAATTTTGTGCTTGAAATCCAGGGCCCTGGTGGCATAGGCACCCGAGGGGAACTCCTGGTCTGTGGGTTGTGAAGACCATGAGGAAAGCCGACTATCTGGGCCACGATGCACTGTTCCTCATGGCACAGTCCCTCACAGCTTTCCTTGACTAGGGGAGGGAGTTCCCTGACCCCTTGCACTTCCCAGGTGAGGCAATGTGGCATCCTGCTTTGGCTTGCCCTCTGTGGGCTGCACCCACTGTCTAACCAGTCCCAATGAGATGAGCTGGGTACATCAATTGGGAATGCAGCAATCACCCGCCTTCTGCATAGATCTCACTGGGAGTGGCAGACCAGAGCTGTTCCTATTCGGCCATCTTGCTAGGTCTCTCTGTTTCTATTTATATCTTACTGTACTGTCTGTGTCTTGAAGATTTGTTATTATTATTAATTAATTAATTAATTTTGAGATGGAATCGTGCTCTGTCACCCAGGCTGGAGTGGATTGGCACAATCTTGGCTCACTGCCACTTTGCCTACCCAGTTTAAAGCAACTCTCCTGCCTCAGCCTCCCAAGTAGCTGGGACTACAGGCATGTGCCACCATGCCTGGCTAATTTTTGTATTTTTAGTAGAGACAGGGTTTCACCATGTTGGTCAGGCTGGTCTCAAATTCCTGAGCTCAGGTGATCTGCCTGCCTCAGCTTCCCAAAGTGCTGGGATTACAGGCATGAGCCATTGTGCCCGGCCTTTATTATTTTAGATTAGTTCATCTTTTACTCTTTCTGCTTAAGATATAAGTAGTTTACAAACCACAATTAAATGATAATCATATTCTGTGTTTTCTTTTTTTTTTCTTTTGTTTTTTTGAGACGGTGTCTCACCGTCACCCAGGCTGGAGTGCAGTGGCGCAATCTTGGCTCACTGCAGGCTCTGCCCCCCAGGTTCACACCATTCTCCTGCCTCAGCCTCCCGAGTAGCTGGGACTACAGGCACTCGCCACCTCGCCCGGCTAATTTTTTGTATTTTTAGTAGAGATGGGGTTTCACCGTGTTAGCCAGGATGGTCTCGATCTCCTGACCTCGTGATCTGCCTGCCTCGGTCTCCCAAAGTGCTGGGATTACAGGCATAAGCCACTGCGCCCGGCCATATTCTGTGTTTTCTGTGTACTTACCATTACCAGTGAGTTTTGTACCTTCAGATGATTTCTTATAGCTCATTAATATGTCCTTTTCTTTCAGATTGAAGAACTTCCTTCAGCACTTCTTGTAGGGCAAGTCTAGTGTTGATGAAATCCCTCTGCTTTTTTTTTTTTTTTTAATCTGTGAAAGCCTTTATTTCTCCTGCATGTTTAAAGAAAATTTTTGCCAAATATACTATTCTAGGGTAAAAACGTTTTCTTCCTTCGGCACCTTAAATATCATGCTAATCACTCATGGTTTCCACTGAAAAGTCTGCTGCCAAAGGTATTGGCACTCCATTGTATGTTATTTGTTTCTTTTCTCTTGCTGCTTTTAGTGTCCTTTCTTCTATCCCTGACTTTTGGGAGTTTGATTATTAAATGTCTTGAGGTAGTCTTCTTTGGGTTAAATCTTCTTGGTGTTCTATAACCTTCTAGTACTTGAATACTGGTATATTTCTCTAGGTTGGGAAAGTTTCCTGTTATTTGCTCTTTGAATAAACTTTCCACTTTTATCTTTCTCTCCACCTCCTCTTTAAGGCCAGTAACTCTTAGATTTGTCCTTTTGAGGCTATTTTTCTAGATCTTCACTGTTTTTTATTTTTTCTTTTGTCTCTTCTATGTATTTTCAAATAGCCTGTCTTCAAGCTCACTAATTCTTTCTTCTGCTTGATCAATTCTGCTATTAAGAGACTCTGACACATTCTTCAGTATGTCAATTGCATTCTTCAACTCCAGAATTTCTGCTTGATTCTTTTATGTCATTCTAATGTCTTCTTTAAAGATATCTGATAAATTCTGAATTCTTTCTTTGTGTTATTTGGAATTTCATTGACTTCACTCAGAACAGATATTTGGCCAGCTGCAGTGGCTCACATCTGTAATCCCAGCATTTTGGGAAGCCGAGGCTAGTGGATCACCTGAGGTCAGGAGTTTGAGACCAGCCTGACCAATATGGTGAAACCGTATCTCTACTAAAAATACAAAAAAATTAGCTGGGTGTGGTGGCAGGCACCCTTAATCCCAGCTACTAGGGAGGCTGAGGCAGGAGAAGCGCTTGAACCTGGGAGGTGGAGGTTGCAGTGAGCCGAGATCATGCCATTGCACTCCAGCTTGGGTGACAGAGCAAGACTCCATCTCAAAAAACAAACAAACAAACAAAAAAGCAAAAAAACACAGCTATTGACTTCTCTGTTTGAAAGGTCACATACCTCTGTCTTTCTAGGATGGGTCTCTGGTGCCTTATTTAGTTCATTTGGTGAGGACTTCTCCTCAAGCAGAAGGAAGGAGGGCTCTTTTGGAGCTGTGAGCTATGCTGCCTGGGATTGAGGGAGGGGTGGTGCAACACTCCCTTGTCTGCCCTGGCTGGCGTTTCAGTAGGTCATGTGCCCACCAAGTCCCCTAGCTCTGAGCCCAGCACAGCAGTAGAACTTGCCTAGGAGTTGCAAGTTTTGTACCCTAGACTGCCTGACAAGGTAATTTAGGACCCCAAAGCACTTTAGCCCATGGAGGCAAGGCTTGCTGGAACTGAAATTACAACCTCTGGATAAACAATTCCCCTCTGCCTATGGCTGGTCTAAATGCTCCCTCTGCGGGTGTCAGCAGAGTTCTGTCCAGTCTTGACAGCACTGTAGGCCATACAAAGTCCTACTGGCTGTGCCCTCCCTCCCTCAAGTGCACAGATTCTCTGTGCTACATGACACTGCCAGGGTATGAGGGAGGGGTGGCATCAGCAAGTGAAGACTGTCTTTCTTACCCTCTTCATTGCCTCTTTCAGTGATATAAAGTTAAAACCAGTTATTGTGATTGTTCACCTGATTTTTGGTGATTTTCTTGAAAGGTCCTTTTTGGGTGTGTAGATAGCTGTTAAATTTGGTGTTTCTGCTAGGCGGTGGATGATTGATAGGGGCTTCTATTTGGCCTCTTGTTCCACCTCCTCCAGCTAGTTTTTATTTAATGACAAATAATGTTAAATACCTTTTCGAAGGCTTATTTATGTCTTTTGCTCTTTTTAGTTGTTGAGATTTTTTATTTTTAAATTATTGATTGGTAAGAGTTTATTAAAGGGTCTGGAAATGCATACAGTATTGAATATATTAATATGTATTACCCTATTTTCTTCTAGACCGTGGCTTATTTTTCACTCTCTAAATGATGACTTTTAGTCAACAGAGGTTCTCAATTTAATGAAATTTAATTGTAATTTCTTTCCTTAATGCTTAGGGCTTTCGTGTATCCTGTTTAAGCAATCTTTACCTTTCCAAGGATTATAAAACTATTCTCCCATGTTTTCATCTAGAAGCTTTTTATTTTTTAAATTTAATTATCTGATGAATTTTTATTTTTTCTTTGTATATAGTATAAAGTAGAATTCATTTTACTTCCCAGATGGATCAAAAAAATAAGTTCTACTCATTTTATTTTATTTTTTTATTATTTTATTTATTATACTTTAAGTTCTAGGGTACATGTGCACAACGTGCAGGTTTGTTACATATGTATACATGTGCCATGTTGGTGTGCTACACCCATTAACTCGTCATTTACATTAGGTATATCTTGTACTGCTATCACTCCCCCCTCCCCCACCCCACGACAGGCCCCGGTGTGTGATGTTCCCCTTGCTGTGTCCAAGTGTTCTCATCGTTCAATTCCCACCTATGAGTGAGAACATGTGGTGCTTGGTTTTTTGTCCTTGTGATAGTTTGCTGATAATGATGGTTTCCAGCTTCATCCATGTCCCTACAAAGGACATGAACTCATCCATTTTTATGGCTGCATAGTATTCCATGGTGTATATGTAAGTGCCACTCATTTTATTTTATTTTTTTATTTTTTTTTAATTTTTTTTCTTTTATTATTATACTTTAAGTTTTAGGGTACATGTGCACATTGTGCAGGTTAGTTACATATGTATACACGTGCCATGCTGGTGCGCTGCACCCACTAACTCGTCATCTAGCATTAGGTATATCTCCCAATAGTATCCCTTGCCCCTCCCCCCACCCCACAACAGTCCCCAGAGTGTGATGTTCCCCTTCCTGTGTCCATGCGATCTCATTGTTCAATTCCCACCTATGAGTGGGAATATGCAGTGTTTGGTTTTTTGTTCTTGCGATAGTTTACTGAGAATGATGATTTCTAATTTCATCCACGTCCCTACAAAGGACATGAACTCATCATTTTTTATGGCTGCATAGTATTCCATGGTGTCAAGGTGCCACATTTTCTTAATCCAGTCTATCATTGTTGGACATTTGGGTTGGTTCCAAGTCTTTGCTATTGTGAATAGTGCTGCAATAAACATACGTGTGCATGTGTCTTTATAGCAGCATGATTTATAGTCCTTTGGGTATATACCCAGTAATGGGATGGCTGGCTCAAATGGTATTTCTAGTTCTAGATCCCTGAGGAATCGCCACACTGACTTCCACAATGGTTGAACTAGTTTACAGTCCCACCAACAGTGTAAAAGTGTTCCTATTTCTCCACATCCTCTCCAGCACCTGTTGTTTCCTGACTTTTTAATGATTGCCATTCTAACTGGTGTGAGATGGTATCTCATTGTGGTTTTGATTTGCATTTCTCTCATGGCCAGTGATGATGAGCATTTTTTCATGTGTTTTTTTGGCTGCATAAATGTCTTCTTTTGAGAAGTGTCTATTCATGTCCTTTGCCCACTTTTTGATGGGTTTGTTTTTTGCCTGTAAATTTGTTTGAGTTCATTGTAGATTCTGGATATTAGCCCTTTGTCAGATGAGTAGCTTGCAAAAATTTTCTCCCATTTTGTAGGTTGCCTGTTCACTCTGATGGTAGTTTCTTTTGCTGTGCAGAAGCTCTTTAGTTTAATTAGATCCCATTTGTCAATTTTGTCTTTTGTTGCCATTGCTTTTGGTGTTTTAGACATGAAGTCCTTGCCCATGCCTATGTCCTGAATGGTATTGCCTAGGTTTTCTTCTAGGGTTTTTATGGTTTTAGGTCTAACGTTTAAGTCTTTAATCCATCTTGAATTGATTTTTGTATAAGGTGTAAGGAAGGGATCCAGTTTCAGCTTTCTACATATGGCTAGCCAGTTTTCCCAGCACCATTTATTAAATAGGGAATGCTTTCCCCACTTCTTGTTTTTCTCAGGTTTGTCAAATATCAGATAGTTGTAGATATGCGGCGTTATTTCTGAGGGCTCTGTTCTGTTCCATTGATCTATATCTCTGTTTTGGTACCAGTACCATGCTGTTTTGGTTACTGTAGCCTTGCAGTATAGTTTGAAGTCAGGTAGTGTGATGCCTCCAGCTTTGTTCTTTTGGCTTAGGATTGACTTGGCGATGTGGGCTCTTTTTTGGTTCCATATGAACTTTAAAGTAGTTTTTTCCAATTCTGTGAAGAAAGTCATTGGTAGCTTGATGGGGATGGCATTGAATCTGCAAATTACCTTGGGCAGTATGGCCATTTTCACGATATTGATTCTTCCTACCCATGAGCATGGAATGTTCTTCCATCTGTTTGTATCCTCTTTTATTTCCTTGAGCAGTGGTTTGTAGTTCTCCTTGAAGAGGTCCTTCACATCCCTTGTAAGTTGGATTCCTAGGTATTTTATTCTCTTTGAAGCAATTGTGAATGGGAGTTCACTCATGATTTGGCTCTCTGTTTGTCTGTTGTTGGTGTATAAGAATGCTTGTGATTTTTGTACATTGATTTTGTATCCTGAGACTTTGCTGAAGTTGCTTATCAGCTTAAGGAGGTTTTGGGCTGAGACAATGGGGTTTTCTAGATATACAATCATGTCATCTGCAAAGAGGGACAATTTGACTTCCTCTTTTCCTAATTGAATACCCTTTATTTCCTTCTCCTGCCTAATTGCCCTGGCCAGAACTTCCAACACTCTGTTGAATAGGAGTGGTGAGAGAGGGCATCCCTGTCTTGTGCCAGTTTTCAAAGGGAATGCTTCCAGTTTTTGCCCATTCAGTATGATATTGGCTGTGGGTTTGTCATAGATAGCTCTTATTATTTTGAAATATGTCCCATCAATACCTAATTTATTGAGAGTTTTTAGCATGAAGGGTTGTTGAATTTTGTCAAAGGCCTTTTCTGCATCTATTGAGATAATCATGTGGTTTTTGTCTTTGGCTCTGTTTATGTGCTGGATCACATTCATTGATTTGTGTATATTGAACCAGCCTTGCATCCCAGGGATGAAGCCCACTTGCTCCTGGTGGATAAGCTTTTTGATGTGCTGCTGGATTCGTTTTGCCAGTATTTTATTGAGGATTTTTGCATCAATGTTCATCAAGGATATTGGTCTAAAATTCTCTTTTTTGGTTGTGTCTCTGCCAGGCTTTGGTATCAGAATGATGCTGGCCTCATAAAATGAGTTAGGGAGGATTCCCTCTTTTTCTATTGATTGGAATAGTTTCAGAAGGAATGGTATCAGTTCCTCCTTGTACCTCTGGTAGAATTCGGCTGTGAATCCCTCTGGTCCTGGACTCTTTTTGGTTGGTAAGCTATTGATTATTGCCACAATTTCAGATCCTGTTATTGGTCTATTCAGAGATTCAACTTCGTCCTGGTTTAGTCTTGGGAGAGTGTATGTGTCCAGGAATTTATCCATTTCTTCTAGATTTTCTAGTTTATTTGCGTAGAGGTGTTTGTAGTATTCCCTGATGGTAGTTTGTATTTCTGTGGGATCGGTGGTGATATCCCCTTTATCATTTTTTATTGTGTCTATTTGATTCTTCTCTCTTTTTTTCTTTATTGGTCTTGCTAGCGGTCTATCAATTTTGTTGATCCTTTCAAAAAACCAGCTCCTGGATTCATTAATTTTTTGAAGGGTTTTTTGTGTCTCTATTTCCTTCAGTTCTGCTCTGATTTTAGTTATTTCTTGCCTTCTGCTAGCTTTTGAATGTGTTTGCTCTTGCTTTTCTAGTTCTTTTAAGTGTGATGTTAGGGTGTCAATTTTGGATCTTTCCTGCTTTCTCTTGTGGGCATTTAGTGCTATAAATTTCCCTCTACACACTGCTTTGAATGCGTCCCAGAGATTCTGGTATGTTGTGTCTTTGTTCTCGTTGGTTTCAAAGAACATCTTTATTTCTGCCTTCATTTCATTATGTACCCAGTAGTCATTCAGGAGCAGGTTGTTCAGTTTCCAGTGGTTTTGAGTGAGATTCTTAATCCTGAGTTCTAGTTTGATTGCACTGTGGTCTGAGAGATAGTTTGTTATAATTTCTGTTCTTTTACATTTGCTGAGGAGAGCTTTACTTCCAAGTATGTGGTCAATTTTGGAATAGGTGTGGTGTGGTGCTGAAAAAAATGTATATTCTGTTGATTCGGGGTGGAGAGTTCTGTAGATGTCTATTAGGTCCACTTGGTGCAGAGCTGAGTTCAATTCCTGGTTATCCTTGTTGACTTTCTGTCTCGTTGATCTGTCTAATGTTGACAGTGGGGTGTTAAAGTCTCCCATTATTAATGTGTGGGAGTCTAAGTCTCTTTGTAGGTCACTCAGGACTTGCTTTATGAATCTGGGTGCTCCTGTATTGGGTGCATATATATTTAGCATAGTTAGCTCTTCTTGTTGAATTGATCCCTTTACCATTATGTAATGGCCTTGTCTCTTTTGATCTTTCTTGGCTTAAAGTCTGTTTTATCAGAGACTAGGATTTCAACCCCTGCCTTTTTTTGTTTTCCATTTGCTTGGTAGATTGTCCTCCATCCTTTTATTTTGAGCCTATGTGTGTCTCTGCACGTGAGATGGGTTTCCTGAATACAGCACACTGATGGGTCTTGACTCTTTATCCAATTTGCCAGTCTATGTCTTTTAATTGGAGCATTTCGTCCATTTACATTTAAAGTTAATATTGTTATGTGTGAATTTGATCCTGTCATTATGATGTTAGCTGGTGATTTTGCTCGTTAGTTGATGCAGTTTCTTCCTAGCCTCGATGGTCTTTACATTTTGGCATGATTTTGCAGCGGCTGGTACCGGTTGTTCCCTTCCATGTTTAGCGCTTCCTTCAGGAGCTCTTTTAGGGCAGGCCTGGTGGTGACAAAATCTCTCAGCATTTGCGTGTCTGTAAAGTATTTTATTTCTCCTTCACTTATGAAGCTTAGTTTGGCTGGATATGAAATTCTGGGTTGAAAATTCTTTTCTTAGGAATGTTGAATATTGGCCCCCACTCTCTTCTGGCTTGTAGGGCTTCTGCCGAGAGATCCACTGTTAGTCTGATGGGCTTCCCTTTGAGGGTAACCCGACCTTTCTCTCTGGCTGCCCTTAACATTTTTTCCTTCATGTCAACTTTGGTGAATCTGACAATTATGTGTCTTGGAGTTGCTCTTCTTGAGGAGTATCTTTGTGGCGTTCTCTGTATTTCCTGAATCTGAACGTTGGCCTGCCTTGTTAGATTGGGGAAGTTCTCCTGGATAATATCCTGCAGAGTGTTTTCCAACTTGGTTCCATTCTCTCCGTCACTTTCAGGTACACCAATCAGATGTAGATTTGGTCTTTTTACATAGTCCCATATTTCTTGGAGGCTTTGCTCATTTCTTTTTATTCTTTTTTCTCTAAACTTTCCTTCTCGCTTCATTTCATTCATTTCATCTTCCATTGCTGATACCCTTTCTTCCAGTTGATCGCATTGGCTCCTGAGGCTTCTGCATTCTTCACGTAGTTCTCGAGCCTTGGTTTTAAGCTCCATCAGCTCCTTTAAGCACTTCTCTGTATTGGTTATTATAGTTATACATTCTTCTAAATTTTTTCCAAAGTTTTCCACTTCTTTGCCTTTGGTTTGAATGTCCTCCCGTAGCTCAGAGTAATTTGATCGTCTGAAGCCTTCTTCTCTCAGCTCGTCAAAGTCGTTCTCCGTCCAGCTTTGTTCCATTGCTGGTGAGGAACTGCGTTCCTTTGGAGGAGGAGAGGCGCTCTGCTTTTTAGAGTTTCCAGTTTTTCTGTTCTGTTTTTTCCCCATCTTTGTGGTTTTATCTACTTTTGGTCTTTGATGATGGTGATGTACAGATGGGTTTTTGGTGTGGCTGTCCTTTCTGTTTGTTAGTTTTCCTTCTAACAGACAGGACCCTCAGCTGCAGGTCTGTTGGAGTACCCTGCCGTGTGAGGTGTCAGTGTGCCCCTGCTGGGGGGGTGCCTCCCAGTTAGGCTGCTCGGGGGTCAGGGGTCAGGGACCCACTTGAGGAGGCAGTCTGCCCGTTCTCAGATCTCCAGCTGCATACTGGGAGAACCACTGCTCTCTTCAAAGCTGTCAGACAGGGACATTTAAGTCTGCAGAGGTTACTGCTGTCTTTTTGTTTGTCTGTGCCCTGCCCCCAGAGGTGGAGCCTACAGAGGCAGGCAGGCCTCCTTGAGCTGTGGTGGGCTCCGCCCAGTTCGAGCTTCCCAGCTGCTTTGTTTACCTAATCAAGCCTGGGCAATGGCGGGCGCCCCTCCCCCAGCCTCGCTGCAGCCTTGCAGTTTGATCTCAGACTGCTGTGCTAGCAATCAGCGAGACTCCGTGGGCATAGGACCCTCCGAGCTGGGTGTGGGATATAATCTCGTGCTGCGTCGTTTTTTAAGCCTGTCGGAAAAGCGCGGTATTTGGGTGGGAGTGACCCAATTTTCCAGGTGCCATGGGTCACCCCTGTCTTTGACTAGGAAAGGGAACTCCCTGACCTCTTGTGCTTCCCAAGTGAGGCAATGCCTCGCCCTGCTTCAGCTCGCGCACAGTGCGCGCACCCACTGACCTGCGCCCACTGTCTGGCACTCCCTAGTGAGATGAACCCGGTACCTCAGATGGAAATGCAGAAATCACCCGTCTTCTGCGTCGCTCATGCTGGGAGCTGTAGACTGGAGCTGTTCCTATTCGGCCATCTTGGCTCCTCCCCCCCATGTGCCACTCATTTTAAAAGACAACTTTCTTCACTAAAGTTTACCTTTGCCATGAATCAAATGACCATTTATGTGTGTGTCTTTCTCTACACTCTTTATTCTGTTCCGTTGTTCTATATGTGTAGCCTTGAGCTCAGGTCATGCTATCTTAACTACATTTGCTTTGTGGTAAATCTTGAAATCTGATAGTATAAGTCATACAGAATTTTTTCTTCTTTCAGATTTTCTTGGCCTTTTCATTTTCATATAAATGATTGCTTGTCAATTTACACACACACACGCATGCACATGTTGAGATTCTGACCAAGTTAAATTGACTTTTATAAATCAATAAGGTGAATTTTGTCATTTTAATAATATTAACTCATCTGGTACGTGGACATAGTATATGTTTCTCTTTATTTATTTCTATTTCTTTATTTAACTAGTCTTAGTAATACTTTCTGGTTTTCCATGCCTTTCAGTAGCAGATTTATTTTCAGAAAATTTATTTTTTATATTATTGTAAATAGTATTGTTTTTCAAATTTTATTTTTCACTTGATTGTTGCCGGAACACAGAAATACAATTTATTTTCATGTATTGACTCATAATCTAACAGTCATGTTCAATTTATATTTCATTCGAATTGAGATTCTTTGGATTTTCTGCATACATGATGATTCTGAACTTTATTTTTGCCACTGGTGTGAATATTTCTCTTCATTTCTCCCACAGTAGACCTTTATATTTTTTTGTGCTCACTTGAAATGTTGGTCAGTCCTTTGTTGGTATACAATCATTTTAAGGGTTTGACCAGCAAAGATTCAACTCTGGTTCACTGAAATAATTGGGCACTTTGTTGCCCTATCTAACCAAATCCAGAATGTCACAATATTAGTGACAAAAACTACAAATGACTCAGACAAGGGTTTATACACATTAGCCTAAAAATTTATGTTTACAGGAAAGCTCAAGATATTTATTTTCTGGCTTAGGTGTCCTGATTCCCGTGTTAGCTAAAGTACTGCTTGTAAGGTTTGTATTTAGTCATAGATTTATTTGCCAATTTCCAGAAAAAATTATATTTGTCTTTTCTCATTCTATGATTCTCTTTTCATGAAATGCAATACTAGCTACTTCCTCATCTCTGTGTTAATATTAATAAGAAGAAATCTAATTTTTCGAATCATTTCCACAATGACAGAATCCATTACAGCCACTAATAGCCTTTCCTTATCTAGGCCAAAGAATTTGATTAATTTTGTTCCTTAATATAATGATTACATTATGATAGTTTGGTAGCTTTTTATGCAAACCATCCTGAGTGTCCAGTTAGAGGAAATATTTTGTAATGTGTGTTATCAAAATTCAGATATCATTTTCACAGTAGACCTTGGCTTGGTAAGGTTTAAAAACTACTTGCGAAGAATTGCAAAGTGTTCCCCAGTTCGAATGTTAGCTTAGTTATTCTAAGGTTACTTTCACATTGAGCTAGGGTTAAGATTAAAGACCATACTTGCTCTGTGTCTTGTGTAATATCAGTGTTTAGTAAGTACTTTTTGATAGATTTGATGAAAGGTGCCATCCCAGGACCAGTTAAGTATTCTTCATAACTTCAAGGAGGTCCTCTTTTCCACCATGTCTTCAGAAGATCTTCTAAATTCCCTGGTTTTGTTTTGTTTTGTTTTGTTTGTGCAGAAGAAAATGATGTCTTTCTGGTTTCCTATCCAAACTCTGGTACATTTGTTTTAATGCATTTTAAAAAATATAGAAATGCTGTTTTTGTTACTGTAGTAGCCTTGTAGTATAGTTTGAAGTCAAGTAGCATGATGCTTCCAGCTTTGTTCTTTTTGCTTAGAGTTGTCTTGGCTATGGAGGGCTCTTTTTTGGTTCCATATAAAATTTAAAGTAGTTTTCTTCTAATTCTGTGAAGTAAGTCAATGGTAGCTTGATGGGGATAGCATTGAATTGATAAATTGCTTTGGGCAGTATGGCCATTTTCACGATATTGATTCCTCCTATCCATGAGCGTGGAATGTTTTTGCAGTTGTTTGTGTCTTCTCTTATTTCCTTGAGCAGTGGTTTGTAGTTCTCCTTGAAGAGGTCTTTCACATCCCTTGTAAATTGGATTTCTAGGTATTTTATTCTCTTTGTAGCAATTGTGAATGGGAGTTCACTCATGATTTGTCTCTCTGTTTGTCTATTATTGGTATATAGGAATGCTTGTAATTTTTGCACATTGATTTTGTATCCTGAGACTTTGCTGAAGTTGCTTATCAGCTTGAGGAGATTTTGGGCTGAGACGATGGGATTTGCTAAATATACAATCATGTCATCTGCAAACAGGGACAACTTGACTTCCTCTCTTCCTATTTGAATACCCTTTATTTGTTTCTCGTGCCTGATTGCTCTGGCCAGAACTTCCAATAATATGTTGAATAGGAGTGATGAGGGAGGGCATCCTTGTCTTATGCCAGTTTTCAAAGGGAATGCTTCCAGCTTTTGCCTATTCAGTATGACACTGACTGTGGGTTTGTCATAAATGCCTCTTATTATTTTGAGATACATTCCATCAATACCAAAACAGATATATAGACAAATGGAACAGAACAGAGGCCTCAGAAATAATGCCACACATCTCCAACCACCTGATCTTTGACAAACCTGACAAAAACAAGCAGTGGGGAAAGGATTCCCTATTTAATCAATGGTGTTGGGAAAATTGGCTAGCCATATGCAGAAAACTGAAAGAAAACCCTTCCTTACACCTTGTACAAAAATTAACTCAGATGGATTAAAGACTTAAATGTAAGACCTAACGTCGTAAAAACCCTAGAAGAAAACCTAGGCAATACCATTCAGGACATAGGCATGGGCAAAGTCTTCATGATTAAAACACAAAAGCAATGGCAACAAAAGCCAAAATTGACAAATGGGATCTAATTAAACTAAAGAGCTTCTGCACAGCAAAAGAAACTATCATCAGAGTGAACAGGCAACCTACAGAATGGGAGAACATTTTTGCAATCTACCCATCTGACAAAGGGCTAGTATCCAGAATCTACAAATAACTTAAACACATTTACAAGAAAAAACAAACAAACCCATTAAAAAGTGGGTGAAGGATATGAACAGACACTTCTCAAAAGAAGACATTTATGCATCCAAACAACCTATGAAAACACGCTCATCATCACTGATCATTAGAGAAATGCAAATCAAAACCACAGTAAGATACCATCTCATGCCAGTTAGAATGGTGATCATTAAAAAGTCAGGAAACAACAGATGCTGGAGAGGATGTGGAGAAATAGGAATGCTTTTACACTGTTGGTGGGAGTGTAAATTAGTTCAACCTTTGTGGAAGACAGTGTGGTGCTTCCTCAAGGATCTCGAACCAGAAATACCATTTGACCCAGCAATCCCATTACTGGGTATATAGCCAAAGGATTATAAATCATCCTACTACAAAGACACATGCACACATGTGTTTATTGCAGCACTATTCACAATAGCAAAGACTTGGAACCAACCCAAATGCCCATCAATGATAGACTGGATAAAGAAAATGTGGCCTATATACACCATGGAATACTATGTAGCCATAAAAAAGGATGAGTTCATGTCCTTCGCAGGGACATGGATGAAGCTGGAAACCATTATTCTCAGCAAACTAACACAGGATCAGAAAACCAAACACCACATGTTCTCACTCATAAATGGGAGCTGAACAATGGGAACACATGGACACAGGGAGGGGAACATCACACACAGGGGCCTGTCAGGGGGTCGGGGGCTAGGGGAGGGATAGCATTAGGAGAAATACCTAATGTAGATGACGGGTTGTTGGGTGCAGCAAACCACCATGGCACGTGTATACCTGTGTAACAAACCTGCACGTTCTCCACATGTATCCCAGAACTTAAAGTATAATAATAAAAAAAAGAAATGCAATACAAAGAAATACAATAATTTTTATAAAACATTGATTTTAAAAATGTTCCCACTGCTGATTCTAATTTACAACCTTGATATTAGAGAGATAAACAGTGTGCCTTGTTGAAAATTCAGCTGGAAAAATTCAAGCTTACTATACTCTTGTTTCTATTTTATTCATGAAGACATACAGACAATATATAATAAGCATAATAGCTATAACATTATAGAGTTCTCATCATGCTTTGTACAAGTAATAATGATAACTAAATAGTGTTTGTTCAATTCACACTTATTAATTGATGTATAAATAATTTTTTTCTTCTGGGTGAATACAAACCATATATATTTTTATTGTCAAAGTTTGTTCTTTCATATAGGTATATGCCCATGAAGGGAAAGAATAATTATTTTGAATAATATCATTTCAGAGAGAATCAAAATTATTTCTATGTTACTTTTGTTTTAGAGAAATGACCAAGTTATGTAATATCTTGTTTGCTATTTCCAGAAGAGCAGGCATAGGGGATGGGCATGTAACTGCTGGCATGAGTAACTAAGAGCCAAGCTCCCTTTGAGTTGATGTGCATTATAGTTCCTTTATCTGAGGACCAAGAGAACCTACCTAAGGGAAGATGCAGGGCTCACATTGGGCCAGATCTACCAGATGCTTTTTGAGAATAAATGTAAACCGTATAACTATGTTTGTTGATAAATATGAAAATGTTGTTGCAAATGGATATTAAATGATTGCCCTTAAAATACTTTAAGGTAAAGTTGAAACGTATTAGTGTGCTCTGTGAATAAATATATCTTACCTAAAATTGATCTGTTAGTTTAGAAAGTAACTTATGATACTTTAAATGTTCCTAGAGAAGGTGGCTAACTTATGCCATATGAAAGCAACCAATATAGGTTTTCACTGTATAATTTCACTGCCTATAATTTAACATCTTCTGCCATCTAAAGCATCAAGTACCAGGAGGTCCTCATTAATAGCACAAAGCCATGTATATTCTCTCTCCCTCATCAAAATAAATCAATATGTTTTGTTAGAATAATGCAGCTATCACTACTAGTCACATTTGTATGAATATTACAATTATAAATACTTAAGACTTATTAACGTAATTTAAAATAGTCTTAATATTAAAACATAACATGCAAATGAGGACCTTGTTTAAACTCTAAATATTTGTTTAACTGTAAGTTTGTTAATATTGTATCTCATTGAAAATACAATGAGATAAATGAAGGCTAGGCCTGATTTAAAGTCTTTGAGAACATTGCTTTCATATTAGTAAGACATCTGCCCTACTTCCTGCAAACTTCTATTTCCCTGCCCCAATTTACTGTTGTCTACCACACTGGAGCATATCCACCATTTGCTTCATGTAAATATAAAGTTGAATTCCTTCCAGGTTCCATGGTAGCAGGCTTGTACGTCAATGATGTTTGAATATAGCATACGTTCTTTGTTCAGATGCTTTTTAGCACAACTGCTATGTATCTACACACAAACAAAATCAAGAAACAATGGCTATCTTCAAGTGGAGAGTGGGAAGATAGGCAAGGACATGAGCTATGCAACTATCCTCTGGTGTGTGCTCCAGTGGAGAGAGGAGCTGGGTACACTGTGGGAAGACAAAGAGGCATGAGCAACTCTGCCCAGGGGTGGGGACTCAGGAGACAGTTTATACAAGAGGAAGATGCCTGAGCTTGCAGGACCAGTAGGAAACCTACATGGAAAGATCTGTGTGAACTTGTGATATGAAGGGCCTAGGGATGAGTCATAGCATAGAAGAGTATTTCAAGCTGAGGAAACAGCATGCGGTTTCCATACCTTTTCACACTCTTTAGAATGTGATTCTACCTATAAAATGAGTTAGCAGCTCAAGTGTTTCCGCAGGTTTTGACGGGTTTCAGGAGGTAATAATAACTACTTACAACAAAACTAATGTATGAATCACTTTTATAATATGCTAATTTTCTACATCCATTTTGTCAGGAGTGACATGTCATGAAAATTATGTTTTATTTTTGCATGAAGGCATTCACTGGGATGCAGACGTCATTGCGAACATTCCCAACACTAGACTTACTCTAACATCTCCTATTGAATTGGGAGACATTTCTAAATTTGAAGAGCTAAAATTGTATTCTAACAGAAGAATAATTCCAATGCCTTTGAGCTATGACATATGCCACCCAGGAATATTAAACAAATGGAATGCAAGGTAAGTTCTATGGGATAAAGACAGAGGTTTGTAGATCTGACAAAACCGGGCTTGGATGCTTGGTCTGTTACGCAGCTTGAAAGGCAGAGCAAATGCCATTTAAATTTTAATAATTTTATTTGTCATCCTTGCATGGGATTATATAGGAAAATAAATAAATAAATTGTAATAAAAATGCAAAGAATAGTTACCTCTAGCCATTTTAAAAATGAACGTTATTATTTTTATTTTTTATTTTTGAGGCAGGATCTCGCTCCTTCACCCAGGCTGGAGTGCAGTGGCACAATCTTGGCTCACTGTAACCTCTGCCTCCCGAGCTCAAGCAATTCTGCCACCGCAGCCTCCCAAGTAGCTGGGACCACAGGTGTGTGCCACCATGCCTGGCTAATATTTTGTATTTTTTTTTGTAGAGATGGGGTTTCACTGTGTTGCCCAGGCTGGTCTCAAAATCTTGGGCTCAAATGATCCTCCCACCTCAGCCTCTCAAAGTGCTGGGATTGCAGGTGTGAGCCACTGCATCTAGTTAAAGTGCACACATTATTATTTTAAAAGTGAATTGTAATTTAAAAGAATGCTTTCTATTTTCAAAACTTTCTTATTCAAATTTAAGTTTTCATGGAGAAATGCACATGGGTTAAGGTTAAGTAGAAACTATGTTTTTAAATTCATACATATAAAATAATTTCAATTTAGTTAAAATATACACATACATGCATAAAAAAAGAGTAGATATAAATATATCAATGTGCCAAGTGACTTTCTACAGTATGGCATTAGCGTTGAATTTTATTTTCTTTAGAGATATATGTATGAGGAATATTTTAAAATTCTATTTTGATGAGGAAAAAAAGAATATTTGAAAAGCAAAATCAGGATACATTGCAAATTCCCAGTAATAAAGCCTCTTCAAACGATGTCAGCCATGTTCTAAACATAAAAACAGAAACAATCTACCAGTCATATATGTAACTGATTGTAACTCTGTGACCACAGTGCCTCTGCCCACACCATCTACTCTTGTGCCCCAAAGAAAGTAAACACAATCAACCAGAGGCGAAATGTCAGAGAGTTTGCCTTTGTCCCCAGTGAATCTGTCAGAACAGGGAAGATGTATTAACTGGATTACAGTTTCATTGAATAAATCATTTTCGTTTCAGCAGATGATTTCTCAGATGGGTGGGAAGGAGGGAGAGAGAGAGACAGAGAAGAGAGAGAGATTTGAGGAGAAAAGAAGTCCGGTAAGCTAAGAAACACTTAGGGTAATGCAATAACATTGAAAACAAATGACTGCCAGAAAGTAAGCTATGTGTTTTGTATACATTACAACAATGACAAGTGTATGTATTTCTCCTTTTATGAGTAAAGAAACTGAAGCTCAGAAGGATTGGAGTACTTTTAAACTATCACAGTGAAAGAAGGTACAGCCTTAAGATACAGTACTTTCAGTGTGTCCCATACTGGGAACTGAGACCTTCCAGTTCTCTCTCCTGAGAAGATAACCTGCCCACTGTTACTGATGGCTTGGTCCCTGAGAGCTCCCAAATTGGACAAGCTTCTTTTGCCCTAAAACGGCCTGTCAAATAGGAGCTTCCTCCCCTAGTCTTTCCCTCCCAGCTCTCAACCCTACTTTGCCTTCTATATTTTCTTCCTAATCCTTGTTTTTCCTTTTTTATGTTTCTAAACTCTCTGATGTGAAAGGTATGCTTCCCAGCACATTTCATAATGTTTTGTTTAATATTTGATCCCCTGTCACTTCCAGAGTCCTGTTCCACCTTCCCTGTATGTCCCCCAACCTCCTCCAATAATTCTTCTGATTTCATAGAATACAGTCTTTGGCAAAATAGGCATTAATGGGTTGCATTGTCTTTCCCAGAAGATAATAGACATGTAACTTTAGGTGTTCTCCAAAAGCCCTAAAATCTCTCTTCTTTGTCAAAACAAATACGTCCAACTAAATGGATGAGGCTTAAAGTTCTGCCATTTTATTCCTTTTTATTAAGAAGTAGATTTTTTAAATTGTGCTCCCTGAGCCTTGGGGTTCTGTGAATCTGCTGAGAAAATCTAGAGCAGTTAGAGAAAGCATGACATGTTGGCTTACTCCACAATTCCTTCCTGGGATAAAGAGAGGATATTGTGGTATTGGAGATGAGTGAGGGGGTCGGTGACTATTTATTCTTGTACACAGTGGCCTTTATACATCTCTCAATTAAAAATAAGCAGGTGCTATTCATGTGGACTCACACAATACCTGGACTGTAATTGAAACTACCTTTAGAAAATTATTACAGCAAGACAAATCTGACACAGTTGACTCCATGTTGCTTCTAACCTCTAAGCTGTCTTTGGTCATTTCTGGGTGTAGACCAAGTTGACTTTGGCAGAAATGTAGTTTATACTTTAACCTTAAAGCAAGGATAAAAATAGCCCTTCCCAAAACTAAACCACCTTTGTAAAACTAATGTAACACCATGATATGGTTTGGCTGTGTCCCCACCCAAATCTCATCTTGAATTGTAACTTCCACAATCCCTACATGCCATGGGAGGAACTTGGTGGGAGGTAACTGAATCACAGGGGCAGATCTTTCTCATGCTATTCTCGTAACACTTAATAAGTCTCATGAGATCTAATGGTTTTAAAAATGGGAGTTTCCCTGCACAAGCTCTCTCTCTTTGCCTGCTGCCATCCACATAAGATGTCACTTGCTCCTCCTTGCCTTCTGCCATGATTGTGAGGCCTCCCTAGCTGTGTGGAACTGTAAGTCCATTAAACCTCTTTCTTTTGTAAATTGGCCAGTCTCTGGTATGTCTTTATCAGCAGCATGAAAATGGACTAATACACACCACAATGTTAGGATTATGAGAGGGTCCTAAATTCTGATAAGGTGTAGGTATAGTTTCTATAATCCCTTACTGCTCAGGAGTCATGTGGCCAAATGTCATAAGATTTGTGTCTTCCCCAATTACTCCTATAAATAACATCACTATTATAGAACCTAAGATTGGATTTTTGAGATATTTTTCAGGCTGACCCCACCCAGACTCTTAACTCATGACTCAACTGATCCCGTGGTCCCACCCAGAGGTGGACTTAGTGCACAAGGACTGTTTTCCACACTCCTATGATTCCATCTGTAACCAATCAATATTCCCCATTCCCTAGTCCCCTGCTCACCAAACTTCCTGGAAAACTCCTAGCCTTTGAGCCTTTGAGATTGATTTGAGGCTGGTCTCACATCAATTAAACTATTTCTCTACTGCAATGCCATGGTCTCAGTCAATTGATTTTGTCTGTGCAGCAAGGAGAAAGAACCCATCAGGTGATGATATAAACATGACACCGAAAGAGAGTTATGTATTAAAAGTGACTCAGCAAATGCTTTCTTACCTAAGTAAAATGTGCCTGTTCTGATTGTCAATTAAAAACCAAGTAGAGCATGCAATGTTGAGCATCACTGAAAATATTACTATCACATCCACCTTCTAATACTGTGTTTAATCATCAGCTGAAGCTGCCCAAAACAACTGTGACTTACACAGGTGAATTTAAATGCTACTTCCTTATAGAAATGTTTTGTACTGGGGTTATTTCCATCCAAGAATAAATGAATCTAACAGATTTTCTACATCATTAGGAATCCAAAAGACACAGCTCTTTCTTTATGCCACTACTATAGAGATAACCCTAATCTCACCTGCATTAAAACATGGGCTACAATTTTAGAGCCATTCCTAAGAGGAAATAGTAAATATAACAATAATTTTTATTTTTAATTTACATGAACTTTATCACTCAAAATGTAAGCATTTTCCAAAAGTTTAAGTGGATCATAACCATTTTTAGAAATACACTGAATATATTATTCTTATATTCTTTCTAAGCAAATTCTTTTTCAGTTTGCTTCTTCACAGTTGTGTTAATCCGTTTTCACACTGCTATAAAGACATAACCAAGACTGGGAAGAAAAATAGGTTTAATGGACTCACAGTTTCACGTGGCTGGGAAGGCCTCACAATAATGGCAGAAGTGAAAGGCACTTCTTACTTGGTGGCAGCAAGAGAGAATAAGAGCCAAGCAAGAGGGGTTTCCCCTTATAAAACCATCAGATTTCATGAGACTTACTCACTGTCATGAGAACAGCATGGGGGAAACTGCCCCTATGATTCAAATTATCTCCCACTGGGTCCCTCCCACAACACATGGGAATTATGGGAACTACAATTCAAGATGAGATTTGGATGAGGACACAGCCAACTCATATTATTCCCTGGCCCCTCCCAAATCTCATATTCTCACATTTCAAAACCAATCATGCCTTCCCAACAGTCCCCCAAAGTCTTAACTTATTTCAGCATTAACTCAAAAGTCCACAATCCAAAGTCTCACCTGAGACAAGGCAAGTCCCTTTCACCTATGAGCCTGTAAAATCAAAAGCAAGTTATTCACTTCGTAGATACAATGGGTATACAGGCATTGGGTAATACAGCTGTTCCAAATGGGAGAAATTGGCCAAAACAAAGGGGCTACCAGCCCCATGCAAGTCCAAAATCTAGTGGGGCAGTCAAATCTTAAAGCTCCAAAATAATCTCCTTTGACTCCATGTCTCACATCCAGGTCATGCTGATGCAAGAGGTAGGTTCCCATGGTCTTGGGCAGCTCCACTCCTGTGGCTTTGCAGAGTACAGCTCCCCTCCAGGGTGTGTTCACAGGCTGGCATTGAGTATCTATGGCTTTTCCAGGTGCATGGTGCAAGCTGTCGGTGGATCTACCATTCTAGGGTCTGGAGGATGGTGGCCCTATTCTCACAGTTCCACTGGGTGGCACCCCAGTAGGGACTCTGTGTGAGGGCTCCAACCCCACATTTCCCTTCCCCACTGCCCTAGTTCTCCACGAGGGCCCCGCACCTGCAGCAAACTTCTGTCTGGGCATCTGGACGTTTCCATACATCCTCTGAAATCTAGGCAGAGGTTCCCAAATCCCAGTTCTTGACTTCTGTGCACTCACAGGCTCAACACCATATGGAAGCTGCCAAGGCTTGGGGCTTGCACTCTCTGAAGCCATGGCTTGAGCCCTATGTTGACCCCTTTCAGCCACAGGAGTGCCTGGGAGGCAGGGGACCAAGTCCCTAGGCTGCACACAGCACGGGGACCCTGGGCTCAGCCCACAAGACCATTTTTCCTCCTAAGCCTCTGGGCCTGTGATGGGAGGGGCTGCCGTGAAGATAGCCCAAATGTCAAGTTCCTCATCTCCATCTGAGTCTATCTCAGCCTGCACTTTATTGTCCATATCACTATCAGCATTTTGGACAAAGCCATTCAATAAGTCTCTAGGAAGTTCCAAACTTTCTGACATTTTTCTGTCTTCTTCCAAACCCTCCAAACTGTACCAACCTCTTCCTGTTACCCAGTTCCAAAGTTGCTTCCACATTTGTGTGTATTTTTCCAGCAGTGCCCCACTCTACTGGTATCAGTTTACTGTATTAGTTTATTTTCATGCTGCTAATAAAGACATATAAGCCAAGTGAGAGGGGTTTCCCCTTATAAAACCATCAGATCTTGTGAGACTTATTCACTACCATGAGAATATTATGGGGGAAATCCACCCCCCTGATTCAATTATCTCCCACTGGGTCCTCTCACAACACTTGGGAATTATGGGAGCTACAATTCCCATAATTGTATGGGACACAGCCAAACCATATCAACAATCTTTCTTATAACATGTGGGTAGCACATATTAGTGATTACTTATTGAGCTAGTGTGTTCAAAACAGAGATTAATTCTGTACAAGCACCTTTTGTTTTCATATACCACCAACCTTTTTAGTGAAATAATTATGCACTGATTGAAGTGCATAGACATATAGCTGAAACCTGAAGAGGTAGTCTGAAATGTGCCTTATATATATACCTGCCTAGAAAATAAAACAACACAAATAAAAAAATACATACACTCACACAAGTAAGTTCCTCAAACAAACAGTGAGAGAATTGGTTTTATAAAAACTAATGAAGGCCAGGTGCAGTAGCTCACACCTGTAATCCCAACACTTTGGGAGGCCATTGCAGATGGATCACGTGAGCCCAGGAGTTTGAGGTCAGGTTGGGCAACATGGAGAAAACCTGTCTCCATTATTTAAAAATGTATTTATTTAAAAAAAAAACTAACGGAAAGTAATTTATCCTGAAAACATCACAATGAAATGTGATTTGATTAAGCTGTACAGCACACATTGGTCCTGCCACTGTGCACAACCATTGACCCCAACCCTTTCTCCTTGACTCATTGGTGTCTGAAGCACTTAAAAAAACTATTCTGAATTCCCAAGGCTTTCACTGAACAAAAATAAATATACCAAGATGATACAGAATTTTGAAAACAAATCATTTAGGAATGCTGCACACCCAAAGAATCCTGTCTCTTATTGGACTTAGAGTAGATCTTTTTAATTGTTATATATTGTTATTTTGCTTGAAAATTGTTATACTTTTATATTTTCATTTCAGGAAAGTCACAGCAAGTGTAGCTTTAACATAAGGACATTGGTAACTCACCAGCAAATAGGTTTGCTATTCCCTATAGAAGAATATGCAATGCTCACACTATTTGAACTCCTGTTTTTCATCATCTATTTTCTTCTTTAACTAATGGCACACACTTAGTGGAATCATAAAGTTTCAGGAAGGACAGGTACCTTAATGTTTATCTGGTCAAAACATCCACCCAATGTTTGAATTACCCTTACAAAGCAACACATTCTATGTGGGAACTGCTGAGATGTTTAAAAAAAAATCTCTTGGCCAGGCACGGTGCCTCACCCCTGTAATCCCAGCACTTTGGGAGGCCGAGGCAGGTGGATCACCTGAGGTCAGGAGTTTGAGACCAGCCTGGCCAATATGGTGAAACCCTGTCTCAACTAAAAATATAAAAATTAGCTGCGTGTGGTGGTGCATGCCTGTAATTCCAGCTACTCTGGAGGCTGAGGCAGGAGAATCACTTGAACCCAGGGGCAGATGTTGCAGTGAGCCGAGATTGTGCCACTGCACTCCAGCCTGGGCCACAGAATGAGATTCCATCTAGAAAAAAAAAAATTAGCCAGGCTTGGTGGCATACACCTGAAATCCCAGCTACTCAGGAGGCTGAGGCAGGAGGATCACTTGAACCTGGGAGATGGACGTTGCAGTGAGTCGAGATCATGCCACTGCACTCCAGCCTGGGTGACAGAGTGAGACTCCAACTCAAAAAAAAAAAATCTTAACAATTTACTGTTTGCTAACCATGTGCTACAGACACTTATCTAAGTGTCATGCTAACATTATCTCATGTCTTCCTTATTAGAACACTATGAAGTAGATGTCCTTATCCTTATTTTACAGAGGAGGAAAATGCAAACCTTTGGAGGCCAAATAACTTGTCCACAGATGTGTAACTAATAAGGAAAACAGTCAAGATATAAATTCAAGTAGCAGCTCGAAAATCTTTGCCCTTACCACAGTGTCATAATTTGTCCTAAAACAAAACAAAACAAAACAAAAAACCAGTCCTCCTCGTTATTAATTCCTCCTCCACATGAAAGGCTTCTAAATATTTGAAGATAGTTTGCATGCCTCACTCCACCTCAATTCCATTTTTGGAGTAAGCAGTGCTGAAATACATATATTTAAAAAAAAAAGATTGGGTCTGCTTTTCCTCAAGAAAAGAAATACTGTTTTTGTCTACTGTCATTACACACTGTGGTTCACCACCTCTCTCTCCTGGCTGCATGAGCTCTGATTTGGCCACATCTCTATTATAGTGCAGTGCTTAGAAGGAAACGCACACCATAGATATGGTCTGACTAGGGCAGGGTAGAGCAGACCTAGCACTGCTTCTGTTCTAGAGATTATTTTTCTGTGACTGCAGCTACAAAAATGCCAGCCCAGACCAGAACTCAGTGAAGCTCACTGGCTTTCAGGGAACATCTGTCTTTGTTGTCACCACGTTAATCAGGACTCATAGCAGAATATCTAGGAGGGGCAGAGTGTGGTTGGAAAAATATTCCACATGATTCTTTTACACCTTCTTAGGTGTGAAGAGATTTTACTTGTAAGTATTCTACATCAGGATGTTCCAGCCTGTGCAAACCCTGTCACCACCAGGAATAGTCACTGAATCACTAGAGCTTTTAAAAGAAATCTGTATGAATGGAAGCAGTAGCTTCACTTTTCTTTACTTATAATGATATGGGGGGGGCGTTAGGGAAGTGCTGGGTAGAGAAGGGTGGGATCCCTGGCGAGGGCTTCACCCTCGGGCATGTGCCTGCGGACCTAAGTGAGAATGAGCACTCCTGTTTTCACACCTGAGTATTGCATTTTCCAAGACGACTCTGGTCCACCATGCCCCCATCCTGCGCCCATATATTCCTGAGATTTTAGCAGGCACACACACAAGTGGCTGAATGTCGAGACCAGCAGACCAGAGATGGTGGAATGACACACAGCAGAGAAAGAAGGAAGATGGGGGATGTCTGGAAGCTGAGGGGAGTTTGGCGGGGAGTGGTCAGAGAAGAATTCGGCCGCTGGGCAGCCCAACTCCAGGGGAATACCATCTTCCCACTCCACCCCCACTTCTAGCTCTCCATCCATCTCAATGAGAGCCACCTCTACCACTCGATAAAACCTTGAACTCATCCTTTGAGCCCACGTGTGATCTGATCCTTCCAGGATACTGGGCAAGAGCTTAGAGTCCAGAAGGCTCTCACACTGGCCCTCTGCCCTTGCAATAAGGAAGAGGGTCGATTGAGCTGATTAACACACAAGCCATCTGCAGGTGGCAAATTTGAAAGACCTTTGTAACACACGCCCACTTGGGCTTTGGGAGTCACGGACACCCACCCCTAGATGCTGCTGTGGGGCCAGAGCCCAAAAGTGCACAGGTGGCCTCTGCACCTGCCCATCTGCATGCTCCCCCTAGCGGTTTGAGCTTTGGGGTGACCAAGCAGATGAGCCACACCCTGGCACATGTCCTGTGAGGGGAACTGGGGAACTCTCCCATTTCAATAAGATAGGGCTGTTTGTCTTTCTGAGTGTATGCATGTATGGATGTATTATATGTATGTGACTGTGTTTCAGGGATGTTCTTCAATGACTTTCCTTTATTTTTCTTTTGGTTTTGAGACAGGGTTTCCCTCTGTCACCCGGGCTGGAGTGCAGTGGTGCGACCACAGCTCACCACACCCTTGATCTCCTGGCCCCAAGCAATCCTCCCACCTCAACCTCCTGAGTAGCTGGGACTACAGGTGCACAGCAACATGTCCAGATAATTTTTGTATTTTTTATACAGATGGGGTTTCTCCATATGGCTCAGGCTGGTCTTGAACTCCTGAGCTCAAGCAATCCACCTGCCTCAGCCTCTCAAAGTGCTGGGATTATAGGCATGAGCCACTGCACCTGGCCTTCAATGGCTTTTTGAGGGGAGGCTTATTCTCTTGCAAATGAAAACATAATGTAGTAGAAAGAAAAGGCTATGGACGTAGAAGACTTGGCATCAAGTTCTGACTATAATTTATTCCCTGTATGACTTTGGATGAGCAGAGTAACCATTCTGAGTTCTACATTTCTAATATAAAATAAGACCAATAAATCTATTCTGTAGGATTATTTAGAGATTCAAATTAAGTAATGGCTGAAATATGCTATAGAAATCTACTCATTATTCTACTAGACACAGAAGACTTTTAAGTAGTTTTATATCAACGTGAAAATACTGCAAGTAGGTATTTTTCTAAAGAGATTGTTTTACAACTGAGGCATCATGATATTCTGTATTCATCTTCAAATGTAGTCATAGACATGAGTTATATGACAAGACAGTATAATAAAGAGACAGCAGGTTGGGCACGGTGGCTCACTCCTGTAATCCCAGCGCTTTGGGAGGCCGAGGCTAATGAAACACCTGAGGTCAGGAGTTTGAGACCAGCATGGCCAACATGGCAAAATCCCGTCTCTACTAAAAAAAAAACAAAAATTAGCTGGGCGTGGTGGCATGTGCCTGTAATCCCAGCTGCTTGGGAGTCTGAGGCAGGAGAATCACTTGAACCCAGGAGGCGGAGGTTGCAGTGAGCTGAGATTGCACCACTGCACTCCAGCCTGGGTGACAGAGCAAGGCTCTGTCTTAAAAAAAAAAAAAAGACAGCTACATTTATCTAATCTTGTAATTTACCTTTTAGATAGTATATAAATATGCTTTATTTTTTCAAGTTAAACAATAACTGTAAATTGTGTTCTAGTAATATTTTGATAGGTTAGTATTTTGATGAAATTAATATATTAGCATTTTTTTTCCTTGTAGCTCTATCTCCAGTCTTACATTATTACTCTATATTTCCTAGGCCAATTCATCCTAGAGAATTTATATTTTCTGTACGATTATCTTATCCTCAAAGTACTTTCTAGAAATTCAAGACTAAGATGCTCATTATAATGAGATATAAGTGTGGGGCAGAAGGTTTGCAGAAAGTGTGGAAGGTTTGAAATAGCTGATGTAAAGAATAGAATGTGTTAATGTAGGATAAGTAGGTTTGGTAGGTGGCCTTGGTGTGAATAGAGTTGTGTAAATTTCTCCAGCAGCACTCTGTAGCAATGGAGAGAAGAAAAGATGGTAAAGTGTTTTGATTCAATACTGGGCACATTTTTAGGTGACTGAAATAAGCAATAAGGGGCAAGGAAGTTGAAGGTTTTGGAAAGAAAACTGTTGAGAGGATGAACAAGGGAAAGAAAGTGAAGATAGAAAGGGACAAAAGTGGTCAGAGTAGGGATTGTAGAAACTATTTATTAAAGTCACTCCAGCTGATGGTGAGACTTGAGATGACACAGAAAATGTTCTAAAGTCAGAATCTTCTGTGAATGTAGGGGAGAGACCAGGAGGTCAACTTATGGCTGAAATATTGAAGGAAAGAGTGGCAGATTCCCATGACTCTCAAAGAAGCCTGGTTTCTATAGGAGGAGGGAGTTCTGGAAGTTTCTAGGAAGCAGTGAGATTGTTGACTCACTCTTCAGACCCTAAGACATAGGTTGGGTGAGAGTGAGCAACCTCTATTCAGGGGCACACAGGGGAAGGAGCCATTTGGACCACAGAGAAAGGGCAGTCCAGGTATATGTTAAGGCCAAGAGGTGGTAGGATAATTCTGTAATTAACCAAAGAAAAGTATTTCCTGGAAAAAGATTTCAAATCTCTATTTTGGAAGCTACATTTTCTTTAAAGCCACAGATCTATTAATAACCTGCACAATGAGGATTCTGATTTAAAAATTAACTAAAATGCTTTCTTAAAAATTCTAACTTTTGGCAGGGTGTGGTGGCTCACGCCTGTAATCTCAGCATTCGGGAGGCCTGGGCAGGTGGACTGCTTGAGCCCAAGAGTTCGAGACCAGCTTGGCCAACATGGTGAAACCCTGTCTCTACCAAAAATACAAAAATTAGCCAGACGTGGTGGCGTGCACCTGTGATCTCAGCTACTCAGGAGGCTGAGGCACAAGAATAGCTTGAACCTGGGAGGCGGAGGTTGCAGTGAGCAGAGATTGCACCATTGAACTCCAGTCTGGGTGACAAAATGAGACTCAAAAAGGTTAAAAATAAAAAAATAAAATATTAAGTTTTTTAAAAAAGGCTTTAAATATATTAATACATTCACTTTCCTATAGTAGTAAGAAAGACACAGGCAGCCAATTCTTTGCATTCTTTTGGCTGACTTAAGTCTTTTTGGAACAAGGTGGGGTATAAATTAATTAGTAACAGAACAGCTTGTTGTCAAATTGCAATCAGGCGATGCTCCAAAAGTTCTTTTTTAAATCTATTTTGAGGCATGTTGCAATATATTTTCAACTGAAAAAACATAATGGGCAGAGTCAATTACACCTGACCTTGGAGTGTGACACTGAGTCTCTAACCCTGCACAGCCTCCTGGGCACGAGAGCTTGAGCTTCACTGACAGTCTCAAGGGCTTCTGCAACCTCAGCAACCCTGGGCAGTGACATCATCCAGGAGGCCTGGGCTGTGGCTGTTGGTGCGAGGTGGGGAGGCAGGTAATATTTTTGAACATTGTTTGGGTGCTAGGGACTAGTTAATTTCCCAAATGTGCATCAGAGATCAGTTTTTCTATCATCCAGTTTTTGTGTCTGGGGAAAGATTGGCTATTCTTAGAGGGCAAACCCCTTATCGCTGACATGGTAATTTGAGTAATTCTAAGATAATGTTTTTTGTAAGTCATTGGAATAGCCTGAGATTGCTAATAGCTAAAGACTGTATCAGGACAGCTTTTTCTAAGCACCAATTCTTATTACATATATAACCTTGTGGGTCCCAGGGACAGAAAATGGTACTGATTTTTTAATGACACTACAGTCATCCTGGAAATTCTTGTTCTAAAAATACATTATGGTTATTTTCTTGCCTTTAATTTCCTCAAGAACTGAAGCCATGAAAAACTGCATTTAGTTTGGAGTTAATTATACTTCAATTTAATCAAAGCTTTAATGTTCAGAATGTCTAGCACAATGTCTGGCAGACACTAATGGCTTTAATAAATGTTTATTCAATGAATCAAAAGTCAGCAGATCTTCAGGAAATCACTAGCACAGTAGCTCTTTTATGCTTGGGCATTAGCTAGAATTTAAACTTTGGATGATGAGTGCACGGAATGATGGATTATAGTACTTTCAATTACTATGTTTTGTGCTTGAGATTTTCATACTATTTGGCTTCTTGTAAGGACAAGAAGTTGCTCACATTTTGTTTTTAATCATCACTGCTGAAGAGATTATTTTGCACGACAATATTTTACTTTTAAGCCCTAGAGGTTTTTTAAGGCTGTCCTTTACCAACAAGAAAGAGATAAAATCAGCTACAGATAAATCCCTAGGACTGTATTTTTCAGCCTTGAACTGAGATAAGTGAATAGAATCTTTTATTTGAAGTCTGTAAACTTTTTGTGGTGAGCCTACAATTATGAAAAGCACGTCACTTTCAGAAAGAAAATGATAAATTCTCAATGTTTGTCTATTTCTCTCAAAAACCAAAGCAGTAATCAGAACACAGTTATTAGGAAAAATGTGTAGCTCTGTATTTCTGTTGCCACTTTTGCTTACAATAAGATAATATTAACTAGAAATAGAAAAAAAACACTAATAGGCTTAATAAAAGATATGGCCATCTGGTTTCATATCACAACATTGTATTTAGTTGAAACAATAGTGAAATTGAGCTCTTCTAAGGAAACTGTCTCACTTTGCGCTGAAGTGGGAAGAACTCAGGGATGCAAACCCATAATGTTTAATATGAACAATTCACTTTTCTTCCAGTTGTATATGGATCCTGGTTTGATCATATTTAAGGGAAGAGTACAAGAGTGACAAAAAAATTATATTTCATGAAGAAATGAAAAAAAGTAAGTCCTTCCCAATGTTCCAACAACCAAAATTTAAATCAAATTAAGTTAAAACACAAAATTTGTCAATGAATTTAGGTTTCAGGGAATTAATTTGGCATTTTGACAAGAGTTGCCCTTACTGTTTTAATTCAATTATTGCTCAGGATCTTTCTGAAAGCATAAAGAAAATAACTACTTTCCTCAGTATAAACGTGAAATTAATAAAATTGCTTAGAAAATATCATTCAGTGAAATGAGAAATGACGCAGCCAAAGAAAATTGTGATCCAAATCATACCATCTGTGCCTCACATCTAGCAGGAACCTGGTATTTAGGAAAGGTAAGCCAGAAAGCCATGTGGTGCTTTGTCTGCAGCCTATATTTGGAAGCAGTTCTGATATGGACAGGAGACAGGGAGATACTGGGTAGAAGAGGGTGGTTCCCTGGCAAACGCCCCATCCTCAAGCTTGAAGATCTGCAGCCCTAAGTGAGAACAGGCATTGTTGTTTTCGTGCCCAAAAAGTTGCCTTTTAGCCCACCATGCCCCCACTATCCTGTACCCATATAAACCCCAAGGCTCCAGAAGCAGACGAGGAGACAAGGAGACAAGCAGGCAAGCAGATGGATAGCAGAACGGCATGGCAGAGAAAGGGAGAAGAGAAGGAATGTCTGAAGGCAAAGAGGAATTCGGCTGGGGACAGTCGGAGGGGAGTTCGGCAGCTGGATGGCCAAACTCCAGGGGAAGATCATTTTCCCACTCCATCCCCCTGCCAACTCGTCATCCATCCCGCTGAGCAACCTCCACCACTCAATAAAACCTCACATTCATCCTTCAAGCCCGTGTATTACCCGATTCTTCCGGGATGCTGGGCAAGAGCTCGGGATACAGAAAACTGTCACACTAGCCCCCCACCCTTGTGAAAAGACAGAGGGTCCACTGGGCTGGTTAAAACTTAAGCCATCTACGGATGGCAGAGCTAAAAGAGCATTGTAACACTGGGGCTGCAGGCACCCACCCTTAGACACTACCATGGGGCTGGAGCCCACAGCACTTGCCTTGGCTTCTGCACCTGCCTATCTATGTGTTCTCTCTCCTATTGGAGGTTTGAGCAGCAGAGGCAACTGAACAAGCAAGCCACACCCCTGCTGCATGTCCTGCAAAGGGGATAAGGGAACTCTCCCATTTCAGTTCCAGAGTTTTGCCCTTTTTAATTTCTCGTTTCATCTTCATACACCCCATATCTTGTGCAATGGATTCCACATTGTCACCCTTCAGTGAATGTTTATTAAACGAAATTCTTGAGTTGCATTCTTTCCAGAGTTGAGATTTCTATGCCCAGTTAGAAACCAATTGAGAGGGAGGCACAGGAGTCAAAAAGTTGGAAATGATAAAGCTATTGAATTCTATGCCTCAAGTCTGCAGCCTAGTGTGTTTGCTTATCGTTTACCCTGAATTTTACAAACATATCCACTTAGTTACAGTCAATTGAATGCAGGCCTTTCTCCCACTGGGGCCAGTCACCAGACTGTGGTAGGGAGCCCTATAAGACACTTGTTTTTCAGGAGACAGAAGGGAGCTGAGGGAGTATGAATGGTACATTTCTCTCAACTCACCAACCTGCAAAATTACCCTCCAGAAATAAGTAGAGGTTAGGAGAAAAGCTGGGATTGCTATCTAGGGAAGTTCCTCACATGAAAACACAAAGAGAAGGAAATAAATCGTTCTCACTAATTCCTGAGGTTTAACTAATTCCTGAGATTACACTAATTACCACGCCTGTAATCTCAGCACTTTGGGAGGCTAAGGTGGGCGGATCACCTGAGGTCAGGAGTTCAAGACCTGCCTGGCCAACATGGCAAAATCCTGTCTCTACTAAAAATACAAAAAAATTAGCCGGGCATGGGGGCAGATGCTTGTAATCCCAGCTATTCGGGAGGCTGAGGCAGGAGAATGGCGTGAACCCGGGAGGCGGAGCTTGCAGTGAGCCGAGATCGCGCCACTGCACTCCAGCCTGGGCGACAGAGCAAGACTCCGTCTCAAAAAAAAAAAAAAAAAAAAAAAAAAAAAGATGTTGTTGTAATAGTTTTGGGTGGGAAACATCGAGGGTCATAATTAGAGCAGTGACAGTGGAATCACTGTTGGGTGGAGCTCAGCTGAAAAGTGAGTTTAGGAGCCATCAGCTTGTCGTGGAATTAGGTAAAATTGTCAAGGCAAGTGGGAAGAGCTAGTGAAGAATGTGATAGAAGATGGAGTGCTGGAGACCCTAACGTCAATGGGAATGAAACAGTCCAAGAAAAGCTTCAAGAAGAAAAGATCAGCCAGAATTAGGAGGAAAACCAGGATCACATATGGCTATTGGTTTATCATTCCTGAATTCTGAGAGCACAGCATCTACAGCAATAGAGATGGAAGCCACGTTGAGGAGTTTGAAGAGATGAGATGTGAAGAGGGGAGCAGCAATAAGGACTGCTCTTCCAAGTAGTTGTTTCTTTATTTGTTTTTATGGCAGAGTGGAGTTTTATTATTACTCAAATCAGTCTCCCTGAAAATTTGGGAATTAAAGTTTTAAAGATAATTTGGTGGGTTGGGGGAAAGCCAGTGAGTCGAGAGTGCTGAATGGATGCATCTTGCAATATTGCTCTTAACAATGAAAACCTAGAATGCACTTAAATGACCATTAATCAAAAACTGTTAAGACACAACCATATAGGGACTCAGTATGAAGTCATGAAAATTGGGTCAGAGATGAAATCATAGGGAATTGAATCTGTCCTCTTGCACTGAGTCAGTTCCTGGGTGGGGGGCACAAGATCAGATGAGCCAGTTATCGATCTGGGTGGTGCCAGCTGACCCGTCAATGCAGCGTCTGCATAATATCTCAAGTACTGACCTTAGGAGCAGTTTAGGAAGGGTCAGAATATTGTAGCCTCCAGCTGCATGACCCCTAAAACATAATTTCCAATCTTATAGGTAATTTGTTAGTCCTACAAAGGCAGTCTAGTCTCCAAGCAAGAAGGAGGTCTGTTTTGGGAAAGGGCTGTTACTGTCTTTGTTTTAAACCATAAACTAAGTTATTCCCCAAATTTGTTCAGCCTACACCCAGGAATGAACAAAGACAGCTTGGAGGTTAGAAGCAAGATGGAGCTGGTTAGGTCAGATCTCTTTCACAGTCTCAGTTATAATTTTGCAATGGCACTCTTTCAAGAAGTTTGAGAGTAGACGATGGGGACAAGACGACGTGGGAGCTCGAGAGAGAGAGAGAGAGGCAGGGTCAAGGCAAAGATTAGGAGTGGTTGGGGAGAGAAGATGAAGGGAAGACAGACTTTAGAAAAGAACACGTGAAGGAAGGCAAAATAAGCAAAGGGGAGATAAAGAGATTGGGAGGGACCCTGGTAAAGAGGACAGTGAGAAATGAAGAAGTTCTGATGCTCAGTGGTGTTTGGTGTCACTGTTGACACCAGTTATCACTGCTCTTTGAGATTTGGATGAGCAAAATAATTGTGATTCACGCATCGTATCCTACAAACTTGGGTAATTTTACTCTAATAGGAAGAGAGTTAATCTCTGGCCTGCCGCACTAGTAACCCTGGTAAATATCCTCAGGTGAAATCATATCGACATGATTGTAGCTGGTGACTTTAGTTCTAATGCATTGAAATTCTATCTAATAAGTGTTTTTCTTGTGCTGGATCTAATCACAGAAGGTTACAAGTGGAAACACCCTCACTGACAGTTATCACCTGAGCACCTGTTGCAGAATTAAACACAAGGATGAACCAATAAAGCCCATTTGCTTCACTCTTTTCATTGATTGATTGGATGGGGTGGGAGTTAGGGACCTATCATGTGAGAATAATTATTTCAAATAAATTACTGAAGTCATTGATTCAGACTCCTTCGCTCACAGAGATACTCCACACTTTACGAAGAATTTATGCTTGTGGTTCTCTTATTTTTTATTTTTTATTTTTATGGGGGTCTCACTATGTTGCCCAGGCTGGACTTGAACTTCTGGCATCAAGTGATCCTCCTGCCTTGGCCTCCCAAAGTGCTGGGATTACAGGCATGCCTGCAGTTCTCTTTACTCTGATGTCAGAAATAGAGCTGATATTCAATAAAGTCGGTTGGGAGCAGTGGCTCACGACTGTAATTCTAGCACTTTGGGAGGCTGAGATGGAAGGATTGCTTGAGGTCAGGAATTCAAGACCAGCCTGGGCAACATAGTGAGACCTAATCTCTACAAAAATAAAAAGTAAGTAATTAAACACTTTTTTTTAAAAGAAAGCGATTATAGTCGTCATGGAGATAAGGTGAGAGGTGAGAACACAGGTGTCACAAGTTTCAGGTCCCATACATATTAAAAATCAGGGGAAGAATTACAGGTGGATGGAAGGACATAAGGACTGGATGCATCTTGCAATATTGCTTATAACAATGAAAACCTAGAATGCCCTTAAATGACCATTAATCAAAAACTGTTAAGACGCAACCATATGGGGACTCAGTATGAAGTCATGAAAAATATAGAAAATTGTATAACTAGCTTTTATTGAGTGCTTCTTATGTGCCAGGCACAGTACTTGGTTTATCTTAAACATGGCAGCAGGCTTGAGGATGACATTCATGCTATCCACACTTTGCTGAGATGTCAGGCACCTGAATAATTTGTCCAAAGTCACAGAGCTAGTAGAAGGTAGTCAAGTTTTGAATTCAAACCGTTTTATTCGTCTTCTCTTTACTCTTAGTCTAACCAAAGGTTTGTCAATGCTGTCTACTTTTCAAAAAACAACTCTGGGTTTTGTTGACTATTTTCCTATTTTTTTCTATTCTCTATGTCATTTATTTCTGCTCTAAGCATTATTATTTTCTTCCTTCAGCTAACTTTGGGCTTAGTTTATTCCTTTTATAGTTCCTTGAGGTATAAAGGTAGGTTGTTTCTCTGAGATCATCTTCTTTTTAAATATAAGTGTTTAACCCTATAAACTGCCCTCTTTGTACTGCTTTTGCACCAACCTAATACATTCTATAACTTTTTTTTTTTTTGAGATGGAGTCTCGCTCTGTTGTCCAGACTGGAGTGCAGTGCCACGATCTCGGCTCACTGCAACCTCCGCCTCCCGGGTTCAAGTGATTCACTGGCCTCAGCCTCTCGAGTAGATGGGATTACAGGCACCTGCCACCATGCCCAGCTAATTTTTTGTAGTTTTAGTAGAGATGGGGTTTCACCATGTTGCCCAGGCTGGTCTCAAACTCCCAACCTCAAGTGATCCACCCACTTCAGCCTCCCAAAGTGCTGGGATTACAGGCATGAGTCACTGCGTCCAGCAACATCTTATAATTTTTGATATGTTGTGTTTTCATTTTCATTTCTAATCTTTTGATTTCTTTTTTGACCTACTGGTTACTCATCTTGCTCTACTGAACCATATATTTGCGTGTGTGTGTATATACACATATTAATGTTAACATTGAAGATAATCAAAGTATAATAAGCAAAAAAAGCAGGTTGAAATTGTGTGATTTTTAAATGTAGTTTATATATGTGTGTGTGTGTCTGCAAAGAGAAACATCTGGAAGAATGCATGTTAGCAGGTCTGTAAGCCATGTTAGCTGAGTGTATTTACTCTATTTCATCTTTTGCTTATATAATTTTCCATAACCTACATATACAATTGTGATATTATTTTTTAAAATAGTTTTTCTTTAAAAAAAGGAAAAAAAATGGCAAGGCGAAAGAACAAATTAAAAACAGGGCAAAGAAAAAGAGTCAGGTCAAATGAAGTAAGAGTTCAGGTGAATAATATAGAAGCCAGACGGCAGAACCAGAAAGGACCAAAGAATGTTGACAATCACAGGCACACCTCATAAATTGCACTTTGCTTTATTTCAGTTTGCAGATATTGGTATTTGTTTTTATTTTATTTTATTTTTTTACAAATTGCAGGTTTGTGGCAACCCTGTGTTAAGCAAGTCTATGGATGCCATTTTTCAACAGTATGCACTCACTTTGTGTCTCTGTGTCACATTTTGGTAATTCTCCCAGTGTTTCAAACACTTTTATTATTATATATGTTAGGGTGATGTGTGATCAGTGATCTTTGATGTTACTATTGTAATTGTTATGGGTGCCATGAAATGTGCCCATGTAAGATGGTGAACCTAATTGATAAGTGTTGTAAGTGTTCGGACTGTTCCACCAAACAGCTGTTCCCACCACATCTGTCTCCCTTTCTTCTAGCCTGCCTGTTCACTGAGACACAACAATATTGAAATTAGGACAATCAATAAAACTACAATGACTTTCAAGTGCTCAAGTGAAAGGAAGAGTCTCACATCACTCACTTTAAATCAAAAGTTAAAACGATTAAACTTAGTGAAGAAGGCATGTTGAAAGCCTTCAGGCTGAAAGCTGGGCCCCTTGCACCAAATGGTTGGCCAAGCTGTGAATGCAAAGGAAAAGTTATTGAAGGCGACTCAAAGTGCTACTTTACTATTTATTTACACAAATAATAAGAAAGTGAAACAAATTTCTTGCTGAGATGTAGAAAGTTTGACTGATCTGGAGAGAAGATCAAACCAGCCACATTTCCTTAAGTCAAAGTCTAATCCAGAACAAGGCCGTAACTTTCTTCAATTCTGTGAAGGCTGAAAGAGGTGAGGAAATGATAGAAGAAAAGTTTAACGCAAGCAGAGGTTAGTTTAAGGCAAGCAGAGGTTTAAAAAAAGAAGCCATCTTTAGAACATAAAGACACACAGAGAAGCAGCAAGTGCTGCTTTCTTTATGTTATAAAGCTGTTTTTATGTTATAACATAAAGATATCTTTATTTCTCTATTTCAATAGGATTTTGGGGAACAGGTTACGGTATTTGGTTACATGAAAAAGTTCTACGGTGGTGATTTGTGAGATTTTGGTGCACTCATCACCTGAGCAGTGCGCACTGTACCCTATGTGTAGTCTTTTATCCCTCACCACTCCCCACCCTTTCCCCTGAGTCCCCAAAGTCCAATGTATCACTCCTATACTTTTGCATCCCCATAGCTTAGCTCCCACATGAGTAAGAACATGTGATGTTTGGTTTTCTATTCCTGAGTTACCTCACTTAGAAAAATAGTCTCCAATTTTATCCAGATTGCTACAAATGTAATTATTTCATTCCTTTTTATGGCGAGTAGTATTTCATGGTATACACACACACACCATATTTTCTTTCTTCACTCGTCGATTGATGGGCATTTGGGCTGGTTTCATATTTTTGCAATTGCAAATTGTGCTGCTATAAAGATGCATATGCAATTATCTTTTTTATATAATGACTTATTTTCCTCTGGGTAGATACCTAGTAGTGGGATTGCTGGATCAAACAGTAGATCTATTTCTTTAAGGAATCTCCACACTGTTTTCCATAGCGGTTGTACTAGTTTACATTCCCACGAACAGTGTAAAAATGTTTTCCCTTTTCACCACATTCATGCCAATATCTATTATTTTTCAATTTTTGCAGGAATGAGGTGGTATTGCATTGTGGTTTTGATTTGCATTTCCCTGATGATTAGTGATGTTGAGCATGTTTCCATATGCTTGTTGGCCATTTATAGATGTTCTTTTGTGAATTGTCTATTCATGTCCTTAGCTCACTTTTTTGTGGGATTTTTTTTCTTGCTGATTCGTTTGAGTTCTTTCTAGATTGTGGATATTAGTCCTTTGTCAGATGTAAAAATTGTGAAGATTTTCTCCCACTCTGTGGGTTTTCTGTTTACTCTGCTTATTGTTTCTTTTGCTGTGCAGAAACTTTTTAGTTTAATTAAGTCCCACCTATTTATCATTGTTTTTGTTGTATTTGCTGTTGGGTTTTTGGTCATAAAGTCTTTGCCTAAGCCAATGTCAAGAAGGGTTTTTCCAATGTTGTCTTCTAGACTTTTTATGGCTTCAGGCCTTATATTTAAGTCTTTGATCCTTCTTGAGTTGATTTTTGTATAAGGTGAGAGATGAGGATCCAGTTTCATTCTCCTACATGTGGTTTGCCAATTACTCCAGCACCATTTGTTGAATACAGTGTCCTTTCCTCACATTGTGTTTTTGTTTGCCTTGTCAAAGATCAGTTTGTTGTAAGTATTTGGCTTTATTTCTGGGTTCTCTATTCTGTTCCACGGGTCTATGTGCCACCAATACCATGTTGTTTTGTTGACTGTGACCTTATAGTATACTTTGAAATCAGGTATTGTGATGTCTCCAACTTTGTTCTTTTTGCTTAGTCTTGTTTTGGCTATGTAGGCTCTTTTTTGATTCCATATGAATTTTAGGATTGTTTTTTCTAGTTCTGTGAAGAATGATGGTGGTATTTTGATGGGAATTGTATTGAATTTATAGATTGCTTTTGGCAGTATGGTCATTTTCACAATGGTGATTCTACCCTTCTATGAGCATGGGATGTGTTTCCATTTGTTTGTGACATCTATGATTCCTTTCAGCAGTGTTTTGTTGTTTTCCTTGTAAAGGCTTTTACATCCTTGGTTAAGTACATTCCTAAGAATTTTATTTTTTTTTTTGCAGTTATTGTGAAAGGGGTTGAATTGTTGATTTGATTCTCAGCTTAGTCACTGTTGGTGAATAGCAGAGCTACTAATTAGTATACATTAATTTTGTATCTTGAAACTTTGCTGAATTCATTTACCAGTTCTAGGAGCTTTTTGGATGAGTCTTTAGGGTTTTCTAGGCATATGATTGTATCATCAGCAAACAGCAGGAGTTTGACTTTCTCTTTACTGATTTGGATGCCCTTTATTTCTTTCTCTTGTCTGATTGCTCTGGCTAGGACTTCCAGTACCATGTTGAATAGAAGTGATGAAAGTGGACATCCTTGTCTTGTTCCAGTTCTCACAGGGAATGCTTTCAACTTTTCCCCGTTCAATATAATGTTGGCTGTGGGTTTGTCATAGATGGCTTTTATTACCTTAAGGTAATATGCCGATTTTGCTGAGTGTCTTAATCACAAAGGGATGCTGGATTTTGTCAAATGCTTTTTCTGTGTCTATTCAGATAGTCATGAGAATTTTTTTTTTTTTTTTGAGATGGAGTCTCACTCTGTCCCCAGGCTGGAGTGCAGTGGCATGATCTTGGCTCACTGCAACCTCCACCTCCCGGGTTCAAGTGATTCTTCTGCCTCAGCCTCCCAAGTAACTGAGACTACAGGCACGTGCCACCACACCCAGCTAATTTTTGTATTTTTAGTAGAGACGGGGTTTCACCATGTTGGCCAGGATGGTCTCGATCTCTTTACCTCATAATCCACCTACCTCAGCCTCCCAAAGTGCTGAGATTACAGGCATGAGCCACCACGCCTGGCCTAAGTTTTGTTTTTAATTCTGTTTATATGATGTATCACATTTATTGACTTATGTATGTTAAACCATCCCTGCATTTCTATTTCCAGGCAGCTGGTGACCAGGACTGAGAACTTGTCCCAGGCCACGAGCCTCCCCATTGAGAAGGCAAGCAGACTCACAGTTTTTTGGCATCTCAGGGATGCTGCAGCAGTGACCTAGTTCTTTCAAAGGGTCTGTGGATTCTCTTGACTTTCCTGATATGTTCCTGCAGTAGTTCTGGGAGCCAAAGTTCACAATGTGAGTCTCCACATGCTGCTCTGTCTGTCTAAGTGGAAGCTACAAACTAGTCTTGCTTCCTATCTGCCATTTTCACTCAATCACGCCAAGATGTCTTTATAACATAAAGATGCAAGGAGAAACAGCAAGTGCTAATGAAGAAGCTGCAGCAGGTTATCCAGAAGATTTAATTAAGATCATTGATGAAGGTGGCTACACTAAACAAGATTTTCAATGTAGACGAAATAGCCTCCTGTTGGAAGAAGATACCATCTAAGATTTTCATAGCTATAGTGGAGAAGTCAATGTTTCAAAACTTCAAGGGAAAGGCTGACTCTCTTGTTAGGGGTTAATGCTGCTGGTGACTTAATGTTGAAGCCAGCGCTCACTTACCATTCTGAAAATTCTAGGGCCCTTAAGTATTTGGGTAAATCGACTCTGCCTGTGCTCTATAAATGGAACAGCAAAGCCTGGATGACAGCACATCTGATTGTAGCACGATTTATTAAATATTTGAAACCCACTGTTGAGACCTACTGCTCAGAAAAAAAGATTCCTTTAAAATGTTACTGCTCGTTGACAATTCATCTGGTCACCCAAGAGCTCTGATGGTGATATAAAAGCTGATGAATGCTGTTTTCATGCCTGTTTATGCCTGCTAACATAACATTCATTCCACAGTCATGGATCAAAGACTAATTTCAACTTTCAAGGTCTTATTACTTAAGGAATACATTTCGTAAGGCTACTGCTGTCATAGATAGTGATTTCTCTAATGTAACTGGGCAAAGTAAATTGAAAATCTTCTGGAAAGGGATTCATCATTCTATTGCCATTAAGAACATTTGGGATTCATGGAAAGAGGTCAAAATGTCAACATTAACAGGAGTTTGGAAGAAGTCAATTTCAATACTCATGGATGGGTTCAAGTTTTCAGTGGAGAAAGAAACTGAAGTTGTGGTGGAAATAGCAGGAGAACTAGAAATAAAAGTGAACCCTGAAGATGTGACTGAATTGCTGCAATATCATGGTCAAACTTGAATAGATGATGATGTGGTTTGGCTCTCTGTCCCTACCCAAATCTTACCTTGAATTGTTATACTCCCCAGTGTCATGGGAGGGACCCAGTGGGGGTAATTGAATCATGGGGGTAGTTTTCCCCATACTGTTCTTGTGATAGTGAGTGAGTTCTCACGAGATCTGATGGTTTTATAAGGGGCTCTTCCTTTCGCTGTGCCACTCTTCTCATTTCTGGTGCCTTGTGAAGAAGGTGCTTTGCTTCCCCTTCACCTTCTGTCCTGGTTGTGGGTTTCCCAAGGCCTCTCCAGTCATGCTGAACCGTAAGTCAACTAAACCTCTTTCCCTTATAAATTACCCAGTCTTGGGAGGTTCTTTATAGCAGTATGAAAAATGGACTAATACAGATGAAGAGTTGCTTCTTATGGATGAGAAAAAAAGAGGTTTTTCCTGGTGAAGATGTTGTGAACATTGTTTAAATGACAACCAAGAATTTAGAATATTACATATACTTAGCTGACAAATCACTAGCAGGGCTTAAGAGAATTGACTCCAGTTTTGAAAGTTCTACTGTGGATAAAATGCTATTGGATAGCATTGCATGCCTCAGAGAAATCTTTACTGAAAGGATGAGTCAATTGATGTGTAAACTCAGTGTTTTATTTTAAGAAAATGCCACTGCTATTTCAACTTCAGCAGTTACCACTCTGTTCAGTTAACAGCCATCAACATGGAGTCAAAACCCTCTATCAGCAAAAAGATTACAACTTGCTGAAGGCCCAGGTGTTTGTTAGTAATTTTTAGCAATAAAGTATTTTTAATTAAGGTATGTTCATGGTTTATTATTAGACAAAATGCTATTGCACACTTAATAGACTATAGTATAGTGTAAATATAACTTTTTATACACTGGGAAACAAAACAATTCAAGTGACTCACTCTATTGTAATATTCACTTTATTGGGGTGGTCTGGGACTGAACCTGCAATATCTCTGAAGTATGCCTTTGACATTAATATTAATCTTCTATGGGCCAGGCACTTTGACCTCATGAAGTTGGCCTTGTCTCCCAATTCGTGCATTTTCGGAGCAATGTCACTTCCTTACTCTGAGATCTCTCTGGTACTACTTTTTGTCATTTCTCTCTGCTTCTTCTTAAACTCAGTTTTTTGAACCCGGAATCAACAACATCAAAAATTCCTAGATTTTACTGTATTTTTTTGCTGTGGGAAATTGTCTGACACTCAGTCAAAACACAGGTATTTACTCAGGACCTGCTGGCTGCTGGTCAGCACTGGATGAGAGGTTCTGCAGGATTACACATGAACAGCACATCACAGTTCCTAACATGAATGAACATATAAGCTATTTGGAAAGAAAAGATGATAGAGAACAACAGAAGATGTTCTGTAATGGATGGATAAAACGTATCACTGGCTCCAGTACAGGTAGACCCCAGAGATGAAGTTTGAGGCTAGAAGTGGCAAAAGACCATTGTAGGCAAGATCCAGGGTTGGGGTTTGGCATTGTGTGCATAGTGGGGGCAAAAAAGGCAGTCCTGTGTGGTTGACCCTGTGGCCAAGGCTGAGAGAGATGATTTGTATGATCAAGAGAGGCTGATGGACTATGTGAAGTGTATATCTTATCTCAATCACCCAACACTTTATATTGAAAGTGAGGATATCACACAAGTAAATTTTGTTTGTGTTTATATAACTTGGCACTTATGTTTTCAATATCATGTTGTAAAATAAATGTCTTTAAAATTAGACTAATTACCGCCACCCTCCAGTCATCAGCACAGCTTCTGCTGTGGAGATGTGCAAGTTGGGAAATAAACGAAACATCATTATGTCCATATTGCCCGCTTTATGATTTTATTAAGTTTAGGTGAGAAACTTTGCCTGTTAGAGTAAAACCTATGACATTCATGTATTTTTAATCTGCCTTTTTTTCCAGAAATAACTTTTTAAACTGCATAATATACAACCATTACAGAAGAAATTAGAAACAACAGATAAGTAAATAAAGAATAATCCCCTATCATCTTGGCACCAAGAGATACAAGATGTTCACATTTTATTTTAAAACTGGCAGATTTCTTTTGTGAATACAATACATTTAAATTGGTTCTTGTCTAATACATTTCCAATCTATCCAGGAGCGGTGGATGATTGGATAAACTACTTCAGAGCAGAAGAGTATTTAATGAACTATTCACAGAGAAGATGAAACACAGTGAACTGGTAAGACACTTTGAAGATCACTCAGTACAAATGGGAAATGAAACCAATTTTTATTTTATGCAATGCAGTGCTTTGGGAAAACATAAATATTTTTCACCATTATAGAAAGCAGATTTTTTTTCAGTGCAAAACAGACACTTTATAAATGTGTCAAAAGTGTCATGTGTGATATACTATTTCATATTTTGTGATAGCAGAGAATTATTAGTAAGAAAAAAAGTGGTGGTGAGGGGGTTAGCCAAGATGGCTGACTAGTAGCAGCTACGTTGTGCCAATCTAAGAGAAATAGAAGGGGTGAGTAAATACAGCACATTGTACTTCCGGTACAATGTGTACACCGGAAGCATCCAGGTACACACATTGGGATTCATCAAGGAAACAATTTGACTCATGAAGAATGGAGAAAAGCAAGGCAGGGTAACTGCCCACCTAGGAGTGCCATGGAACCAGGGGAGCCTCCCTTGCCTAGAGAAGTGTTGACTGAATGAGGAAGTGACTGCAGAGACCCACTGTTCTACCACAGATCTTTGCAACCCTCAGGTCAGGAGATCCCTTCATGGACCCACTCTACCCAAACCTTCAGTTTGACATGCAGAGCTACATAATGTCTCTGCAGAGTAGCCACTCAGGCACATGTGGAGCCCTGGGAGCCTTAGATATCCAGCTTCCTGTCAAAAAGTAGCTGCAGCTCTTTCAAAGTGAGAGGTTAGATCCTCGTACCTACCCGTAGGAAAGGGGCTGAATCCAGGGGAGTGAGCAGCGATGGACTACAGGCACCTCACTGGATAAGACCCACCGGCTTGGGAACCCAGCCAGTCACCAATAATAACCGTTACACCTCCCTGAGATGAAGCTCCCAGAGGGCGGGGTGGGCCACATCTTTGTTGTTTTACAGCCTTAGCAATTGTTGCCTTTGGACTCTAGGAGTCTGAAGTGACTGGAGGCTGGAGCGGACCCCCAGTCCAGCATAGCAGCTCTGCAAAGCAGCAGCCGACTGCTTTTCATGTGGATCCCAAATCCCATTTCTCTTCACTGGGTAGAATCTCCTGACCAGGACCTCCTGTCACCCCCACTGGTGTTTTCTGGCTGACAGCAGTTCCAACCCCTCCCTGAGATGTAGCTCCCAGAGGGAGGGGCAGGCCACCATCTTTGCTCTTTAGCAGCCTTAGCTGCCTTCAGGCATTAGAGTCCATGGTGACCAGGGGCTGTAGTGGATCCCCAGAAAAGCACAACTATCTTGAGGAAAAGCAGCCAGGCTGCTTTTTTACATGGGTCCCTGATCCTATACCTCCTTACTGGGTGGGATCTCCTGATTGGGGTCTCCAACCACTTCTTGCAGGTGTGTTCAGGTTGGTAACAGGTCCGACCTCCCTGGGATGGAGCTCCCAGAGGGAGGGGCAGGCCACCTTTTTGCTGTTTTGCAGCCTTCACTGTTGATATCTTTAGATACTGGAAAATTCAAAGCCACTGGGGACTGGAGTGGACCCCCAGCATACTGCAGCAGCCCTGTGGAAAAGTGGCCAGACTGTTATGTGGTCCCCAATCGTGTAGCTCCTCACTGGGCAGGTCCTCTTGGCTTGGGTCTCCAACTACCCTCTGCTGAGGCTATAGAGCCAATAGCAGCTCTGTAACTCCCTGGGCAGAGCTCCCCATGGTAGGGGCAGGTTGCCATGGTGGCTGTCTTGCAGCCCTTGCCCTTGGTGTCTCCAGGCTCTGGAGAGTCTGTGAGGATCAGGGACTGGTCCAGATCCCCAGCACAGAGCAACAACCCCATGGAAAAATGGTCAGATTGTTCCCCATACAGGTCCCAGTCCTCACTTCTCACTGGGCAGGGCTATCCAACCCCCAACACAACCACCCTGACCCTGCCTGATCACTTCAATCAGAGCCAGCTCAGCACTTCTCCCAGGAGGAAATCGCAGAGCCAACCCACAAACCCTCCTTCGCTGCAGCTGCAGTGGTACAGTTCCAACAGCCCTCGTGCTTGGGAAGGAACAAGGGGCTTAGTCATTATGCTGGCACTTCCAGCACACCACAGCCACGCTATAGAGAGGAGCCCAGCCCCTCTTCCAGGGGAATCCCCACCCCACACTCTTCACCAGGCAGGGCCCCTGGCTCATGACTGCAGAACAGCCACTCCACCCATGGCTGAACATATCCACTGGTAGTGGCCTGAGGAGAGGCTTGTAGAGACATGTTACAGCCCCTTCGTCACTGGTTCTATCCCTGCTGCCCTCAGTCTGAAGAAGAAACAAAGAACCTGAGGGCTACATCTGAGCTTACAGCATGCCACAGTCATATGGAGAGGAAACCAGTCTCTCCTCCCAGTGAACCATTGACCCCCTGCTGCCAAACAAGCAGAGCCCCAAGCTCATGTGCCAGCACTGCACCTGCCCCTCCCCACTGGCTGAACACTCCCAATAAGAGCAGCTCTGCTTCACAGAGGTGGAACCCCCAGGGGCAACCAAAAGCCTCTCTGCCACTGCCTCTGCAGTGGTATTACCCCTGCCACTCTCAGAGTAACAAAGGCAGAAGCAGTGGCAGAGAGGCTTTGGTTGCCCCTGGGGGTTCCACCTACAAGAAAGATGGAGTGCAGGAAAGGGAACTCCAGGCTTGGGCCCACAGCACAGACCCATCCTAGGCTGATTGCACTGAGCGATTGCTGACCTGCATTTCTCTGGGGTGGAGCCCCTAGGATACAAATAAAAGACCATCGGCTACAACCACTGCTAAGGTTCCTTCCTCTGCTGCCTCTAAGTTGGGGAGGAAACATAAACCTTGAGTTCACCCCAGAGCTCTGGTGGACAGCCTGGGAGTGCCAAGCCGCAATTTACAGCCAGCGCTCAAGTGGAAGAGGGGCCCTTGATTTCAGAGCATTGAGAGGGAACATGGCTGCAACTGTGAGGAAATACAGGGGAACCACACAACTGAGCAAGAGCCTACCAACTGACCACTATGCCTAAGCGCCACCTACTGGATCATACCCCAAAGCTTCAACACCAAAAATGTCTAGGTAACATACTCCCCTGTAAAACCAAAGACAAGAAGTTAGCCACAAATAAAAACCCTGCACAAAGCTTCAGCCCTGTGAAAACATCCAGAAAAGAAGTCTATTGACTATACTCAATCTACGCTGCAGTTAAAGGAACACCCACATGCAGAGATGAGAAAGAAGGCAATACAAGAACTCCAGTAACTCAATGGCCAGAGTGCCATATGTCCTCCAAATGACCACACTAATTTTCCAACAAGGATTCTTAACCAGACTGATCTGGCTGAAATGACAAAAATAGAATTCAGAATATAGGAAAAACAAAGATAATTAAAATTAAAATTCAGGAGGATGGCAAACCCCAATCCAAGGAAAATAAGAACCACAATAAAACTATACAGGAGCTGACAGACAAAATAGCCAGCATAAAAAAGAACCTAACTGATCTGACAGAGCTGAAAAACACACTACAAGAATTTCACAATGCAGTTGCAAGTGTTAACAGCAGAATACACCAAGCTGAGGAAAGAATCTCAGAACTTTTTTTTTTTTTTTTTTTTTTTTGAGACGGAGTCTCGCTCTGTCGCCCAGGCCGGACTGCGGACTGCAGTGGCGCAATCTCGGCTCACTGCAAGCTCCACTTCCCGGGTTCACGCCATTCTCCTGCCTCAGCCTCCCGAGTAGCTGGGACTACAGGCACCCGCCACCGCGCCCGGCTAATTTTTTGTATTTTTAGTAGAGACGGGGTTTCACCTTGTTAGCCAGGATGGTCTCGATCTCCTGACCTCATGATCCACCCGCCTCGGCCTCCCAAAGTGCTGGGATTACAGGCGTGAGCCACCGCGCCCGGCCAGAATCTCAGAACTTGAAGACTGGTTCTCTGAAATAGGACAGTCAGGCAAAAATTAAAAGAAAATAAAAAGGAATTAATAAACCTCCAAGAAATGTGGGATTATGTAAACATGCCAAATATAAAAATGATTGGCATCCTGAAAAGGGATGGGGAGGAAGCAGACAACATGGAAAACATATTTCAGGATATCATCCATGAAAATGTCCCCAACCTCACTATAGAGGCTGAGAGTCAAATTCTGGAAATACAGAGAGCCTTGCAAGATTCTATACAAGAAGATCATCCCCAAAAAACACAGTCAGATTTTCCAAGGTTGAAATGAAAAAATGTTAAAGGCAGCTAGAGAGAAAGAGCATGTCACCTACAAAGGGAACCCCATCAGGCTAACAGCAGACCTCTCAGCAGAAACACTACAAGCCAGTAGAGATTGGGGGCCTATATTCAACATTCTTAAGGAAAAAATAATCTTCAACCAAGCATATTATATCCAGCCAAACTAAGCTTCTTCTAAGTAAAAAAGAAAGAAGAACCTTTTCAGATAAGCAAATGCTGAGGGAGTTCATTGCCACCAGATGTGTCTAAGAAGAGATCTTGAAAGGAGCACTAAATATGGAAAAGAAAGACCATTACCAGCCAATAGAAAAACACACTTAAGGACACAGACCAATGACACTATACAGCAACCACACAAACAAGCTGGCACAATAACCAGATAACAACACAATGACAAGATCAAATTCACACATATCAGTACTAACCTTGAAGGTAAACAGGCTAAATGCCCCATTTAAAAGGCTCAGAATGGTCAGCTGGATAATAAAGCAAAACCCAGATATGCTGTCTTCAAGAGACCCATCTCATACACGATGACACCCATAGGCTCAAAATAAAGGGATAGAGGAAAATATACCAAGCAAATGGAAACCAGCAAAAAGCATGAGTTGTAATCTTAATTTCAGGCAAAACAGACTTTAAACCAACAAAAATCAAAACAGACAAAGAAGGGCATTACGTAATCATAAAGGGTTCAATTCAACAAGAAGACTTAACTATCCTAAATATATATGCACCCAATACAGGAGCACTCAGATTCAAAAAGCAAGTTCTTAGAGGCCTACAAAGAGACTTAGACTTCCACACAATAATAGTGGAAAACTTCCTTACTCCACTGACAGTATCAGATAGATCATTGAGGCAGAAAATTAACAACAACATTTCAGGACCTGGACTCAATATTGGACCAATGGATCTGATAGACCTTTACAGAACTCTGTACCCAAAAACAAAATATACACTTTTCTCATCACCACATGGCACATATTCTAAAACTGGCCACACAGTTGGACATAAAACAATCCTCAGCAAATGCAAAGAAACTGAAATAATACCAAACACACTCTCAGACCACAGTACAAAATAGAAGTAAAGACTTAAAAATAAATCACTCAAAACCATGCAATTACATGGAAATTAACCTTCTCCTAAACAAGTTTTGGGTAAATAATGAAATTAAGTGAGAAATCAAGAAATTCTTTGAAACTAATGAGAACAAAGATACCAGAATCTCTGGGACACAGCTAAAGCAGCGTTAAGAGGGAAATTTATATCACTGAATGCCCATATCAAAAAGTTAGAAAGATCTCAAATTAACAACCTACCATTACAACTAAATAACTAGAGAAGCAAGAACAAACCAATCCCAAAACTAGCAGAAGAGAAGAAATAATGAAAATCGGAGCTGAACTGAAGGAGATTGAGACACAAAAAAACATTCAAAGGATCATCAAATCCAAGAGTAGGCTTTTTGAAAAAATTTAATAAGATTGGCCACTAGCTAGATTAATAAAGAAGAAAAGAGAGGAGGTCCAAATAAACATAATTAGAAATGACAAAGGGGATATTACCACGACCCCACAAAAATACAAATAACCATCAGAGACTGCTACAAACACCTCCATGCACACCAACTAGAAAGCCTAGAAGAGATTTATAAATTCCTGGACACATACACCCTCCTAAAACTGAACCAGGAAGAAGTTGATTCCCTGAGCAGACCAATAACAAGTCCCAAAATTGAATCTGTAATAAACAGCCTACTAACCAAAAAAGCCCAGGACCAGACAGATCCACAGCCAAATTCTACCAGATGTAGAAAGAAGTCTGGTACTGTTCCTACTAAAACTATTCCAAAATATTGAGGAGGAAGAATTCCTCCCTAACTCATTCTGTGAGGCCAGTATCACCCTGATACCAAAACTTACCAGAGATCCAACAAAAAAAAGGAAATTTCAGGCCAATATGCCTAATGAACACGGATGTAAAAATCCTCAACAAAATACTTGCAAACCGATTCTAGCAGCACACCAAAAACCTAAACCACCATGATCAAGTAGGCTTTATCCTAGGGATGCAAGGTTGGTTTAACCTATGCAAATTAATGTGATTCATCACATAAACAGAGCTAAAGACAAAATCCACATGATTATCTCGATACAGAAAAGGGTTTTGATAAAATTCAACATCCCTTAAAACCTCTCAATGAATTAAATATTGTAAGAACATACCTCAATATAATAAGAGCCATCTATGACAAACCTACAGCCAACATCATACTGAGTTAGCAAAAGCTGGAAGTATTCCCATTGAAAATCGGCACAAGACAAGATGCCCTCTCTCACTACTGTTATTAAACATAGCATTGTAAGTCCTGGCCAGAACAATTAGGCAAGAGAAAGAAATAAAGCACATCCAAATAGAAAGAGGGAAAGTCAAACTATTCCTTTTTGCAGACTACATGATTCTATGTCTAGAAAACCCCATAGTCTCAGTCTGAATGCTCCTTCAGCTGATAACTTCAGCAAAGTCTCAGGATACAAAATTAATGCACAAAAATCACTAACATTTCTATACACCGACAACAACCTAACTCAGAGCCAAATCAGAAAGGCAATCCCATTCGCAATTGCCACAAAAGGAATAAAATACTGAGGAATACGGCTAACCAGGGAGGTGAAAGGTCTCTGCAATGAGAATGACAAAACACTGCTCAAAGAAATCAGAGATGACACAAACAAATGGAAAAACATCTCATGCTCATGGATAAGAATAATAAATAAAATAGTCATACTGCCCAAAGCAATTTACAAATTCAATAACATTCTTCACAGAACTAGAAAAAACTATTTTAAAATTCATATGGAACCAAAATAAGCCTGAATAGCCAAGGCAATCCTAAGCAAAAAGAACAAAGCTGATAGTATCTTGTTACCCAACTTCAAGCTATACTACAGGGCTACAGTAACTAAAACAGCATGGTACTGTTACAAAAACAGAAATGTAGATAAATGGAACAGAATAGTGAGCCCAGATATAAGAACACACACCTATGACCATCTGATCTTTGACAAAGCTGACAAGAAAAAGCAATGGGGAAAGACTCCCTATTCAATAAATGGTGCCTGGATAACAGGGTAATCATATAAAGAATACTGAAATGGGACCCCTTCTTTATACCATATACAAAAAAATCAATTCAAGATGAATTGAAGACTTAAATGTTAAACCCAAAATTATAAAACCCCTGGAAGACAATGGAATAGGCAATACCATTCAGGGCATAGGAACTGGCAAAGATTTCATGAAGGCACCAGAATTAATTGCAACAAAAGCAAAAATTGAAAAATGGAATCTAATTAAACTTAAGAGCATTTGCAAAGAAATTATCAACAGAGTAAACAGCCAGCCTACAGAAGGGGAGAAAACATTTGCAAACTGTGCATCTGACAAAGTTCTAACATTCAGCATCAATAAGGAACTTAAATTTAAAAGAAAAAAACAACCCCATTAAAAAGTGGGCCAAGGACATGAACAGTCACTTTTCAGAATAAGATGTACATGTGACCAACAAGCATATGAAAAAAAGTTCAACATTACTGATCATTAGAAAAATGCAAATCAAAACCACAACAAGATACTGTCTCACACCAGTCAGGATAGCTATTATTAAAAAGTCAAGAAATAACAGATGCTGGTGAGGTTGCAGAGAAGAAAAAAACACATATACACTGTTAGTGGAGGTGTAAGTTATTTCAACCATTGTGGAAAGCAGTGTGGCAATTCCTCAAAGAGCTAAAAACAGAACTACTATTTGACCCAGCAATCTCATTACTGAGTATATACCCAAAGAAATAAAAATCATTCTATCATGGAGATACATGCATGCATATGTTCATTGCAGCACTGTTCACAATAGTGAAGACATAGAGTCAACCTAAATGACCATCGATGACAGACTGGATAAAGGAAATGTGATACATATACACCATGGAATACCATGCAATCATATAAAAGAATAAGATCATGTCCTTTGAAGAAACATGGATGAAGCCGGAGACCATTTTCCTTAGCAAACTAATGCAGGAACAGAAAACCAAATGCCACATTCTCACTTATAAGTGGGAGCTAAATGATGAGAACACATGGACACAAAGAAGGAAACAACAGACACTAGTGCCTAGTTGAAAGTGAAGAGCAGGAGAAAAGAGAAGATCAGAAAAAATAATTATTGAGTACTAGGTTTTATACCTGGATGTCAAAATAATCTGTACAACAAACCCTTATGACATGAGTTTACCTATATAAGAAACCTGCACACATACCCCTAAACCCTGAACCTAAAATAAAATAAAAGTTAAAAAAAAAATAGAAACTTATAAAGATGGCAACACTACACCAAAATGCAAACTGTGACTCTTGGCCCTTCTATTCAAAGCTCTATAAATGTTAGGTGTCACTTTTCTCTCGTTTTAATTGTGAATGCAAGCAATCCTAGAAGAATAAGTATCTTCAATGATTTATATAGAAATAGGTTACATCAACTTCTTATCTCTGAAGAAAGAAACCAAATGTAACTCACTTTTTTGGAGAGTAAATGAGTGAATTGTTTGTGCTTGCTTTAATGAAAAAGATGATCTTATTAGGATCAGAAAAAAAATTCAAGAAGCATTGAGTGTCATCAATGAAGAAGCCACATATGGCAATAGACTAGTAGATAATTTTGGTTATTATTGCGAAGCTATTTTTACATGAGAAGATGAATATGGCCAAATGAGTTTCCCCATAAATGTCCAATTTACTTCTTTTTATGTAACTAATTTTGTTTATACTTGCATGCCTCTTACTGATAATGAGTCACTAATAGACTGGTTTATGATTCTGATAAATTAATCCCCATGCATTTGTGTAGCCAGTTTATCTCCACCCTCACACTCCTTTTGTTTTTAAGCGGTGGGGAAAAAACCTAGTCATGTAAAGAAAATCTTTTATAATTGTTAAAATGTATTATTTATCAATAGTGAAGTAATGTGGGTAGTTTTTTTATAGTTTTTGGCAGATGATTCACATTTGTGCTGTGTCTAGGTTGACAAAGAAACCCACTATTAATGGGCAAGAAGTGATACGGTCTAGCGGAATAATACATTTTGAATGAGACCTGTGGTCTTTCCCTGCTTTTCTTCTTTTCTCTGGGCCTCAGTTTCTATATTTTTAAATCAATTAAAATTGCCTTTATTTTGAGCAAAAGAAGGTAATAGCCAGGGTACCATTGATCAATTGATAAAACCACTTCACTGAAAATTATTTTTCTCTTGTAATTAACTGTTGACACTTCTATTTGAATGCGTTTCCATTCTGCGGTTAAAAGATATATTAGTTGGCCGGGCGCGGTGGCTCACGCCTGTGATCCCAGCATTTTGGGAGGCCAAGGAGGGCAGATCACTAGGTCAGGAGATCGAGACCATCCTGGCTAACAAGGTGAAACCCCGTCTCTACTAAAAATACAAAAAATTAGCTGGGCGTGGTGGCGGGTCCCTGTAGTCCCAGCTACTCGGGAGGCTGAGGCAGGAGAATGGCGTGAACCCGGGAGACGGAGCTTTCAGTGAGCCGAGATCGCCCCACTGCACTCCAGCCTGGGCAACAGAGCGAGACTCCATCTCAAAAAAAAAAAAAAAATATATATATATATATATATATATATTAGTCGAATTTTTTTTTCTGTTGTTTCTCTCCTTCTCCTAACAAATCAAAGGCACACTACTACATATGGGTGAAGCGCTATGAACAAGACGTATTAGTTGAGAGATTTTCTGTTTGAATCACCAGAATTATTCATTTATTCATTCAGCAGATATTAGTATGCCTACCATAGACAAGACATGATGCCAGGTACTATGAGTCTTATCACGATGAAAAAGGCCAAAATGCTATGTGTCCAGAAAAATAAGAGATCATACTTTACTGGGTAAGCCTCAAAGTCAAGGAATACTTTACAGAGTAAAAGGCATTTGAGCTGTGCCTTAGAATAAGGTGGGTAAGATTTTTAACAAGTGCAGTGTGCCCATGGGGAGGCCTTTCTAGGACGGAGGAAGAGCATAGACAAATGCATCAGTGCTGGAAAGCAGTGAGCTTGGCTTGCAGCCCTTGCTGCAATGTTTCGGTTGTAAAGCAGCAGGTTGAAAATCTTTCTCTCTCTTCCTCACGCTAATCAGGAGGTCTAGTCTGACTGAAATTTTGAGTGCACGTAGAACAATGTAGGCTTAGGCCTAAGCATAAGGCCAGATTATTGAATGCCTTAAATGTTGGCAGTCCAAAGAGTTTAGAAAGATGTCTACCTGTCCATGTGAGATTTCTCCTTACATTCTGAGTTTGAAAACAGTATACTGTGTTAAACCAGACGCATGAGCTAATCTAATTATACATATTTTTGAGATTTGTCTTTAGATCTTCTAAACTTATTTTAGGTTTGCAAAAAGACCATACAAAGAAATGTAATATGCAAATATGAGTAATTTCAGCAAATCTTATACAATTTGAAATTAAATTTCCATCTTTTGCTCGTATTCATGGCAGTCATGCTGAGAAATATCACTAATGATTTTAATGAATGAATTCTTTTAATAAAAAATGAATACATCTTTTAAATTAAAAAAAAGAACATAAATTTTTTGAATGGCCAAATTGTTCAGGATATTCAATAAGGCAAGAATACTTCTATTCAGAAAGAGCATATCACTGTGGGTGTTCAAGCTGCATTAATGTCCAACAAAAAACGTGAAGGATTTTCTAAAATAACAAATGTCTGACAATTTATTTTCTGCCTATTTGGATGATTATGACCTCTAGACAAATATTTTTACTTCAACATTCCCTGATGTTTGTGTAGAAATAGCCTCCAGTGTCATAACAGTGACAAACGTAATCTTACTAACGTGGAAACACTTAATAGATAGATTATATCAAATAACCATATTCCAGTATAGTGGTGAGAATAAAATATGAAAAAATAGTCTACGCCAGGCAAAGTGGCTCACGCCTGTAGTCCCAACACTTTGGGAGGCTGAGGCAGTTGGTTTGCTTGAGCCCAGCAGTTTGAGACCAGTTGGCAACATGGCGAAACCCCATCTCTACAAAAATTAACTGGGCATGGTGGCATGCGCCTGTGGTCCCAACTACTCAGGAGGCTGAGGTGGGAAGATCACTTGTGCCCAGGAGGTCAATGCTGCAGTGAGCCATGATCGTGCCACTGCACTCCAGCCTGGGCAACAGAGCTTGACCCTATAATAACAAAAAAAAAAGAGGCCAGGCACGGTGGCTCACGCCTGTAATCCCAGAACTTTGGGAGGCCGAGGCGGGTGAATCACGAGGTCAGGAGATCAAGACCATCCTGGCCAAAATGGTTAAACCCTGTCTCTACTAAAAATACAAAAATTAGCTGGGCGTGGTGGCACATGCCTGTAGTCCCAGCTATTCGGGAGGCTGAGGCAGGAGAATCACTTGAACCTAGGAGGCAGAGGTTGCAGTGAGCCAAGATCACGTTACTGCACTCCCACCTGGTGACAGAGCAAGACTCAGTCTTAAAAAAAAAAAAAGTCTCGGCTTGGCATTCCAGCAGTATTTTCTTTATTTTTAATGACATTAGTTAAATCACAAAATTTCCTATTTTCCAGTTTTGAAAAGCACAATTTTTCTTGAGATGTTTATGATTCTTTACAGTATTTTGAATATGTGTGCTTTTCTCCAAAACAATTCCCGACATTAATCTAATTTCTAGAATTCTCTCTCTCCTGTAATCAATACTTTTCTATTGCATTAGTGTTAGCCTAGAGGACCTTGTAATGAAAACACTTATTTTAGGGTTATTTATTACCTAGATGACAATATAAAAATTATGTCAGATTGTTTCCATATGTCATAGCTAACGCAAGGCTTAATGGGAAATCAAAATTGTGTTTTGTATATAACACTGAGCTCTGAACTCAAAGCAATGGGCTAAATTAGTTAATTCAGTCAAACACTTTGGTTTTGTATCTTAATGCATGGTGAAATTTATGTTTAGTAACAAATCTATTGGAGTCTTTTGTATCGAGCTCACAGTTCAGTAAGCAATTAGATCCTTGTAAATCTTATATGTATATTTTGTTATAAATAAAGTGTTCTCCTATTGACTTCATGCAATTCAGTTTTTTTCCTTCAAAATTAACATTCGTAGAGATTTACTTAGACATCTCCCTTCCCAAATAAATGAGGTTAGTAGATGAGAAAGGTAATCAAATGTGATCTGGTGAAGTCTTCATGTTGGAGCTGAAATCACACCTGACGTTGGTGTTCAGAGAATGCCAAAGCCATCCGAGTAAGGCAAAGGAGATCTAATGAGGCTGGCAAGTAAAAAAAATGAAAGTAGTGTTAAAGGAACCAAATCCTATGAGTCTATATCATCTTCTCTCAACATTATAATAATTTTGAAACTGAAAAAACTGAAATAGGACTATATTTGATGACATTATAGTATTTTAGATCTGTAAGGTAACTTTGAGATGTTGTAATCCAATTTTGATAAAAAATTGCTTAAGGTAAAAAATATAAAGGTGTAGCCAAGAACCTTAATTTCCAGTACATTATCCATGAGTCAAAAATATTGTTGAGCACATTTTATGTTCCAGGCTCTATTTTAGATTGTATGGGCACATGAAAAACTTGGAGTCTCTGCTGGCAAGATGCTTACATGCTAGAGGAGGTACATATGTAGTTGTTTTTTTAAAAAGTAAACGTATGAGACTGGACATGGTGTCTCAGGCCTGTAATCCCAGCACTTTGGGAGGCTGAGGTGGGTGGATCACTTGAGGTCAGGAGTTCCAGACCAGCCTGGCCAATATGGCAAAATTTTGTCTCTACTAAAAATACAAAAATTAGTCAGGCGTGGTGGCATGTGCCCATAGTCCCAGCTACTCAGGAGGCTGAGGCATGAGACTCATTTGAACCCAGGAAGCAAAGGTTTCAGTGAGCTGAGATCATGCCACTGCACTCCAGCCTGGGTGACAGAGTGAGACTCTGTCTCAAAAAATAAAAATAATTTTTAAAAGTAAACATATGAGATATGCTAGGTACCAATATGTGCTATAAAGAAGATAAAATAAGGTTAATGCAGTAGACAGTGACTGCTTTAGCTGGTGTGTTTGGCCAAAGACCTTAAGGTGACCTAGGAAATCCAATGTGGATGATAAATGGGGCTGGATGAGCTTGGAGGCGTGGCAAATAGTTTGGATTTTATTCTAGGTGGAGGATTTTCCGCAAGGGAGTGAGACATTCTAATAGACACTTTTGAAAGATTAATCAACGGCTAGATGGAAGATGGACCTAAGGGGTCAAGGGCAGTGGTGCAGGGATAAAAGCCTATTGCAATGGTATAGGTGAGAGAAGAGGCATCTTGGACTATTAGAGCAGGGGAGATGGTGAGAAATGGACATTTTCAGGATATAATATGGATATTGAGCCGGTGAACCTATAATAGATATAAGAGACAGAAAGAAATAGATGATAAAGACTAGATTTTTGGCTCATCAACTGAATATCTGAGGATGGCACTTATTTAGGTGTGAAGGTGTATTAGTCCATTTTCACACTACTATGAAGAACTACCTGAGACTGGGTAGCTTGTATAGAAAAGAGGTTTAATTGACTCACAGTTCCACATGACTGGGGAAGCCTCAGGAAACTTGCAATCATGGCGGAAGGGGAAGCAAGGCACATCTTACCATGGTGGAGCAGGAGAGAGAGAGTGAAGAGGGAAGTGCCACACTTTTAAATCATCAGATCTCATGAGAACTCACTATCACAAGAACAGCAAGGGAGATATTCATCCCCATGATCCAATCACCTCTCACCAGACCCCCCTTCTGACATGTGGCGATTACAATTCAAGGTGAGATTTGGGTGGGGACACAGAGCCAGACCATATCAGAAGGCTTGATAGCAGAATGGTTTTAGTGGGCGGGTAGGAAGCAAGTGATTAAAGACTTCTGTTTTGGCCATGCTCTTTGAAGTGTCTATTAGACACCAGATAGTTTGTTGTATATAAGAATCTTTCTGACTGCTGCAGTTTTTGCTGGATTCCAGTGGGAAGTTGCATCAGATTAGAAGATTTATAGAACATTATGGTAATGAGCATCTGTATGATGATGAATGACCTGGGAATCTTGGACTTCTGATAGTGGCTGACATAGCTTAGGATATAAATTAAGACATATTGATCCTGCAAGTCAGAGCATACAATAGATGTAGATGCTGGTCCTTACTTGGCTTGCTTCCACTGAGACAGTTTAATGATATGCAACTGTATATGATGTCGAGATTTATCTTTAGCTTTTTCTTTTTCATAAAAAATTTTAATAACCAGTTTTAAAATCATTTTCGTGGTTAATCTTTCTAAAATGAAACTTTGGAAGAATTATTTTGTCAAAGTTTATTCTGTACCCATGAGTTCAATACTTCAATAATAAACACCACCCAGGAGTTGTGTCTTAGTGCACACGAATACAACAATATAAATTGTAAATTGTTGGTTCTTTCATTAAAGAGGCCAAATAAAGCTAAAATATCCTAAGGAGTCACTTATTTTTTTTCTTTACTTGTAGATATCAGGTACAAGGTACCCAGTCACTGGGTATCTAGATTCTAGTGAGAATGCCATCTTCCCTAACTTTAATTTACACCCATTGGGAAGGGGAGGTGCTCTGCTTTTGGAGGGCAGAGCAAGGTCCGAGAATGTACAAATAGACTTGGGTAAGTTCTTTCAAGTCTTACTACTCATCCTTCATTCATCTCCTGGATCATTGCCCAGAGAATGAAAGAAATTGCCAGTCAAGCCAGCCAGGTAGGTTAAATCTATCCTGGCAGTCCTGGAGACTGCTGCAGACTGACTGCCTGATGTCCGTGCCCACTGGGGTTTTTCCCTTTTCAGAAAGGATTTCTCCCTGATCTCTCCCCACAAACTCTGGCTTTGCTTTTTCATTTCCTAAGAGCAACTCAATATGCATTTCCCCATCCAAGCTACCTTCCACTATTCCCCTACTGATTCTCTCTGTCATTTATATTTTTCACTCTTCTCTTCCTTTCTCTGCTCTACCCTTGCCCCTTTGTTGTCAATGAGTAACTGCTAAATGTGAATGATTCTTCTAAGTTTTATCAACCAGGACTTTCTCCCACCCAAGCATTTGTTTGTGGCTCACAGGCATTTCATCCCATAGTAGATTAACACCAGTTCTATGACAACCTGCTCTGATAGTCCCCAGTCCTTGCCCCTGTTATTTTTCATTTCTTCCTCATTGACTCTCCATAGACTCTTCGCTTATATTTTACTTTTCATATTTTATCATTTGAGCCTTGTGTTATTAAGTAAATGTCCACCTGCCATTCCAGTTTGTAAAGTTCTTGCCAATTAGAGTTCACATGCTGTTCATTTTTGCATCCTTCAGCACACCTAGCCAAGCACAGCACTCATAATAGATGTTTAACAAATGTTCATTGTGAATGAGCTCATGGACCAACTTAAATTCTATGTCTTCTGGAAAAACTCAGTTCCAATACTGCAACCCACATTGATCCTATTTTTGTATTCTCCTAGTACTTCATGTCTGCATTAGTCAATTCTTTGTTTTTAACCTAATCATATGTTCTCTTCCATTATCATTTAGCTGTTTCACATTGTGTAAACCTTTTTTCCCTCATTTTATTGTAAACATACAGAGAGCTCATAACCAGCCTCTTCGGGGACTGATGCAGTGTATTTTCCACAGAAATTGTTCAATAAATACGTGTTGCATGGAAGAATGAATTAATTAATGCATGATTTGAAGAATGAATAAACACACTCCTGTCTTTTTATCTACTGTGCAGCTTCCTGATCCTGTAGGCATGAATGCTTAGTGTCACCTAATTCTTTGCTTTTCCTCCACTTTCCAAATCAAACCAGTCACAATATGTTATTGATTCTTGCCTTTCAGTGCCTCTTAATCCATTCTGAGTGTAATAAGAAATTTTACCCATCCTCCTTCAAACATAAAGGTAAGCAAAAATCAGTTATAAATTATAAAACTAGCCCGTAGCTATTACCTATATGATAAACACATCTGGCAGACAGGTTGGTGGGTTTCATTCAATGTATTTTAGCCTTTTCTCTTTGATAATTTCTCCTTGTAAAGTGTAAGACTATAGAACAGAATCTCTTTCTGCCTTTAAGCAGCTCATTCACAGATTTATAAGATACCATTTAAAGTCAGGTGTATTAGTCTGTTTTCATGCTGCTATAAAGAACTACCTGAGACTGGGTAATTTATAAAGAAAAGAGGTTTAATGGACTCACAGTTCCACAGGTTTAACAGGAAGCATTACTGGGGGGCCTCAGGAAACTTACAATCATGGCGGAGAGCAAAAGGGAAGCAAGCACGTCTTATGCTTGACAGAGTGAGCGAGGGGGGAAGTGCCATACTTTTAAACCATCAGATCTCATGAGAACTCACTCACTATCATGAGAACAGCATGGGGGAAATCCGCCCCCATAATCCAGTCACTTCCCACCAGATGCCTCCCCTGACACATGAGGATTACAATTTGACATGAGATTTGGGTGGGGACACAGAGCCAAACCATATCGTGTAGTTGGAAATCAGTGTTAAAGAAGGATAATGTAGCATTTAAACAATGTTCACATTGGTTTTATTTATTTTTATACTTTAGTTTAATAAAAGAATTGTTGGTTTTTTCCTAGATGCACAGGTACAGGCCTAGGTGGAATTTCCATTTAGCAGAGGAAATGGCCCTTGTGGCTACTTTCGATGAAAAGCAACATGACACTTGATGAATAAGGAGTCAGCCACACACCTAGCCCCATGAGTAACCAATTAGGAAACTAATTACAGGCAAATGCTGTGCCCCATTTAGATAAGAAGAGTGGATTGCCACATTTCCAAAGTATGAGGAACACAAGGTATAACTAAACAGATTTTTAGGTAAATAAATTTGAGCAGTTTTGGTTCAATTGCAATATAATCATTAGTAGTTTTAAATAATCATGACTCTTGCTATGTAGCTATGAGAGTTTACTCATCCCTAATTGTTGACTGGCTGTATATTATTGCTGGGATGAAAAGGAAATTCTCAAGCTGCAATTAATAACTGCAGTACACATCTGAGACAATTTGTATCTACGATAAACACGTATTTGTATGTATATTTCTAAAAATGTCCTCTTACTCAATTCAAATTTGCTATTTCTTTCAATGGATTATATCAGTTTACAGTATCAATTTGACTTAATAGAGATGAGAAGACATAGGTCTTTAGATGTTCTCCATTAGTTAGATTGCTCCTTCATTTTGTGAAAGTTTCACAGTCTACCGGGTCTGTATAAATGACAGCCGAAGGGAGATTCAGGCAGGTAGGGAGAGAACATCCTAGTGATGACTAACTGGGTTTTAGAAAGAGAGCATACTTCTGAGTAATTGTTCCAAGGGAATTTTAATTAAAGTAAATTAGTGTGACCAGCTAAATCTTGCTAGGTAGTACACAGCTGAGCTGGAAAATGATATAGAGAAGTTTATTTGCTCCAGACAGAAATATTTTAAAGGCATCGGGTAAATATATAAACTAATAATGTTAATTTTGCTTCAAAAAGCAGTTCTAGACAATTCAATAAATATTTCATTCTTTTGCTGATACAATAAAGGCCAACTATCCCATCTTATGAGAGTCCAGCTTCTAATTTCAACTGAGGTTATAATGCTTCTGTACCTAATGGAGTAGTATCCTCCCTGAGATTCATAAAACCTAAATAGGAATTCCTTGAGTCCTCTACAAAATGTAAATAAAGCTGAGGCCCAAAGAGTAATGAGGCTGTAGTGACAGCCCTTGCCACAGTACTCCTTCTAGGATGCCAATCAGCAAAGGGACAAGTATGGCAGGAAGGACACCTAGTCAGTGGGCTAGTCGGGCCTCATTTGATATACGAAGGGTAATCTGTAGGCTCATATGAACTCTTGGCCTCATTCATAAGTGTTGGCTCTACAAAGGCTTTTCTAGGCCTGGGTTTCTGCTATAAAATACAAGACATGAAACTTGAAGTAAACTTAAGAAGTAATATATTTATTTCCATAAAATGAGGAAGTAGTACAGAAAGACCCCTTGAGGGCCCATCCAGGTCAGTACCATTTCCACGCCCTGAAATGCCTCCCTCAGGGACACCACCCCTTGGAAACACAGAGAATAAGGAATGCAGTGCAAGTGTATGGAACAGGATAAAGAGATGTGAGGTCACTCCCCAGCCACAGTCATCTACTCTGGCTCTCATAGGTACTTCAGGTTTTCTGCTAAGCAGGCACAAAGGGGTTTCATTTTGAAGAATTATCCCACTATTTTTTACAGTGATGAAGGAAGGATAGGAAGTCCTTTAGAAGGGACTCCAGGAGCTGTACCAAACTCTGAAAATACTGATGATTAAGCCACATGGGGTCATCTCTTCTGAGCCTCCATACAGAAGTGAAGGGTGACAATTAAATAAGAAAAGTGTGACGATAGAGGTCTGCAGATATGAATCTGTGTGTTGGGGGACCCAGGAATGGGGCTCAAAATGAAGCCTCAGAGGCTGCAATAGGTAAGCAATGTTTCCTCAGACACAATAGGTACACCTAATGTACAATTGTTCTGGTGGGCATGTGTCCAGCATGCCCACATAGCCAGCTGGGTCTCATCTTTTGCAAAATATGGCCCTCTGGCCAGGTGGATCAGGCATGAGCAGAGAGACTATGGCTGAACTTGACGGCTCCTTGACAGATCCCTCACCCTCTTTATGGTCCAAAGCTGCCCAGTCTCCAGAGCCACAAAACCAGCCTTAGTTTAATGTTGCCTAGAGGGGTCATAGTCCAACTTTTTTAACTTCATTGGCATTCTTTTCCCAGTTGTACATTCATATCTTTTAGACCATTTCTCAAAGCACATTTTGCAAAATATCAGCATGCTAATTACCTCTGAAGTAATTGTTTAAAATTCCATTTGGGAATTGTTGCTCAAGAACAGTAGTAGTCAACTCCGGCTCCACATGAGAATCACAGGGGAAAAATATTTTTAATAGCAATTATCTGGGCCTCATACCAAAAGACACTGGTTTGATTGGTCTGGGTTATTCTAGGCATCTGAATGTGCTGGAAGCTCCCCACAGTGACTTGAGTGAGTTAGAGTCTCTTCCAACGAACAGGTGTATGTCTGGAGGCAGGTGGGCGGGAT